>NC_000004.12:106421381-107046381 GCF_000001405.40 Homo sapiens
CGATTCTCTGTCTCAGCCTCCTGAGTAGCTGGGATTACAGGTTCGTGCCACCATGCCTGGCTAATTTTTTTTTTTTAGATGGTTTTCAGATGGTTTTGAACAACAGAAATTCATTCTTTCACAGTTCTGGAGGCCAGAAGTACAAAATTAAGGTATCCACAGAGCATGCTGTCTCTGGAGACTAAAGACTTCATAAGCCTTCAGAGAAAATTCTTTCCATGCCATTCTTTCAGCTTCTGGTGTTGCCAGCAATCCTTGGCATCCTTTGGCTTGTAGATGCATAACTCCATTTTCTGCCTCCATCATCATGTGATGTTTTCCTTGTCTTACGGTCTCTTCTCCTTTTCTTATAAGGACACAAATCATATGGGATTAGGGTCCACTCTAATTGAACATGATCTCATCTTAACTTGATTACATCTACAAAGTGATGTTCATGCAAGTCCCTTTTTTTTTAAACTGTAAAATATGGGACTTGGACATCTCTTCTAGGTAGACAATTTCATAATCTCTAACTCCTCTTATTTTGTTTCTTTTTTAAGTTCATAATTGTATCACATTCATTAGCATGCTTGTTTTGATTATATATTTTTCCAAAAAAGAAAAACAATGAACAAAACCATATGAATTTGTGAGACTGTCTATGAAGAATGAGAAATGTAGCCATACGCAGTTAGCAAACAGTTTTCACAAAGAATTTGGATGATTCAAGACAAGGAAGCAAAAATATTTAAAAAATCTCAACTATTTAAATAGCTCAAGCCTGTTCCGACCTTAGTACTCTGCCATGTGCTATTCTGTCTCCTGGAAAGGTTCCACTCTGACTAACTTCTACACCTTTCGCAGGTTATAGCTCAGCTGTCAAGCACAGAAAGCTTCTGTGACATCTCTCACTCCTTCTTCACCTTTTAAATGGGGTTCTTTTAGTTATTTTCACTCTTAAAATCTATTTTTTTGTTTATTACACCTATTATAGTTTGTAATCACATATTTATTTTTGTGTTTTTTTGTTTACTTTCTCTCTTCTTTATTTGACTGTACATTCCTGGTGGCAGAGATCATATCTGAATTTATTTTAAATCTGTCTCCCTAGAGCTTAGCACAGCAAGTGTTTTGTTCATATTAGATAATCATTTTTCAAATGTTCAAATGAATATATTTAGTCATATTGTCACTGGTTCTGTATTGCTATATCAAGAAGAAGAATTTGGGTTTGTGAATCTTTGTATAACTCAATATAATATGTTACCTTTATTGCCTAAGAGTTTGTCAAAGGAATGACTGAGAGGGGCTGGATGACCAAAGGGTAAAATGTGGCCAACTTCCCTTGATTAGGCCATCTTAAAAATAAAATGTTAAGTATTAAATGATGACACTATATTAAGATAAATGAGATTATTTTAAAAAGTACTTAATTATAAACCAGGGTTTCTCAACCTCTGCACCACTGACGTTATTTTGGACCAAATAATTCTTTGTTGTGGGGCTGTCCTGTGCATTGTGGGATATTTAGCAGCATCTCTGGATTCTACCCAGTGGATTCCAGTAACACCCCTTCAGTTGTAACCACCAAAATTGTCTCCAGACATTACCAAACATCCCCTGGGACATAAAATTGTCCCAGTTGAAAACCACTGCACCTCAGAATTAATAAACAAAAAAAGCTAAACCAAAGCAAACAAAAACAAGAAGCAGAAATCCCTATGTTACATATTATCTCATTTCACTGTCCCAAAGACCTCAAAAATCTCATAAGACAGGTCAGTGTTGTCTTTATTTCATATGTAAAGAGAAGCAAATAGGAAAAATTATGTGACCACCTCAATGCCTCATAGTCAGAGGCAGAGCAAGGATTATGAATCTAGGTCTTTTGATTTCAAACTTTGTGCCATTTCCATGAAAATGTTTTTCTGTCTTAGTGAAGATACTCACTGGAAGGGTTCCAGAACAGAGGTGAGCTTCAGCCCCTGGATAGTGAGGGCCCTGGGAGGTGAGTGGGCTGCAGGCATTCCTGCTACCAACATTCCCAAGGCTGAGTGTTGTCTCGGGGGTTCCCAGTGACTATGGCCTAATTTGGGATCACACCTAAGAGAAAGTGATTCTATCTTATTCTTTTTTTTTTCAGTATACGTTTGTGTTGACATTGTAACTTTTGAGAGCAGAATTGCTGATATTAATAGTATCAGCAGTTGATGTGTTTTGCTGAGGTGAGAGGATTGCTTGAGGCTGTGAGTTCAAGGTTAGCCTGGACAACATAGTGATATCCCATTTCTACAAAAAATAAAATTAAAAAAGTTAACTTGGCATGGTGGTTCGTGCTTCAGCCTCAGGAGGCTGAGGTGGGAGGATAGCTTGGGCCCAAGAGGTTGAGAATGCAGTAAGCCATGATCATGCCACTGCACTCCAGTCTGGGCAACAGAGAAAGACCCTGTCTCAAAAAAAGAAAAAGAAATATTACATTTGTTTTTTTTTTTTTTCCACTTGTGGGTTGGGGAAGAGGCAAGCAGGGAGAAATAGAGTCACAGAAAGAGAAACACACACAGTTTCAGAACAAGAGAAATTGAAAGTCAGAGACAGACAGAGAAAGACATATAGAAAGATACTTACACACATATGGAGCCATAGATAGAGGCACAAACAGAAGCATATACAGACCCAGGGAGAGACAGAGGCACTATGAGCCAGAAGGGAGATGAGAGATCAGGAGTTGGGGGAGGGAGAGGCTGAGGGATGTAGGGCCTGGCAAGTGGGGCCCCAGGATGTAGGGCTTAGGAGGGAATTGTGAAAGGTGGGGAGGAGATTGACTGATTGACTCAACTACCCAGGGATCTAACCAAGTAGTAGACCTCATTTCAGTAATGTTGGAGGCATTATTGTTAAACGTACTGAGTATCATTTCTCTCATCCTGAAAAACACAGTGAATCTGTGCGATGCACTGAAAGAACCCTCAAACTTATCCATATGATAACCCCTTGAGGATACAAGACATGAAAACCCCTATTTCCCTCTTCTGTCCCCTTCTCTGCTTCCCTCTGGCCCCACAAATCAAAGAGCAGCTGACTCAAGTATATGTAAGGGACGGTTCAGAGAGGTTAGGCAGGCTGCTAGCAGCTGTGTGCAGCCTGGGTGGGGGTGGGAACAGGGGCAGTTGTGAGCGCTACATTTGGGAGGGCCTCAAACATTTGCTCCCCCTGGATTATTCTGACAAGTCTAAACTTTTACACTGAGGTACACAGCACCAAGACAGCTACTATCCAGTTTATAGCATCACAGTTACAGTGGGAACCTGACTATGCTGGGAAGGGCTTTAGTGCTGGATCCACATAACATTTGATACCTCCCTCTGGATCAGAAAGCCCCAAAGTCAATGTCCAGGATCCAAGTATTTTCCAACTGGCTTCACAGCCGACAGCTGGGTCCAGCCATCAGAGGTTCAACCAGACTGTGTGCAGCTGACAGTTAGACCATAGAACAGTTAACCTTCAGGTGAGAAATGGAGTTGTTACTGAACGTAGAGGAAGTAGTTTTCACAGTTTATGGTGAAAATAATTTCTGAGTCTATGGCTATGTAGTCCATCCCAAGTGATCTATGCCTCCTCTCAGTCAGCAAGTGCTGAAATGAAAATATTGCATAGGAATTGTCAGAAGCATAACTGCCCTTGGAGAAAGAGATTTCAGAATACATCATGACAGTGCCCTGTTCTATGAGGAGCCCACAGAACAAAAAGGACCTTCATGGTTTTCTAGTCTAACTGCTTACTATACTCAGGAGGACACCAAGGACTGCACAGGTTAAGGGACTTGTGTAAGATAATATCCAGCAATTTGGTGGCAGAACTGTGACTAGAACCCAGATGTTCTATTTTTCATCTTGTGTTATTTCCTCTTAGGGCTCATAAATATACAATCATATTTTAAATAGAAATAGATTGCCTTTGAATATTTCCAATGAGTAGTCGAAGGAATGTCAATATATAAAGGGAATATTTAATAAGCAATAAGAATTAGAAGAACTAAAAATTATCCAGCATCTAGCCTAATATATGGACAATAAATACTTGTTAAATGAAATGAATGGTGTGAAATCATTAGCATTCTTTTTAGGAGGTTCCTGTTATAAATAACCACAAAATAACTTACCTTAGTGAAGGATGCAGGGCTCACAACTTATAAGATGCCGTTTTGGAAGGATGTTTTTCTTTTATAATTAAAACCAATGAAAAATTCACTAAACAATGAAATGCTAAAGATATAGGGTGCTCAAGAGATTAATAGATGCAAACCATGTGTAACTACTTAAGAAAGTACACTCTCAGCAAATGTGAAGCTCCTCTCTTGTCCTGCAGAGTGAAGCAAGTCTTATTTTCCAGGTGTCTTTATTTTGGATTTTCTCCCAAAGTAAAAATCACTCTTCACTGTAAAATTCAATGGCATAGAATACAAAGCCAGGATTTCATAGAAACACTAGGTTATTTGAGGAGAATTACCCTTCCCCAGCACATCACCTTTAAATAGGTCTTTTCATCAAATATTGTCACCAGTAAAATGAAGCAGGGGTCAGTGTTCCTCCTGGAAGTTGAATTAGCATGGAAAGGTTGAATGAACCAGATTATATGTCACATTTTTCAGATAAATAGATTCTCTGGAGACTAAAGAGTGGTAAAGATTTAATAGGATTCTCAATGAATCTCTCAGGTCTCATTTTATTCTGACCAGGAATCTCATGCAAAAGTTCATCAGATCAACTCATTTCTCAGCTGTATTTGTGTCTTAAGACCTTTGTTCTTGTTTGGCAAATCTGTGTGAAATGATATATCTATGGTTCCAGGTCACCTCAACATTTAGGCTGCTGTTCTGCTTACAGCTTCCCAAATGTCTCCTTCTCCCAGAGGCTACATCACCCTGGCCCTTTGACATATTGGAAGGACAGAGATTTTGCAAAACAGCTCTTCGAGTATCTCTATTTTGGGTTATAAATTCCTAAGCGAACATAGAAGGCCAAGGATTTCCCTTTACAATTGCTCACTGTATTAGCACAAGCCAAAATAATGCTTACCAGGGTCATTTTTGGCTACTCTTTATGAATGAAAATTCCATCCCATTAAACTTTTTACTACTTAAAAAATATTTATTAAGGTAGTTCAGAAGAAACTAAGTTGGCTGCTATATTAAACAGAGCATAACAATTTTAATTTTCTGATAAAAAATTAAAGATTCTTCAGGAAATGTTGTAATATTTTGGTAATAGGTAGTTCTTATATTAAATGATCCTAAAAGAACATGTCTTAAAGCATATTAATGTTCTAGATTTTTAAAGCTATACCTTTTGTTCATCTAGTACACAAAATAAACTTTACCAAAACTTTTCCATGCATTATCCCATTTAAACTTATAACCTTTTGAGAAAGGTTATGATTACATGCAGATTAAAAGTAAGAAATGTGTCTCAGAAAGTTAAGATACTTATCTCAAGACACACAGCTAGGAAGAAACAGGCTAGGACTTATATTTAATTCAAGTGTTTAAGACATTGAAACCATTTTAAAACATAGTTTCTAGCATATTGTCTCTTACATGGTTAATCTCTAAGCAACATTCTTAAGCTTTTTTGGGTTCACTTCAGAAGGAAAAGACCTATCTATCAAATTTTATAGGCCTGGAAATATATGTTTCTATAAAAATTGTATTTATAGACTTGTAGCCTGAGATCAAAAGATAAACTTGAAAGTAATGTATCTTTGCCATTTAATCAGATTGCTTTTAAAGCACCTAAATGATAGAAATTGAAAAGATTGTGCATCTTATGTGTGTCAACCCTGTTATTGACCAATAATTCTACTTAACTAACTTAAACTCTTTGTTGTAATTTAGAACAATTCACTTGTGGAGAAAGATTTTGCTTACTTAGCTCTAGAATTTATTAAAAAAACTTTGTTAAATATCTCTAAAGCTGTTCTTTAGGTTATTGATCTTTAACTTGTTTCTAACACTTGAAATTTAATTAAATATGGTTCCCAAAGAAGTAAAATATCATGTTTTCACATAATTCTAAAACTTTAGACCTTACTCAATATTAAAGTAGTTCAAAAAGTACTGAATATAATAAAAGCATTGTTTTGTAGATAAGGTTGGGAACATGTTTAAAAATCACAATTTAAAACTATTATATTAGTCAATCCACTGTTTACAACTATACTGTTCCATCTTTTTGCTATTGCCATTTTCTCAAATCTTCTCCATCTGGCAAGCATCTTTCTTTCCCAGTTACTCATTCTCTGAATTGTTATTGGTGTACAGCAGTGGTTCTCAAATTTTATAGCAAGTTTCAGAATCACCTGGAGGCCTTTATAAAATATAAGTTGCTTGGCTCCATCTCTGGAGTTTCTAATTCAATAGGTCTGGAGGAGACCCAAGAATTTGCATTTTGAGTCAGTTTCCTGATGATGGTGGTGGTGATGTTTATGCTGCAGGTCCAGTGCTTACCCTTTGAGACCACCTATTCTCCGTGATTCTGGTTATTTCCAATTCTTCAGTTTGCCTTGTACATTGAAAAGACAGAAATTTTGTATAACAATCCTTTTCTCTCAGTTTCCACTGTCCAAGCTAATGAAGTTTTCAATCATCTGATGTTTGCCTACAGTCAAGATCATGACCTAGTAGAGCTGTAATTGTTATTCACAGAGGAATAAAATTTTCCCATAGGCCATTTATAATATAAACTATAATATCATTCCTCCTCCCAAGGCTTGTGCCCTGCCTTTGGAGACCAAGAAAGACATGGATGAACAGCTCATTATTATCTGAAGAATAGTTTCTAAACAAAATAAAATGAGATAGCCAGTAATATATGGGATTTTTGTACCCTGCATGACTTTTACCTCAGTACATTCAGAGATTTGTGAAGAATTACTTCTCGTTTCATCTATGACCTGACAAGATGTTATGCATACAGACAGCTGTTGGAATCATTGAAGTGAACCTTTTTTGTTGTCCACACTTATAATAATTTAGCCTCTTTGAAAATAAAGTGATAATTTCAAGCCATTAGGCTACCCATTGAAGCAATACTAAAAGGCAAATCAGGCTTGGACTGGCCTTGGTGGAGCTGGAGTTAGTCTTAATGTAATACCTAAAAACCTACATATGTTTTCTTTGGTTGTAGCAAGCCATTGATTTTTGTTTTAAAAAGACTCTAGGATTCTGAATTTACATGGTTTCTTTTAATTTTACAAAACAGAGTTTATGTAAAGAGTATTTTATTTGATTCTATTAACTGAGCATCAATTGTATGACAGATAATAAAGTCAATGCTTAAAGGACATGTGGCCCCTGCCCTCTGAGAACTTACATAAAATGTATACACGGAAGGGTGACATTAGATATTTTTCTACATAATTGGAGCTACCTAGGGAAAGTGTATTTCATCACACTCTACAGAAGATTTTTTGGCTGAGGCACTTTCGTAAGGGATTAACCTTCAGATGCATTCTCGTTCCCTCACCAGCTGTGTGTTTCTTCTTGCAAATACTCCCAAATAATTCACTTCTTTATATAGTAAAATAACTTCATTGCAGTACAGAATCATTTCTTTGTCCCAAGGACGGATTTTTCTATGAAACACCTAGTCACAAGAGGTTAATATCTGTGTTTCTCTGTTGATGGTCAGAGCCCTGTGAAAGAGGCAAATAGGGAATGCAATGCAGGACAGGCAGTAGTCTTGATAAAAATGAATAAATAAAAGCACACACAAAACAATTCCTTTTTCCAGCCTTTACATTTGCTAAATTGTCAGCTGTATTCTCCATATACTAGTCTTTAACTCATTAATCTTCAAACACATTAATTACCACTGCTTTGGCTGACTCCTTGGGATATTTACACACTGTAAACAGTTCTGGTATTCTTGGCAAATCCACACTGTCAAGGACCCCTTGGGGTCAAGTGCATTGCTTTTCCTTACCAAAGAATTTATTCTTTTGAAAAACATGAACATGACCATTTCCCTTATGTTATTTTCTTGTGTATGACAAAAATAAAGATACATACCTCTTGGGGAAAATTAATTGAAGTATCTTCCGTCCATTCAGCATTCTATGATAGGCAAGATATGGGCCTCTTTTTTATACCAACAAGAGAGACTTATTATCTCTCAGGAAGAAAAACCCTTTGGATTTAGTTATTCCTCTAATTAATATTGCATCTGCAAGGCACATGTCTACATTTTGCCACCATTGCAAGCACTTCAGTCCTCAACATATCGAAAACAACTCTACCACCTCTGGCTATATTGAGGAGGTTTCTTCCATGTCAAGGCATCTAAAGCTCATCTTGTATACTTATGGGCAAGCAGCCTGAAAGTAGAAGTGCAGGGGATGATAACATGGTCCATATTTGTTAACAGAAACCTCCTTCTGGTGAATGAGAGAAGCCTGATCCCATGGAAGTATGGTTTCAATTTTTCATTGAAATTACAATCAAACAAATTGCCAGCACACATTTTTCTCTGTCAGATGTTTCCCTTATGACAGATTTGGAGTACCTTGGGCCAGCTTATAAACCTTGTCCTCTGCCAGTGTTGCTACAGACTCTTCTCTTTGTTTTCAAATAAATTTCACTTTTTTCTCCAACTGGTGGATACATTGGATACACAGTAGTACCTGACAGGAAAATGTCTCTTCAACATGCACTTTTTGCAGGACTCTGATGGAAAGGATGACACATTACTGGCTCTTCTTTAGCTCTCTGTGGGGAACTCAGTATGACAAAAATCACAAAAACCAACAGCCTGTAATTTCCTGATTTTCTCGCACATATTAAAATTGTATTTATCAAGGTTGACTCTTGGCTGCCAGTTGAACTAGCTCTCCTGGAAGGAATGGCTTTTAGAGCGTTGCTTTGGGACCAAGGGATCCTAAGAACACTGTTGGACAAAGTAGTCTTGGGAATGATTGCACTGTTTTCAGACTCATGAAACCACAAGCTTCTCAGGAGAACTGAGCCCAAGTTGAAAATCATTCACCTCCTTTTCTTTCAGCAAGCACTGTCCGAGGGAACAAGCAAAGGATAATAGAGACCAGTTGTTTTGATCTCTGGTCCCACTACTATATCCCTAATGGGTGAGAATCTACATCAAACAAACTATAATGACCCTGGGAATTGACCATATTTTTGTTTTCAGCCCATCTCCAAGCAAAGGTGTGATGGAATTGATTTGGTGTAAAGCTTTGGCCATGTGAATGTGTTGGCAACTGCCAAATGTTACCATCTGGACCAAATCGTTTCTTTCTGTATCTTTGCAGGTGTTATTTTCCAAGGTGACTGCTTCTACTTTCATTAGAGAGGAGTTGGGTTCTAAAAACAGAAATAGTTTAACGACCATTAAATTTTTATTTTACTACAGGAGAATCGTTCTATTTAAGTACTTAATACTGCATAAAAAAGACCCATAAGAAGAGAAAGAAGTGAGATACAAGGTAATATGCTTTTGTGAAGGAAACACTAGAAAGGGAGTAACAAGGCCTGGACTCAGTCTGGGCTTTGCTCCTGCAATAACGTGTGACTGAAGAAAGACATTCTTCAATGTCATATTCCTTCTCCTATATAAATTATGTCTTATCAGCATAATATCGCCATTGAAATTCAGGCATGGAAGGGACCTTGGGGTATTAGTATCTCTACCTATTTTGGTAGTATTTTGGGAATCAATGAATATTAAAACTATTTTTGTATTTATTTGACCTTGACTATTACTATGTACCCACTATGTAGGAAGCATTGGGAGATAGAAAACTACAAAGATAAAAAATATATACCTTTTCCTCTTAAGCCCATCATCTTATATGGAGATGCTTTCCTTCATGCAGGTATTCAAGAGACATTTATTTACATACTGTGGTAGATGTTGGGAGTACAAAATGAAAAGACAGTTTTTACCAGACATCAAGGATCTTTTTTATTTATTGGAGAAATAGATGAATAAATAGTTTACAACTGTGATAAATGCTTGGTGAAATATGGTGAGAGTGGTACCAGGGGAGGTTTCTAAGATGAAAGGGTAATTGGTTTGTTTTATATACAAATAATGCAAGGGGTGAATGAAAGTGTGCTATGTGTGGTCTGAAGCTTAGGAGAGAAGGACACATGCCACATGGCATTCAGGGAGAAATGTTTCTCAAGGACCTGAAGCACCATATTACATAAGTTATAAATGGAAGAATTTTGTTAGTATTCATTGATTTTTAAGTTTCTCTTGGATATCCATGGAGAAGAGCTGTCAAAGTCTTGCTCAAAGCCACCCTTCTTAGTCTTATGTCAAGTCTCTAAAATAGTACACAGAAAGAACATCACTACCAGTGCCGCCACCACAAAAAGCAACCACAAATGCCATAACTGCCTTTACTATTACCACTACTGTCACACTGCCACTCTCATAACTGCCACCATAATAACCACCATGACCACCACTACCACCAATGTTACCACAATCACCAACTATCGCCATTACCATCACCGCCCCAAACAACCACTAATATGTTGCCACCATTACCACCACTGTCACCACTCCACCACTACCATCATTTTTACATAACCCTTCCATTACGATTGCCACTACCACCACCATCACCACAGTCATTAGTACTACCATATTGCCATTGCAGCCAGCAACAACCACTAACACTGCTGCCACTACTAACCAACATCACTGTCACTACTGTGACCTCAATCACCATTATCATCATCACCACTGACACCATTACCAGCGCTACCACCAACAGTCTCATTCTCATTCCTGAAATATGTTCCTAAACCTTCTCAAGCATTTTAGTAGTCATATTGGTCCCAGGTCAGAGTTCTCACATGTGTAAAATGAGTGATATTGGTAGCTATTGTTAATGTCAACTAAAGGGGCACTTTAATAAAAGCCCCTTTCCAAATGTTTAAGGAGAATTCTCCAGGTTCACAAAGAAAAATTAAATTTTAAATAGTTTCTTCCCCAATGGAACAAACAACAATAACACATACTGATACCTTTATTTAAAATATATTGCCACTTGGGTCCTCAATATGTAAAGAGTTATTTGAAATTTCTTCCTGGGAGGAACAGAGAAGTTAAGATGGCATGATACGCAACTATGATGATGATCTTGTGTTACTCCAGTTCTTAGTTTTACCCTATGTAGCTTATTCTTTCTAAAGAGTTTGCAGTTGAGGCTGAAAATACGAATAAGGCTACTTATAAGAATGTCAGAGTTCTGTGGTTAAAAGTATATCATCTTTTCTGTTAGTTTTTATATATTTGAAAGTTATGAAAGCAGCTAGAGTCAGATAGAAGTGTACCCAGGACAGAGTTGATAGTGGAGCCAAAGAATAAAAAAACAAAAATGAACAGGGCTAGTGTTTTCCAAAACTTCTTCATATGGTTGAATCTCAGGCAATTGTGTTTTAAATTACATTTAGAGCATTTTTTCCAGGAGAAGAATAATAATAGAATTTGTATGCAATATAAAGATCATGATCACAGGCATCTATGGAGGAAAAGCTGTTGAACGATCAATTCTTTCCAACTTTTAAAAAAAAGATTCAGCTGCAGTTTCTTCAGTTGTTTTGTCATCTCTTAGCGCTCATTCATGTCATTCAACAAACATCTCTCTTTTTTTTTTTGAGATGTTGTCTCGCTCTGTCACCCAGGCTGGAGTGCAGTGGTATAATCTTGGCTCCCTGCAACCTCCGCCTCCCGGATTCAAGCAATTCTCCTGCCTCAGCTTCCTGAGTAGCTGGGATTACAGGCGTGTCCCACCATGCCCGGCTAATTTTTGTATTTTTAGTAGAGACAGGGTTTCACCATGTACTTCAGGTTGGTCTTGAACTCCTGACCTTGTGATGTGCCCGCCTCGGCCTCCCAAAGTGCTGGGATTACAGGCATGAGCCACTGTGCCTAGCCCAACAAACATCTCTTAAAAGACCACTGTATCACATAACTGAGTGACTGTATTATATAAATAGCTCTTGAGGACACCACTCCTCAGTATCATCTTGGAGCTTGCCATCTGTTGAAAACTGTAATAAGCAGGTAGTGACATCACAGAAGAATCATGCTGCTGTACACAGATACATCTGGTCCAATGAACATCTGAGACAGATAGCTGAACCACATTTGTGGTGATGAAAGGTTTGGTCAGAAAAGGAGGCTGGGGTAAAACAGCATCTATTCTGTCATTTGAAGAATGGGAAGGATTTTGCTAGAACAAGAGAGGGTGGGAAAATAAGAAAGGAAAATAGAACATTTTAGGGAAAGGGAATAGTGTGTGCAAAGATGAAGAAGTATAAAAGAAAATGTAGCTTATTCCAGAAACTGCTAAAAGGATCAATATGGTGAGAATATCACAGTAGGTAAATATTAGATTCCAAAAGTATATGAAAAAACAGCTGAGGAATGTGAAACATAGAGAAAATTCTATTTGTTAGCAGTTCTCCCCCTACTCCTGTGACCTGAAAAAAATTCAATACTTTCTGAAGCATTTGGATCCACTTAGCTAGTGGAATACCAGCATTTCATGGGAATATATGTAACTAGAACAACTAGTTAGGAGCCAACATGGCCATATCTGGTTTTGGAACAAAGTTTAACATGGAATTACGCCTATGACTACACCAGAGTTTGGACTGAAGGTGTTACAAGAGTTGCAGTAAGGATGGTAGAATGATAGTGTGGTTGTAAGCATATTTTAGAGGATTTGTGCATGTGTGTTCCCTGTTATGTGCCTTCTACTCTCTTGGGATTCAGATCTGCTATGCACATGCAAAATTAAAGAAAGATATTTATAATGTGTTTTTAGGATGTATTAGAGGATAATGACAGAGTCCTGGTCTTGTACATGTTTTATTCTTTCTGTAGCTACAGAAGCATTGAAGAAGAGAAAGTACTACTGGTAGAAAACAAATATAGAACTTCATGTTAGAGAAGCAGAACCCTAACTAATGAGCTCTGACAGTCTGATTTTTAATAGCGTATTTGTAGATATTTGACACTAAGTAGCTACGCTTCCACTTATCCTAAAAAGAACTATCACTTCTCTGACAGAATGATAGAGTAGAATTCTTTGTAAAAAATAAATAATTTTATGTACAGTTGTTTTTCAAGATTATTTCAAAACACTTCCTTTTCTTAAAAATGAGTAGTAAATATTTTCTTATTTAGTTAAAATCCTGTTTCTCTTTATTTTTTAAAGCTGTCGTGTCATGAGAGAGCCACAATTCTTCAAACATATTTAACTGCTGGAGAGAATGGCTCAGAATCCCAGGTATCAGCTTCAGCACACGTAAGTTCCCTGGAACAAAACTTCAAATCCCCAAAGTTTTCTTTTCAACTTGCCAAAGGTTGGTCAAGAAATCCACCAAATTTCTCTAGGGCTATTTCTCTCTCTCTCTTTCTCTCTCTCTATCCCCCTACTCCCCAGGTTTATCATTATCATGTGTTAACATTAAGGTACAAACTGAAGCAGGCTATTTTTGAGGCCAGTATTGGCAATATATCCAGTACACTCAAGGGCCTGAAAAGTTAATAAACTTTTGCTGTAATACAAGAAGGCAAAGGACAGTAATTTGGGGCTCAAAAGAGAGTTGTTGCTGATTATATTAAAGCTTTTACTTTGTGCTCTAAAACAAAATGAATGAAATGCAAATTCAAATTGGATAGGCTTTTAAAATACAGTTTGGAAACATGACAGTCACTTTGAATAGCCAGTTGATTTTTCCTCTTGACATGTAAACTAAAATATTCTGTCAGTTATTTTTAAAAGAGTGGTAATAAAAAAACTAGTGTTGACTATATGGCACTATTTCAGCCAATTTATGTCAAGATAAAACAAAAATGGCACATAATATATTTATCCCTGTTTCAGCTGTTGACAGTTTATTTCTGTTAGTTATTTTTTTATTAGGAAATTTAGTTCCCGGTACATGAGTTTTAGTAAAATTTAATAAAATGTAATATTCATCTATTGTGCTAAGCACTGTGCTATATGCTTTATGTGTACTACAGCACTTTTCATAATAATATTATTGATATTATCAAATATATTTTATTGATGAAGAAATAGAGGCCCAAATAAGGTGAATAAATTTCCTTGGGGTCAACAGCTAATTAGTGGTAGATTTGCAATTTATAGATTTGAGATTTGGGGTAGGTTTTAGGTTTATAATCATATTTCTCTGATACCATTGGCCTTGATATATTCATTATGTTATGTATCAAGCAAAAACTCTGGTACCTTTTCTAAAGTTTAACACAGGAAAAAAGTGTTTTTACACATTTTTAATAGGGAGTTAAATAAAAACTCCAAATTGAATCTTTTTTATAATTCCATTTTATTATCAGATTGTGAAATTTAAAAATTCCTCACCTAAGATCTGGCTGGTAAGAGTCTAATAGCATGTCATTTAAAGAAATAATTCTATAGGGTTAAGAAAAAACGCTAGCCATTAATTCTAACCTGATTCAGAGAAAGAATGTAAGCCCTGAGCCCTGAAGGAATAACTTTTCTGTTTATAGAATTTGATCATAAGAAATTTTAAACTCATATACAACTTTTGTAGAAAATGAGACAATTTTTTCTCTTCTTTTTTCTAACTAAAATCACACTTTTTAATTTTTTAAGAACAGGAAATTTGGAAAGTGATTAATTCATAATATGGTCTAATCATTTTACAGAATGTGGAAGGAAAATGTAGGCAAAGGAGAAGGTACACCATTACAACTTTTGTCACAGGATGGGGCAGGGAAGGGTGAGAAGAGTCCAGTTTGTTCATCCAGCTGTGTCCAGACATATATTTGCTCTATGAAATGCATCTTGAAAAATTAGCCTTGAGATCCTCTAAAACTTACCTTACTTGTCATAGAAGATAGAGTATGTAAGAGCAGTTGTTATATCTAGAGGTAGATGTGGAAAATCCTTTATGAAGGAAATTCTACTTATTTTTGATACTTTGGTTCTAATTTTCCTCAATTCATATACTTATTCATTAAACAATCATTTTGTGAACTGGTAATACAAACATGAGCAATAAAGACTCTTCTTCCTGTAAGAGTTCACAGTCCAGTAGGAGATTATTTATTTATCTGTTTATCTATCTATCTCTGTCTGTCTGTATTTTTATTGAAAAACAAATTTACCATCTCCATAAGTTCAGAGAGTAAAGAAGAAGGATTGTCTACCTAGCTCTTTCTGGAGAAAGGTGGAGGCAAGGGAAGGTTGCAAATAGTTAATTCTTGTATATGGTGCTGGATAAGGGTCCAGCCTCATTCTTTTGCATGTGGATACCCAGTGTTCCCAACACCATTTGTCAAAGAGACTGTCCTTTCCCAATTGAGTATTCTTGGCATCCTTGTTTAAAATCATTTGACCATACACAATAAAAGACTTATTTCTAGGCTATTTTGTTATATTGGTTTGTGTATCTGTCTTATGCAAACACTATGCTGTTTTGATTACTGTAGCTTTGTAATGTGCTTTGAAATCAGAAGTGTGAGTACTCCAACTTTGTTCTTCTTGTCTAAAATTATCTTGGCTATTTGGTATTCCTTGAGATTCTATGTGAATTTTAGAATGGATTTTTTTTTTATATTTCATTTCTGCAAAAAAATGCCATTGGGATTTGATAAGAATTACATTCAATCTGTAGATTGCTTTGGGTAGTAAGAACATTTTAACAGTATCAGTTCTTTCAATCTATTGGTATCAGATATAGTCCATTTATTTGTCTTCTTTAATTTCTTTAAGCAAGGTTTTCTGGTTTTCAGTGTATACCTTTCACCTTCTTGGTTACATTTATTCCTAAGTACTTTATTATTATTATCGAGACAGGGTCTCACTCTGTCACCCAGGCTGGAGTGCAGTGGCATGATCTCAGCTCACTGCAACCTCAGCCTCCTAGGTTCAAGCAATTCTCCTGCCTCAGCTTCCCGAGTAGCTGGGATTACAGTCATGTGCCACCATGCCCAGCTAATTTTTTATATTTTTAGTACAGACAGGATTTCACCATGTTGGCCAGGCTGGTCTCAAACTCTTGACCTCAGGTGACTGATTGGCCTCGGCCTCCCAAAGTACTGGGATTACAGGTGTGAGCTACCATGCCCGGCCAGTATTTTATCTTTTTAATGCTATTATATAGGGAATTGTTTTCTTAATTTCATTTTTAGATTGTTCATTGCTAGTGCATGGACACACAACTGATTTTTTCATGTTGATTTTGTATGCTGCTGCTTTGCTGCATTTGATCATTATTCGCTAATGTTATTTATTTGTATTTTGTGCATGGAATATTTAGGGTTTTTTTACATAGGGATTACCCCGATCTTAAAACAGAAAGTGCTGCACCCCAGGAAATCCCTTAGTCTTAGCCAAACTGAGATGGTTGGTCAGTCTAGGTGTTGCTGATTTGGTGGTAGAGAAACAGTGACTATTAGTAGCAAGATAGTGCTTTTTATGAATTGAAATTTTGATTAAGAAATTTGTAGATTGGCTGGGCACAGTTGCTCACACCTGTAATCCCAGAACTTGGGGAGGCTGAGGTGGGTGGATCACCTGAAGTCAGGAGTTCAAGACCAGTCTGGCCAACATGGTGAAACCCTGTCTCTACCAAAAATACAAAAAAAGAAAAAAAATTAGCCAGGCACGGTGGTGCATACCTGTAATCCCAGCTACTTGGGAGGCTGAGGCAGGAGAATTGCTTGAACCTGGGAGGCGGAGGTTGCAGTGAGCTGAGATCGCGCCATTGCACTCCAGCCCAGGCAACAAGAATGAAACTCCATTAAAAAAAAAAAAAGCTAAAAGAAATTTGTAGATTGACATACAATTGTAAGAAATAAAACTTAGCAAGTTCATGTACCCTTTACCCAGTGGTAACATCTTGCAAAATTATGACACAATATCACAACTGGTATATTGTTGATATGGATCTAATCCACTGATCTTATTTAAATTTGACCAGTTTTACTTGTATTCATTTGTGTGTGTGTGTGCATTTAATTTTATATAATTTTATCACATGTGTAGGTTCATGTATCCCTCACCACTATCAAGATACAGAACCATTCCGCCATTACTAGGATTCCTCCTGTTGGCTGTTGTTTAATAACTCTACCTGCTTTGCTCTCATCCTTTCCTGACCCCTTTCTTCTCTCACCCCTACCCAATTCTGTCCGTAAACCCTAGCAACCATTAATATACTCTCCTTTTCTAAAATTTTATCATTTCAAAATATATATATGCATATATAAATGTATATGCATAAATACATGTATGTGTATTTGAAATTATACAGTATATAATCTTTTGGGTTTATTTTTTATTGCTCAGCATAAACTCTGAAGATTCATCTAAGTTGTTGCAAGTATCACTAGTTCATTCTTTTCTAGTACTGAGTAATATTACATGGTATCGATGTACCATAGTTTGTTGACCATTCACTTGTAAAATAATATCAGAGTTTTTTCTACCTTTTTTCTTGAGACGGAGTCTCGCTCTTTCACCCAGGCTGGAGTGCAGTGGCGCAATCTGGGCTCATTGCAACCTCCACCTCCTGGGTTCAACCGATTCTCCTGCCTCAGCCTCACGAGTAGCTGGGACTACCAAGTAGCTAGGACTACAGGCGCATGCCACCATGCCTGGCTAATTTTTTATTTTTTTTTTTAGTAGAGACGGGGTTTCACCATGTTAACCTGGATGGTTTCAATCTCCTGACCTTGTGATCTGCCCGTGTTGGCCTCCCAAAGTGCTGGGATTACAGGCATGAGCCACTGCACCCAGCGTCTACTTTTTAGCTATTAAAAATAAAACTGCAATGAACATTCATGTATAGATTTTCTGTGTGAATATAACTTTTCATTTATCTGCAATAAATGCCCAAGAGTGAAATTTCTGGTTTATATAGTAAGTACACATTTTATTTCATAAGAAATTGCTTAACCTTTTAAGAGTGACTGCACCATTTTACATTCCCATTCATACATATGAACAATGTATGAGTGAGTGATCCAGTTTCTCTGCATCCTTGCCAGTGTTTAGTCTTGTCAGTAATTTTTATTTTAGCTATTCTCATAGGTGTGTAGTGGTATTTCATTGTAGTTTTAATTTGGATTTTCCTAATGGCTAATCATGATGAACATTTTTTCATATACTTATTTATCATCTATATATCCTCCTTGGTGAAATGCCAGTTTATATCTCTTGCCCATTTTCTAGTTGGATTGTCAATTTTTTTTCTTTTACAATTGAGTGTTCAGAATTCTTTGTATATTCTGGATACTATTCTTTTGTCAGACATGTGGTTTGCAAATATTTTCTTCCAGTCTGTAGCTTGTATTTTCATCTTATTTTTATGGTCTTTTACAAGACTGACGTTTTTAATTTTGATGAGACCTCATTAACAAGTTTTCCTTTTTGGATTGTCCTTTTGGTGTAAAGTCTAAAAACTTCTTGCTTGACCCTGGATCCTGAAGATTTTTTCATGCTTTTTTTTGACAAGTTTTATAGTTTAACTTTTAAATATAAGAGCATTATATACTTTCAATTAATTTTTTTATAGGTGTGAGGTTTAGGTTAGGTTCATTTTTCTGCCTATCAATTGCTCCAGCACCATTTGTTGAAAAGACTTTTTTCACCTTTGAATTATTTTTGTACCATTGTAAAAAAAAATTTGTGTGGATCTGGGTTCTCTGTTCTGTTCTGTTGATCTACATGTTTATCCAACCGTTAATACTGCACTGTCATTCTTAACTGTAGCTATATGGAAAGCCTCAATGTCAGAGTGTTCCCTCCCACTTTTTTCCTTGTCATGATTGAGAACAAGCTTGGCTGTGTGTGCCAAAACCTTGCTGGGACTTTGATAGGAATTACATTAAGCCTATAGATCAATTTGGGGAAGAATTGACATCTTTATTATGTGAGCCTTCAAATCCATGAATATGGTATATCTCTTCATTTATTTAGTACTTTTTTGATTTTTTACATTAGTGTTTTGTAATTTTCAGCATATAATTTTTACAGGTTTGTTCAGTGTATACTTTAGTATTTCATTTAGTATTTCATTTCTTTGGAATGATTGGAAATAGTATTCTGTTTTAAATTTTGATTTTCTTCTTTTCAATGTTAATTCATTAACAGAAATATACACTTTGTGTGTGTGTGTGTTGATCTTGTATTCAGCAACCTTGCTAAATGAATTTTTTTTTTCTGTAAAGCTTTTGGGGTTTGCTTTTTTTTAAAAAAAATTTATTTTTTAAAAGTTAATATGTGCATTTCAGGAAACTGAAAAACACAAGAGGCAAAGAACAAAGTCCTCTATGATAACAAGTGGTTTACAGTTTGACATGTCCTTCTATGTCCTGTGTGTATGTAGACAAAATATCCTATTTTATGGGATTGAGATCATACAGTATGTATCATGCTTTTTCACACATCATGAATATTTACCAATTTGAAATCCCAAAGCTATATGAGTATTTCGATAGCCAAAAATACACTACACCAACTCACCAACTACACCTATTTTAGAAAAAAATGTAATCCTGCCTTCCCTGGGCCAAAATTTCATGGATGACAAAAATGACAACATGCCTCTAGATAAAAGCGTTGGCAGAGTTCTGATTTAAATACTGCATTCCCTTAATGCTCAATTTAAAATGAGACATAAACTGTAATCCAAGAACTTTGGGATGCTGAGGCAGGTGGCTTAACTTGAGGCCAGGAGTTTGAGACCAACCTGGCCAACATGGAGAAACCCTGTTTCGATTAAAAAAAAAAAAAATATATATATATATATATATATGTGTGTGTGTGTGTGTGTGTGTATATATATATAATGAAACATACAGCAACAGAATACATTAAGTATAATGTTTCTAAGAGAATTCATTAGCAGATCTGTACCATTAAAATATTAGCAAGGTGTGTTGTCATTGAATTACTTAACCTATTCCCATAGCACAGCCAAAAGAATTGCACATACATCAATGGCTATTGTCAAAATGTAAATATATATACATCTGTATACATTTCTCCCTTTATACGTCCTTGTGCCCTTCTGCTGCCAACCTAGTGAGCAAGTCTTGCTATACACTGCTCAGAGGTGGTTTAACAATTTCATGTCCAAGGTGCATCTTTTCTATCAATTATAACAAAAATATATTTATAAATTGCTAATTCACTAGCTCTACTTTTTAACCTACATTGTCACCTCAGGACATTTATAAAGCTTAGATGTTGCAAAATAATGAGCTTTGTCCACAATAAACACAGGTTTACTCAACACTACTTTGTATACAGTGGACAAACTGAAGTCCTTATTTAAAACATTTAGTCTTTCCAGATGTTTAGAAGTGCACAAAATTGTTAAAAATAGAGGTAGTGAATAACACACTTTGCAGATATCCTTTTGATTCACATGAAATGTTGTCTTTTAAAAATTAATCAAACCACTTCTCTGATCAGTACACATATTTATGCTGGTTCAAGGAGGAAGGAGGAGTAGAAAGTGCAAAGAGTTTTATACCAGTGTGTTTATGGCAAGGCACAAGTGACCATTGGCCCTTATGTCTGCATTTCCTTTTACAGTGCTGTGTATATAGCGTATATAAGCAAACAAACAAGTCCTAATTTACAACATCTAGTCTTTCTAGATGTTAGAGATGTTGTCAGTGTGTGACAAAAGGAGAGTCAGTAAAGTAATACATGGGAGTACACTTTGTGTTAAAATTCACAGGGAAGACGGTTATTAAAAACACAGAAGTGTAATTGTTAAAATCCCCTCTAAGTACTACAGATGCTTATACCTGTCCACTGGGTTGATAAAGTAGAAAGGGGAAGGGTTTTAGGCCATAATGTTTATTTTTAGAAAACACTTTCAAATTATAACCTGTGTTATATGTATGCATCATTTATTCAATGCTACTGTGTATAGAGTGGAAAACTTATGTCCTATTTGAAACATCTAGTATTTCTAGGAAGTATGCAGGGAGAAGGGTTCTATGCCCGTCATTTACACTAGTTCAGTTGGTCTAATCATCACTCTATATGTGGATTTTTGTTAATATTGTTGAGTATTAAAGGATAAACAAGTCCTAATGCTCAAAGTATGTTAAAAGTAGAGTAGTAAAACAATCCCTTTATGAATGTTCTTTTGTTAATTTTTAGTGAGAACTGTCTTCTGGGAGTGACCTTTGTTAATCCACTTTTTGGAGCTAGGCATAGTCCTATACTTAGTCACTGGGATGGTGGAAGAGGGACAAGAGGAAGGGTAAAGGGAAGGGCTATTTGCTAGTATCTCTGTATCTAGAAGATAGTTTTAGATGGTAGCCATAGGTCTATATGAGCATTTTTAGTAGAGTTCTTGAGATTTTCTATGTAAACAGTTAAGTCATGTGCAAATTGAGACAGTTTTTTCTTTTATTCATTATCTTGCCTTACCGTGGTGGCTAGAATTTGCAGTATTATGTTGAATAAGAGTGGTGAAACAGAGATCCTTCCTTTGTACCTGACCTTAGGGAAAAAACATTCAATCTTTCACCATTAAGTATGACCTAGCATTTTTTAGATTCTCTTTATCAAGTTGAGAGAAAATCCCTCTATTCTTGACTTGGCTGGCAGTTTTTATGATTAATGGGTGTTGGATTCTATCAAATGCCTTTTCTGCATATAATAACGTTATATAATTATATGATCTTTTGAATTTACCTTGTTGTAACCAGGTTACAGTGATTAATTTTTGAATGTTGAACCAGCCTCGCATACCTGGAATAAATCCCGTTTGGTGATAGTGTATAATCCCTTCCTTCCTTCCTTTCTTCTTTCCTTCCTTCCTTCCTTCCTTCCTTCCTCCCTCCCTCCTCCCTCCCTCCTTCTCTTCTCTTTCTCTCTTTCTCTTTCTTTCTTTCTTCTTTCTTCCTTCTTTCCTTCCTTCCTTCCTTCCTTCCTTCCTTCCCTCCCTCCCTCTCTCCCTCCCTTTCTTTTCTTTTCTTTCTCTTTCTCTCTTTCTTTCTCTTTCTCTTTTTCTTTTCTTTTCTTTTCTTTTTCTTTTTTTCTCTTTTTCTCTTGGGACTAGCTCTGTCACCCAGACTGGAGTGCAGTGGTGTGATCATGGCTCATTGTCTCTTGGGCTCAAGCCATACTCCCTCCTCAGCCTCCAGCATAGCTGGAACCACAGGCGTGCCCCACCATGCCCGGCTAATTTTTTATTTTTATTTTTTTGTAGAGACAGGGTTTCACCATATTGTGCAGGCTGATCTCAAACTACTAGGCTCAAGCGATCCACCTGCCCCAGCCTCCCAAAGTACTGGGATTATAGGTGTGAGCCATGGCAACCAGCCTAATTCTTCCTATACATTTTCAGATTTACTTTGCTGATAATTTGTTTTAATGTGTAAGTTCACAAGAGATATTGATCAATAACTTTTTTTTTATGTTTTTTGGTCTGCTTTTTGTACATAGTAACACTGTCCTTGTAAAATGAGTTGGGAAGTGTTCTCTCTTCTGTCTTCAGGAAGAGATTGTATAAAATTGGTGTTAATTTTTCTCTAAATGTTTGACAGAATCTCTAGTGAAACCATCTGGAATAAAAGTTACTTTCTTGGGAGCTTTTTAATTACAAATTCAATTTATTATCTAATGTTTATAAAACTAGTCAGATTATGTATTTCATGTTGGTTGAGTTTTAGTAATTTGTGGTTTTCAATAAATTAGTTCATTTCTTCTAAGTAGTCAAATGTATGAGCATAAAATCATTCTTGGCATTCCCATATTATTCATTTAATAGTTGCAAGATTTGTAATAACATCACTCATTTCATTTTTAATATTGGTAATTTGAATCTTATCTTTTTTATTTTGTCAGTCTTGCTACAGGTTTATCAATTTTTTGATCCTTTTTAAAGAACCAGCTCTTAGTTTTATTGATTACCTCTAGTTTTACCTATTTTCAATTATATTTATTTCTGCTCTTATCTATAAAATTTCTTTTCCACTGTTTGTTTCAGCTTTACATTGCTCTTTCTTTTCTAGTTTTTTTGAAGTGAAACTTAGATTATTAAATTGTGACCTTTGTTTGTTTTCAATGTACGTATTTAGTGCTATAAGTAGCTCCCTCAGTACTGGCTTAGCTGCATCTCACATACTTTGATATGTTGTATTTTCATTTTTATTCAATGCTATGCATTAAAAAATTTCCTTTGACAATTTCTCTTTGACCGATGAATCATTTAGAGGTATGTTGTTTAATTTCTGCATGTTTGGAGATTTTCCTGTTGACCTTCATTTTTTCATCTTTTGTGTGATTCCATTATGGTCAAAGGTGACATTCCATATTACTTAAATTCTTTTGAATTTGTTGTGGTTTGTTTTATGGCCCAGGAGATGTGGTCTGAGTCAAAGGTCCAAAAGAGCATAATGGATGCATTAGGGATGTGTGTGTGGGTGAGGTGTGCGTGTGAAGGTGGTGGGAGGTGGGGAGGTTAGCATGTTTTAGAAAAGGGAATCAAGCTGTCAAAGATGATTCAGGGACAGACAGTTAAGTGAAAGTCACATACTCAAAATCACAGCTAGTAAGTAGTTGAGATTAAAAGGCAGCCTTTCTCACTCTACATGCATTGCTTTTTTCTCATTGCCTCTCCAAATATATGAACAATAAGTAAACAGAGATATGAAGCATGATTAAAAAATTAAAATATGTGGTAAAATTTAAAAGAAATTTAATTAAATTTAGCAAGGCTACTGTTTTGTCCAAACAACCCCATATCCTTCTTTGGTCATTAAAGTAGTGCTAGATACTATAACAGAATAACCCGGAGATCTCAGTGACTTAATACAATTATTTCTCCCTTTTTCATATAAAGTTCAATAAGAGATGGTGGTTATAGAGGGTGGATTCTGCTCCACACAAAATTAGAGGGAGCAAATATTCAGGGACCCAGGTTGAGGGAGACTTGTTTAACTCATGTTTTCCAAGGCCTTTCTGGGTGTCATCTCCTATTGGTAAATTAAGGAAAAGAGAGTGTGTGATCATTTGGCCAACCCTACAAATTATACACATTATTTTATCCACATTTAGTTTATTTTATCCACATTTATCCACATCTGACCAACTAAATTAGTCAGATGATACACAAATGCAAAGGAAAATGGAAAATGTATCCTAGTTTTCTAAATATGCAAAAGGGGAAATGATTTAGTAAACAGTTTTTCAGTTTCTGCCACACATGATGTATCTATCAGGACCTCTTTACATAATTTACATATGTCACAGTCATTTATAAGCAACTGTTGCCATATTTTTTGATTTTGTAGATTGGGCAGAAAATGTTGTCAGACTCTGTATTAGTTCATTCTCCTACTGCTATGAAGAAATACCTGAGACTGGGTAATTTATAGAAAAGAGGTTTAATTGACTCACAGTTCCACATGTCTGGGGAGGCCTCAGAAAACTGAAAACCATGCTGGAAGGCAACTCTTCAGAGGAGAGAGAATGGGTGACACCAGGGGAAATGCCAGATGCTTATAAAACCATCAGATCTGTGAGAACTCATTCACTATCATGAGAACAGCATGGGGGAAACGGCCCCCATGATCCAATTACCTCCACCTGGTCCTGCCCTTGATACATGGGGATTATTACAATTCAAGGTGAGATTTGGGTGGGGACACAGAGCCAAACCATATCATTCCATCCCTGGTCCCTCCCAAACCTCCTGTCTTCACATTCCAAAACACAATCATGCCCTTTCAACAGTCCCCCAAAGTCTTAAATCATTTCAATATTAATGCAACAGTCCAAATTCAAAGTCTCATCTGAGAACAGGCAAGTCCCTTTCACTTAGGAGCCTGTAAAATCGAAAGCAAGTTAGTTACTTCCTAGATACAATGGAGGTACAGGCATTGGGTAAATACACCTGTTCAAAATGGGAGAAATTGGCCAAAACAAAGGGGCTGCAGGCCCCATGCAAGTCTGAGATCTAATAGGGCAGTCATTAAGCCTTAAAGTTCCAAAATGATCTCTTTTGACTTCGTATCTCACATCCATATCACCCTGATGAAAGTGGTGGGCTCCCATGGCCTTGGGCAGCTCTGCTTTGCAGGGTACAGTCCCCCTCCCAGTTGCTTTCACAGGCTGGCATGAGTGCCTGTGGCTTTTCCAGGTGCACCATGCCAGCTGTCAGTGGATGTGCCATTCTGGGGTCTGGAGGATAGTGGCCCTCTTCTCACAACTCCACTAGGCAGTGCACCAGTGGGAACTCTGTGTGGGGGATCTGACCCCACATTTCCCTTCTGCCCTGTCCTAGCAGATGTTCTCCATGAGGGCTCCACCCCTGCAACAAACTTCTGCCTGGACCTCCAGGCATTTCCATACATCCTCTGAAATCTAGGTGGAGGTTCCCAAACCTCAGTTCTTTACTTCTGTACACCTGCAGGCCAAACACCACATGGAAGCTGCCAAGGCTTGGGGCTTGCACATTTTGAAACAATGGCCTGAGCTGTACCTTAGCCCCTTTTAGCTAGGGCTGGAACTGAAGCAGCTGGGAGGCAGATCACCTTGTCCCAAGGCTGCACAGAGCAGGGGGAACGTGGACCCACCCCAGGAAACAATTTTTCCCTAATAGGCCTCCAGGCCTGTGGTGGGAGGGGCTGCCATGAAGGTCTCTGACATGCCTTGGAGATGTTTTCCCCACTGTCTTGATGATTAACATTCAACTCCTTATTATTTATGCAAGGTTCTGCAACTGGCTTGAATTTCTCCCCAGAAAATGGGTTTTCTTTTCTATATCATTGTCAGCCTGCAAATTTTCCAAACTTTTATGCTCTGCTTCGTCTTGAACACTTTGCTGCTTAGAAATTTGTTCCGCCAGATACCTTAAATAATCTCTCTCAAGTTCAATGTTCCACAAATCTCCAGTGCAGGGGCACAATGCTGCCAGTCTCTTTGTTAAAGCATAGCAAGAGTCACCTTTACTCCAGTTCCCAGAAAGTTCCTCATCTCCATCTGAGACCACCTAAGCCTGAACTTTATTGTCCATATTACTATCAGCATTTTGTTCATGGGCATTCAGCAAGTCTCTAGGAAGTTCCAAACTTTCCCACAACTTCCTGTCTTCTTCTGAGCCCTCCAAACTGTTCCAACCTCTGCCTGCCGCCCAGTACCAAGGTCACTTCCACATTTTTCGGTACCTTTATAGCAGCACCCCACTCTCTGTGGTATCAATTTACTGTATTAGTTCATTCTCATGCTGCTGCAAAGAAATACCTGAGACTGAGTGATTTATAAAGAAAAGAGGTTTAATTGACTCACAGTTCGACATGGGTGGGGAAGCCTCAGGGAACTGAAAATTATAGTGGAAGACACCTCTTCACAGGGAGGCAGGAGAGAGAGTGAGTACAAGCAGGGGAAATGCTAGACACTTACAAAACCATCAGATCTTGTGAGAACTCACTCACTATCATGAAAACAGCATGGGGGAAACTGCCCCATGATTCAATTACTGCCACCTGGTCTCTCCCTTGACACACAGGGATTATGGAGATTATGGGGATTATAATTCAAGGTGAGATTTGTGTGGAGACACAGAGCCAAACCATATCGCACTCCTAATGGCTATGGATCAGACTATCTACTGTTACAAATAAAAGGTTTTTTTTTTCAGTCATTGGCCATGCTGAAAACATTAAGTGATTTCCAACTCATAATTAATAGGGCAAATTTTCATTCAGGGACACATGCAACAGCTTTCTTAGCTGTATGTTTACTTTTCTTCTGTGATAATATATCCAGATACAGCAAGTGAGAAAGGATGCTGAAAGTCTTTTTCAATGAAAATGATTTGGAACTATTAAATAAGAACAATGTTTTCCAAAATGTTTCTTGTAGAACACTAGTCCTTGAATATACTCCAAAGGAAAACATATAGTTATTTACCCATAAAAGTTTACCAAGGAATGATACTCAAATATCTCTCTTGAGTATTTACAATACATGAGAACATATTAAATATTCTAAATAATTCTGCCATAAAGAATTTTGGTTTTAACCTCAGCTTTTCTAATACTTGTCATAGATTTCTGGGTTTTAATACCACATGCTATTGTGTTACATCTGTGAGAAATGAAATTCCACTTGACTGTCATTACAATTGAACTTCCTAGTTTTGAATGCCACTTTCTATACTGAAAAATTAGTAAGAAAGTATTTTTCATATGAGTAATATTGTTTTGTAGGGCTTTAAGAATACATAGAATAAAATACATTTAGTCATGTTTTCCCTTTTTATTCTTATTCCCTACTGCAGTTATTAGCAAACTTAGCACCAACAGGGTGAACATTAATTTGTATAGTTTTTCCTTCCTCTCCCTTAAAAATATATTGCATTATGTAAACTTCAGTTTATTTTCTCCTTAGGCTACCAAATTCACTTCATAAGTTTTGGAAGTCCTTTTTTCCACTACCAATATTTCTATATTTTTTCATAGAAACATTTCCTCACTCTGGTGAGGAAGAATAATCTCAGAAGAACAATCTTAGGCCCTTTCTTTTACCTTCAGTTTCTCCATTTTGTTTTTATTTTTCTCTTCTGCATTTTGAACCTGAACCAGAGATAAAATATAAGAAAGAATTTGAGGTTGATGTCAGAAGCATTTCCAACAGGGCTAAGGAAGTATTTTTTTGGAAGGTGAGTGTGATTTATAATACCATGCAGGAGTAGTGGATATGCCACATGATGTCATTCCTTTGTTTTTGTTTTCTAACTTGAAGAAAAATTTGTGATTTTTTACATTGGCATAGAAAATAAAAATAGAGCATTGACTAATATTTAAAAAATGATCCTGCTTACTTGATATGCTATCATCTTTTATTATGCTTTGCTTATAAGCAAAATTATTTCCTACTGTAGTTTTGCAATATAATATTGTAAAAGTATATTTGCCAAACACAATATTTGGAGTAAGTTAAAATTTATTATCTGTTTCATTAAATACTTTTACTGCTCTTGCCTTTTCTCCCTTCTCTCTTTTCTGGCATAACTACCAGTAACTGTAAAGATATGTGAGCTGATATTTACAAAATGGCAGGCACCTTTTCCTGAGGACTGTCAATCAGTACCATTTGTGCAGATGAACCATTGCCAACTTCCATACACTAGGTTATTTTAAAAATAATGCTTAATTAAAAAAATCTAGTTGATGGTGATGGAATATTCTTTATTCTGGGTAAACTTTGTAAGTTTGGATTAAGACCACAAGATATCAAAACATTTGTGGGACCATATTGTGCTATTAGTTTGGCCCTCAAGAAATCAGAAGGTAACTCTGGTGTTCCAGGAACTATTCAACCTGAGAATCTTAGTGTACTTAACTTTAATGAAGTAAGTTAAGTTATCTGAGGCTGTGCTTTCATTAGGTAGCTACTAGCCACAGGTGGCTATTGAAATTAAAATTAATTAAAATAAACAAAATTAAGTAGTTTCTCATTCACACTAGCCACATTTCAAGTGCTCAGTAGTCACATATTACTAGTGGCTACTGTGCTGAACAGTATAGATTGTCGGATATTTCCAGCATTGTTGTAAGTTATAATGAAAAGGGCTAATTCAGAGGGCATTATTATTTCCAGTTCATATATAAAGGACAAAAAGCTAGAATTGCACCCTTGATTATCAGTCACTTCAATTTATTTGGAACAGTCTTAATTACTCAGATACGAGATACTTTCCTGAACAGTTGTATAACCTACTGGAAAAAATATTGGATTGGAAGATAGGATAAGTGGAGTTTGTTCCAACCATAAACTCGTGTTGATGAGAAAATAATTTGACTTATTTAAGTTACTTTTACCTGTGGAAAACCAAACTATGAGACATGTGCAGAAAAGAGTTAACATAGCAAGCCTGACTACTATCCTTAGAAAGGGTACTTACAAAATTGGCCCTTGCCTGGCATCTGAAAACTTGGATTTCAAAAGAATTCCCACCATTTCCTCATGAGAGTGTCTCACTGTGCCAAAAATGCTTGTACGAACAATATGGTTTGTGCTGAACTCCTCCTTCCCTACTGGGAGTCTGGAATGTGTGTATGTGCCAGGCAGAGGGTGCTTACGTGACTAGCCCCAAACAAAAACCTTGGTGCTGAGTCTCTAACAAGCTTCCCTGGTAGATATTTCACACTTGTCACAACTTATTATGGGGGACTTAAGCATGTACTGTGTGGTTCCAATGGGAGACGATTCTAGAATCTCACTCCTGGTTTCCCCCAGACTTCACCCCACGTGACTTTTCTCTTTGCTGATTTTTCAGTGTATCTTTTCGTTGTAATAAATCATAGCCATGAATATGACTATATACCGAAGTCCATGAGTCTTTCTAGCGAATCACCAATCCCAGGGGTGGTCTTGACCCTCAACACACCTCATAATTATGTTGAAAGGGTAATATGAAGTCTAAAGTTTAAGAATAAGTTTGAATTCCAAACACAGTGCCATACGCTTGTCAGTTATTATTAACAATTGTACTGAATCTGGCAAGGAAGAAAAATCAGACAAAATATTTATTCAAAAATACACAAAATAAGATTGTTTAAAATAAAACTGAAAAGCTATATACTCCTGAATAAATTATATCTAACATTTTAAGACATAATTGTGGTGTTATTTTATTTACATTAACTGGGGACACTGAATCGTAACACTATATTAGGATTTGGGAAGATATGACTTAGAGAAAAACAGAGGACATCATGCCCTTCTTGGACTTTTAAGTATCTACAGAAACACTTCCAAAGCAGTCTGGAAATGTGAGCTCAAGAGGCTAAGACAAGAATTTCAGTGAAACAGAATAGCACTCATCCTTCCTTGGATCAAGTTTAAAGAAGCTGCAAAGTCCTCCTCACACAAGTCTCTGGATATGTATCTGTCTTTCTGCAACAGGTTTAAGAGACTCAAGACCTCAGAGCTGACATATCTGGGTGTTTCTTGACAGAGACTGAGAAATATGGCCTTGGCTTCCTGTGGTGGGAGTGAAAGCAGAGCTCTCTCTCCTTTTATTTTAAAAGTCAAATTTATAAAGTATCTTGTTGTAGTGAATGCTTTCCTGGCTCAAATATCATAATCTTTACCTAAACATGAGAATTTTTATCTTTGCTGTGCAACTCATTCATATCCAAATTCCAAATGTCAACTCACCCTCTTCTCTGATTTCCACCACCCATTTTTTACAACATGGCTCCAGGGAGGATATATCCTTGGTTTCCTGCAATGATGTCTGATGAAGGTACTTGTGCCTTTTTTCTTCCCTGTCCCACCCCATTCTTTCTTTTATACCTTTCTTTTTCCATTTCCTAAGGTTCTTATTCAGATGACCAATTTCAAAGGTTTGGACCAAAACCTCCCCAGGCGTCAGAGCTTTTGGGGGCCTAAGTTTGAGTACAAATTGTTTCTAGGGGATACCCAAAGGTTGTCTTTATGACCACAGTGACTTTAAAAAATATATCAAAGAGAAAAACAGAACAAGTATCAGACTTCATGCAGTACAAAATAGCATGAGGAATAAGACTGCAGATATATGGAACCAGATTGCTTGAGTTTGAATTCTATCTTCTCTGCTTATTTCTGTTTCATCTTAGGCAATTTACTTAACCACCCTGTGCCTTGATTTACTCACCTATTAAATGCAATAGCAACAGTATCTATTAATACCATGCCCCCCCTTTTTAAATAAAGACAGTGTCTCACTCTGTCACTCAGGCTGGAGGGAGTCAATGGCATAATCATAGTTCACTGCAGCCTTGGTTGCCTGGGTTCAAGTAATCCTCCCACCTCAGCCTTCCAAGTAGCTAGGACTACAGGCATTTGCCACCATGCCTGGCTATTTTTTAAAAATTTTTTTATAGATGGAGTCTCACTATGTTGCCAAGGCTGGTCTAGACTCTTGGCCTAAAGTGACCCTCCCATCTTGGCCTCCCAAAATAATGGGATTACAAGCATGGTCCACCAAGCCTGCCCATCACCTATCTTATTGAGATATTGTGAAGATTAAATCAGTTAACTTATGTGAATTGCATAGAACACTTAGTAGGTGCTATATAAATATGGTGACCACTTAATTGATCACCCAACCTGGGATGCATTTGAATATAAAAAGGGGCATTATTAATAATTATACCAGAACAAGTATAATGGTAAGTGCTCAGCATTATTATTTTTAAATTTTACTTGAAAGAAAACTTATTTTTAAGTAGCAAAATTCTCTACAAATGGAAAACTCTTTAATATAAACTTTCCTGCTAATAAAAGCACAGAATATAGGAGAAAAAAAATGAATGTACCCCTGTGTTATAGGACTTGGGAAAAATGAATTCAGTTGGGTCACAGGAGCACATGCACAGTGAGCTGTCATCTTTGAGATTGGGGAGGGAATACTTATTGAGGACAAGAGTATCTTTTTACATTCGTTCAAAGTGCAGAGGTGGTGGGGGCAGAAAACCTTATTTGAAGGTGAAGTTAAGTTAAATTCATTACAGGCCAGTCAGTTATTAAAAGCACTAATGACAGCAAAGCAAGCATAAAGCACCTCCAACAATTTGCCAAGCATTCTTGCCTTGCTGCCTTTCGGTAAAGGTTTCTCTAAAATGATTTTAAAACTATTGAGATGTATATGACAACTAAGTGATCTCACTTGTCACTTGGTCAATATCGTTTCCTTCCAGAGTAGTTCAACCTCAGATGTCATTTATGTGTACTTTGTTCTGATTATCATTCAACAGTGACAGCAAATATTTTTCTCTTCTTTCTCTCTAATCCTCTTTTCTGGCTTACAGATCTCTTCTTGGCCCTTGACAGAAGAAGCAGAGTAACTTTTCTTAGGTGGCATAATTCTTCAAAATGTGTTCATTTTGAAGAACAGGGGTGATGGATGGTAATACACAGGCAGGGATCAACAGTCCCAGAACTGAAGGAAGAGTTGACAAATGTATCAAAGATGCCTAATCAAAATGTGTCCACATTCTGCTAAATAAATTCTGGTTGAGCAGAACTAACAAAATCTATGTTTTCTTATTGTTAATATTTTTTGTATTGAATATGAGATGATATACAGAAGGAAACAAAACAAAATTGATGACAAACTAGCAGTTTGAATTTTGCTAATGTTTGAAGATGAGTAATTGCCAAATGGGGAGTTTGAGTCTCAGAAAACAGTAGAGAAAAAATAGCTTTTTGAGATTTCAAAAACCAAATATTAAAAAAAATTAACTGAAAAACTCAAAATGTTGATGCTCACTTATTAACATTTCATAAGTTAAAAATTTTGATGTTATTGGATAATCAAATGCATTTGTATCTATAAACCACAATTTGTCATAGCACAGATTCAGTTCTACTCCAGGTCAAATCATGCCCCATTCTTAGCAAACAAAAACTACAGAAATTAGTAGTCTTATATAACACAGTTCACAACACTAATAATGTACCACAACTTGATGTTTTTAGTAACAGAGGATATGGCATATAATTTTTCACATGTGTTATAGGTATCTTTGTTTTTGATTCTCACAACAGCCCTATGAAGTAGGTGACATTGACTCTGAGGTACATGGAAGTGAATTTGCCTGAGTCTTAACAGCTAGTAAGTGAAGGAACAAAAGTTCAATCCCAGTGCTCATGTCCATAACTCTTGTTCAATACTGACCTTGGCACCAATTACCAGAAAGAGATTTGATTCTGGACATGTATCTTAGAGGAATGTTAAATGCTTAGTGATTTAATACATGGCACAACAAAAGCATTTAAAGGCAAGATGCCACAAAATCCTGCTTTTGTTGAATCAATTCACAGGTCTAACGTGGATTTAAAATAACTTGCGTGTGTTTATGAGTATTTATACATTATTTGTGTCAGCCAAAAAAAATGGAATGAAGTATTAAGTATCAGGACCAAAGCCAAGTCAATTGAAGATGTCAGAAATAACCAAAAGCTCAGAATGAATTACACCATTTGTTTAGGGCACTCTTGGGTATTTATCAAGGATGTTTCCAATCCAGCTCTCAAAGCAATAAACTCTAGGTAAGTCATCAAATAAATAAGTAAATGTAGCACTGTATAACCTTTATTCTGTATTGTCTAAGAAATGGTTTTCTTTCAGAGAAGCAAGCCTTTTACATTTGACACTAGACTGTAGTTTATTGCTTTAAAACTGAGCTGTTCAATTTAGGCTTATGATAAAAGGTGTACACTTAGATAAGCAGACATTTAAGCTGATTAGATGGTCTAAAACAGTGGATTTAGAACCATTTCTACCATGCAATTACTCCTTAGCCCAGTGTCTCTCACAGATGAAAGCAGAGCTGCTCTGGATGAAGAGAGAAAGAGGTGGAGGCCCGGGATTGCAGCAGCTGGGTTGTCTATTGACCTGTGTACTTAGGTAGCCCCAAGGGTACCAGCATTACATGTCTAGGGCTCCCCATACCACACTCTGAAAGCCACTGTTCTAATAGCCAAACCCAAGAAAATGTGTGAAAACAGAAACCAAATTTAAATTACGAAGATTATAACATTTAAGGAGATCAAATTTTAAATGACTTTATTTAGGACTCTATTTTGCTGGATTTGTACATATTCCCAGATGGAAGCTCTGTGTTCCTAAAGATGGAATCAAATAATGTCCATGAAAAAAAACCTTGTTATATTAATCTTTTTTTGAAGAAATAATACTCCTATATTACTTAATAAACATTATTTAAGCTAATCTTCAATATTGCTGAGGTGTCAGATCTCCATCTGCATTTTATGGAAGATTAAACAAAGAGATTAACTGGAAAACCTGTGGAGATTAAGAGATTAACTGGAACAAAGAGATTAACTGGAAACTCCACCTCTGACTTTCCATATGACTTTGAACTGTGAGACTTTTACAGCCTCCTAGGACGTGGGCTTCCTAAATATAATCATAGAAGATCATACATACTCTTTATTTAAAGGTGTGACTTCTTGTGCTTTTTTAAATAAAGAGATTATTTAAAATGAATTTAAATCAACTAGTGTATCAAACTTTTTAAAGTCTCAAAAGTTAATCAAATTGTGACTGTTTTTAATTTATATGAAAAGTATATGGAGATGGTGCAAATTTAGGGAAAAGGAAAGTCTTTCTTTGGTTGTAATGACTTACAGGGAGGACCACTGTATGATAGATCATTATAAATTAAAATTCTGTACTAGGGTGGTGTTATGGGACAGTGAGATGTCCCATTGTCTCATAATTTTGGTTAAGATTCTGTAGTTGAGATCAAAAGACTAATATTCCACATTTTGAGTTTAGAGAGCTGCCACTTTTCAGCGGGGTGCTTGAGCAACCAACTTCTTCAGCTCAGTTTTCTCCCCTATAAAATAGTATTTACCTCATGAGGGTAAAATGAATTAAAACAGTGCTAAGAAAAAAATTTGGCATAGCTCAATGAAATTTAATTATGGACTTCTAACTGAGGAGACAACTATATTATAAGCTTGATGATGGCAGGGACTTGTGTGATATTTCCTGTGTTACCCCAATACTTAATGACATGCTTTTATAAAGTGTTGGTTTAATATATTTTTCTTGCAAATAAACAATTTTGGTATTTAATGAGTTTTAAGTTATAACAATTCATTTTTAAAATAGTGTATCATAAAACGGAATAGTTTTAAATATTATGTAACAGCCCAATTAACAAGGTTGATGATACATACACATGACATATGTATATATTTATATATACTCAAGATATATATATATATATATATATATGTATATACTTATACATACATACACACAAACACACACATACACACACACGGACTATACGCACACATAATCAGATAACAAATAGTAAATTCACGCTCTTCAAGCACACATGTCACATCTACAAAAGTTAATGTTGGCCGGATGCAGTGGCTCACCTTGTGGTCCCAGCATTTTGGGAGTCTGAAGTGGGAAGAATATTTGAGTCCAGGATTCAAGACCAGCCTGGTCAACCTAGTGAGACCTTCTCTTTACAAAAAACACACAATTAGCCAGATGTGGTGGCTTGCATTTGTAGTCTCAGCTACCTGGAAGGCTGAGGTGAGAGGATCACTTGGGCCTGGGAGACTGAGTCTGCAGTGAGCCTAGATCGTGCCACTGCACTACAGCCTGGGCAACAAAGCGGGACCATCTAAAAACAAAACCAAGCAACCAAACAAAGAAAAACAAAAAACAAAAAACAACACAACAAAAAATAGTCTTGTAGTAGACTAAAATAAATTCTAGATGAATCCCAAATAATTAATAAAATAAAATTCTCAATTGCTTAGCATAATGTAATAAAATTGAAACTAACAAGAAAACAATAGTTAAAACTCCAATATGTTTAGAAAGTAAAAAGAAACTTCTAAATAATTGGTTACAGAAGAACTCAAGAGATCACAAAAAAAGTATGACAAATTGAAATTTATAAAGTACTTGAAGCATTTCTTAGGGAAGTTCATAAAGCAGTATAGTTTAGCAGTGCTCAAGTGAATTTATGTATATAAAATAAAATAAAATTAGAAGCTTGAAAGTAATAAGCCAAATTTTTTTCTACAGAACCAAACAAAGAAAAAAACAGCGAATCTGACAAAAGCAGGATGAAGAATAAAAGAGAAGAGAAGAAATTAAAGAAATAGGAAGCAGTTATGATGATTAACAAGACTAACAACTAGTTCAAAGAAAAGAAAGCACTAATAAATTAGAAAAACATCTGGAAAACTGGTCAAGTGAAAGACAAAGAATGTAAAAGAAAATATTATGAGGAACATGGGGTCAAATAATAGATATCATCTCTTTTACCCTACAAGTCCAAAGAGAACATGATGATCAATTTTATGACTGTGTTTAGACATATTGGATTATTTAAAATAAAATTTACCAAAATCGATGTAAGAAAAAAATAGTGAATCTGAATAGATCAATAACTATTAAAACATTTAATTGGTAATTACAATTCTCACCCACTTACCTTCTCTCTACAAATACTCCAAGCCCAAAGAGTTCTACCAGGAAGTTTTGCAAGCCCCTTTAACTTACAGATAATTCTGACTTTATGCTATGTTCCCAGATGATAAAAGAAGTAAAGCTACTTAATCCATTTTTTTTTGAAGGTAGTGTAACTTTATAACCTTGATATCCAAACTTATAAGGAAAGCATAGTAAGAAAACAAAGGCTAATTTCATTTATAAATGCAGGTGCAAAATTAAAATACTCAATCTCTTTCTCTGGGTCAGTCTTGCTAGAGAATTTTAGGCAAATTGAATTCACCAGCAACGTTACCAAATGGTGTTTATTTTTGTATAGATCAATTGTTCCACAATAGAAAATATATTTAAGTATTAATCACATTAATAGACAAATGATGATAAAAATAATCGTCTCTATTATTGCAAGAAAAAGTCATCTTGATTAATGCAATGATATTCACTGTCCTTTTATGATAAAAACAATTAACAAACTATTAGTGAACTAGAAATGAAAAGAAATATGATCTGTCTTCCTCAAAATCAGTGTCGTCACTGATACTATTCATGTTGTGTTGGTGGTTTTAATAATTATAATAAGAGAAGGAAAGGACATAAGAAATGTATAGATTAAACAGAAAAAGACAAAATTGTAATTTTCACATGATATGATTTTCCGTGAAAAATGTACAAACGAATCTCCAGACAAATTATTCAAAATAATAAGAAAGTCTAGTGGTTCAGTCAAGATACAATTTATATATAAACTCCATAATATTTCTATGTGAAAGTAATAAATACTTGAAAAATGTTATAGAAATTTTGAAAAAAGCATTTGCAATATAACAAAACATATAAGACACCTAGAAATAAATCGAAAACAGGTATTCAAGTTCTACATGGTTAAATGTATAAGATAGTTTTGAAGCATATGAAAGGAGACTTGATTAAATGGAGATGTGCGCTAGGTCAGATGTGGGAAGATTCAACATCATGAGGATTTCAACTCACCCAAATGTTTCTATAAATTTAATGTGATTCCAATAAAAATGTCATGTTTTTCATGGAATTTGAGAAAATGACTTAGAAATTCGGAGAAATTAAGTCCAAAAAGATCTGGGTTAATTTTGAAGAGGAAGAAGAAGGAGGAAGAAGGCACACTTGCCATACCAGTTACTAAGTCTTATTAATATACTTATACAATGTAAACTACTATGGTATTAGCTCAGGAAAGGGCAAGTACATGAGAAGGATGAATGAGAAAGCAAAAACTAACAAACAGGCAAAACCTCAAAGCCAAAAACCAGAAAACACAGAGACTTTAACTATATGGGATTTCAATTTATGAGAGAAGTGTCACTACAACATGCTGAAGAATAATAAATGGTGTTGAAATAACTGCAGATCCAAATGTGAAAATAATAGATACATGCATCTAGTTCTATTTGATTAAAGACCTTATGACTTTTTGAAGAATATGAAGAATATTCTCATTACATTGGAGTAGAGATGATATCTTACACAAGTAACATAAAAACAGAATATAACATAAAGTAAATTGATACACAGCTGTAAGTAATACTTATATATACAACAAAAGATACAATAAACAAGAATGAGAAATGATGTTTATCACATAGAGAACAATGGATTAATGTCTAGAATAGCTATATAGAAATCCTACAAGTCAATAAAGAAAAGATAATGTAATTAAAAATGGGTATTGTGTATGGGTACTTGCTTACTTTGTTGGATTAAATGTAAATGATCAAGCTCACATATTACACTAAACAAATAAGTGGTTTATCTTGCTTTAAGAATATGGGTACAGAAACTATTATTATGAAAAAGACAGGCTGGATGTGGTGGCTCACGCCTGTAATCCCAGCACTTTGGGAGGCCGAGGCAGGTGGATCACCTGAGGTTGGGAGTTCAAGACCAGCCTGACTAACATGATGAAACCCCATCTCTACTAAAAAAAACTACAAAAAATTAGCCCGGAGTGGTGGCAGGTGACTGTAATCCCAGCTACTCAGGAGGCTGAGGCAGGAGAATCGCTTGAACCCGAGAGGCAGAGGTTGCAGTGAGCCGAGATCACACCACTGCCCTCCAGCCTGGGCAACAAGAGTGAAACTCTATCTCAAAAAAAAAGAAAAAAAAAAGATAACGACAGTACATATCTCATGTAGCCTTTTTCAACACCAACTCAGGAGCTCACAGATATTTTTTTTCTGGAAGAGTCAGAAAAGTCAACTGTTGACCTTGAAGGAAAAACGAGAATTGGAGTACCATTTTTGGGGACAGAACAACAATCTTTATATCTCCTCTGGGAGTGTTGAGCACAGGTAATACAAACAAACAATAAACAGAGTTACAAGAGGCATTTGATTACATTCAGTCTAAGAATATGCATATTAAAATTTAACAGAAACATCTGAGCATATTTAAATTATAGCAATTTATTGCTGCCATTTTGGTTTATAGTCTCAGCCTGTTTGTCACATAAACTTCTCGGCCCCATAACAATTGGCAAAAGATATAAAGATGCAGTTCAGAAAAAAGGGAAGTCAAATAGCTAGTCAATTTTGGAAAGTTTAGTAATGAATAAAATGCATGTTAAAATAATAATGAAATACAATTTTATACCCAATGATTAGCAACAATTTTAAAATCTGAAAATTTTAAATGTTTAAAATCAAAAATTATAAAGTGAATACTTCAAAATACAGGAACTCTCATCCAGTGCTGAGATGACTGTAAATTTTGGAAAGCAATTTGACAACAATATTATTAAAAATGTACTCATCTGATAATTTAGCAATTACTTTTCTTAATATATATTCCAGAGAAACTGTTGGCACATGTATACAAGAGGACATTTTAAGGAACATTGATTTTAACAGTGAAGACTGGAAACAATCTAAATACATATCAACAGAAGAATGGTCAAATAAATTATGGCATATTTTATAATGAAATAGATGATTATAATTAAAATAAAGGAGCTATAGCTATATGTAGTGACGTTGATAGATAAAAAGTCTAATGAGTAAAAAGTAAGAAGCACCTATACACTATGATGAAATATCCCTATATATTGGACCTGGTTATCTCTATCTCTATGGAGAGAAGGAATACAAATATGTATAGGAAGGATTTATACCAGAAATAAGACAGATTTTCTGTGGATATGAAAGTAGTGAAATGTGACAAAGTAAGGATACTATCTTAGTCCATTTCTGCTGCTATAACAGAATACCACAAACTGGGTAATTTATAAAGAAAAGAGATCTATTTGGCTCATGGTTCTGGGAGCTGGGATGTCTAAGAGCATAGTACCAGTATCTGGTGAGGGTCATCCCATGGCGAAAGGGTGGAAAGACAAAGCCAGCTTTGACAGAGAGAGTAAATTGGGCCAAACTCTTAAACTTTATCACTAATGTGTTGTTTTCCAATAAGAAACAAACAATAAACAAAAAGACCTACATCAAAAGAGCTGAAGTAAACATATTCAACTGTTAATATTTGTTAATTGTATATGTTGGGTATATGGGTATTTATTATGTTATTCTCTGTAATTTTCCATGTTCAGAACCACCAATGAAGATATATATATACAGAACAAGCCGTCAGCCTATATCTGTAAGTGAATGAACTGTAGAGTGAGTGCTCTACTAGATAGGCCTGCCAACTATAAGCACAATTTTACACTATATTCTAGGCAGCCAATGTGTCTTCTTCCCCTGATATACTTTTAAGGAAGAAAATTACATAAAGTGGCCAGTCCAACACAAAGAATGAGAAGTGCTGGTCCCAGGGTAGTTCTTTACTTAGCATATCATCACCATATAATTTTTCATATTTAAGTGTTAAACAAAAAGACCATTTTGTATCAGGGTTAATCTGTGATGATAATTATATGACCTCATTATAATAAGTAAAATTGTTTTCTAATAAAGCTATAAAGAATGAAAATGTGGACCAAAATTAATTTAATATTCATAGATATCAAATCCTTACAGATTGTGAATAAATTTTGGGGTCAAGTACTATTCTTGAGCACTTACAGTATAATTTAGGATGTTCAATTTTTTATGCTATGATATTCTCTCAATATTGTACATAGATTTCTATATTTGATAGGTTGATATCAATAAGCATTAAAATGAAATGTCCAAATCTAATAAATTACTACAGAATTTTCCCATCTTTCATGCTCTATTTAGTTTTTCAGGTCAAAGTAAAATCGAGAATAGAATATTCAAACCACATGGTGTCTTACAGTGAGTTGTGACAGTGGGACAATAGTTTATTTTAACATAAATCAAAAGGAACTGAAACAAAATCAATTTGCAATGCATTAATGGTCTTATTATTGAATTGTTCCATGTTTCACAAAAAACATTTGATGTACTGAGCAATCCGTTGTGTAATAGAAAGTGTTTTCCAAATATCACAGTGTTTTAATTAAGACTTTTTGTGTCTTTTCCTCTAAGTACATTAAAAGGAACTTTATGTACCCTCATTCTCTTTTGGATAGGGCTCTGTTATGTCGTGAATATGATTATTTTCAGCAGAACTAAGAGTAACATGCTTTGATGAGCGTAAATCTCAAAAGTTGAGTTCTTGAGAATTGTCTTCATAATGAAGATTTTGTCTACTTGAATCATGGCCAACAATCTCAACTTTGGAGAGCTGCTTATGGGATTTACCTAACACTTGTTGCTGTGTCATTAACAAGGCATCAACCCCTCTTAGGACAGCTCACGGGTGTCTTCTGTGCTGATGTGACATTTTATATGAGCAGATTTAGGGGGTGATAGAAGGGCACTTGCAACTTTAATTTTCCAGCCTTAAAGGACAACCTCATGATATCAGAGGCTAACTTATAGCCCAGAAGGTGATGACCTTCCTCTGTTAAAAGTTTAATGTGTCTCCTGCTACTTCTTAATTGTTCAGCTTTTATCTTATTTCAGTGATCATTCTTGGGGCTCGGATTTTCATGGAGTTAGTGATTTACTAGTCTCTGAGGTACTCAGTCCAAACTCCATGCCAAAAGCACTCAGAGGTGAAGAGAGGTGAAGGATAAGGATGACTGCCAGGAGAATAAAATTTGGTTGTCAATAAACAGGGAAACCTCCAAGTTGTTATTCTAAAGATTTAGATGGTGTTAAGGGCCACATGGAGCCCTGTCCTGTGTTAGTAATATAATGGGACCTGCTGTATTCTCTGAGATGTTTCTTTCATCTCAACTCCTTCAGCCAATATCAAATTCTTTCTTCTTATGAAATAGGAACTCATTCACTGACTCATCTAAACCCTCAAGGAAACAAGTATAACGATTTCATTTTAGTCTTTCTTAGATTATGATCTTGGGTGAAATGAGAAAGAAGCACTGTTGGTAAAAATTTATACCTCACTACTATGAATATTTGCTAACTCTAAGAGGGAGCCAGAAACAAGGAGGGAGGTAAATACCCAAAGAAAAAAACAAGAGTGAGGTAGAGAAACATGGAGGAGAGAGTGAATGGGAGAGAGAGAGTGAGAGAAGGAGTGGAGGAGTGGGGGTGAGAGAGAGAGAGAGAGAGAAGAAATAGATGAGGGAAGACAAAAAGAAAGAGAGAAAGAGAGATGAGAGAGAGGAGAAGAGAAAATGAGAACCTGAAAGACAGTTTGTGTTTGATCACACATGTGGACACATCTAAAAGATTCCATAACTTTGTTTGTTTTTCAGTTAAATTGGATGTTTTCATCTTCATTATGGTTTAAGTCAGGCATTTTAAGTCTAAGTAGTCAGACCACTTCAGTTGTTTTAACACCCCACACTAAATGACTGAACAGCTAAAACTGCCCAATTGGGTCAACCATTTAGCAATCCCAGGGACTGAACAAGTGATTGATGTGGTATATGAGGCAGGCTCAAACTGTAATTTGTTACTTCAGAGAAAGAAAGCTAACAAATTCTTTTGGGAAACCCAAGAGGGATTGGATAAACTTGTGTTAAGTGATAGGACAATAATATTACATTACTGGATGGTTAGTCCTAAAGACAATCTTCCACATGTGAAAGGAAAAATAGGCTCCAAAAGTTGGTCTGCCTAAATATATTGCCAACTCTGTCTTTCCAAAAGAGACAAGCAGCCTCCATGTGTTGGGCTTGAGGAAATTAATCCCATCCTCTGCTCCTCAGAATGGAAGCTGATTGAGAACTAGGCACAGGAGTCAGAAAATTGAAATGTCAACGTTATTGAAAGGAAACCTAGCTTGACAAATGTAGCTTGAATGTGGTCTCTTTGGACTTCCTAACCTTTTTTTCTATAGTTATATCTGAATTCACTTGAGGAGCAAGGCCTCCAAAGCAGTCCCTTATCAACCAGCAATGCCTCACCATGTCGAAACTGAAAGCCCAAGATTAAAGGTGCATAAGGGAAGAGGCCACCTGTGTGCAGTGACTTACTGTGGTAACCCTGACCACTGCAGAAATATGGATCAATGAATATCAGACTCTTCAACATGTCAAACAGACAAATCATTGCTCTTCCTGTGGAGAGGAACAAATGAGATCTTAAAGGAAACAGATGCTTTTAACCAACACTTCTGAGACAGCAGAAGCTCTATTTTATAGACCAGTAGGAAAAGAAACAGAGAGGTGGCTTCTCCCAAACTACATACTGAAAGCACCCTTATTTTACTTACAATGTTGGTAAAAGAACCCACCTGAATATGGGAAATTGTAGCTAGTCTTGTGGGGTGCTAAGAGGTTCCAAGTTTATTACAGAGAAGGATGTGAGACAATGGAGTGTGGGCAATGTAATGGGAATTCACATTTGTGGAGCACCAACTGTGTCAAATACCATGTTAGACTCTTACTATCAGCAATTGTGAGGTTATTCTCTAAGGGTAGGCAGCTCAGAAAAGAGAAGTAAGGCACAAGTCTAAGTCATTTGAGAGTCAAATAGGAATATTCTTCCATTATACTTCACTGTTACTCTAAATACTACTGCTACCTTTGGACTTATGGACAAAGCCTTCTAAAGAATAGCATCTTACTACCATTGCAAAGATGAGTAGTCCTGCAAAAAATGATTCATACTTGCAAAGTACTGGAAACAGTCCAAATGCTCATCAATGGACACATGAATAAAAAAGTGGTAGTTTCATAGAATAGAATACTATTCAACAACCAAAAGGAAGGAACTACTGATAAATACAACAACATGGGAAAAACTCTAAAAAATTATGCTAAGTGAAAGAAGACAGTCACAAAAGCTCACATTTTATCTTATGTTTACATTAACATAAAAAATTCAAAAAGACAAATCTACGGAGGCAAAAAGTTTGCCTGGGGCTGATTGTAGGGAGATAGAAATTGACTGCAAATGGGCATGAAGAAACTTTAGAAGCATGGAAAAGCTTCTAAAATTGGATATGGTGGTGGTTGTAAAATTCTATAATTTTAAAAATAATTGAATTGTACACTTAAAATGGATAAATTTTATGGTGTATACGATTAACTTTCTTCCAATCAAAAAGGCAGAAGTCACTCTGAATTGGACAGTAGACAAAGGAATTGTGGGTGTGGTTTCCCTTTCCCTTGTTCATTCCTAAATTAGTAGCAACCACTTGGCTCCAGCAGGCCTTGCAGTACAATGCTTGACAAATGGTACCTTGGCGAATATATCCAATAGTCCTCTGATGAAGACTGATAGTGGCAAAGACTAATCAGCTGCTTACCAAACTCATCTCCTCTTTTCTCAGGCACAGAGAGAGACATAGTGTCCCAATCTCTCTTGCAGTTGGGGTGACCGTGAGACAGAGTACTGAGTTCACTGGTCAGAGAAATGGAGTCAGAAATGATTGTGCTGCTTCCATGCACAGTCCATTAAAAGCTTTTCACACACGAGCCTCCTATTTATTGTTCCAGTCTGCAAGTTGGAAATCCATGCCCAGGGAGACCTCAGAACTAAGTGTTGAAAAATGGCAGAACCATAAGTTGAAGGAGCTTGGATTTCTGGGTCACTTCTTACGGGAGAGGCCCCAGTTATCAGAAATACCTTCAACAGACTTCACATGAATTAGAAATGAATTTCTCTCATGTTGGAGTCATTTTGAAGCATGACTTTAACTAACATATTCTTTATCTCCTTTTTTAAAAAAACATTCTTCTTTTATTATACTTTAAGTTCTGGCTAGATGTGCAGAACGTGCAGTTTTGTTACATAGATATACACGTGCCATGGTGGTTTGCTGCACCCATCAACCTGTCACCTATATTAGATATTTCTCCTAATGCTATCCCTCCCTTAGCCCCCCACCCCCTGACAGGCCCCAGTGTGTGATGTTCCCCTCCCTATGTCCATGTGTCCTCATTGTTCAACTCCCACTTATGAGTGAGATCATGCAGTGTTTGGTTTTCTGTTCTTGCGATAGTTTGCTGAGAATCATGGTTTCCAGCTTCATCCATGTCCCTGCAGAGGACATGAACTCATCTTTTTATGGCTGCATAGTATCCCATGATGTATATGTGCCACATTGACTTCATCCAGTCTATTATTAATGGGCATTTGGGTTGGTTCCAAGTCTTTGCTATTGTGAACAGTGCTGCAATAAACATATGTGTGCATGTGTCTTTATAGTAGAATGATTTATAATCCTTTGGGTATATACCCAGTAATGGGATTGCTGGGTCAAATGGTATTTCTAGTTCTAGATCCTTGAGGAATTGCCACACTGTCTTCCACAATGGTTGAACTAATTTACACTCCCACCAACGTTGTATAAGTGTCACTATTTCTCCACATCCTCTCCAGCATCTGTTGTTTCCTTTTTAAAGATCACCATTCTAACTAGCATGAGGTGGTATCTCATTATGGTTTTAATTTGCATTTCTCTAATGACTAGTGATGATGAGCATTTCTACATATGTCTGTTAGCTGCATAAATATCTTCTTTTGAGACGTGTCTGTTGATATCCTTCGCCCACTTTTTGATGGGGTTTTTTTTTTCTTGTAAATTTGTTTAAGTTCTTTGTAGATTCTGGATATTAGCCCTTTGTCAGATGGATAGATTGCAAAAATTTTCTCCCATTCTGTAGGTTGCCTGTTCACTCTGATGATAGTTTCTTTTGCTGTGCAGAAGCTCTTTAGTTTAGTTAGATCCCATTTGTCAATTTTGGGTTTTGTTGCCATTGCTTTTGGTGTTTTAGACATGAAGTCTTTGCCCATGCCTATGTCGTGAATGGTATTGCCCAGGTTTTCTTCTAGGATTTTTAAGGTCCTAGGTCTTACATTTAAGTCTTTGTTCCATCTTGAGTTGATTTTTGTGTAAGGTGTAAGGAAGGGGTCCAGTTTCAGTTTTCTGTGTATGGCTAGCCAGTTATCCCAATACCATTTATTAAATAGGGAATCTTTTCCCCATTGCTTGTGCATGTCAGATTTGTCAAAGATCAAATGGTTGTAGGTGTGTGGTGTTATTTCTGAGGCCTCTGTTCTGTTCCATTGGTCTATATATCTGTTTTGGTACCAGTACCATGCTGTTTTGGTTACTGTAGACTTTCCATATAGTTTGAAGTCAGGTAGTGTGATGCCTCCAGCTTTGTTCTTCTTGACCAGAATTTTCTTGGCTATGCAGGCTCTTTTTTGGTTCCATAAGAAATTTAAAGTAGTTTTTTCCAATTCTGTGAAGAAAGTCATTGGTAGCTTGATGGGGATAGCATTGAATCTATAAATTACTTTGGGCAGTATGGCCATTTTCATGATATGGATTCTTCCTATCCATGAGCATGGAATGTTTTTCCATTTGTTTGTGTCCTCTCTTATTTCCTTGAGCAGTGGTTTATAGTTCTCCTTGAAGAGGTCCTTCATATCCCTTGTAAGTTGGATTCATAGGTATTTTATTCTTTGTAGCAATTGTGAATGGGAGTTCACTCATGATTTGGCTCTCTGTTTGTCTGTTGTTGGTGTATAGGAATGCTTGTATTTTTGCACATTGATTTTGTATCCTGAGACTTTGCTGAAGTTGCTTATAAGCTTAAGGAGATTTTAGGCTGAGGCGAAGGGGCTTTCTAAATATATAATAATGTCATCTGCAAACAGAGACAATTTGACTTCCTCTTTTCCTAATTGAATATCCTTTATTTCTTTCTCTTGCCTGATTGCCCTGGCCAGAAATTCCAATACGATGTTGAATAGGAGTGGTGAGAGAGGGCATCCTTTTCTTGTGCAGGTTTTCAAAGGGAATGCTTCCAGTTTTTGCCCATTCAATGTGATATTGGCTGTGAGTTTGTTATAAATAGCTCTTATGTTGAGACACATTCCGTCGATACCTAGTTTATGGAGAATTTTTAGCATGAATGGGTGTTGAATTTTGTTGAAGGCCTTTTCTGCATCTATTAAGATAATCATGTGGTTTTTGTCATTGGTTTTGTTTATGTGATTGATCACGCTTATTGATTTGCATATGTTGAACCAACCTTGTATCCCAGGGATGAAGCTGACTTGATTGTGGTGGATAAGCTTTTTGATGTGCTGTTGGATTCAGTTTGCCAGTATTTTATTGAGGATATTCTCATCAATATTCATCAGGGATATTGGCCTGAAATTTTTTGTTGTTGTTGTGTCTCTGCCAGGTTTTGGAATCAGGATGATGCTGGCCTCATAAAATGAATTAGGGAGGATTCCCTTTTTTTCTATTGTTTGGAATAATTTCAGAAGGAATGATACCAGCTCCTCTTTGTACCTCTGGTAGGATTTGGCTGTGAATCCATCTGGTCCTGGACTTTTTTTTGGTTGGTAGGCTATTAATTACTGCCTCAATATCAGAACTTATTATTGGTTTATTCAGGGATTAGACTTCTTCCTGGTTTAGAATTGGTAGGGTGTATGTGTCCAGGAATTTATCCATTTCGTCTAGATTTTCTACTTTATTTGCATAGAGGTGTTTATAGTATTCTCTGATGGTAGTTTGTATTTCTGTGGGATCGGTGGTGATATCCCCTATATCATCTTTATTACAACTATTCGATTCTTCTCTCTTTCCTTCTTTATTTGTCTGTCTAGTGGTCTATTTTGTTGATCTTTTCAAAAAACCAACTCCTGGATTCATTAAATTTTGAAGGGTTCTTGTGTCTCCATTTCCTTCAGTTCTGCTCTGATCTTAGTTATTTCTTGTCTTCTGCTAGATTTTGAATTTGTTTGCTGTTACTTCTCTATTTTTCTTTAATTTTAATATTAGGATGTCAATTTTAGATCTTTCCTGCTTTCTCTTGTGGGCATTTAGTGCTATAAATTTCCCTCTACACACTGCTTTAAATGTGTCCCAGAGATTCTGGTACTTTGTGTCTTCGTTCTCATTGGTTTCAAAGAATATCTTTATTTCTGTCTTTATTTCGTTATTTACCCAGTAGTCATTCAGGAGTAGGTTGTTCAGTTTCCATGTAGTTGTGCAGTTTTGAGTGAGTTCCTTAATCCTGAGATCTAATTTGATTGCACTGTGGTCTGAGAGACTGTTATGATTTCTGTTCTTTTGCACTTGCTGAGGAGTGTTTTACTTCCAATTATATGGTCAATTTTAGAATAAGTGCAATGAGGTGCTAAGAAGAATGTATATTCTGTTCATTTGGGGTGGAGACTTCTGTAGATGTCTATTAGTTCCTCTTGGTCCAGAGCTGAGTTCAAGTCCTGAATATTTTTGTTAATTTTCTGTCTCGTTGATCTGTCTAATATTGACAGTGATGTGTTGAAGTCTCCCACTATTATTGTGTGGGCATCTAAGTTTCTTTGTAGGTCTCTAAGGACTTGCTTTATGAATCTGGGTGCTCCTGTATTGGGTGCATATATATTTGATATAGTTAGCTCTTTTTGCTGCATTGATCCCTTTACTATTATGTAATGCCCTTCTTTGTCTTTTCTGATCTTTGTTGGTTTAAAGTCTGTTTTAGCAGAGATTAGGATTGCAACTCCTGCTTTTATTTTTTTATGTTATTTTATTTTATTTTTTTGCTTTCCATTTGCCTGGTAAATATTCCTCCATCCCTTTATTTTGAGCCTATATGTGTCTTTCCACGTGAGATGGGTCTCCTGAATACAGCACACCGATGGGTCTTAACTCTTCGTCCAATTTGCCAGTCTGTGTCTTTCAACTGGGGCATTTAGCCCATTTACATTTAAGGTTAATATTGTTATGTGTGAATTTGATTCTGTCATTATGATGCTAGCTGGTTGTTTTGCCCATTAGTTGATTCAGTTTCTTCATAGTGTCAATATTCTTTACAATTTTGTATGTTTTTGTAGTGGCAGGTACCAGTTCCTATCCATGTTTAGTGCTTCCTTCAGGAACTCTTGTAAGGCAGGCCTGGTGCTGACAAAATCTCTCAGTATTTGCTTGTCTGTAAAGGATTTTATTTCTCCTTCACTTATGAAGCTTAGTGTGGCTGGATATGAGATTCTGGGTTGAAAATTCTTTCCTTTAAGAACGTTGAATACTGTCCCCCAGTCTCTTCTGGCTTGTAGGGTTTCTGCTGATAGATCTGCTGTTAGTCTGATGGGCTTCCCTTTGTGGGTAAACCGACCTTTCTCTCTGGCTGCCCTTAACATTTTTTCCTTCATTTTAACCTTGGTGAATCTGACGATTATGTGTGTTGGGGTTGCTCTTCTCGAGGGGTATCTTTGTGGTATTCTCTGTATTTCCTGAATTTGAATGTTGGCCTGTCTTGCTGGGTTGGGGAAGTTCTCCTGGATAATATCCTGAAAAGTGTTTTCCAAATTGGTTTCATTCTCCTCATCGCTTTCAGGTACACCAATCAAATGTAGATTTGGTCTTTTCACATGGTCCCATATTTCTGGGGGCTTTGTTCATTCCTTTTTATTCTTGTTTCTCTAATCTTGTCTTCTCTCTTTATTTCATTAAGTTGATCTTCAATCACTGATATCCTTTCTTCTGCTTGATCGATTCAGCTATTGAAACTTGTGTATACTTCACGAAGTTCTCGTGCTGTGTTTTTCAGCTCCATCAGGTCACTTTTGTTCTTCTCTACACTGGTTATTCTAGTTAGCAATTCGTCTGTAACCTTTTTTCAAGGTTCTTAGCTTCCTTGCACTGGGTTAGAACATGCTCCTTTAGCTCGGAGAAGTTTGTTATTACCTACCTTCTGAAGCCTACTCCTGTCAATTTGTCAAACTCATTCTCCATCTAGTTTTGTTCCCTTGCTAGCAAGGAGTTGTGATTTTTTTGGAGGAGAAGAGACATTCTGGGTTTTGGAATTTTCAGCCTTTTTGTGCTGGTTTCTCCCCACCTTTGTGGATTTATCTACCTTTGGTCTTTGATGTTGGTGACCTTCAGATGGGGTCTTTGAGTGGATATGGTATTCCTTTCTGTTTGTTAGTTTTCCTTCTGACAGTCAGGCCCCTGTGCTGCCAGTCTGTTGGAGTTTGCTGGAGGTCCACTCCCGATCCTGTTTGCCTGGTTATCACCAGCAGAGGCTGCAGAACAGCAAAGATGGTTGCCTGATCTTTCCTTTGGAAGCTTCATCCCAGAGGGGCATCTGCCAGATGCCAGCCAGAGCTCTCTTGTATGAGGTGTCTGTTGGCCGCTACGGGGAGGTGTCTCCCAGTCAGGATACACGGGGGTCAGGGACCCACTTGAGGAGGCAGTCTGACCCTTAGCAGAGCTCAAACGCTGTGCTGGGAGGTCCACTGCTCTCTTCAGAGGTGTCAGGCAGGAACGTTTCAGTCTGCTAAAGCTTCATCCACAGTCGCCCCTTCCCCCAGGTGCTCTGTCCCAGGGAGATGGGGGTTTGTGTATAAGTCCCTGACTGGGGCTGCTGCCTTTTTTCTCCAGAGATGCCCTGACCAGAGAGGAGGAATCTAGAGAGGCAGTCTGGCCGCAGTGGCCTTGCTGAGCTGCAGTGGGCTCTGCCTAGTTTGAACTGCCCAGTGGCTTTGTTTACACTGTTAGTGTAAAACTGCCTACTCAAGCCTCAGTAATGGCGGATGTCCCTCCCCGCACCAAGCTGGAACATCTCGGTGGATCTCAGACTGCTGCTGTGCTGGCAGCAAGAATTTCAAGTCAGTGGGTCTTAGTTTGCTGGGCTCCGTGGGAGTGGGACCCACTGAGCCAGACCACGTGGCTCCCTAGCTTCAGCACCCCTTTCCAGAGGACTGAACAGTTCTGTCTTGCTGGCATTCCAGGCGCTACTGGGGTAGGGAAAAAAAAAACCGAACTCCTGCAGCTAGTTCGGTGTCTGCCCAAATGGCTGCCCAGTTTTGTGCTTGAAACCCAGGGCCCTGGTGGGGTTGGCACCAGAGGTAATCTCCTGGTTTGCAGGTTGTGAAGACGATGGGACAAGCACAATATTTGTGCCGGAGTTCCTCAGGCTCAGACCCTCATGGCTTCCTTTGGGTAGGGGGGTAAATTCCCCGACCCTTTGCGCTTCATGGGTGAGGCAATGCCCCAGGTGAGGTGATGCCCCACCCTGTTTCTGCTCGCCCTCCATGGGCTGCACCCACTATCCAACCAGTCCCAATGAGATGAACCAGGTACCTCAGTTGGAAATGCAGAAATCACCCGCCTTCTCTGTCGATCTCACTGGGAGCTGCAGACCGGAGCTGTTCCTATTCGGCCATCTTGCCAGCAATCCTCCCACTTAACATTTTTTTTTTTATCTCCTTTATAACAGAAGCATATGTTGAGATATAGGGAAGACCAATAAATTATATAAATTCAAGCATCAAGGAGGTGTCAAAGTCAAGACTTGTACCCCAAACCATCTAATGTTAGAGGTTGTGCTCTTATGCACTGTAATATATTGTTTCTCCTTTTAATTAGAATTGAGTGGTGTGTGAACAAACATCAATTATCCTGAATCCAAACATTTTCTGCCACTGTATGTTACCGTTCTTGTCCAAAGTCCCTCAACTGTTTCCTGCATTACTGCACTAACCTCTGGGCTTCTCTGCCTCCTGCTGTTGTTTTCCTGTAATCTATTACTAATCAGCAGCCAGTATGATCCCATTAAAATGCAAAGTTGATCAAGTCCTTCCTTTGCTTAAAACCTTCTGAAGGGTTCCAAAGTCCCTCAGAGTAAGAACTATAGTCTTTACAACTATGGTCCATACAGTCCTTTGATCTGGTCTCCTCTCATCTCTCTCATTATCTCTCCTATCTCCACCTCTCTGCCCTCTGTATTGTTGCTCACTTTACGCCAACCATGTTGGCCTTTCAGCTATTTCTTTACATTCATCTTTGCTTCTGTCTAGAAATTTTCCTCCAGATAGTCACATGACTTGCTCCCTCATCTTTTTTAAGGATTTACTTAAATTTCCCCTTCTCTGCCAGGGCTTCTGTAATCATCCTATTAAAATCGTAACCCCTTCCCTGATGCATTTCCAATTCCTATATCCTATTACATTTTTCTCAGTATCAGTTATATTGGACATATTATATAATTCACTCCAAATTATGTTGCTTATTTTTCGATTACTTCTACTAGAATGGGAGTTACATGAGAGCAGACTTTTTTTTTAAACCCTTTAGACATTTTTGGACTCTTACCCCAGTATACAGAAAGGTGTTCAAAGCATAGTATCTTCTGCTCCATAAGTACAAATGGAATGGATGAATGAATGAATGAATGAATGAGCATCCTCCAAACTATAAGTAGAGGATTGAGTGGCCAGGCACAGTGGCTCATGCCTGTAATCCCAGCACTTTTGGAGGCCGAGGCGGGCGGATCATGAGGTCAGGAAATCGAGACCATCCTGGCTAACACTATGAAACCCCGTCTCTACTAAAAATACAAAAAAAATTAGCCAGGCATGGTGGCGGGGGCCTGTAGTCCCAGCTACTCGGGAGGCTGAGGCAGGAGAATGGCATGAACCCAGGAGGTGGAGCTTGCAGTGGGCGGAGATCGCGCCACTGCGCTGTAGCCTGGGTAACAGAGCAAGGCTCCGTCTCAAAAAAAAAAAAAAAAAAAAGTAGAGGATTGAGTTACTGAGTCATTGTGTACTATATTAAAGGTCTTCTATACCAGGGGGAAATTCAGTCATCAGGACAGAGGACAGTCTCTATGAGCTGCTAAAACATTAATGGAAGTATATTAGTGTGCAGAATTTTGCATGTCAGTTCCTTTAGGGATAGTACTATAAATGATTAGGAATAAAAAAAAAATTAAGAAACCATTTAGGTAGTGAAGGGAAGTGAAAACCTTCCATGACTCACTTAGCACCAAACCATCTTGCAAGGTGTAGGGGCTTGTGGGGAGGGCAGGTTAACCATAGAGCTGAGGTTTGCTGAGTAGGGTATTACTTACTTAGAACAGCAGGGTGGAGGCTGCACCTACAGTCAATTGCCTTCTTTCTTTCATCTTACCACAGGCAGTGCTCAGTCTCTCTTGAAAATAAATATGTATTTATTGACTCATCGCATATATTTCTTTAGCACCTATCTTTGGGAGGCACTTCTCTGAGTGCTGGGAATACAGTTGCAGATGAGAAAAGGCCTTTTTTTGTGGAGCCTACATTCTGGTGGAGGGAGGGAGATAATAAATAAAACAAAAGAAATAAATAATAAATAAGATTTCAGATACTGATATGTGCTATAAAATAGAGGTGATTGGGTGAAGAGTGATTGGAAGAGGCTTGTGTGTGGGGAGCAGGAACAGGAAGCCTTTAACAACAGAATGCTAGCAAGGGCTTCTCGAGAACATCACTTTGGAACCAGGAATGAAGAGAAAAGAAGAGGGAAGCCACATAAAGATCTAGAGGAAGAAATTTCAAACCAAAGGAGTGCAAGTTCAGTTACCCTGATATGGGAGTAAGCTTGGCAGAAGCAAGAAACCGAAAAAAAAACCCCACATTTCTGGAGTTAGGTGGGAACAGGGGAGGTGGGTGTGGAGACACTGTGAGGAACCAGAATGTAGAGAGTCTTTAGACATTGCAGGGAGAATATATTTCATTTTAATGGCCATAGGGATGCTTTGGAGTGTTGGAAGGTAGAATAACTGAAGAATATAATTTTTAAGGTGTTGCAAAGCAGAGTATTGAAGGCTTCCTCTCATCTTAGCCTGATACTGTGTGCAGATTCCCACACTTTGACTCAGAGAAGATAGGTTTCAGGAACCTATCCCAGGCCCTAAGTTTACTCATCAGTGGGGAGAAACTCTTATCACAACATTGAATTATGGCAGGGTTACTGTAAAACCCTGGATCATACTTTTAAAGGAAAGTTCCAGCTAGTTATTTGGACGGTGTTATAAATAAATGTCTAGTGTTTATTTATTTATTTATTTATTTATTTTTATTTTTTATTGAGACGGAGTCTCGCTGTCACCCAGGCTGGAGTGCAGTGGCCCAATCTCGGCTCACTGCAACCTCCAGGTTCAAGCAATTCTCCTGCCTCAGCCTCCTGAGTAGCTGGGATTATCAGTGCCCACCACCACCCCCAGCTAATTTTTGTATTTTTAGTAGGACAGGGTTTCACCATGTTGGCCAGGCTGGTCTTGAACTCCTGACTTCAGATGATCCACCCACCTCAGCCTTCCAAAGTGCTGGGATTATAGGCATGAGCCACCATGCCCGGCCCCCATAAATGTCTAGTTTTTAATAAATCTGCTTAAAGATTTCACAAAATAGAGCCAAATGGCTCAATTAACGTTCAACACTATATTAAATGGGCAAGTTATTTCCTTTTAAAATGAAGCACTTTAATGATTTATAGAAAACAATAAAATGCACTTCACTTTGCAAAGTAGGTAGTCTGTGGTGAGGGAGGCAAGTCTAATTGAAACAGAGTCATAGAGAAAAGGCTTGAGTTATCTGACTCAAAAAGCCTTGGTCTTGAGATAGATCACAAGGTAATGAAAACTAGGGAAGAACATTAATAAAATAGCAAAGTAAGTTTCCAATGAATCAAATGACACTTGACTTTGAGGAAGTGGGAGGATGATCACTGTGATGAGAGCAGAATGGCAAAAGGAGTTGACCACTCAATCTTATGGTCTCAAGGAAGCAATACTGCTTGGGATACTCTGAAGGCACATTTGATAGGTCTTATACAAGCAGCTTATCAGAAGTAGAAAAATTACTTTGCAAAGCTCCAAGACTGAGATACCTTTGTATTTCTCCTAAAGAAATAGCACTATGGGAGAAGAGTGTGGAAGGATAATGAAAAATAAGTCCTGAGTATTACACACAAAAGTTGAATCAAAAAATATAAAGGGATACTGCTGCCCCAAATTAGAACAGGTATGGGGGTTGTGTTAGAAACACTATTGAGTTATCAGCAGAGCTACTGTAGTATAAATCTAAGTAGGCTTGTTCTCTGCATTGTTAGGGATGCAGCTTGCTCTTCTGTAACACTGTATTTATAGGACAGTTAGTAATCTAATATTTATTAAGTCCTTGCCAACATGTGTCTCTTTTCTTCACCCTGTACATGTTATATCATGCCATATATCCCTTGTCTGGCACATGGTAAGTATTCAGTAAATATTCGTTGAAATAAATATTAAAATAAGTTTAAAAAATGAGTTTGTCTTCTGCAGTTAGAAGTGCAAGAACAAAAGGTCATAATGCAGAAAAAAATTAACAAGCCATGATAAATGTTAGTTAACACGTTTACTCTGTGCTGGTGCTGGGGGAAGTGCAGGGAGTTGGAAAATGCATTGGTTTGAGAGAGTATAAAATGGACAATTAATTTTGCTGATCCTCTACATTCAGAAAATAGAAATAAAGACAGGGACATTATAGGAGAAGTCAAAAGCATGAAGAAAGATAAAAAGTTTGGAAAGCTTATGATGTAAAGTGGATGTAAAGCATCCAATTTAACTGAAGAGTAGTGTCATAGCAGAGAGGTTGATACTGTAGGAAGAACAAGGACTGTGCATCACCTGAAGTCCTAACATTGCTGTCACTTTGGGAAAACAACTTAGTATTTATGATCATCAGTTTCCTCATCCTAAAAGAGTAATGTTGATTTTCTCTTTTCCTATGTTCTCCTAAACCAATAATAATAATTGCTTACATTTATTAAGGACTTACATATATTAGGCACAGTTTTAAGCACATTAATTCTGTAACTTTAAATACTGGGGCTAAGCACTCAACATTTACTCTTATTCAACCCTCACAGTCATTCTATGATGTAAGGATTGTAAGAATAAAATGTAATAACATAATATAATGCTTGGCTTATAGTATGGCTGAGGAATAATGTACTTCTTTACCCTTCCCATCACATGTTTTGTAAGTAAACAGTGGGAGCTACACCTGGAAAGGAAACTCAAGCCAAACTGCACAGGATCCTTGTTATTAATACTTTATTCAGCCAGCAGCTTTTGGTCTTTGAAGGTTTTGGAGCTAGAAAGTGACATGTTTATAGCTGTGATTTTCCTTTCAAACAACTGGGCCCTGTGGGTTGGATTTTGTTCTCATTGCTTCATCAACTTTTCTAGAAATGAAGATTTCAATTCAAGTTGCAAATCTATCAGATATTCTTCTTTTAAAGGGATAAAACATTCCTCAGATGACTAGACGTTCTCAGTAGCATCTTTGAGATCTGCTTAGTAACATGTCAGCTCCATTTGCTTTATCCTTTACTCACAGTGTTATCAACAGCTGAGTTTATTCCAAAAGCATTATTCTTGACTGTCTTTCTTACTACTCTGCCCAGAGGAATATTGGGTCATTCTTCTTTATCTGCTGCACAATCCATTCAGTTTAATAGTTGTATTTCTTTTTCTCCTACCTATCAAATTTCATCATAAATACCTCTTTAAACAGGTCTGCTATTTTTCTAGATGGTACCAATTAGCACTGATTTTTGCTGCTAGATGACTTTAGTCTCGTTTACAAAACAGAGACCACTGGATGGACATTTCAAAATATCTCAAAATGTCTCATGTGTCTCTTCCCAATCTCTTTTATTTCAACCTTTTATTATTTCCATGTGTACAGACTACCAATTAAAATAATAATAATACAAAAATAGAAAAAAATACCATCATCCCAGGCTAAACCTCTTCATAAACCTAAGGCAGATTTAAGACTAAAATACTTACAGACTTCCAAACTGTTTTTTTTCTAAAGTATACTTCTTTAAAAATTTGTTTATTCTAATTATCAACTGTACAATTTCATCTAAGGATACTAATTTCAAGATTGAGACAAAATTTTTTTAAAAATATTTAAAACTGTAGTAAGTCATAAGGCTGATGAAAATTCATAAAAATTTTTTTGGCAGTCTTAAGAATCACAATTTGGAGTCTGCAGATTAAATGTCTCTCAATGTAGCAATACTGAGAAACTACCAATGTAGCAAGATTGCCTTGAGGGCCCCTTATAAGAATAAAATGCCCTAATCTTCTTCCTCAAGATTTTTGCTGCTACACACATTTTGCTGCTACACACATTTTCCTGCTCAGGTCCCTATTCGAAGGAAATATTGTTACCATGGGGAACAGGTTCCCAGCTGCTGTTTCCACAAGTGAGTCTCTGCTGGTAGGAGTGCATGTCTGGAAGATCTCAGATTTTGTTTTAGTATCCATACCTGGGAAGTAGTGAGTTTTTTTGTTGTTGTTTTTTTGTTTGCTTGTTTGTTTTTTGAAGGAGTCTTGCTCTGTCTCCAGGCTGCAGTGCAGTGGCCTGATCTTGGCTCGCTGCAACTTCCACCTCCCAGGTTCAAGCGATTCTCCTGCTTCAGCCTCCCGAGTAGCTGAGACTATAGGCATGTGCCACCACACCCAGCTAATTTTTGTAATTTTAGTAGAGATGGGGTTTCACCGTGTTGCCCAGGATGGTCTCAATCTCTTAACCTCGTGATCCACCTCCCTCAGCCTCCCAAAATGCAGGGATTTCAGGAGTGAGCCACCGCACCTGGCTGGTAGTGAGTTTTTATGGGAAACTTTGAACTCTTTCATGCCCAGAGTGTTTGCTCACTTATTGTCTCACTCTGTTGTAAGCCCGATGGGGGCATGGCCTATTTTGTAACCCACAGCACATAATACTGCACCTGCCACATAATAGGTACTCAAGATAATATGTGGTTGTGTTGAGTTAAGGGATCCGTATTTTAACACAATGCTTCTGAAAATAACTGTGGAAAAAGTCCAGTTTTTTTTCTGATTTTCTAATCTTTCTCAGTCTTAATCTTTTATAAAATACAACAAAACAAAATAATAAAAATTAAATGTAAAGACAAAACAAAAAATGAGCTCCAATTTTTAAAGTATTAGATGAAACAAATAAAACATCTCTGTCAAATTACTACAAAAGTTTCTAAATGCCTTTTCTTACGTTCTGTACTTCTCTTGTTGAGAATGGGTAAAAGAAAGTTTATAAGCCAGGGGCTGTCAGAAAACCACAATTTGAATAGCACTTAGTCCACCACTAACTAAACTTGGTAAATCTGTTTTAAACCCTTTGAGGTCTGTTTGTCACTTGTAAAATGGAGAGCTAGTCTGATTCCCCAGAGGCTGCTACCTAGAGGTGCCCTACTTCTTTCATGGCAAGTCCAATGAGTATGCCTTCTAAAGGAAGAGTATTGACAGAGATGAACTAATGTCAGCTTCAAGTGCTCCCTTTCACCATCTCTGCTGTGGTTTGAATGTATCCCCCAAATCCCATGTGTTGAAAACCTAATCCTCAAATTTATATGTTGATGGTATTTGGAGGTAGGGCCTATGGGATGAAATGATCAGAAAGGTAGTCCCCATGACGGGTCTGATGGCTTTATAAGAAGGGGAAGAGAGACCTGAGATGGCGTGCTCATGCATTTTGCCACGTGATGCCCTCCAGCATGTTATGACAGAGTAAGAACGCCCTCACCAGTTGCGGAACTTGACCTTGAACTTCCAAGCCTTCAGAATTGAGAACTGTAAGAAATATATATATTCTTTCTAAATTACGCAGTCTGTGGTATTCTGTCACAACAACAGAAAACATACAAAGACAATCTCATAATCTGAGATAGACCTATAAAAGTCTGGGACCAAGGCTTTGTTATTCTGGGACCAAGGCTACTATAACCAGGAAACTGCTGAAGTGATCTTTGAAACTGATAAACAATTTTATTATAATGGTTATCTCCCCTTACCTTGAAATATTTTATATTCCCACTTCTACTTTTAATTTTATTCTTAGAATATCAGTAATATACCACATATTTCACTGTCTTCCCCCTCCCAAATGTAAGCTCTATCAGAATTAGAATTTTAATCTTTTTTGCTCATTACTATGAAAAACACCTAAAACTGTGCTTGACACATGGTAGACAGCAAATAAATACTTTTTGAGTAACAAAAATAAATATTTTTTGAGTAACAAATAAATGAATCTCAATGCATTGATATTTTCTCTTAGTGACTTAATGTGAGGTTTCTTGCATGTTCATCACTTTCAGAATTTGGACTACTCTATTTTCCTTGAGTTTTACTATAGCTTTAGAGGAAAATTCAGTGTTTAATGTAATCCAGACATAGCTTTGAAACTTTTTAGCTTTACTATCTATAATTCCAGGCATATTTTTCCTTAATTTGTGAAGGGAGCTTTCAATGAATGTCAGATTCAAAGTTGTCTTTCCAAAGCATAGTTTGAATTCATTCCTAAACAAACAAACAAACAAAGATACACCAAATATATTTTTAATATAAAAAACATGATTTTAAAAAGATTTAGATAAATCACAAGGAATCTTTCCATACTTTCTAAGAAAAAAATTTACCTTTAGACTGAAAAATGAGCATGAGCAATTTCATCCCTAAAGATATACAGCAGTTCTCTGAATCCATGGATTCTGCATTTGTAGATTCAATTAACTGTGCATTGAAAAGATTTGAAAAAAACAAAATCAACAAGAAATAACAATGCAACAATAAAAATATTATAAATAAAAACAAATATAGAATAACAAGTATTTACATAGCATTTACATTGTATTGGATATTATAAATAATCTAGAGATGATTTAAAGTATAGGGAAGGATGTGCATAGGTTATATGCAAATACTATGCCATTTTATTTTACTTATTTATTTATGTATTTTCAAGATAAGGTCTCACTATGTTGCTCAAGCTGGTTTCAAACTACTAGGCTTAAGCTATGCTCCTGCCTCTGCCTCCCAAGTAGCTGGGACTACAGTTCATGCCACTCTCCAGGCTCTATGCAATTTGATGTAAGTGACTTGAGAATCCCTGAATTTTGGTATTTGCAGGAGTCCTGGAACCAATCCCTTGTGGCTTCTGAAGGACAGCTGTTTGTGTGTGTGTGTGTGTGTGTGTATGTGTTTGTGTGTCTGTGTGTGTGTATATATATATGTTTTATACATATGTTATATATAATATACATATATATTGTATATTTTTCTCTTATGAGAAGAACTTAAATATTGTAGTTAAGTATTATACAAGTGTTTTCAGACACTTGTTCTTTCTTAACCACAATTATAGCATGACACTATAGTACTGTCAGTAATAAAACCAAACCAGATTTTATAGCCTCACATTTATAGTATGCTGGGAAAAGACCAAAATCTTTTTCTTTATGTCAAGCAGTCTTTTCTTTTCAGGAAACTCAAACAATGCAGCTAAATAACATACAAATTTGCCTTATGATGCTACCTACCGCAGAGAAAAAGGAATGTACATGTATTTAAGCATATAAAAATTGTTATATTTAGTTTTTTTGGCCACGTGAGCCTTAAGAATTAAAAAATAATTTAAAAGTTTTAATTTTTGTTTGTTCTCTCCTACTCCTACCTTGGCCAGGGAAGGCAACTTAAAAACCATTTTTTCCTCTTATTATCTAACTCTTTCATTTCAGTATTCATTTTTAAAATACATTTTTCTGTTTTATTTAATCAGCTTTTTTACAAAAGAACAATTTGTCTTTTATTTTTGTTACAAGGTTTCAAAGTTAAACACTGTAAGGTAGTACATAGGCACTTTCCCTCTTCCAGTGTTTTGGCCTGAACTCAAGAAATAGAAAGTTTCACCTTTCCATAAGTGATGAAAAGTGAAGGTTTCACCTGTTCTTCTACTTTTTATCTCTGCTCACACTCTCAGTCGGACTTACTGAATTAATTGATGAAATTAAGAGGGTCCTTACACTCGCTTGGCCTAAGTACACCTTCCCCTCTCCTCTTTGAGATCTGCTTGCCTTGAGGAAGTGTGCATTTTCCTCTAGGTCCCTCCAAAGGGTAAATGATCCTGGTTCAGGGCTGGAGACCCGGCACTTGCACTTCTGAGCCATATCTGAAGGCCCATAGGTCTGAGATCCTAGCTCCAGGAGCCTGACGGGTGTGACGGAATTCAGGTAAGTGTTTCTGCTCTGTAGATCTAACTCTCCTTTGGAGGACCAATCCTGATCTGCAGATTTAGAGGGAAAGACTAAAAAACTGCTTAATTCTGGCCAGATAAAGCTGCATTCTCCAATCCAATATTACAGACCAATATTAAAATCAATGTTTTGAAAATGTCTAAATGATACATGGTTTGACTAAATGTGTATCTGACCGATCACTGTGTCTATTCTCAGTCAATTCAGCACACAGAGAACACTAAGTTGGAATGAATGACTGTGTTTATGTCAGAACAGTGGGTAGAATTTTGGTAGGTGAATATAAAGAAGGATGTGTTCCCGATGCAGACATGATGCCCACTTCTGCACTGTGGGTTTGTGAATAATAAGTTCTTTATGGCCGGAGCTTAGGATGCCTTTTGGAGCTTTAACAGGAAAAAAATATTTGATAACATAGGCTGGTACCAAATGTTAGTTTGTTAATGTTGTATGCAAGAAAGAACCATGGGAGAGTTTTAGTCGATATGGTTAAACATCAAAAACAAAATATGATAGGAAAATTGTGAAGGATAGCATGGGGGATGGGCTACGAATAATAAGGGAAGAAAAACAGGAGGAAAAACTAAAGCAGCTAAAATGCCAGGTGAAGAAAAGTGTGCTTCTGAACTGAAACAGTCAGCACAGAGAGGAGGAGACAGGTCAGGGGTGTATTTTAGGGGTAGAATCAACAAAATTTAGCTATTGACTGAATGTGGAAAGCGAGGGAGAGAGAGAAGCCAAATTTGTTAGATTTTTAAATAACAGGAATTCAGAGAATAACATTTTTCAGAATTAAATTAAAGAATATTTCTATCTGTTTATGTTCCCTCTTTCCTTTTTTATCATTCCCTTTCTTTTCTCTTCATTCCCACCTCCTTCTCCCGCTCCTCTCTCCTTTTTTTTCTTAGTTTTTAAAAACTTTTATTTTAGGGGGTACATGTGAAGATTTGTTACATAGGTAAACTCATGTCACAGGTTTAGTTGTATAGATTATTTTACCACCCAACTATTAAGCCCAGTAGCCAATAGTTATCTTTTCTTCTTCTCTCCCTTGTCCTACCCTCCATACTCAAGCAGACTCTAGTATTTGTTGTTCCCTTCTTTGTGTTCATAAGCTCTCATCATTTAGTACCCACTTATAAGTGAGAACATAGGGTATTTGGTTTTCTGTCCCTGTGTTAGTTTGCTAAGAATAGTAGCCTCCAGCTTCATGCAAGTTTTTGCAAAAGACATGATCTCATTCTTTTTTATGGCTGCATAGTATTCCATGGTGTATACGTACCACATTTTCTTCATCCAATCTGTCACTGATGGGCATTTAGGTTGATTCCATGTCTTTGCTATTGTGAACAGTGCTGGAATGAACGTTTGCATCCATGTGTCTTTATGGTAGAATACTTTGTATTTCTCTGGGTATATGCCCAGTAATGGGATTGCTAGGCCGAATGGTAGTTCTGCTTTATTAAAATTGCAGTTTTTAAAACTGCAATTAGTTTTGCACCAACCGAATAGTTCTTTGAGGAACTGCCACACTGCTTTCCACAATGGCTGAACTAATTTACACTCCCACCAGCAGTGTACAAGGATTCCCTTTTCACTGCAACTTCGTCAGCATCTGCTATTTTTTGACTTTTTAATGATAGCCATTCTGACTGGTGTGTGATGGTATCTCAATGTAGTTTTGATTTGCATTCTCTAATGATTAGTGATATTGAGCTTTTTTTTCACATGCTTGTTGGCTGCATGTATATCTTCTTTTGAAAAGTTATCTGTTCATGTCTTCTGCTCACTTTTTAATGGGATTGTCTGCATTTCTTTTGAGAATTTGTTTAATTTCCTTATAGATATTGGATGTTAGACCTTTGTTAGATGCATAGTTTGCAAAAATTTTCTCCCATTGTGTGAGATGCCTGTTTACTCTGTTGACAGTTTCTTTTTCTGTACAGAAGCTCTTTAGTTTAATTAGATCCCATTTGTCAATTTTTGCTTTTGTTGCAATTACTTTTGGTGTCTTTGTCATGGAATCTTTGCCTGCTCCTATGTCCAGGATGGTATTTCCTGGGTTGTCTTCTAGAATTTTTATAGCTTTGGGTTTTAGGTTTAAGTCTGTAATCCATCTTGAGTTGATTTTTGTTTATGGTGTAAGGAAGGGGTCCAGCTGCAATCGTCTGCATATGGCAAACCAGTTATCCCAGCACCATTTATTGAATAGGGAATCTTTGTCCCCATTGCTTGTTTTTGTCAGCTTTGCCAAAGATCAGATGGTTGTCGGTGTGTGGCCTTATTTCTGGGCTCTCTATTCTCTTCCATTGGTCTATGTGTCTGCTTTTGTACCAGTACCATGTTGTTTTCATTACTGTAGCCCTGTAGTATAGTTTGAAGTCAGTTAGTGTCTGATGTTTTCAGCTTTGTTCTTTTTGCTTAGGATTGCCTTGGCTATTAGTGCTCTTTTTTGGTTCCATATGAATTTTAAATAGTTTTTTTCTAGTTCTGTGAAGAATGTCATTGGTAGTTTGATAGAAATAGCATTGAATCTGTAAATTGCTTTAGGCAGTATGGCCATTTTAATAATATTGATTCTTTCTATCTATGAGCATGGCATGTTTTTCCATTTGTTTGTTTCATCTCTGATTTCTCTGACTAGTGGTTTGTAGTTCTCCTTGTAAGTATCTTTTGCCTCCTTAGTTGTATTCCTAGGTATTTTATTCTTTTTGTGGCAATTGTGAATGGGAGTTCATTACTGATTTGGTTCTCAGATTGGCTGTTCTTGGTGTATAAAAATGCTAGTGATTTTTGTACATAGATTTTGTATCCTGAAACTTTGCTGAAGTTGTTTATCGGCTTAAGGAGCTTTTGGGCTGAGAGTATAGGGTTTTCTAGATATAGGATCAAGTAATCTGCAAACAGGGCTAGTTTGACTTCCTCTCTTCTTATTTGGATGCCCTTTATTTCTCTCCTTTGCCTAATTGCACTCTCCAGGACTTCCAATTGTATTAATATGTTGAATAGGAGTGGTGAAAGATGGCATCCTTGTCTTGTGCTGGTTTTCAAGGGGAATGCTTTCAGCTTTTCCCTATTCAGTATGATGTTGGCTGTGAGTCTGTCATATATGGCTGTTATTATTTTGAGGTATGTTCCTTCAATACCTAGTTTATTGAGAGTTTTCAATATGAAGCAGTGTTGAATTTTATCACAAGCCTTTTCTGCATCTATTGAGGTAATCATATGGTTTTTGTCTTTTGTTCTGTTTATGTGATGAATCATATTTATTGATTTGTGTATGTTGAACTAACCTTGCATCCTGAGGATGAAGCCTGCTTGATGGTGGTGGGTTAGGTTTGATGTGCTGCTGGATTCAGTTTGCAAGTATTTTGTTGTGGATTTCTGCATCAATGTTTATCAAGGATACTGGCCTGAAGTTTGTTGTTGTTGTGTCTATCAGGTTTTGGTGTCAGGATGATGCTGGCCTCACAGAATGAGTTGGGAGAGGAATCCCTCATTTTCAATTTTTAAAAATAGTTTCAGTAGGAATCAATTTCTTCCTTTGTCAGTCTTGAAAGGCTGTATGTGTCTGGCAATTTATTCATATTTTCTATATTTTCTAGTTTGTGTTCATAGAGTTGTGTTCATAGTAGTTTCTGACGTTTATTTTTATGTCTGTGGGGCCAATGGTAACATTCCCTTCATCATTTCTAGTTGTGTTTATTTGGATCTTCTCTCTTTTCTTCTTTATTAATCTAGCTAACAGCCTATCTTATTATTTTTTTTGAAAAAATGAATTCCTGGATTTGTTGATGTTTTGAATGGTTTTTTTGTGTCTCAATTTCCTTCAGTTCAGCTCTGATTTTGGTTATATTTTGTCTTCTGCTAGCTTTGGGGTTTATTTTTTTCTTGCTCCTTCAATTCTTTTAGTTGTGATATTAAGTTGTTAATTCAAGATCTTTCTAACTTTTTGATGTGAGTGTTTAGTTCTATGAATTTCCCTCTTAACACTGCCTTAGCTATGTCCCAGAGATTCTGGTATGTTGTATTTTTGTTTTAATTAGTTTCAAAGAACTTCCTGATTTCTGCCTTAATTTCATTATTTGCCCAAAATTCATTCAGGAGCATGTTGTTTAATTTCCATGTAATGGTATGGATTTGAGTGATTTTCACTGTGTTCACTTCTATTTTTATTGCACTGTGGTCTGAGAGAGTGTTTGGAATTACTTCGGTTCTTATACATTTGCTGAGGATTGTTTTATGTCCAGTATTCATTTTGACCTTGGAAAATCCGATGATTGTATATCTTGAGGATGATCTTCCATTGTAGAATCTTGTAGAAGGTCTCTGAATTTCCTGAATTTGACTGTGGGCCTCTCTAGCAAGGTTGTGGAAGATTTTATGGATGATATTCTAAAATTCTGTTTTCCAAGTTGTTTGCTTTCTCCCTCTCCCTATCAGGGATGCCAGTGATTCATAGATTTGGCCTCTTTACATAATTTCATACTTTTCAGAGGTTTTGTTCATTCCTTTTTATCCTTTTTTCTTTATTTTTATCTGACTTTTTTTCAGAAAGCCAGTATTTAAGTTCTTAGATTCTTTCCTCAGCTTGGTTTATTCTGCTGTTAATACTTGTGATTGCATTGTGAAATTCTTGTATTGTGTCATTCAGCTCTGTCAGACCCATTAGGTCTTTTTTACACCCACTATTTTGTCCTTCAGCTCCTGTATCATTTCATTGCAATTCTTACTTTCCTTCGACTGCGTTTTGTTTCAGAAGATTATCTCCTGAACCTTGATGATCTTCGTTTCTATCCATATTCTGAATTCTCTTTCTGACATTCCAGCCAGCTCAGCCCTGTTAAGAACTCTTGTTGCAAAACTGGTACAGTCATTTAGAGGACATATGACACTCTGGCCACTCGAGTTACTGGAGGTCTTGCATTGGTTCTTTTTCATCTCTCTGTGTGGGTGGTCCTTTAATTGTAATGTAGATTGAGTATAGTCAATAGACTTCTTTTTTGGATTTTTCACAGGCCAAGCCTTTGTGCAGGGTCTTTATTTGAAGCTGAGTTCTTCTCTTTGGTTTCAGAGGGGATTATATTAGTGGGTTATTATTGGTGTTGAAGCTTTAGGGTGTAATCTAGTAGGTAGCACTTAGGCATATTGGTCAGTTGGTAGACTCTTGCTCAGTTGTGTGGCTCCGCTGTTTCCTCACAGTTGCAGCTGTTCCCTCTAAATGCTCTGAGAGTGTGGATTCCTCTCCCTTTTGAGTGCTGGCTATAGATCAGGACTTGGCACTCCTGGGCTGCCCATTGCAGCTCTGGGGCGATCTCAGTGTTTATGTTCCTTTCCCAATTTGGAGAAAGCAGAAGAAGAAACCTTAGTAGTGGTTGTGGCCAAGGGTCTTTTGCTTGTCTTCTGGGTACTCCACCCCAGGGATACACAGGTCAGCAATTGCTCAGTGCAGTCAGCACAGGATGGAGGAACTGTTCTGTGGGTCAAGCTGGGAGTCCCCTGTCTGGTGACAAGCAGTGGAGGGTGGGAGGGACCTGTAAAGGACAGACTAGCCTCCTCTTCTTAGGTTGACTGCACCTTGTTGGAGGTATGGATAAGGCACTTAGGGTCTTTACTCCTTCATTAATCTGAGGGTAGCAAGGGAATTTCTGAGGTAGTGGCAGAGAGGCTTTCATTTGCCCCTGGGGGCTCTGTCTAGGGAGGGAGTTGCAGAGCTTCTACTGGCTTGGTAGCCCTGCTGGGGGTAGGTGGGGGCTGGGCTGGAGGTCCAGTCCTGGAGAATCTGCCTGCTGAGGAGATATGGGAAAATGCACCTACCTAACAGTCTGGCCACTTTTCCATAGGGCTGCTGCAATATGCTGAGGGCCTACTCCAGTCCCTAGTCACCTCAAATGTTCCAGTATCTGGACGTATCAGCAGTGAAGGCTGAAAAACACAAAAGATAGTGGCCTGCCCCTCACTCTGGAAACACCTTCCGAGGGAGGCACAGACATGTTGCTGGCCTGAATGTGCCAGTAGGAGGTGGTTGAGACCCTAATTGGGAGGTCTTGCCCCATGAGGAGGAAAGAGATTCAAAAAGCAGTCTGGCCAGATTTTCGTAGAGCAGCTGTGCTGTGCTGGGAGTCCGCTTCAGGTCCCTGTTGCTTCAGATACTCCAAAGCCTGTTGGAGGTCACACAAATATTTCTTATGATTGGGCATAATTGAAGCCTGTCAGTAACAATATGAACCTGTGTTCAATTAAGCAGCTGACCAGTCATCACCTCCTCCTCCTTGTTCTGGTTACCCAATAAATGCAAAGGGCTGTAGAAGCCCAGGGACTGCCTTTGCTCACTAGAAGCAGGGAACTCTGTTCTTCTCCCCATGTTACCTTTCCTTTAAAACAGTTACTTTTTGAAACTCACTCAAAACCGCTCAACTACATGGAAACTGAACAACCTGCTCCTGAATGACTACTTGGTACATAATGAAATGAAGGCAGAAATAAAGATGTTCTTTGAAACCAATGAGAACAAAGACACAACATACCAGAATCTCTGGGACACATTTAAAGCAGTGTGTAGAGGGAAATTTATAGCACTAAATGCCCACAAGAGAAAGCAGGAAAGACCTAAAATTGACACCCTAACATCACAATTAAAAGAACTAGAGAAGCAAGAGCAACATATTCAAAAGCTAGCAGAAGACAAGAAATAATTAAGATCAGAGCAGAACTGAAGGAAACAGAGACACAAAAAACCCTTCAAAAAATCAATGAATCCAGGAGCTGGTTTTTTGAAAAGATCAACAAAATTGATAGACCGCTAGCAAGACTAATAAAGAAGAAAAGAAGAATCAAATAGACACAAGAAAAAATGATAAAGGGATGTGACCACTGATCCCAAAGAAATACAAACTACCATCAGAGAATACTATAAACACTTCTATGCAAATAAACTAGAAAATCTAGAAGAAATGGATAAATTCGTCAACACATAAACTCTCCCAAGACTAAACCAGGAGGAAGGTGAATCTCTGAATAGACCAATAACAGGCTCTGAAATTGAGGCAATAATTAATAGCTTACCAACCAAAAAGAGTCCAGGACCAGATGGAATCACAGCCGAATTCTACCAGAGGTACAAGGAGGAACTGGTACCATTCCTTGTAAAACTATTCCAATCAACAGAAAAAGAGGGAATCCTCCCTAACTCATTTTATGAGGCCAGCATCATCCTGATACCAAAGCCTGGCAGAGACACAACAAAAAAAGAGAATTTTAGACCAATATCCCTGATGAACATCGATGCAAAAATCCTCAATAAAATACTGGCAAACCGAATCCAGCAGCACATCAAAAAGCTTATCCACAATGGTCAAGTGGGCTTCATCCCTGGGATGCCAGGCTGATTCAACATACACAAATCAATAAATGTAATCCAGCATATAAACAGAACCAACGACAAAAGCCATATAATTATCTCAATAGATGCAGAAAAGACCTTTGGCAAAATTCAACAGCCCTTCATGCTAAAAACTCTCAATAAATTAGGTATTGATGGGACATATCTCAAAATAATAAGAGCTATTTATGACAAACCCACAGCCAATATCATACTGACTGGGCAAAAACTGGAAGCATTCCCTATGAAAACTGGCACAAGAGAGGGATGCCCTCTCTCACCACTCTTATTCAACATAGTGTTGGAAGTTCTGGCCAGGGCAATTAGGCAGGAGAAAGAAATAAAGGGTATTCAATTAGGAAAAGAGGAAGTCAAATTGTCCCTGTTTGCAGATGACATGATTGTATACCTAGAAAACCCCATCGTCTCAGCCCAAAATCTCCTTAGGCTTATAAGCACCTTTAGCAAAGTCTCTGGATACAAAATCAATGTGCAAAAATCACAAGCATTCTTATACACCAATAACAGACAAACAGAGAGCCAAATCCTGAGTGAACTCCCATTCACAATTGCTTCAAAGAGAATAAAATACCTAGGAATCCAACTTACAAGGGATGTGAAGGACCTCTTCAAGGAGAACTACAAAGCACTGCTCAATGAAATAAAAGAGGATATAAACAAATGGAAAAACATTCCATGCTCATGGGTAGGAAGAATCAATATCGTGAAAATGGCCATACTGCCCAAGGTAATTTATAGATTCAATGCCATCCCCATCAAGCTACCAATGACTTTCTTCACAGAATTGGAAAAAACTACTTTAAAGTTTATATGGAACCAAAAAAGTGCCCGCATCGCCAAGTCAATCCTAAGCCAAAAGAACAAAGCTGGAGGCATCATGCTACCTGACTTCAAACTATACTACAAGGCTACAGTAACCAAAACAGCATGGTACTGGTACCAAAACAGAGATATAGATCAATGGAACACAACAGAGCCCTCAGAAATAATGTTGCATATCTACAACTATCGATCTTTAACAAACCTGAGAAAAACAAGAAATGGGGAAAGGATTCCCTATTTAACAAATGGTGCTGGGAAAACTGGCTAGCCATATGTAGGAAGCTGAAACTGGATCCCTTCCTTACACCTTATACAAAAAATTAATTCAAGATGGATTAAAGACTTAAATGTTAGACCTAAAACCATAAAAACCCTAGAAGAAAACCTAGGCATTACCATTCAGGACATAGGCATGGGCAAGGACTTCATGTCTAAAACACCAAAATCAACGGCAACAAAAGCCAAAATTGACAAATGGGATCTAATGAAACTAAAGAGCTTCTGCACAGCAAAAGAAACTACCATCAGAGTGAACAGGCACCCTACAGAATGGGAGAAAATTTTTGCAATCTACTCATCTGACAAAGGCTAATATCCAGAATCTACAAAGAACTCAAACAAATTTACAAGAAAAAAACAAACAACCCCATCAACAAGTGGGCAAAGGATATGAACATACACTTCTCAAAAGAAGACATTTATGCAGCCAACAGACACGTGAAAAAATGCTCATCATCACTGGCCATCAGAGAAATGCAAATCAAAACCACAATCAGATACCATGTCACACCAGTTAGAATGGCGATCATTAAAAAGTTAGGAAACAACAGGTGCTGCAGAGGATGTGGAGAAATAGGAACACTTTTACACTGTTGGTGGGACTGTAAACTAGTTCAACCATTGTGGAAGTCAGTGTAGCGATTCCTCAGGGATCTAGAACTAGAAGTACCATTTGACCCAGCCATCGCATTACTGGGTATATACCCAAAGGATTATAAATCATTCTGCTATAAAGACACATGCACACATATGTTTATTGCGGCACTATTCACAATAGCAAAGACTTGGAACCAACCCAAATGTCCATCAATGATAGACTGGATTAAGAAAATGTGGCACATATACACCATGGAATACTATGCAGCCATAAAAAAGGATGAGTTCATGTCCTTTGTAGGGACACGGATGAAACTGGAAACCATCATTCTCAGCAAACTATCTCAAGGACAAAAAACCAAACACCGCATGTTCTCACTTGTAGGTGGGAATTGAACAATGAGAACACTGGGACACAGGAAGGGGAACATCACACAACAGGGCCTGTTGTGGGATGGGCATCTAGGGGAGAGATAGCATTAGGAGATATACCTAATGTAAATGACGAGTTAATGGGTGCAGCACACCAACATGGCACATGTATACATATGTAACAAACCTGCATGTTGTGCACATGTACCCTAGAACTTAAAGTATAAAAAAAAAAGTTTCTTTTTTCCTTGGTTTTCATTTCTATGTTAGTCCCTTCGTTCAGTTGCAATGATGGTCTCAAATGGTAACAGTAGTAACTGCTGTAATGACGGTCTCAAGTAGTAACAATAATAACTGCTGAATGAAGGTCTCAAGTAGTTGTGGCAGTCAGCCACAAAATCCCAAAGGCTGGAATGGCTAAGTTGCCCCAACAGCAAAGATGGTGGCCCACCCCGCCTTCTAGGAGCTTCGTCTCAGGGAGGTTTAAACTTCTGTCTGCTGGAGAACACTGGTGGGGGTAACTGGAGACCTCCATCAGGAGGTCTCACCCAGTGAGGAGGAATGGGATTGGAGACCCACTTTAAAAAGCAGTTGGGCCACATTTTTGTAGAGCAACTGTGCTATACTGGGGGACTGTTTCCATTCCCAGTTGGCTTGGCTTCTCTGAAGCCCAAAGGCTGGAACAGGTAAATTGTCCAAACACCAAAGATGACAGCCGACCCCTTCTGCTGGGAGCTCTGTCCCAGGGAGGTCTGGAATCTCTGTCAGCCAGAAAACATTGGCTGGGGTGGCTGGAGACCCTGGTTGGGAGATCCCACCCAGGGAGGAGGAACAGGATGGGGGACCTACTTAAAAAAAGCAGTCTGGCCACATTTTCATAGAGCATCTGTGCTGTACTAGAAGCTGCTTCTGCCCTCAGTCAGCTTGGGGTCTCCAAATCCTGAAGGCTGGAATGGCTAAGTTGCCCAAACAGCAAAGATGGCAGCTCACCCCTTCCACTGGGAGCTCTGTCTCATGGAGGCAAAATGCTGCTACCGGTGGCTGGCTGAAATTCCAAGCTAGCAGGTCTTATCCTGTGATGTGCCATGATAGTGGGGACTGCATACTGTTGCTGCAGCCCTCAGGACTCAGTCGCTTTTCTAGTGGTATGCACTGGGGTCTAAACTTCCACTTTGCCAGAGTTGCAGCTACTTTTGCTGGGAAGCTCGGAAAGCCTGGGTATCTAAGGACCCTGGGTCTCTGCGTGTGCCTGAGTGGCTGCTCTGCTGAGACTCCATGTAGCTCTGTCTATCATACTAAAGGCCCTGATGGAGTGGGTTCACGAGGGGATCTCCTGACCCCAGGGTTGCAAAGATCTGTGGGAGAAGCCTGCCTTCCTGGGTTCACACATTCACTCACCACTTCCCTGGGAGGGGACGTTCCCCTGACTCTGTGTCACTCCTGGGTGGGCTGATGTTCTGCCTGGCTTTTCTCCATTCTTCGTGGGTCAAGTTATTTTCTTGATTAGTCCAAATGCATGTACCTGGATGTTTCAGTTGAAGGTGCTGTATTTACTCACCCCCTCCATTCCTCTCCATGGAGCCACACACATGAGCTGCTTCTAGTTGGCAATCTCGGCCACTCCCTCTTTCTTAGTTTTATATCAATCTAATCTATTGAGCTCATGATATTTAATATATTATCTCATTTAATCTGCACAGTGATCCTATGAGAAAGGCGGATTTTAATGAATTGATTGATTAATTGAATGATTGATTAACTCAAGGCTCCCAGAGCTGAACTCACTTGTCCAAGGTCACCTACTAGCAAATGTGGGCTATTGTGGGTTGGAATCCATATCAGTCTGATTCTGAACATCATATTATTTTCCTTTACATGGCAATCAGATTTTTAGGAGAAGATGGTTTTCATGTGAAGTGCCTGCAGAACTCCAGAGAAATCCAGCAGGCAGTTGGAAATGTAGGCCTGGGTGCTGAGGAAGAGATACAGATTTGGAAGTCATCTGTGGAAAGGTGAAAGTAAAACTGTGAGAATGGGTGAGGTCATCAATAGAATGCCTGCAAAAGTGACTGAGATGAAAGCTGACATCAGGACTTTGGGGAATGCTTCCATGTAAAGGCCAGCTGGAACACTCAGAATTCCTTGGAGAACTGCTAGTGATTTAATCCATGAATGATTGAATCACTGAATCCATCATAACCAGTATTATAAAGGATTAAATTTTTTTTATCCCAGTCAAAACTTACTGGGGATTAAAAAATTATTTGAGATGTACTTATAGTAAATAAATCTTTACAATTATAGAATCACACAAAACACATTTAGTTACAAATCACATCACAACCAGTGGCATGATAGGATGTTGCAACTGAAAATCGCCATGCTAGTGACAAATTTATTTACTCAATATATTATTTCATTAATTAGTTCATGATTCTTTAATTTATCAAGCATTTATTGACTTCATACTCTTTAAGATAAGAAATCTACATATTGATGAAAAGCAATATTTCAAAAGCACTATTAATTAACAACATACAAACTCTTCTGTACTTTGAAAATGTATAGTTCCCCGAGACATACCTAACCAGATGTTTGCCTGGCCACAACTCCTAGGAAGGAGAATATGTGATATAAATGTAAGGAAGTTAAACTATATATTATGGACTGAACTGTGTCCCCTCCCAGATTCATATATTGAAGTCTCAACCCTCAGTAAATTGGTATGTAATTAACTTTGGAGATAAGGCCTTTAAGAAGCTGAAAAAATTAAAATGAGGTCATCAGGATGGAGACCTAATACAATACGACTGCTGTCTTTATAAGAGAGAGAACTCCTGTAGTTCCACCTTATCTGAGATTTCACTTTCTGAGGTTTCAGTTACCCATGGTTAATGGCAGTCTGAAAATATTAAATGGAAACTTCCAGAAATAAACATTCCATAACTTTCAAATTACTTGCTGTTCTGAGTAGCATGATGAAATCTTCCTCTGTTCTGCCCCATCTTGCTGGGGATGTAAATCATCCCTCTGTTCAGTGTATCCATATTATAGACACTACTCACCCATTAGTCACCTAGTGACTGTCGTGGTTAGCACATCAGCTGTGACATGGTTTGGCTGTGTCCCCACCCAAATCCCATCTTGAATTCCCATATGTTTTGAGAGAGACCCAGTGGGAGGTAATTGAATCATGGGGACAAGACTTTTCCATGCTGTTCTCAAGATAGTGAATAAGTCTATGAGATCTGATAGTTTTATAAGGGGAGTGGGAATTCCCTGCACAAGCTCTCTCTTTGCCTGCTGCCATCTATGTAGGACGTGACTTACTCCTCCTCACCTTCCACCATGATTTTGAGGCTTTCCCAGTCATGTGGAACTGTAAGTCCGCTAAACTTCTTTCTTTTGTAAATTGCCCAGTCTTTGGTGTGTCTTTATCAGCAGTGCGAAAACGGACTAATACGACCTGTCTCAATGTGGCAGTGCTTGTGTTCAAATAACCCTTATTTTAATAACGTCCCCAAAGCCCAAGAGTTCCGTGCCTAATTTATAAATTAAATTTCATCATAGGTATGTATGCATAGAAAAAAACCAGTATGTATAGGTTCGCTACCATTCATGGCTTCAGGCATCCACTGGGGGTCTTAGACCATATCCCCTTATAGATAAGGATAAGGAGGGACTGTCATACCAGGGGCCCGTGCACAGAAGGGCAACCGTGTGAAGAGGCAGCAGAAGAACTGCTATTTACAAGCCAAGGAGAGAGGCCTCAATGAAACCAATCTTGTCGGCACCTTAATGTTGGACTTCCCACCTCTAGGACTGTGAGAAAATAAATTTCTATTGTTTAGGCCATCCAGTATGTGATATTTTATTATGAGAACCACAGAAAATGATTACACTGTGGAACTAGAAATTTACCTTCAAAGGGGGTTGAGGGGGATTAGGGAGATTTCTAGATTGAGAAGTGTGAGACAGATATTGTTTAGATTTTGACAAAATAGACCAGCCTCTTGAAAACTTTAAGCTGAAGTGCAGGCTTTGTGGTTTACTGGGTGGGAGAGAAGGGCAGCACCAGGGTCTATTATCAATTTCATTATCTTTGATTATTTAAACAGAGGAAAGATACCTTATTAATATTTGGTTGTGAAACACCTTACCTTTGTGCAGAGACCCACAAAATAGAGGACATTTAGAAAGACCTTGACTATTCTCTTCTGATTTCATGACCATATCTGTAGTGATAGGCAAGGCTATGCAGAAATAGCGAACATACGAAATGCAAACTGGCTACTTTTAGTGTTTCACAAGAACTTGTAAAGATGCCTGAAAAGCACACAAAAAATGCTCCTTTTAGTGTTTTTATGGGGATAGCTTAAGGTTGTTTTCAAAGTTTTGAGATCCAAATGCAAAGGACTTCACTGTTTTACAAGTGGTTTAATCCCATGGGTAGTGTGGTTATAATCCAGATGAGCCTCTTGAGGGGCAGAAAGTAGCTGTGCCAATTTTTTTGTGTGTGTTGAAAGGACCATAAAGGAGAAACAGATCATAGTTTGTGGGTTGATAAATAGTTCAGCACGCACAGCCAGAAGAATGAACCTTACGCACATTGCACAGCTAACCGTATTTTTTTTTGTTTTTGAAGGCAGAAATGAGGGAGAGGAGTTGTGGTTTTTGTTATTTCTCTGTTACAACCTCTTGCTTAGTGACGTGGCAAGGATAAAAAGGATATGTCGGAATTTAAAATGTGGCATTGAAAGAAAAAATTCAGAATATGATAACGATGTAGGTATATGGAGCTTAATTTATTTTTTTCAATTTTCTTTTTAAAGTGAAAAAATTAAAAGTGGGTTCAGAAATTATTGGAAGCAAAACTATGGTGGTCCTGTTTAGATGGCATGTGAAAAGAAAACTGAAGTAGAAACAAAAGCTGAAAAGAAAGTTTACTTTGTTTGGGCTGAGTTTTCACTTGACAGATAACTTAGGTAAGAATCTACTTGCAGAAGGACTCACTCCAAGAGTAAGTGCAGGACAGAGGGATTTTTAGATACTAAAAGTGTACCAGATGCATGCAAAAGCCTCAGTTATGAAATCTCTGGGGAGTTTATCACACACAGACTGTTTCTCTCCCCTCCTCTCCATTTTTTCTTTTGTTGCATGAGGCATTTATTAATGATAAAGGTACACAAACTCACCTATAGACATGATCTTTGTGACTCTGGGGAAAGATCAGTGCTAATATTTTCCTCCCTCTTATCTTTAAGAATTGTCTGTTCTAAATTGGGTTAAATAATTTTTTTGTAAACTTTCTCACATAAGTGAAAACACTATTTCTTTAAACATCAAAGCCCATTTGAATTAGGTCACTTCATAATTTATATTATCAAAAAGATTGTAATTTTTTCCAGATTTTAAGAATTTCCAGATTATTCCAAATTTTATGGGCGAAATTCTGCCCTCAATTATGCACATGCAACTAATTGCACACACATAACTGAGGGTAGAGTTTGGCTTTTGGAGCTGAAAATCTCTAAAGTTCTGAATTTTTTTCTTGGAAAAAAACAGACTTTTATCTAAAAATGTAAACAAAATCTTCAAAATTATTGACATCTTTTTTTGAAAGTTGCTTTCAAGTACTGATTAATAAGTCCACCACATACTGGTGTAATCACTATTATCTTTTTTGCAATGAGAAAATAGTCATTCAAATGACTATTATTTGCTTGAATCCACACAAGCAAGAGAGTGATAGAATTAAGGTTAGCATTTAGCATTTTAAGTCTATGTGCTGTGATAATAGCTGGAACTATGAATAACCATGTCATAACTTAGTTATATTCTTGATTGTTGTCTCTTTTATTATTCAAAATAATGGCTTTATTATATTTTTTTTCCTGATTATAAAGATAATATTGGAAATAATTTAAACAGTATGGAAAAGTGCAGGGAGTAAGGTAACCACTAGAATTCCGAACAGTAAGAGGGGTCATTTATATATTGTTGAATATTCTTCTAGGAGTGTTATCTGACTTTTTCTCTAATTTTATATTGATATAATACTTTACATGTTACTGTAGCAAACTTTTTCACCAAGGAAGTATTGAAAACGTTTTCAGGTGGAGATATACAGATACCCTTCTTTTAAGGCCACATAATATTCCATTGCATCAGCAAGTCTGTTACTTTCACGAGAAGAAATGTGCTTCATTTCCGTAAAGTTAGTCATTATGAACACATTTGTTTTTTATAATTGATAACTGGAACTTGCTTCTCTTTTAGCTTTGCCAAAGATCTCAGATTTCTACATACTTTGCTCTTGTTTGAAACTATAATTTTGAGTTGCACATTCATAGAATTATACACAGACATGAAAATTAAAAATGTCATGGCAATGGAAAATGTGAATAACAGAGGGAAGTAAAATCCTCAGAAAATCTCTAAATGTATTTTGTAAATAGCATCTTATCATTATCCAACTTTAGTGTGAGATCTGCTTAAAATGTCCAAATTGATAGGGATTTTTCATTTTATTCTTTTCCTTAGCAATTCCTGGGAGATCAGAGTAAGCAGTGGAATGGAAAATCTTGGATAATCTTGACTTTGGGTAATCAATTGCTAAACACTCAACATAGAGTGGAGTGTTTATACTTATATGAGTAGCACTTGAAAAATTGACAGATACTCCACACAGGCTCTGTATATTTCCATTTTACCCTTTTGCTGCCCTCCCCAATTCCTCAACTCCTGAAACTCTTGCACTCTATTGCCCTCATGAACATTCAGATCGATTAACAGCCTCATATTCTTCACCCTTTAGATCCTATTCCCTCTAGCCTAATCAAGGCCATTTCTCTAGCAATATTCCCTTCTCCTTCTTTTATCACCAGATTTTCCCACTCTACTGAATTATTCTTATGGACATACAAATACGCAATTTTTTTCTTTTATCTTAAAAATATTTATCTTGACCTGTTTTCCACTTCACCTATCACCCCATTTCTTGGCTCCTTTTTGGAGCAAAGGAATTATCTGTATTCCTCGTCTGTAATTCTTCTCCCTTTCTCTTAATCTGATCCAATCAAGCTTTTCTCCCAGTTGAGTAAAAAAAAAAAAAATGCTCTTCTTTTTTTTTTTTTTTTTTTTTTTTTTTTTTGAGACGGAGTCTCGCTCTGTTGCCCAGGCTGGAGTGCAGTGGCGCAATCTCGGCTCACTGCAAGCTCCGCCTCCCGGGTTCACGCCATTCTCCTGCCTCAGCCTCCCGAGTAGCTGGGACTACAGGCGCCCGCCACCACGCCCGGCTAATTTTTTTGTATTTTTAGTAGAGACGGGGTTTCACCGTGTTAGCCAGGATGGTCTCGATCTCCTGACCTCGTGATCCGCCCGCCTCGGCCTCCCAAAGTGCTGGGATTACAGGCGTGAGCCACCGCGCCCGGCTTTTTTTTTTTTTTTTGAGACGGAGTCTCGCTCTGTCGCCCAGGCTGGAGTGCAGTGGCGGGATCTCGGCTCACTGCAAGCTCCGCCTCCCGGGTTCACGCCATTCTCCTGCCTCAGCCTCCCGAGTAGCTGGGACTACAGGCACCCGCCACTACGCCCGGCTAATTTTTTGTATTTTTAGTAGAGACGGGGTTTCACCGTTTTAGCCGGGATGGTCTCGATCTCCTGACCTCGTGATCCGCCCGCCTCGGCCTCCCAAAGTGCTGGGATTACAGGCGTGAGCCACCGCGCCCGGCCAAAATGCTCTTCTTAAGGTCACCAATAACCTCCATGATCTGACGGTCAGTTCTCAAACCTCCTCTTACTTGGCTGGTCAGCATCATTTGACACATTTGATCACTTCCTCTTTCTTAATAAACTTTCTTCACTTGGTTTCCAAGGTATCATATTCTTTTTGTTTTCTTTCCATCTTCCTGGTTGCTACTTCTCAGTCTTCTTGGCTGAATCCTCTTCTTGACTTCTTAATTTTGAAATATTATGTTCTTTCTGTTTTCCTCTTTATACTCACAGTGTTAAATATTATCCGTATATTAATTATTTCCATAGTCATACCTCTAGGACCATCTTTTGTCCAGACCTGATATTCCTGTATCCAGCAATATCTCTTAGACTCAACATGCCTCATATTCAACTCCTGATATTCCTCACCTCTCTGCAAACCTTCACTAATCTCAGTTCAGGCAACTCCATCATTACAGTTGCTCATGACAACTTGAAGATCATCTTTAGTGACTTTTGTTCTTTCACACCCCACAGCCGATCTTTCAGGAAATCCTGTTAGCCCTAATTTTAAAATATACTCAGAATTTGACCATTTCTTACCTCCTCTGCTGAGTTACTAGAACCCCTGATCAGGTCTCATTCTATTCTTGTCCTCTTAGAGTCTATTGTCAAAAAATTAGCCAGAGTGAGCCCTATAAAACCGAAATCGCATCATGGAGCTCTTCTGTTTAAAATCCTGAAATAGCTCCCATTTCACTCAAGGGAAAAGTTGAAGTCCATACAATGGCTACAAGGCCAGGACCTCCCCTTTCCACTTTGGCTTCTTGGCCTGCTGCTCTCTCTCATTCAGTCTCCTGCAGCCACACTGAGCTCCTTGTGTTCCTCAAATATTCCAGGAATGCTCTCATTTTGGTTTCTTTGCTTTAGATATTCTATTACCTGGAATATTCTTCTCCCACATATCTGCCTAGATAACCCTTTCATTACCCTAAATCATACTTTCTGAAGTGCAAAGTGAAGCTTACCCTGTCAGCTTTTTTTTAAAATACTGCAGCCAATTTCTCCCTTATTCTGGTCTGCTCTGTGTGTGCATTTCATAGCATCATGTTATATTTACCTAAAATTTGCTTGTTGTTTAATTTATCTGTCCCCACTAGAATATAATCCTTGAATATATCCTTGAGGACAGAGATCTTTATTAGTTGTGAGTGGTGGAATTGTAGGTAACTATCTTCAAATTACAATTACAAATATAACAACTAATGAAAAGACAAGCCCTGAAAACACCAATGAAGAGAGAATATGTCATTCACAATAGATGATGATTAATCCAATTCTATATATATGAGATCGAAAAAAGTAAATAAAAATTTTAAAAAAAGAAGAACCAGAGTGAAGAGGAAGAACACTGAGATAAGAGGAAACCATGTAAACTAATGTTGTTGGTTTATGAATACTCCTCCTCCTTAGAAAGTGTTGAGAAAGGAGTGAAGAAGAGGCTACAAATGATGCTATGTTCAAATCTTGATATAAGATTTGTTAAGGATCATGCTAATGTAGAGATAAAGAGAATATATATATATATATATATATTTTTTTTTTTTTTTTTTTTTGAGACAGAGTCTTGCTCTCAACCCAGGCTGGAATGCAGTGGCACAATCTCGTCTCACTGCAACCTTCGCCCCCCGGGTTCAAGCTATTCTCCTGCCTTAGCCTCCCAAGTAGCTGGGACCTATAGGCATGCACCCCTGCACCAGGCTAATTTTTGTATTTTTAGGAGAGACGTGGTTTCATAATGTTGGCCAGTCTGGTCTCAAACTCCTGACCTCAGCTGATCCACCTGCCTCAGCCTCCCGAAGTGCTGGGATTACAGGCATGAGCCACCGTGCCTGGCCAAAAAGAAAATTTTTGGCTTTAAAATATAAAATGTATATATCATTGCCCCATCCCATTAGCTCTTCTGAAAAATCAGCTGTATTGATTAGCAACTAAAAATGTCAAGGTATATTTAAAAAATATTAAGGACTACTTTAGGGCTTTGAAATAATGAGTTGCTCAAGTCCTCATTAAGAAATAGAGCATATATGAAACTATCACAGTTGGTTAGTCAAGAAAGAGAAATGCTTTTGAGTATCTTATTAAGTGAGGTAAATTAGTGTACTTTGTTTCAATTCATTAACCAAATGTTGAAAAGTAAGGCAAACCACTTTTGGAAGGAATAAAAATTTCCATGAGGACCAGTGGGATAAGGCTCACAAAAATTTATTTTGTTGTAAAGGCTGTAGCTACTTATGTCCACTGATTTTTTATGGCAATTATTTGCAGTAAAAGAAAATAATTTAGGGGGCTTATTTTTTAATGTTATTTAAGATCAGCATTTGATGAAGCAGTTAATGATTGAAAGTAAGAGATTGTAAAGCATATTAGTTTAAATGTTAACCATCAAACAACAGAAAATACTGAGACTTGAAAAAAAAAGAAAGTATTTTTTTTTCTTTTTCTTGAGATTTAAAATGTAAGGTGGTTTTAAGTACCATTTGTTGAGGTTTTATGGGACCCCCAAAAAATGCCTTCTTTTCCTTTATAAGGATAGACAATGAATCAGTTAGATGGAGATTAAAATGCCAGCTTTATAACTAATCAAAATCTGCTATGAAGCGTGCAACTTAGATTTGCATCTACAATTGCCTTCCTAACATTTCACCACCATTAGATGCATGTACTTATTTGGTGTAAGCCACTGTATTGCTGCAGACTCCCTCACAGGTCAGGATGGTTACCACGTGGCATGGGGCAGACCCGAAGGCTAAGGCCCCTTGGTTAGATGGCTCTGGAAAGAGAGAGAAAGAGGAAAAGGCTGAGGTGAACTTGCTCGGTGACATTCACTAGTCAAATCAATTGATTCTTCTCTCATAGGGAGAGGTAAGTAGGGGTAGAAAGGAAGGCTGAGGGTTTCTTTCTAGCCAAAGTCTCCCCAGATGGAAACAGGAAGAATGGAGAATATTTCTCCCCAACCAAGAACATGATTTACTCATCACATGTGTGTGATCTATTATGTTAATAGCAATTATGCCATGTGTTTAGAAATGTGTGTATTACTGGGAAGGGGGGACATAGGGATTATTACATTTCAAAATTTCCACTTCCATTTTTCAGAAAATTACACAGAGAGTTGCAAATCAGAAAGACTCATAAATTGTGGGCATACACACTGCTGTGAATTAATGTCCAGGAGTTGATGGCTCGGGCCTGGAGGAAGAAGAGGGAATGCAGCAGTGCCTTTATTAATGAGCAGAGGCCAGGATACCGCTAAAATCCACTTCTGTTGAAGGCGGCACTGCTGCCATCTGGCGGACTTCGAAGGAGAGACCCATAAGGGGAGAAGTCGGTTCAATTCTGGCATCTTGCCGCTACTTTCTAGGTACGGTGTTGGGGCATTTAAAGATAACAGGTCTCGTTCTTTGCCCTTAGGAAGTCGGGAATTAAACAGGGGAAACAGACCTCACTCAGAAGAATATGGGAAGTTTGGCTCTAATGGGAGGGCCAAGAGATAGTGGAATCCACTACCATGAGGAGTGTCAGGAAAAGATTTACAGAAGAGGCAACACCGGTTTGTGTTGGAAGCAAAGATAAGATTCAACAGGGAGAGAAGTAGGCCCTGCTCCAAACAACTTAATTCCACTGGTTTGTTAAGGGTCTAAAGAAAGTTCCTACTCTTTTTAGAATTAACCTATTTTTTATACTTCTCTTTTATTATCAGGCTCTCCCAAGTTTATAATTGTGCTAATCCATTGATCAGATGTTTTACTCATCCTAATCAGAAGAAAGGTCTCCCTAGCAATAGAAGTTATGGGTATAGTACAACCAGCGTGGCATGTCCCTCCCTCAATACCCCACTAGGATATCTCTTATGCTCTGCCCTGAAAAACATGATGAGTCTTAATTTCAGTGAATTTCCTTGGTCTGTGGTTTACCATAGCATAAACTTTTGAGGTTGAGCTTTACAAATTCAATTTTAATCAGATATTATTTTTCTCCTAAGCAAGCTCTAAATACCACAAATAAAGCTTTCACCAGTTTAGAAACCATCTATAACTCATAAGTGTAATTAGGTTTAAAATGATGCTGAGATTTCACACTATCCCTGTTCAACACTTATGATTTTATGTTCTATGCCTCTATTCCCTAAATACTGGTCAGCTGAATATTTCCCTATTAGAAGCTGTGGTGTGTTAAGGACCCAGCAAGTTAAAAAGTAATAACTTTTGATTTGGCAACAGCACAATAAAATATGGCTAACTGAAACCATTGCCAGCATGAAGCTTGACATATGAAAAATGGTACTTTCAGGTTGCCTATAGTAATGTACAGAGGTGCTGTTCTGCCTGAATTTCATTTGAATTTCCTGTGGTCGTCAAAATGGGTTTCTTTCAATCTTTGTGTCAGTGGAGGTTGATTTGCGTGGGACTTGAGTGGTAAACCTGTCAAACACAACAAAGTTTGTTATTCCATTGGGCCCTGTCATAAAAATCAGTATCTAAAGCTGCCAAACTTAGAGAAATTGGCTGATTCTGGGGCTAGGGCTTATTGCATAGATTTGGATAATGCCTGCACATATGTTTAAAAAGCCTTTGTTTCAAATATGCTTGTGTTTAAAACTCCTTCAGCAAAGGATTTGTAACTAAATAAATACAATGGAAAATAAATTTAAACAAAGGTTTTAACTTTATTTATCCACTTAGTGTTTGAAATACTGTATCCTCCACTCAAAGCTACATTTTCTTCCACCACAATCTTTCTTTTTTTAAACCCAAGTGTTCTTAACATTAAATTTAGAAGATGTGTAAAGATGATGTACAGGCCAAGGAAGATGAGAAAGTCTATAAAACCCAGTTAGAAAGTCTAAGGAGGATGAGCTGAGTTGGAAGCAATGCCAGCAGCCAGATCAGCATAGAAACACTAGAGAAAGAAGATATCGCTTTGAGATGTAACAGACCAACAGTGATGACATCTTCCTGTATTGAGCCACAAAGAGGCAAAATAGTATTCTGGACTTAGGTAGCTGACATTTTTCTGCAGAGGTCTGACCTATTCAGATGAGGATGAATGATAATGCCAAATAGCAGAGGCTAGGCCAATGAAAGGCAGGAAACAGGTGTGTTACCTCAGGCTCAATGTGGCCGGGAATGGCTTATGAAAAGAATGGGATTTAACTTGGTCTTCCCCCCTTCAATTTTTACTTTTTAAGTTATGAAATGCTTTAAGTATGGGATTTGGAGGGTGCATAGTGCTTAAGTAGAATAGATATTACTTATCTTAGACTACTGTTTATTAAATACTACAGACACTGTGCTCAAGTGCTTTATATGCATGATCTTACTCATTCCTACAATTTTTCTATGACTTAAATACCAGTTTTTCCTCCAAAATTGCAGATGATACTACATTAGAAAGGTTAAACAAAGTGCCCAAAGTCATATAGCTGCTGAATGGTGGAGCCTAGACTCAAAGCCAAATTTGTCTGATTCCAAAACCCAAGCTCTTACTGATATGATTTGACCTGTGTCCCCATTCAAATTTCACCTCGAATTGTAATAATCCCCACATGTCAAGGGCGGGGTCAGGTGTAGATAATTGAATCACGGAGGTGGTTTTCCTCATACTCTTCTCGTGGTGGTTGAATACATCTCATGAGATCCGATGGTTTTATAAATGGAGTTCCCCTGGCACAGACTCTTTTGCCTGCCACCATGTAAGATATCCCTTGCTTTTCCTTTGTCCTCTGCCATGATTGTGAGGCCTCCTGAGCCACGTGGAACTGTGAGTCCATTAAACTTCTTTCCTTTATAAAGGTATCGGGTATGCCTTTATTAGCAGCACAAGAACAGACACACTTACCGTGCACTTATTGCCTGTTAATATGGTTTAGCTCTGCCCACACCCGAAATTTCATTTTGAATTGTAATCCCCATAATCCCCACGTCAACCGAGAGACCAGGTGGAAGTAATTGAGTCATGGGCGTGGTTTCCCCCATGCTGTTCTTGTGCCAGTGAGTGAGTTCTCACGAGATCTTATGGTTTTACAAGTGTTTGGTAGGTCCTCCTGTATTCATTCTCCCTCCTGCTGCCTTGTGAAGAATGTGCCTTGCTTCCCCGTCGCCTTCTGCCATGATTGTAAGTTTCCTGAGGCTTCCCCAGCCATATGGAACTGTGAGTCAATTAAACCTCTTTTCTTGTAAATTACCCAGTCTCGGGCAGCTCTTTATAGCAGTGTGAGAACAGACGAATACACAGGTATATAGCTAATAATCAATTACCTTCACTTTGTAATAAGACAATGAAGCCTGTAAGACAGTTGTATAAGATTATTGTATAAGACAATGAAGCTCAGATATCTTCATTCCTAACATGAAGCATATGCTAGTTTGGAAAGGAATTCACCAAGTGGTAATTGTAAAAACTATTTAACAGACACAGAATAATGTTTATCATATAACGTTACATGTAAAAATCATATAATAGTGTACATTGGTGTCGACATATGGTATGCATGTAGAAAAAACAATGTACACCTATAGACAAAACTCTGAAAGATGAATTTAAATTTAAAGGGAAAATAGTTCTCTTGGAATAGCAAGAGACATAGTTAATTTTCATACGCACTTCTTCCTTTTCCTACACCTTGCTCTGTGGCCTTCCCCACTTCATTGGGCTGGTTTCTCTATTCCAAGTTTCACAAGGCCAAAATCAAAGTGCCAACAACTGGGTTCTTATTAGAAGGCTCTCTGGAAAGAACTTGCTGTGAAGCCTACTCAGGTTTTGGCAAAATTGAGTTTCCTGAGTTGGGGTAGGACTGAGACTTCTGTTTCCTTGTTGGCTGTTAGCTGTGGGCTGCCATTGGCACCTAGAGGCTTCTCTCTGGTCATTGCTATGTAGGTCCTGACATCTCAGGGTCAACAAAAGTACAGGTGTTGAATTATGCTTGGAATTTCTCTGACTTCCCCTTATACTAATGTTCTCATTTACCTTCAGCTGGAGAAAGTTCTTTGCTTTAAGGACTCACATGATTACATTGGTCTCACTTGGAAAATCCAGGATTCTCTGTTTTCAGGTCTGTGACCTTAATTATATCTGCAAAGTTTTATTTGCCATGAAACTTAATACATTCAAATTTTCCAGGGATTAGGGGTAAACATTTGTGGGTGAACATATTACTTACTACCACTGGTGATTATGGAGTTCTGGCTAATGAATATAAAACTGAAGATGTGTGAGACTTGTGCTAAGTTCCCTTAAAGGAGAGGACTGATACCTTTTTTCTTTCAGTCCCCATTCGGCTGCCTAGAGTACTAGAGCAGCCACCCTTGAAATATGAAGCAAGGACCACATCCTAGAGATGGTAGATGAGAAAGCTGGAAGGAACTGAACTGAATTATTTTGTGCAGTCAACTAATTAGGCTTCAATTGCCTGTATCTCTGGGTTTCATTTACATGAGAGAAAATAAACCTCTTATTAAAGTTCCCATTTATTTGAAATTTTTTGTTATATAGTTCACTCCATTACTGAAAAACATGTTCTCCAAACTTTGTAGGGTTTTTCTTATCTCATTATAATATTCTGTAGCATAGATTGACAAAATCAAATATGCTATTTGGCTTTCCAATTTATTATATTTAGCATGAATAGTAACTATTATCCAAGTTTTTAAAAGACATTCACATAGTTATAAAAATAAGTTCATTTTTCTTAGTAATATCTGATTCTTCTGTGTTCAAAAATGTCACTTTGTGCATTCCAGTTTAATTCCCTATTAGAGTAAAAAGAGGAACATTTGACTGTAGTCTGAAGCTGAAACAGACAGGAAACTCCCATTTTGGGTTTAGAGAATACATACAAAGTTTTTGAAAGAAATACTTAGACTTTAATAGAAGACACATTATCATAAGTCCTATTCACTTAATTAGCTGTTTTTCATTATGTTAAAACATTTTCTTATAAGGTAAACATTAGACAAATATGAATTATCTTCAATTAAACAGCATGTACTATTCATTTACCTTGCTCATTTTCAAAACTCTGACAACTCTGAAATTTAAACATTCTCTAAAACGAATTATGTAGGATATTTATAATGAGATTTTCATAACCTTATATACATGATTATACATGTGTAAATGAGAGATAAGCATCAAGGACTATGTCATAATCCATTTTTTTTGTTGTTGCTATAACAATACCACAGACTGGGTAATTTATAATGAACAGAAATTTATTTGGCTCATGGCTTTTGGACTGGGAAGTCCAAGAGCATGGTGCTGGCATTTGGTAAGGGCCTTTATGTTGCATCATCCCATGGCAGGAGGAGAAAAGGCAAGTTGAGCATACAAGACAGAGGAGCCAGGTGCAGTGGCTCATGCCTGTAATCCCAGCACTTTGGGAGGCCAAGGCGGGCAGATCACTTGAGGTCAAGGAGTTCAAGACCAGCCTGGCTAACATGGTAAAACCCCATCTCTACTAAAAATACAAAAATTAGCTGGGCGTGGTGGCCTATACCTGTGATCCCAGCTACTTGGGAGGCTGAGGCAGAGAGAATTACTTGAATCCGGAAGGTGGAGGTTGCAATGAGCCGAGATCCTGCCACTGCACTCCAGCCTGGGTGACAGAGTGAGGCCCCATATCAAAAGAAGAGGAAGAGGAAGAGGAGGAGGAGGAGGAAGAGGAAGAGGAGGAGGAGGAGGAGAAGGAAGAGGAAGAAGAAGAAGAAGAGACAAGAGGAAATTGGGCTGATCTCATTCTTTTATGAGGAACCCACTTTAGCAATAACTTACCATTACTGCAATAACAGCACTGATCCATTCATGAAGGTGCAGCCCTCATGACCTAATTACCTCTTGTAGGTCTCACTTCTTAACACTGTCACAATGCAATTAAATTTCAACATGAATTTTGGAAGGATATTCAAGCCATAGCAGACCATTTCTTAAATTTGAAACTTATTTTAATTACCCCAATGACAGAATTAAAACAAATGCTGCACTATACATACTTTGTCATTTCATTTGAGTGCTATTTTCAAAATTAAATAGCCATAAGCAGTATTTTAAAAACGTTTTCTGAGTCTCAAACTTCCTTGAGAATCTGATAAATGTTATGGTCTGTCTTTCCAAACAGTGTCCACATATTCTTACACAAACATTTTTTAGGTAACTGAAGTGTTCATAGACCCTATGAAATCTATTCATAAGATCCAAGTTAAGAACCCTTGTCATAAAGGTATGTTTAAATTAAAAGTGTTTTATACACAAATTAAAAAAAATATGAACTTTTTCTAATATTAGGAGATTACTAAGCAATTAACATGATATGTTGATTTTTAGTAGTTCTACTCTAATATTCTTCAGCTTTCTGAGCTACCAAAAAGGTTACATGTGTTAGAACCAAAAAACAAGATAGACATTTATGCACATATAACTTGTGTCTGCCTTCCCTTTTTTAGGATTCTCTCTGCTCCACCAACTTAAGAAAGAGGACATAATATTCCATAACAACACCTTTCTGTGATACGGAAATAGGCAGTAGACAAATTTATTTTCCCTTGGTCCAGAATAAGCCCAATGAACATAGGAGTTAGTTTGTTAAATTGTAAATGTAAATTTCAAAATGTTGACATGATTTTTCCTTGTCTCTATTTCCCTTTAGACCATCTCCCCCAGGCAAAGTGCTTATAATTTTTGTTTATTTTTCAAAACGATTACAAGAGAGTTTTAATATTGCCTTTAGCACTTCTTATTAGTAACTCTAGTTTTGTATAACATTTTGAATTCATCTTTGATCATAGTGGGCCCTCTTTATACATTTTGTATATATATATATATATATTTTTTTTTTTCTATGAGACAGTCTTGCTCTGTCATCTAGGCTGGAGTGCAGTGGTGGGATCGGCTCACTGCAAGCTCTGCCTCTTGGGTTCACGCCATTCTCTTGCCTCAGCCTCCCGTGTAGCTGGGACTACAGGTGCCTGCCACCACGCCCGGCTAATTTTTTGTATTTTTTTTTTTTTTAGTAGAGACGGAGTTTCACCGTGTTGGCCGGGATGGTCTTGATCTCCTGACCCCATGATCTGCCCACCTTGGCTTCCCAAAGTGCTGGGATTACAGGCATGAGCCACCATACCCGGCCATATTATTTTGTATTGTATGTTTATCTAACATCTATCTATGGCATCTAAGATGTCTGTTTCAGCATAGAAGTTGTTTATATCAATATTTCTCAATCTTCTTTGTCTCAGGACCCTTTTATCCCATTAAAATTATTGAAGAGTGCAAAGAGATTTACTGTGTTCAAAATTAACACTAAGAAATTAGAAAAAATTATTGTAAAACAAGATGTATTCAATGTATCCACTTGTGTTTCCTCGTAGGCAAAAGGGAAACTCTAAGATTTCAAAATAATGATTTATGGATGAAGATTAATTACATATAATATTACAAATATAGCAGATATAAGTGAAGAAAACTAGTAAGGGCACAATAGAAGTATTGAGAAAAACTGAATTTCTGGAAAAAAAGTTGTTCTCTATACCTGCCACTCCAGAATTTCATTTGAAAAAGCACAAGCATTTGTTTCATTAGCTACCAAATATTTTTATTTTGAGAGACTATTTCAGTTCTATGTACTTTTGTATGCACATATACTTTATCTGTGTGCATGTGTAGAGAAATGAAAATAATATTAAACTATCATTAATGATGATTATGTGGATTTAGTGTGATTTATGACTTTCTTCTGAAGTATTCTGCACTATATGACATTATACTACTGCTGCTGTTACTGCTAAATAATAAACACAATATCTAACTTTTCTTGAACAAGGTGCTCAGCACTTGTCTAAATACCTCACAACTAACTCTATCAATCATCAAAATAATTGTTATTATCTCTGTCTTATAGATGAGGAAACCAAGGAACAGAGTGGTAAGGTCTTATAATTTGCTGAGAATTCCACAGCTAGTTAGTGGTGGAACCAAGATAATCAGATATCTTATTAAATGAGTGTTTTTAATATTTTACCAGAAATAATTAGATAATTTGACTATATAAAGGAATAGATGAATTTATGTAAAGATTTATGAGAGTCTTATAACACTTGAATGTATTGAATACATGGAACTAGAATTTCCATTGTAACTTCTATGTAACTGTAACTCTGCTTATTTTATCTTTACCACTGGAGAGTAGGTTCCTAAAAAATACTGAACTAGTTAGACCAAAAATGAAATAGGATTTCTCACAAGTCATTCTATTAGGTTTTTCCTTTGTTTCTCAAAATGTAACTTACCAGCTGCCTTCATCACCTACTGGTAAAAAGATGTGCTGAGGCATTACAATGATCTTCATGACACATTTTCAGAAAATCAAGTAGTAATTGACTTCAGAGTTCAATCAAGTGCATTTTCTTATAGTTGTGCTGGGTTAAAGAATACCAGAAGGTTGCTGACACCCCAGTAGTTTATCACTCAAATGTTGCATCTTGAGATTTGGTACAAAATGAGGTTGAGACATTTCATATTTTTCCAGGAGTCAAGAATTTCTGAAGCATGCCTCTAGGGCTAAAATTTCCAATTTCTGCTCACCATAAACTTCTTTTGAAGGTTTAGGATAAGTATATAATCACGTGTTGCCAAGTATGCACCACTGTAATCTATCGCCCAGGGCCTATGTTTCTGTGGTGGGCAAGACTGAAAGATTAATATCTAGTTTTGATGCTCCAAGTCATTTGTCATTTTATGCCACAGATTGTGCTGTGGCATCTCTGCACAGGCATTTCTGATGTTTGATGACCTCTCTCATCCATGTCTTCATAAGAGTTTAGAGGATTTGGAGAAAGGAATTTGGTGTCACATGACAAGTGAAATTTGAATACAAGATGGTGGTAACCGTAGATATATTATTTCACACCTCTTACATGTTGCTTCAAATTCTTTCAGGTTAACCTGTCTCTAGAGACCTTGGCACTTTGCTTAACTTCGGCTGCTGTTGGAGGAGACCGACTCCTCATGAGCATCTGGGAAGTTCCATTGTCTCAACTGTCACATAAAACCTGGAACTACCCATGTACAAATATTGCTCAATGAAAGATGGTAGAAGCAGACAGGTAAAGTCCCTCTCCATTTCCTTTCTTTCTTTCTTTTTTTAATCTTAAACGTGATTATTTAAATATGTATATTTTTTAATTTTATTATTATTATACTTTCTCCATTTCCTTTCTAATGTTCATTCTAGGGCATGATGTCACTCTGGGGCCTGTTAATTTTGCAAGTAACATAGAGAAGGCTTGTGTCTTTTCATAAAGCAAGAACGTCGATTAATGCATCATGTATTTACTTCCCATTGTTTCTTGCCTCATATGTCTTTTTGCTACTCTCATTTCCTGGTCAAGCATCAATACTCAAGCTTTGCCTCAGGCTCTATTGTCTAGAAAAGGTGGGCTAAGCAGGTACTCCAAAGTAGATTTTTAGAGCTGAATGATGGGTAAAATTTGTGTTTTTGTCATTTTCTCAACATGACTTTTATGCATGAAGGGAAACAAGATAAGATAGAATGTGTTGAGCTAGTACTTAGTCTGGGTTGGCCACCCTGTTAGTTGTTTTACACACACATTTTATACAATAATCTTACAGTCCATTTGAATTTATACCTGTTTTACAGATGAGGAAACTGATGTCTAAAAATTTTCATGTAATATGTTTAAATTCACACAGCTATCAAGTGAACACATTGGGATTGATAGCCAGATTTGTCTCCAAAACCACGTTTTCTCTTTAACCAGTAAATTTGTTTAAATCAGTAATAACATGTGCCAGAAAGAATTTTAATTGCTTTATAAGCATTGATAATAAGTAAATATCTTATTTAACAAGACTCAGAGAATTTATAAGACAAACATGGTTATCTTCTGAATGCTATTCTGCTTGAACTTAATGCTACTCTGCGATTTTAAGATGTAAGAGTCTTTGCCAAGAGTTATAGAGTTGGACTAATATAACCTCCAGTTTCTATAACTGATGTACAAAACCTGTGTATTTAAGATCCAACGTTGAGATATTTTTTCTAAGATAACTTGATAATAACAGTATCCGTAAACTTATCTTGTCATTTTTTCAATTTAGATTTTAAATTCAGGGTTTACATGCTCAGGTTTGTCACAAGGGAATATTGTGTGATGCTGGGGTTTAGGCTTCTATTAATGCTATCACCCAGATAGTGAATATAGTACCAATAGAAAGTATTTTTTAACCCTGGCTTCCCTTTCTAGCTCCCTGCTTTTGGAGTTGCCACTGTTCATCATTCCCATCTTTATGTCCACATGTACCCAATGTTTGCTTCCTACTTATCCGTGGGAACATTGTGATATTTGGTTTTCTGTTTCTGCATTAATTCCCTTAGGATAATGACCTCCAGCTACATCCATGTTTCTGCAAAGGACATGATTTTATTCTTTTTTATGGCTGCATAATATTCCATGGCATAAATGTACCACATTTTGTTTATCCAGTTCACCATTGATTGGCACCCACGTTGATTGCATGACTTTGCTTTTATGAACAGTGCTGTGATAGACGTATGAGTGTTGGTGCTGTTTTAGTAGAATGATTTATTTTCCTTTGGGTATATACCTGGTCATGGGATTGCTGGGTTGAATGGTAGTTCTATTTTTAGTTCTTTGAGATATCTCCAAATTGTTTTCCACAATGCTTGGACTAATTTACATTCCTACCACGAGTTAATGAAAGTCTTGGAGTTAATTTAAGTAATGCATATTGTCCCATAATTTTTCCTGGAATATATTGCGTTATTTACAGATTTACATTCAAAAAAGTAAGTGTGCCTCCAAGAACTTCTTCCCAATAGTTTTTATGGAAGGTGCAAAGTCATAAATTAAAAGTAAAAATGCTCTAGAGGAATACTGTAATCATGTAGGGGATTTTCCATGTTATGTTTTCTGTCCTTCCTTGGCCAAATCTTGCATAATTTGTCTTTGTGAGAAAGTTTAACAGATGTATTTGAATGCATCCACCTTTTGGAATAGTATGGGATTAGCATCAGTTCTTTTGTTTAGAAAGCTCTATGTGGCATTGTCTTTCGTTTGGAAGTGAAATAACATATTAAACTCACATTTACAACGATTATCATCTTGTAAGGTAATGGAAGTTAGAAGAAGCTGTGAATTTAATTAGAATGTTTAGGAAAGGGTACCAAAAGTTGTGCATCTGATATCAGTAGAATGTGAATACATTTTTCAGAAAAGGGAGATATTAGGGAGAAATTTGATTTAAGATATTCTGACCACTCAAATACATTACTGAATTTCAGCATTTAATGAGCTTCTATGATGTCTCACAATTTTAATTATATATAAATAAAATCCTCCAATGCTAGTTTTTAAAATGGAAAGTAAAAAAGACAACTTTTATGTGCACCCTGAGACCTATTCTCTCACTCTACTTTTCAAGGATCTGGGAGAAAAAGGTAAGGAGATTACATGTGGAATATATAAAACAAAAATGAGTTGTTTTGTTTGTTCTGCCTTCTAATGCATGCAGCTATTCTTGTCTCCTTAACGATCCCTCAGTGACGCAGGTGCCAGATTGTATTTTACATTAGATATTCCTGGACCTAATTATTACCAGTTCACTTGTTTCCTGCCCAAATTCTGTTCATAACCCCTTACAGGACTTTACTACCACCTATAAAATATAAGCCATGTAATTATTTTAAGAGATTTCTGCCTTTGTCTTACAAGAGAATGTGTTGAAGCAAATGTGGTATGATATGATTATTTGAAGTTTTATCAAATGCACTTGCAGTTCTCTATACTTATTTTTACTTTCACCTCTTAGCATTTCACCCATACAGTCAGACGCCTTCACTGCAGGCAAGAAACACAAAGCAGAAAAACAAAAGAAAACAAAGAGTCCTTTTAAGATATCTCAATCTTTAGTTTTCAATTATAAAAATGCAGGTGCTAAAGAACTCAGGAAATCTAAAATCCATGGTGCTATAAAAGAAAAACTTCTTTTTTTAAAATCTAACTGAAAAACATTCCTAGGATAAGGGAGAATAAATCACTTCGTGCTGATGGATCCCATGGAAAGGGTACTGCTACATTCCAAGGGAAGGAGAAAGCTATTTGTCTGAGGAGAAACCCTCAGACAAATCGGAGAAGCAGGAATCTCAAGCAGGAATCCCGTGTGACCAACTTTCCCATACAATCCCAGGTAAATCCTAGGAAAATAGGAGTCTGGTGGAGAGTGTCTGGGCAGATTTTTCTGAGTTGGCCTCATATGTTTTACTGAGGCTCAGAGCTGATGGGAGCAGTAGAATATTTCCCATGTGGCAGAAGTGGCCAACAATGACCCGAGTAAATCAGTAATGGAACCAAAGATGGGCATAAGTATTAACAGATGAGATGCCAATATGTATATTTGATACCACCAACGATCAGCTGTATGACCTCTCTGTTCCACACTGTGATGTTATGAAGTCAAATTTAGGTGTAACTCCAGGGGAAGGGTGATGAAAATTGAGATTATTTGGCAGAATGGGACCAAAAAGAAAAAAAATTTAGTTATGACAAACAATGTTTATTTATTTATTTTGCACTAGGATTTATGGATAAAACTTGTATCCATTTTTCCCCTTTATCCCCCCTCAAAATTCTACCCCTCACTTCAGAGGAAGGGAGTAATTACTAGATTATTGCCAGTGTTGTGCTGGTGAATGCTTAATACATAACTTTTCAGAAAACAAGAAGCTCATAATTTTAGCATTTGCCAATATTCATGGAGTGATTTTTAAGCCGCCAACTTCTGATGTAGTTAGTAGATGTATAGATGATGTATAGATAGAGATATAAGTATGGGCAGTTGAATGGATAGATAGATGGATGATGGATGGGTGAATAGATGCATGAATGGATAGATGTATGGAAGGACAGATGGGCAGATGGGTGGAAAACTGGGTGGTTGGATGGTTGAAGTAAGAGTCCCCAGACACAGTTATTAAAGTGCTACTGACCTATTTAATTTTAAGCTACCATCACTGCACATGAAAATGGGAAAGAGATGCAAAAAATCATCTCTTACAAGTTGGTACCAACCAGCTTCAGCTCATCATTGGCTATTGTCCATATGTACATGAAGCAGATCCTTTTTCTTTTTTAACTTTTATTGTAGGTTCAGGAGTACAAGTACAGGTTTGTAATATAGGTAAACTCTTGTCACAGGGGCTTGTTGTACAGATTATTTTGTCACCCAGGTACTAAGCCTAGTACCAAATAGCTATTTTTTCTGATCTTCTCCTTCGTCCCACCCTTGATCCTCAGGTAGATCCTCAGGGGACCCTTGATCCCCTCTTTGTGTTCATGAATTCTCATCATTTAACTCCCACTTACATGTGAGAACATGTGATATTTGGTTTTCTGTTCGTGCTTTAGTTTGCTAAGGATAATGGTCTCCAGCTCCATCCATGTCCTTGCAAAGGACATGATCTTGTTCCCTCTTATGGCTGCATAGTATTCCATGGGGTAGATGTACCATATTTTCTTTATCCAGTTTACCATTGATGGGAATTTAGGTTGATTCCATGTCCTTGCTATTGTGAATAGTGCTGCAATGAACATACAAATGCATGTGTCTTTATGATAGAATGATGTATATTCCTTTGGGTACATACCCAGTAATGGAATTGTTAGGTTGAATGGTAATTCTGTTCTTAGCTCTATAAGGAATTGCTACACTGCTTTCCACGATGGTTGAACTAATTTACATTCCCACCAGCACTCTATAAACATTACCTTTTCTCTGCAACCTCATCAGCATCTTTTTTTTTTTTTTTTGTCTTTTTAATAGTAGCCACTCTGACTGGTGTGAGATGGTATCTCATTGTGGTTTTGATTTCTTCAATGATCAGTGATGTTGAGCTTTCTTTCACATGCTTTTTGGCTGCATGTATGTCTTGTTTTGAGAAGTGTCTGTTCATGTCCTTTACTCACTTTTTAATGGTTTTTTTCTTGTAAGTTTAAGTTCATATAGATGCTGGATATTAGACCTTTGTCAGATGGATAGATTGCAAAAATTTTCTTCTATTCTGTAGGTTGTCTGTTTACTATGTCGATAGTTTCTTTTGCTGTGCAGAAGCTCTTTAGTTTAATTAAATCCCATTTGTCAATTTTTGATTTTGTTGCAATTGCTTTTGTCTTTTTTAATAAAACCTTTGCCTGTTCCTATGTCCAGAATGATATTGCCTAGGTTGTCTTCTAGGGTTTTTATAGTTTTAGGTTCTACATTTAAGTCTTTAATTCATTTTCAGTTAATTTTTGTATACGACATAAAGGGAGGGGTTCAGTTTCAATTTTCTGGGTATAGCTAGTCAGTTATTCCAGCACCATTTAATGAACAGAGAGCTTTGCCCATTGCTTGTTTTTGTCAGCTTTGTTGAAGATCAGACAGTTGTAGGTGTGCAGCCTAATTTCTGGACTCTCTATTCTGGACTCTCTATTATAGGTGTGAGCCACTGTGCCCAGCCCTGAGCAGTGTTTTGTAGTTCTCCTTGTGGAGATTTTTTACCTCCCTGGTTAGCTGTATACCTAGGTATTTTATTCATTTTTTTGGCAATTGTGAATGGGATTGTGTTCTTGTTTGGCTGTTGGCTTGGCTGTTGTGCCTATTTTTGACCAGTACCATGCTGTTTTGGTTAGTGTAGCCCTGTAGCATAGTTTGAAGTTGGGTAACATGATGCCTCCAGCTTTGCTCTTTTTGCTTAGTATTGCCTTGGCTATTCAGGCTCTCGTTTGGTTCCATATGAATTTTAAAATAGTTTTCTTCTAGTTCTGTGAAGAATGTCATGAGTAGTTTGACAGAAATAGCATTGAATTTGCAAATTGCTTTGGGCACTGTGGCCATTTTAATAATATTCTTTCCATCCATAAGCATGGCATGTTTTTCCATTTGTTTGTGTCATCTCTGATTTCTTTGAGCAGTTTTTTTTGTTGTTGTTGTTTTTTGTTTTTGTTTTTGTTTTTTTGAGACAGAGCCTCACTCTGTTGCCCAGGCTGGAGTCCAGTGGTGTGATCTGGGCTCACTGCAACCTCTGCCTCCCAGGTTCAAGTGATTCTCCTACCTCAGCCTCCTGAGTAGCTGGGAGGATTACAGGCGCATGCCGCTATACCCAGCTAATTTTTATATTTTTAGTAGAGACAGGGTTTTGCCATGTTGGCCAGGCTGGTCTCGAACTCTTGACCTCAGGTGATCTGCCTGCCTCAGCCTCCCTAAGTGCTGGTATTATAGGTGTGAGCCACTGTGCCCAGCCCTGAGCAGTGTTTTGTAGTTCTCCTTGTGGAGATTTTTTACCTCCCTGGTTAGCTGTATACCTAGGTATTTTATTCATTTTTTTGGCAATTGTGAATGGGATTGTGTTCTTGTTTGGCTGTTGGCTTGGCTGTTGTTGGTGTGTAGGAATGCTAGTAATTTTGGTTTACCAATTTTGTATCCTGAAGCATTGCTGAAGTTGTTTATCAGCTTACAGAGCTTTTTGGGTGTGACTATGGGGCTCTCTAGATATAGAATCACGTCATCTGCAAACAGGGATAGTTTGACTTTCTCTCTTCCTATTTAGATGTCCTTTACTTCTTTCTCTTGCCTAATTGCTCTGGCCAGGACTTCCAATACTGAGTTGAATATGAGTGATGAAAGAGGGCATCCTTGTCTTTGTCAGTTTTCAAGGGGAATACTTACAGCTTTTCCCCATCCAGGATGATGTTGGCTGTGGGTTTGCAAAGATTGCTCTTATTATTTTGAGGTAAGTTCCTTCAATTCCTAGTTTATTTAGTTTTTAACATGAAGGTATGTTTAATTTTTATCAAATTTTTTCTGTAACTATTGAGATAATTATGTAGTTTTTGTCTTTAGTTCTTTTTATGTGATGAATCATATTTATTGATTTGTGTATGTTGAACCAACTTTGCATCCCAGGGATAGAGCCTACTTTATTGTGGTGGATTAGTTTTTTGATATGCTGCTGGATTCCATTTGCAATTATTTTGTTGAGGATTTTTGCATTGATGTTCATCAAGGATATTGGCTTGAATTTTTCTTTTTTTGTTGTATCTCTGTCAGGTTATGGTATGAGGATGATGCTAGCCTCATAGAATAAGTTGGAGAGGAGACTGTCCTCAATATTTTGGAATAGTTTCAGTAGGAAACTTTTCTTTGTCCCAGCTCTTCTTTGCACATCTGGCAGAATTCGGCTGTGGATCCATTAGGTAGTGGGCTTTCTTTTCTTGCTTTTTTTTTTTTTTTTTTTTTTTTTGGTTGGTTGGTAGGCTATTTGTTACTGATTCAATTTTAGAGCTCCTTATTTGTTTGTTCAGGTATTCAATTTCTTCCTCCTGGTTCAGGCTTGCGAGGGTGTATGTCTCCAGAAAATCATTTTTTTTTCTGGATTTTCTAGTTTGTGTGCACAGAGGTGTTCATAGAAGTGTCTGGTGGTTATTTGTATTTCTCTTGGGTCAGTGGTAACATCCTGTTTGCTGTTTCTAATTGTGTTTATGTGAATCTTCTCCCTTTCTTCTGTATTAGTCTAGCTAGCAGTGTATGTGTTTAATTTTTTCAAAAAACCAGCTTGTTTTGAATTTTTTGTGTGTGTCTCAATATCTTTCAGTTCAGCTCTGATTTTGGTTATTCCTTGTCTTCTGCTAGCCTTGGAGTTGGTTTGCTCTTGCTTCTCTAGTTCTTTTAGTTGTAATGTTAGGTTGTTAATTTCACATATTTCTAACTTTTTGATGTGGGCATTTAGTGCTACAAATTTTCTTAATATGGCTTAGCTGTGTCCCAGGGATTCTGGTATGTTGTATCTTTGTTCCATTAGTTTCAAAGAACTTCCTGATTTCTGCCTTAATTTCATTATTTGTCCCAAAGTCAATCAGGAGCAGGTGGTTTAATTTCCATGCAGTTATATGGTTTTAAGTTATTTTCATTGTGTTGACTTCCATTTTTATTGTGCTGTGGTCTGAGAGTGTGTTTGATATGTTTTTTTGTGTGTGCTTTGCTGAGGATTGTTTTATGTCCAATTATATGGTTAATTTTAGAGTACATGCCATGTAGCAATGTTAATGTATATTCTGTAATGAGTGGAGAGAATGGACTGATATCTATCAGAGAATGGACTGATGTCTATCAGGTTCATTATCAGTGTTGAATTCTTATCCTGAATATCTTTGTTAATTTTCTGCCTTGATGATCTGTCTAACACTGTCAGCAGGGTGTTGAAGTCTCCCACTATTATTGTGTGGGAGTCTAAGTCTCCTTGGAGGTCTCTAAGAACTTGCCTATGAATCTGAGTGCTCCTGTGTTGTCTGGATATATTCTCAGGATAGTTAGGCCTTCTTGTTGAATTGAACCCTTTACCATTATATAATGCCCTTCTTTGTCTTTTTTGATATTTGTTGGTTTAAAGTCAGTTTTGTCTGAAATTACAGTTGCAACCCTTGCCTTTTTCTGTTTTCCATTTGCTTGTTAGATTTTTCTCCATCCTTTTATTTTGAGCCTATGGGTGTCATTGCATGTGAAATAGGTCTCTTGAAGATAGAATACTATTGGGTCTTGCTTTTTTATCCAGCTTGCTAGTCTGTCCCTTTTAAATGGTGCATTTAGCCCATTCACATTCAAGGTTAGTATTGGTGTGTGTGGATTTGATCCTGTTATCATGTTGTTACCTTGTTATTAGGCTGGCTTGTTTGTGTGATTGCTTTATAGTGTCACTGGTCTGTGTGCTTAAGTGTGTTTTTGTAGTGCCTGGCTGGTAATGGTCTTTCCATATTTAGTGCTTCTCTTGGGAACTCTTATAAGGCATGTCTGGTGGTAACAAAGTCCCTCACTCAGTGTTTGCTTGTCTAAAAAGGATCTTATTTCTCCTTCGCTTATGAAGCTTAGTTTGGCTGGATATGAAATTCTTGGTTGAAATTTGTTTTCTTTAAGAATGCTGAATATAGGCCCCAGTCTCTTCTGGCTTGTAGGGTTTCATTGAAAGGTCTGCTGTGGTTCTTTCTCTCTAGCTGCCTTTAATATTTTTTTCTTTTGCTTTGATCTTGGCAAATCTGATGATTATTTTTATTGGGCAATATCGTCTTGTGAAATATCTTGTGGGGGTTCTCTGCATTTCCTGAATTTGAATGTTGGACTCTCTAGCTAGGTTGGGGAAGTTCTTGTGGATGATATTCTGAAATGTTTTCAAAGTCGCTTCCATTCTCCTCACCTCTTCCAGGGACACCAATAAGTCATAGATTTGTTCTCTTTACATAATCACATATTTCTTGGAGTTTTTGTTTGTTCCTTTTCATTATTTTTTCTATATTTTTGTCTACGTTATTTCAGAAAGCCAGTCTTCAAGCTCTGTGGTTATTTTCTCAGCTTTGTTTGTTCTGGTGTTAATAATTGCATTTACATTATTAAATTCTTGTAGCTTGTCTTTTGGCTCTATCAGATTGGTTATGTTCTTTTCTGTACCGGCTATTTTATCTGTCAGCTCCTGAATTATTTTATTGTTATTCTTAGCTTCCTTTGACTGGGTTTCAATGTTCTCCTGAATATTGATGATCTTCATTCCTATTCATATTCTGAATTCTATTTCTGTCATTTCAGCCATCTGAGTCTGGTTAAGAACCCTTGTTGGAGAGCTAGTGTGATCATTTGGAGGAAATGAGGCACTCTGGCTTTTTCAGTTGTCAGAGTTCTTTCACTGGTTCTTTCTCATCTTTGTGGGCTGATGTTCCTTCAATCTTTGAAGTTGCAGTCTGTTTGATTTTTTTTTCCTGTATCCTATTTGATGACCTTTGGGATTTGATCATGGTATAAGGTGAGTTCAGTCAAATGGCTTCATTTCTGGAAGATTTTGTGGGGGGTACCAAGGCTTAGCTCAGGACTTCTGGACTGTGTGCTCTAATTCTGGGGGACTGGAACTGGCCCCTGGCTTTGCTCTCTGGCTCCTTGAGATTAGGAACCTGCTGTGGTGGAGGGGTCAAGGTGTTACTGGATTGCTGTTCACAGCACTCTGATGGGTGGTGCCAGCCAACCACTTCATAGGGTGGTGGCAGCAGGATCCATCCTCTTTTGGAAAAATGATATAGTTCTATTCTAAGATGTTAAAGTTCTAAGCTTATCTAGACTGTATGTTTATTAGGGCAATTACAACCTATGGATAATATAATATACTTGCTGGGCTATATTTTATTTTATTTTATTATTATTTTTTTGTTTTTTTGTTTTTTTTGTTTTTTTTTTTTGAGACGGAGTCTCGCTCTGTCGCCCAGGCCGGACTGCGGACTGCAGTGGCGCAATCTCGGCTCACTGCAAGCTCCGCTTCCCGGGTTCACGCCATTCTCCTGCCTCAGCCTCCCGAGTAGCTGGGACTACAGGCGCCCACCACCGCGCCCGGCTAATTTTTTGTATTTTTAGTAGAGACGGGGTTTCACCGTGTTAGCCAGGATGGTCTCGATCTCCTGACCTCATGATCCGCCCACCTCAGCCTCCCCCTCCAGGCACTTTTTAAGGGAAATACAGGAGTTATCCTCAATAAAAATGAGCAATGATTCATGAATCTATTAACTGAAGGAAGTTAGACCTAAAAGAGGAATCTACGCTCTTCTGTTTTCTCTACTAGTCAGATAACAATACCTTATGTATGTATATGCATGATGCTTTGTCACTTAAAAATTACCTATACTTTGCCAAATTAAATATGCACAGTAAGTTATAGATGTTCATCATTCTCATTTCTCAGGTCAGAAACAGAAATTTATAAAATCTGATTTTTTTCAAGATCACAGAATTAGAAACCAGCAAGACTAGAATGCAAATCCATATTCTTTGAGTCAAAATTTAAATCTCTTCCTGCTACCTTTTGGCTTCTTTAATTGCTGTGTGATTATATATAATAGGAGCTAAGGGAAGACTTGTTCATCACTTTTGCTGTCCAGCTAATGTATATGGATAATTTGTCTGATCAATTGCATATCAAAATTGACCTCAATTAGAACACAGTTCACATAAATACTTCAGAAAAAAAGATTATCTAGTGTTCTTGCTGTGGGCACTGCCAGTATTGCGATACATACTACTCTGGATATTTATTTTCTGCCAGTGTGGTGATACATGAAATACTATGAAAAATTAGAAGATCTATGAGGGGAAGAATGTGGATCCTTATCTTTTTCCGGACCAAAGAGAATTTTGAAAGCTAAGAATTTATTTATTTGAAGATGAAACTAATGTAGGCCCCATGAATAACTTAAGACTGAATTAATCTAATCATTATCTGTTCAATCCACACTGAAAATCTTGTCTTCTATTTCTTTTTCAATATTCTTTATTCAAAAGGTAAGTGGAAATATTTTATTTCCATGTTACATTTGCTGAATTGGACTAAATAGCTACATTTTTGGTATTTTAGGCTGTACAATGTTATGTATCCAGGAAACCTTCCACAAAAATATCAAGTTTATGCTCCCCTTTTAAAACACATGCGTATGTTAAGAAAAACAGAATGTCTCTATTTTCTTTATTTTAAAAATATAGTTATCAAAATATTTCTTCTTGAAGTATTTGATGTACCAGAAGTTTTAAAGCTTTTATGATGTCTGTGCCAGATGTAAGATTTTATTGAAGTTCAAAACACTGAAGCATTAGATTTAGATTGATCCTGTACTTGGGCTCACCATACACTCTCATTTATTCTTGCTTTTTGTAAATATGGTGGTTCCTTTCCCATGTTAGCTCTTTTTTGAAAGGCCATTAAAATGAGGAAAGCTGAAGAAATATTTTAAAGTATGCACATATGTTTTTAAAAGTCTAAATAGTTATTGAGGTATAATAGACATACAATAAATTGCACATATTCAAAATGTACAACATGAAAAATTTTGACAACTGTGTACCATAAAACCATCACTGCATCAGAGTGACAAATGTATCTACCACCTCCAAAAGTTTCTATGTGCTTTTGTGTTTTCTTCCTCCTGTTATTTCGCACTATACCCCCATCTGCTGGCAATTGCTGTCTGATGTCCATCAGTACAGAACAGTTTGCTTTTTTTTTTTTTTTGAGACGGAGTTTCGCTCTTGTTGCCCAGGCTGGAGTTCAATGGTGCTATCTCGGCTCACTGCAAACTCTGCCTCCTGGGTTCAAGCGATTCTCCTGTCTTAGCCTCCCGAGTAGCCGGGATTAGAGGCATGTGCTACCATGCCCGGCTAATTGTGTATTTTTTGTAGAAATGGGGTTTCTCCACGTTGGTCAGGCTGGTCTCAAACTCCTGACCTCAGGTGATCCGCCTGCCTCGGCCTCCCAAAGTGCTGGCATTATAGGCATGAGCCATGGCGCCCAGCCTAGTTTGCATTTTTAAGTTGGTATGAGTGGAATCATGGAACACACAACTCTCCTTTGTCTTATTTACTCACTCAACACAACACTACACATACTCATCTGTTTTGGGTACATCAACTGTTCAGTTGTGAATAAGTGAGTTTAGCAAGGTTGAAGGATACAAGATCAACATGTGAAGAACAACTGTATTTGTATATACTAACAGTGAATGATCATTGGTGGGTGGTACTCACCATGTGGCTATACCACAGTGTGTTTATCCATTTATCTGTTAATTAACATTTGGGGCGCAATTAACCTTATGTACATGTCTTTGTATAGGACATATGCTTTCATTTCTCCTGAGCAATATCTAGAAATGGCTGGTGCATACTTACACATAGGTGATAGATCATACATATAGCTGGTGTATGTTTAACTTTTAATTAATTCATTTATTTGTAGAGATGGAGGAATCTTGTGATGCTGCCCAGCCTGGTCATCAACTCCTGGGCTCAAGGTGTCCTCCTACCTCAGCCTCTCTAGAAGCTGGGACTATCAGCACATATCACTGTGACTGACTCTTGCTTAACTTTTAAAAATATCCCTAAACTATTTCCCTTAAGTGCTTATACCATTTCATATTCTTACCAGCTGTGAGCGTTCAAGTTGTTTCACATCCTTGCCTACACACTTGGTGCTATGGGCTGAATTGTGTCTGTGATGGTTAGTATTGAGTGTCAACTCGATTGGGTTGAAGGATGCAAAGAATATTTGTGGGTGTGTCTGTGAGGGTGTTGTCAAAGGAGATTAACATTTGAGTCAGTGGACTGGGAGAGGCAGACCCATCCCCAATCTGGGTGGGCACATCTATTCAGCTGCCAGCACAGCTAGACTAAAACAGGCAGAAGAAGATAGAAGGAGCAGACTTGCTGAGTCTTCTGGCCTTCATCTTTCTCCCATGCTGGATGCTTCTTGCCCTTGTATATCAGACTCCAAGTTCTTCAGCTTCTGGACTCACACCAGTGGTTTGCCAGTGTCTCTTGGACCTTAAGCCACAGATGGAAGGCTGCACTGCTGGCTTCCCTACTTTTGAGGTTTTGGGACTTGGACTGGCTTTCTTGTTCCTCAGCTTGCAGACGTCCTATTGTGTCTGAAATTGGTGGGCTCTTGGTCTCACTGACTTCAAGAATGAAGCCGCGGACCCTCGCGGTGAGTGTTACAGCTCTTAAGGTGGCGCGTCTGGAGTTTGTTCCTTCTGACGTTCGGATGTGTTTGGAGTTTCTTCCTTCTGGTGGGTTCGTGGTCTCGCTGGCTTTAGGAGTGAAGCTGCAGACCTTTGCGGTGAGTGTTACAGCTCTTAAGGCAGCACGTCTGGAGTTATTCGTTCCTCCCGGTGGGCTCGCGGTCTCGCTGGCTTCAGGAGTGAGGCTGCAGACCTTCGCGGTGTTACAGCTCATAAAAGCAGTGTGGACCCAAAGAGTGAGCAGTGGCAAGATTTATTGCAAAGACAAAAGAACAAAGCTTCCAAAGTGTGGAAGGGGACCCGAGCGAGTTGCCACTGCTCGCTGGGCAGCCTGCTTTTATTCTCTTATCTGGCCCCACCCACATCCTGCTGATTGGTAGAGCTGAGTGGTCTGTTTTGACAGGGCGCTGATTGGTACCTTTACACTCCCTGAGCTAGACACAAACGTTCTCCACCCCCACCAGATTAGTTAGATACAGAGTATGGACACAAAGGTTCTCCAAGGCCCCACCAGAATAGCTAGATACAGAGTGTCGATTGTTGCATTCACAAACCCTGAGCTAGACACAGGGTGCTGATTGGTGTGTTTACAAACCTTGAGCTAGATAGAGTGCTAATTGGTGTATTTACAATCCCTGAGCTAGACATGAAGGTTCTCCATGTCCCCACCAGACTCAGGAGCCCAGCTGGCTTCACCCAGTGGATCCCTCACTGGGGCTGCAGGTGGAGCTGCCTGCCAGTCCCTGTGCAGTGCGCCCACACTCCTCAGCCCTTGGGTGGTCCATGGGGCTGGGCGCCGTGGAGCAGGGGGCGGCGCTCATCGAGGAGGCTCGGGCCGCACAGGAGCCCACGGATTGGGTGGGAGGTTCAGGCATGGCGGGCTGCAGGTCCCGAGCCCTGCCGCGCGGGAAGGCAGGTAAGGTCCCGCTAGAAATCAAGCGCAGCGCCAGCGGGCCGGCACTGCTGGGGGACCCAGTACACCCTCTGCAGCCGCTGGCCCGGGTGCTAACCCTCTCATTGCCCGGGCCGGCAGGGCCCTCCGGCTGCTCCGAGTGCGGGGCCGCCAAGCCCACGCCCACCCGGAACTCCAGCTGGCCCGCAAGCGCCGTGCGCAGCCCCAGTTCCCGTTGGCTCCTCTCCCTCCATACCTCCCTGCAAGCTGACAGAGCAGGCTGTGGCCTTGGCCAGCCCAGAAAGGGGTTCCCACAGTGCAGCGGTGGGCTGAAGGGCTCCTCAAGTGCCGCCAAAGTGAGAGCCCAGGCAGAGGAGGCGCTGAGAGCGAGCAAGGGCTCTGAGGACTGTCAGCACGCTGTCACCTCTCACTATTGTGAGACTTCACGTTGTGATGGTGTGAGTCAATACTCCTTATTAAACTTTCTTTCATATATACATCTATCCTATTAGTCCTATCCCTCTAGAGAACAGTGACTAATACAATATCCTTTTCCAAATTTATATGTAAATTATATCTTAATAAAGCTGTTGTCTGGGCACAGTGGCTCACACCTGTAATCCCGGAACTTTGGGAGGCCAGGATGGGCAGATCACCTGAGGTCAGGAGTTCAAGACCAGCATGGCCAACATGGTGAAATCCCATCTCTACTAAAAGTATAAAAATTAGCTGGTTGTAGTGGCAGATGCCTGTAATCCCAGCTACTTGGGAGGCTGAGGCAGGAGAATCGCTTGAACCTGGGAGGCGGAGGTTGCGGTAAGCTGAGATCACACCACTGTACTACAGCCTGGATGACAGAGTGAGACTCTGTCTCAAAAAAAAAAAAAAAAAAAGCTGTTACAAAAAATTATTGTCTAACCAAGGCTACAAAGATTTTTTTCCTATGCTTTCACTAGAAATTTCATTTTTTATCTTATGCTTATATCTATAATTTGTATCCATTTTTGTATATAATGCAATATATTAATAGAAGCTGTTTTTTTAAAAAACATGCATATATAATTATTCCAGTATTAATTGATGAAAAGACTATATTAAATTTACTTTATGTCTTTGCAGAAAAACAACTGTGGGTCTATTTTTAGATTCTCTATGCTGTTCTATAATTGTTTGTCTATCTTGATGCCAATACCACACTGTCTTTTTTGCCATAGTTTGATAATAAGTTTTGAAGTCAAGTACCATAAGTCTTCTGAATCTGCTGTTTTTGAAAGTTGTTTTGAATCTCCTCATTTATATTCCATATGAATTTTAGAATCGGCATATCAATTTCTACCACAAAAAACATGCTGAAATTTTGATTGAGATTGTTTTGGATCCCACATGGTAGTGGCACCTTTGGTAAAATTGACGAACTTACGTGGGCATATTATTATTATCCAAAGTTTACAGTTTACATTAGGTTTCACTCTTGGTATTATACATCATAGGAGTTTGGATGAAAGTCCAAAAAGAATAATGACATTTATCTACCATTATAGTGTAATATGAAGTTTTGTGTTTTACATCTAGTCTATAATCTATTTAGAAATAATTTTTGTGAAAGGTATAAGTTCTGTGTATAGATTCATCAAATGTTTGGCATGTGGATGTTCAGTTACACTACCCGAAAAATCCTCTGTGCTCTTCCTATTCGTTTTTCCCTTCCTCTTACCCTTGGCGATCACTGTTCTTCTTACTGCCTCCATGGCACAAAGTTTTGCCTTTTCCTGAATGTCATATAGTTGGAGTCATGAAGTACTTAGCCTTTTCCGATTGGCTTCTTTCACTTAGTAATATGCATTTAGGGTTTCTCCTTCATGTCTTTTTATGGTACTGAATAATATTTCACTGTCTGGATGGATGTGCCACAGTTTATCTGTTTGCTCAAAAAGTAACATCTTTGTGGCTTCCAAGTTTTGACAATTATGAATAAAGCTGCTATAAACATCCATCTGTAGATTTTTGTAAGTGCAGATTTTGATTTATATAAATAAACACCAAGGAGTGTGAATGCTGAATCACATGGTAAAAGTATGTTTAATTTTGTAAGAAACTGCCAAACTGTCTTCCAAACAGATTGGCTGTACTCTTTTGCATTACCACCAGCATAAGTGGTGAAGAAGTTTCTGTTCCTCCGCATCTTTGTCAGCATTTCGTGTTGTCAATGTTTTAGATTTTGAGCATTATAATAAGTATGTAGTCATCTCATTGTTTTGATTTGCATTTCCCTGATGACATATTATGTTGAATGTCCTTTTATATGCTTATTTGCCATATATAATTCTTGTGGGGTGGCTGTTTAGGTCTTTTGCCCAATCTTTAATCAGATTGTTCATTTTTTTATTGATGAAGTTTAGAAGTTCTTTGCATATTTTAACAGTCCTTTATCAGATGTGTCTCTTGCAAATATTTTTTCATAGTCTGTGACTTGTCTTCATATTCTCTTGTCTTTTACAGAGCAGAAATTTTTAAATATTAACGAAGTCCTGTTTATCAATTACTTCTTTCATAAATTGAACCTTTGGTGTTGTATATAAAAAACCATCACCCTACCCAAGTTCATCTAGGTTTTCTTCTATGGTGTCTTCTAGAAGTTTTAAAGCTTCACATTTCACATTTAGGTCTATGAGCCATTTAGAGTTCATTTTTCTGAAGGGTGTAAGATCTGTGTCTAGATTTATTTTTTTTGCATGTGGATAACCAGTTGTTGCATTGCCATTTGTTGAAAAGGTTATCTCTTCTCCATTGTATTGCCTTTGCTCCTTTGTCAAAGATCAGTTGACTCTATTTATGTGGGTCTATTTCTGGGCTCTCTGTTATGTTCCACTGAACTGTTTTTTTTTTCACCAATATCACACTGTGGTAATTACTGCCACTATATTGTAAGTCTTGAAGTCAGGTAGTATCAGTCTTTGGACTTTGTCTTCTCCTTCAATATTGAGTTGAATCTCTTGCCTGTCCCTATAGATAATAAAATTAGTTCACTCATATCCATAAAACAACTTGTTGGGATTTTGATTGGGATTGTATTAAATCTATTAAACTGACATCTTGATAGTACTGAGTCTTCCTATCCTTCAACATGGCATATTTTTCAATTTATTTCTTTTTTCTTTTTGATTCCTTTCATCAGAGTTTTGTAGTTTTCCTTTTGTAGATCTTGCACATACTTTGGTAGATTTATCTGAGGAGCTCATTTTTTTTGGTGCTAATTTAAATAGTAATGAGTTTTTAATCTCAAATTTCACTTTTTCATTACTGGTATATAAAATGTGATTGGCTTTTACATATTAACTTTATATCCTGAAACCTTGCTATGAAATCACTTATTAGTTCCCAGAAGTTTTGTTGTTCAGATTTTCTCTACAATCATGTCATCTGTGCACAAAGACAGTTTCTCTTCACTTCCAGTTTGTATGCCTTTTTTTTTCTGTCTTCTTGCATTAGCTAGGACTTCCAGTATAATATGTGAAAAGGAGTGGTAATCGGGGACATTCTTGTCATGTTCCTGATCTTAGCAGGAAAGCTTCAAGTTTATCACTATTAAATATAAAGTGGCAGGGCGCGGTGGCTCACTCCTGTAATCCCAGCACTTTGGGAGGCCGAGGCAGGTGGATCACTTGAGGTCAGGAGTTTGAGAGCAGCCTGGCAAATATGGTGAAACCACATCTCTACTAAAAATACAAAAATTAGCCGGACGTGATGGTGTGCGCCTGTAGCCCCAGCTACTTGGGAGGCTGGGGCAGGAGAATTACTTGAACTCGGGAGGTGGAGGTTGCAGTAAGCTGAGCTTGTGCCATTGCACTCCAGCCTGAGTGTCACAGGGAGATGCCATCTCAAATAACAATAATAATAAATATATATATATATAAAGTTAGCTTTGGGTTCTTTATTTTTTTTTTAAATCAAGTTGAGGAAATTATTCTCTATTTTTAATTTGCTGAAATTTTTTTTTTTTTAAGCCATAAATGGTTTTGGATTTTGCAAAATGGTTTCTCTGGACCCACTGATATGATTGCATCATATTTTTCTTTAACCTGTTCATGTGATTGATTATATTACTTCATTTTCAAATGTTGAGTCAACCTTACATATCTGGAATAAATCCCACTCAGGCATACTTTATAATTCTTTCTATACATTCTTGCTAATATTTTGCTGAGGATTTTTGCATCAATGTTCATGAGACATATTGGTCTGTAGTTTTCTTGTAATGTCTTTGTCCGCTCCTCTGCCCTGTCAACCACAGCTATCTTGGCCTCCTTGAACTTCCAGCTTTAGCTCCACCCAGAGAGACTGCTGATTCCACCTCAGTTTCTCCTCACTGCACTTCAGTCTGGAAACTTTCTCCAGATAATACACTGGGCTAATTGTGTGGCACATCTAATTTTTTCCTCATCTCTCAGGGATTACTCATCTTTCCTGACTATTGTTCAAATTGTTAACGATGACTGTTTCATAGCTTTTCTATTTTTTAGTTGTTTCAGGAAGTAGAATAAATCTAGACACTCTCCAGTATGGCTAAAAAGAGTAGTCTTCCTTTCTTACTTTTAACCAAAAAAAGCCCCTCTTTACCCAATTGCTTAGCTTGAACCCAAGTTGCAAAACACAAAGGCGCCCATTGGAGGAAGAAATAGACTTGGGGAAGAAACTATAGTAGTGAACCAAGAAATGAACCAAAGGAAGAGTCAGAAAGAAACTTGAATCACTTATCTGTCAGTCTGAAGGCAAACAGACCATACTTAGTCACTTCTTTCTTCCTCAGTCTACATCACTTTAAAGTTACCTTTTAATTAACTTTCTATGAAAATATATTTTAAGGTAACTTAAGTTTCCTTTTTGCTAGTCTAGGCATTTGAAGGTAGGTGTTCAGACCCCAGATTAGATGCAAGCCTAGTAATGCAGAATTTAAAAAAGTAAGAGGGAACAGGACCAAATTGAATTTTGTGAGAAAACTAACATTTCAGGCAAGGCTTGATCATCTTGAGACCTCATTGCCAATTTTGTTTTGAAATCTATTACCAATGAGGTGATTTCAACATGACAACATGTATTTTGAAAAGGGACCCAATTGGGAATGAGTGGAAACAGGTATTTGTAAAGTAAAAGTTAACTTAATCAGCAAAAAAACTCAAAACAAAAATTTGAAAAATAATTTAAATGAAAAATTAAAGTTTATTATAAAGGGTTAGAGATAAGCATTTATAAGTAGGGTTTAAAAGCTCACATAGAGGCATATATTTTCTTAAAGAAGTCATGTTAGAATCATTTTGCTAAAATATCACATCTGTCTTACAGAAATTACAACAGAAAAGCAACAAGATTACAAAATCATTTCAAAATAAATATTGTACCAACCTAATGGAAAAACATCTGTGCTGTTTTAGCTTATTACAGCAGTTTGTCATGACAATTTATAGATAAGTATGCAATTTTTCTTAGATTTATTATTGGAAACTTCTACTTATAGGTCTGTGGTTTAAGACAGGAAATGTGTTTTGATTGATTATCCTGAAAAGAAATTGGTAGGCCAAATGTTGAAACCATGAAAACATTAGGAGATGAAGTAACAGTTGAAAAAATGAACTGCACTTTGGAAGAACTCACAGGAGTAGTGATGATTGTACCACTAAATCTTGTGCTTGTTTACCAAAGTTGAGAGAGAAAAATTTCAGTTGAACTAGTATGTAGAGTGATACTCTGGTTTCTCTTGAGATGGTATAAATCTTTTGCCTTTTACTAGTATGTAGAGTGATATGAGAATTCCCTCTAATAGGCAAGTGAATGGAGAGTAGATAATATAACAACTGAGAAAATATAATCCTTAACCCTTCAAAAGAAAATATTTCTTCAAGAAGTGGGTACAAGCAAAGCAATTCAATAAATTAGAAATACATTATGATTATAAGGACAGTGCATTTAGAGTTCCCAATGACCTGATTTAACTATTAAAAATATACACAGGCAAACCATACACTAAATCATAATAGCCGATTTTAGAATTCCTCTCAGGAAGAGCACTGTCTTAGCTTGAGTGGCTGTAGATAGTAAGATCCTTAGGATATGGGTTGGTAGGCACAAAGAATAAGTACATCTTCATATAATAACAAACAAGCATGTAACAAACAGGAATTTGGTAATTGAGAGGACAGCAGAAATGAGAGAAAAGAGAAAGTAAGAGAAAGTTGAATTACATAGTGAAATTCTGGAGCCCAAATTGGGGAAAAGATCTCCAGAGCTTTTTAAGTACAGTGGTCTAATACATGTGATGTTTTCTGCTGTTAAGAGCTGTAATATAGACTTCTTTACCTTACCCTGAAATTTCATTGAAGTCTGCTGCACACATGCCTTGTATCAATTAAATTTTAGAAAAAACAAAGGGGCTGTGTTCCTTTTCTCAGATGAGATGGTGAAACACATATCTAACAGGAACACCTTCTGTAGACACCAGAACTAAACCAGGATCAAACATCATTAGAAAAAACATGTTAGTGCTGTTTGCATTAACTTATGTCTCCAGATTGTGAGGGATGCAGAGATCCTTGCTTATGAGAGGGAGATTCAATCAATTTTATTTGAATTTCAGAGATCACCAATGGGTTTTGATGATGAAATCTCATTTCTCTTACTTATTAGCTGTATGCTCTTAGGCAATTCATATAAATCTTCTAACATTCTAGTTATTAAAATGTGGGTGATGCACTTATAAAATTTATTGTAATAATTAAATGTAATAAAGTTAAGTGAAAGTTTCTGGCATATACTAAGTGTTCAATAGATATTAGGCAGAAGTAGTAGAAATTAGACAAGAAAAGAGTTGAAAATAGTAATTGAAAGAGCAATATGTTATTCTTAACATAAACTCTTATGGGTTACTACTATCTTCCAGGCACTGTTCTAGACATGGAGCAATTTAGCATTGAGTCAAACAGGAAAAGTTCCTCCTTTCTTGGTAATTGTACTATACAAACTCAATGAAGATTTATTTTATTTTTTTACCAGCTGTGAAATAACATAAAACTTAAAGTATAATGAGACAAATTAAATGTGTAAAGCATGAAATAGTTTTTTCCTCTTTTTAAGTCTGCAAAATAGAACCTGAAGCAACTTATTACCTGTGCATCAGTGTTTTCACATGAATGTTGTTGCTAATCCTCTGAAAAGTGGAAAATAAAAATGAAGCTCTCTAATCAGAGCTGATTTTAAAGGACAAGCGTTATTTTAATACGAAGAAAATACAAGAAAATAATATGTTGTAAAGGGAGATTTTAATTAACTCTTAGAAGAGTAATTAGGTAAAAAGCTTGCAAATAACAATATTTAGGTAAGGTTAAAAAGAATAAATACACATTCAATTGTTAGTAGATTAAGACTGAAGCAAAACTGAATGTGCGAAATTAAAGTAGAAAATACTTCTGTTTCCGGAACCAAGCCGGGTCAGGCTGTGTTTTCTCAAGGCCCAATAACGAGAAACAGACAAACTAGGGAAGAAGGGAATTTATTGCTGTAACTGGATACAGGGAGAAGGCCAGAGATAATTCCACCAGACCAAGTCAAAATGTTACAATTTTCTTAGTGCTTATATAGGTTGGGGTTACGTGCCTAGGTGCCGTATAACATTCGCCTAAGTTTGTTGGTAACTAATTTTGTTTCAACTAGAAGATCAGAGGCAAAAATGCTTGCTAAGTCCAATTAAAAGGGCCCCAGTACTTCCAAGGCCTGTCTACTGTGGTACCAGGGTGATTATTTCTATCTTATCTTTTTTACAGCTTAGTCTGGAGAGCTGCCTTAGACTCTCGAATGAATCTATTCAAACAGCTGCCTCTGTTACCTTGACTTGTCTCAGATATGGGTCCTGGCACCAGGAATGAAAGACAAGTCTCTATTATTTTGGTTTGCTCCAGGTTAGGGAGAAGCCCATGCAAGATTTCTACTGACCATATGTTTCATTTCTAGCTTTGATGTCTGGGCACTGATTTCCCTAGGCTTAACTATTTGCTCAATGTTAAGGCAGCTCTGTGGAAATTTGTCTGTGTAACTTAAGTGCTATGCAGGCCTGTCTGTGTGATTGTCATACAGACCTTTCTGTGTGATTGTCAGGGAGAATTGGCCTGCCACACTTCCATAAAATATTATGCATGTAAGACCGGGCACGGTGGCTCACACCCATAATCATAACACTTTGGAAGGTCGAGGTGAGTGGATCAGTTGAGGCCAGAAGTTTGAGATAAGCCTGGCCAACATGGCGCAACTGTCTCTCTACTAAAAATATTTTAAAAATTAGCCAGCTGTGGTGGTACATCCCTGTAATCCCAGCTAATTGATAGGCTGAGGTATAAGAATGGTTTGAACCTTAGGGTCGGAGGTTGCAGTGAGCTGAGATTGTGCCACTGCACTCCAGCCTGGGTGACAGAGTGAGACTTTCTCTCTAAAAATAAGTAATAATAATAATAATAAATACACATGTAAGATGTTTAATGTAACATTCAAGTGAGTTCAAAATTTTTTTCCATTTTTATTCTTTTTTTTTTTTTTTTTTTTCTGAGACAGAGTCTTGCCCTGTGCCCAGGCTGGAGTGCAATGGTACGACCTCTGCTCACTGTAACCTCTGCTTCCTGGACTCAAGCGATTCTCCTGCCTCAACCTCCCGAGTAGCTGGGATTACAGGCGCCTGCCACTACGCCTGGCTAATTTTTGTATTTTTTAGTAGAGATAGGGTTTCACCATGTTGGTCAGGCTGGTCTCGAACTCCCGACCTTAGGTGATCTGCCCGCCTTGGCCTCCCACAGTGCTGAGATTACAAGCATAAGCCGCCATGCCTGGCCCCCTTTTTATTCTTTAAAGTATATCCTAAAGTTAAATAACTTCCATGACGTTTCTTTCAACTGTAGTGGATGAAATATATTGGAATAGTCTGCAGAGGCTTTTCAGTTATGATAGGATAACTGGATCAAGTTAAACCTGTAGCAGAGGGCAGATGTAGAATGTGGATAAACAAAGCAAAACAAACAGTAGTTTATAAGGTATTAGATTACAATTAAGGCAAATGAGTTGAACTACGAAGATATCAGAAAGGAAGGAACAGCATTGAGGTGAATTCTACATTTGTGACCACTTTTCCCTTTGGGCTACTTGTCAACTATTACTTGAGGGCATGGAACCCCCAAAAAAGATGTGGTATAGATTTTATGTTTGTCTCACTGGGCTGAAGAGAAATCAGTTGGAGTTGAGGGCTAGCAAGGAAATCGAGAATAAATGGGTCAGGATCCCAAAGAAAAAAGAACTGCAGAATAGTAAATACCTATATTCTGCATACAATTTTTTATCAAAGCATTTTTTGGCTCTAGAAGTGTACAAGTTCAGAGAGGGAAATGAAGAAAGCAGTTGCTAATATGCTAAAAAAATAAACAGAAAATACTACAATTTTATGGACTTTTGAGAAACAAAGTGGAGTGTAGTCTTTGCCAAAAACAGGCTATGGTAAACAACACAGGCTTTCACTTAATACCCTTGAAATAACTAAACCTAAAAGTAAGGACAAATGAAAATAGGTACACCTCAACTAGATTAAAGTGATTTGTTTTATTTATTTATTTATTTATTTTTTATTATACTTTAAGTTCTAGGGTACATGTGCACAACGTGCAGGTTTGTTATATATGTATGCATGTGCCATGTTGGTGTGCTGCACCCATTAACTCTTCGTTTACATTAGGTATATCTCCTAATGCTATCCATCCCCCAGACCCCCACCCCACAACAGGCCCTGTTGTGTGATGTTCCCCTTCCTGTGTCCCAGTGTTCTCATTGTTCAATTCCCACCTATGAGTGAGAACATGCGGTGTTTGGTTTTTTGTCCTTGAGATAGTTTGCTGAGAATGATGGTTTCCAGCTTCATCCATGTCCCTACAAAGGACATGAACTCATCCTTTTTTATGGCTGCATAGTATTCCATGGTGTATATGTGCCACATTTTCTTAATCCAGTCTATCGTTGATGGACATTTGGGTTGGTTCCAAGTCTTTGCTATTGTGAATAGTGCCTCAATAAACATATGTGTGCATGTGTCTTCATAGCAGCATGATTTATAATCCTTTGGGTATATACCCAGTAATGGGATGGCTGGGTCAAATGGTAATTCTAGTTCTAGATCCTTGAGGAATCGCCACACTGTCTTCCACAATGGTTGAACTAGTTTACAGTCCCACCAACAGTGTAAAAGTGTTCCTATTTCTCCACATCCTCTCCAGCACCTGTTGTTTCCTGACTTTTTAATGATTGCCATTCTAACTGGTGTGAGATGGTATCTCATTGTGGTTTTGATTTGCATTTCTCTGATGGCCAGTGATGATGAGCATTTTTTCACGTGTCTGTTGGCTGCATAAATGTCTTCTTTTGAGAACTGTCTGTTTATGTCCTTCGCCCACTTTTTGATGGGGTTATTTTTTTCTTGTAAGTTTGTTTGAGTTCATTGTAGATTCTGGATATTAGCCCTTTGTAGGATGAGTAGATTGCAAAAATTTTCTCCCATTCTGTAGGTTGCGTGTTCACCCTGATGGTAGTTTCTTTTGCTGTGCAGAAGCTCTTTAGTTTAATTAGATCCCATTAGTCAATTTTGGCTTCTGTTGCCATTGCTTTTGGTGTGTTAGACATGAAGTCCTTGCTCATGCCTATGTCCTGAATGGTATTGCGTAGGTTTTCTTCTAGGGTTTTTATGGTTTTAGGTCTAATATTTAAGTATTTAATCCATCTTGAATTAATTTTTGTATAAGGTGTAAGGAAGGTATCCAGTTTCAGCTTTCCACATATGGCTAACCAGTTTTCCCAGGACCATTTATTAAATAGGGAATCCTTTCCCCATTTCTTGTTTTTGTCAAGTTTGTCAAAGATCAGATGGTTGTAGATGTGTGGTATTATTTCTGAGGGCTCTGTTCTGTTCCATTGGTCTATATCTCTGTTTTGGTACCAGTACCATGCTGTTTTGGTTACTATAGCCTTGTAGTATAGTTTGAAGTCAGGTAGTGTGATGCCTCCAGCTTTGTTCTTTTTGCTTAGGATTGTCTTGGCAATGTGGGCCCTTTTTTGGTTCCATATGAACTTGAAAGTAGTTTTTTCCAATTCTGTGAAGAAAGTCATTGGTAGCTTGATGGGGATGGCATTGAATCTATAAATTACCTTGGGCAGTATGGCCATTTTCACGATATTGAGTCTTCCAATCCATGAGCATGGAATGTTCTTCCATTTGTTTATGTCCTCTTTTACTTCATTGAGCAGTGCTTTGTAGTTCTCCTTGAAGAGGTCCTTCACATCCCTTGTAAGTTGGATTCCTAGGTATTTTATTCTCTTTGAAGCAATTGTGAATGGGAGTTCCCTGATGATTTGGCTCTCTGTTTGTCTGTTATTGGCATATAGGAATGCTTGTGATTTTTGCACATTGATTTTGTATCCTGAGACTTTGCTGAAGTTGCTTATCAGCTTAAGGAGATTTTGGGCTGAGACAATGGGGTTTTCTAAATATACAATCATGTCACTTGCAAACAGGGACAATTTGACTTCCTCTTTTCCTAATCGAATACCCTTTATTTCTTTCTCCTGCCTGATTGCCCTGGCTAGAACTTCCAACACTATGTTGAATAGGAGTGGTGAGAGAAGGCATCCCTGTCTTGTGCCAGTTTTCAAAGGGAATGCTTGCAGTTTTGCCCATTCAGTGTGATATTGGCTGTGGGTTTGTCATAGCTCTTATTATTTTGAGATATCTCCCTTCAATACCTAATTTATTGAGAGTTTTTAGCATGAAGGGCTGTTGAATTTTGCCAAAGGCCTTTTCTGCATCTATTGAGATAATCATGTGGTTTTTGTCTTTGGTTCTGTTTATATGCCTGATTCCATTTATTGATTTGCATATGTTGAACCAGCCTTGCATCCCAGGGATGAAGCCCACTTGATCATGGTGGATGAGCTTTTTGATGTGCTGCTGGATTTGGTTTGCCAGTATTTTATTGAGGATTTTTGCATCGATGTTTATCAGGGATATTGGTCTAAAATTCTTTTTTTATGTTGTGTCTCTGCCAGGCTTTGGTATCAGGATGATGCTGGCCTCATAAAATGAATTCGGGAGGATTCCCTCTTTTTCTATTGATTGGAATAGTTTCAGAAGGAATGGTACCAGCTCCTCCTTGTACCTCTGGTAGAATTCAGCTGTGAATCTGTCTGCTCCTGGACTTCTTTTGGTTGGTAGGCTCTTAATTATTGCCTCAATTTCAGAGCCTATTATTGGTCTATTCAGGGATTCAACTTCTTCCTGGTTTTGTCTTGGGAGAGTGTATGTGTCCAGTAATTTATCCATTTCTTCTAGATTTTCTTGCTTATTTGCGTAGAGGTGTTTATAGAATTCTCTGATAGTAGTTTGTATGTCTGTGGAATTGGTGGTGATATCCCCTTTATCATTTTTTATTGCGTCTATTTGATTCTTCTCTCTTTTCTTCTTTATTAGTCTGTCCAGCGATCTATCAATTTTGTTGATCTTTTTAAAAACCAGCTCCGGGATTCACTGATTTTTTGAAGGGTTTTTTGTGTCTCTATCTCCTTCAGTTCTGCTCTGATCTTAGTTATTTCTTGCCTTCTGCTAGCTTTTGAATGTGTTTGCTCTTGCTTCTCTAGTTCTTTTAATTGTGATGTTAGGGTGTCAATTTTAGATCTTTCCTGCTTTCTCTTGTGGGCATTTAGTGCTATAAATTTCCCTCTACACACTGCTTGAAATGTGTCCCAGAGATTCTGGTATGTTGTGTCTTTGTTCTTGTTGGTTTCAAAGAACATCTTTATTTCTGCCTTCATTTCGTTATGTACCCAGTAGTCATTCAGGAGCAGGTTGTTCAGTTTCCATGTAGTTGAGCGGTTTTGAGTGAGTTTCTTAATCCTGAGTTCTAGTTTGATTGCACTGTGATCTGAGAGACAGTTTGTTATAATTTCTGTTCTTTTACATTTACTGAGGAGTGCTTTACTTCCAAGTATGTGGTCAGTTTTGGAATAAGTGCAATGTGGTACTGAGAAGAATGTATATTCTCGTGATTTGGGGTGGAGAGGTCTGTAGATGTCTATTAGGTCCTCTTGGTGCAGAGCTGAGTTCAATTCCTGAATATCCTTGTTCACTTTCTGTCTTGTTGATCTGTCTAATGTTGACAGTGGGTTGTTAAAGTTTCCCATTATTATTGTGTGGGAGTCTAAGTCTCTTTGTGTGTTTCTAAGGCCTTGCTTTGTGAATCTGGGTGTTCCTGTATTGGGTGCATATATATTTAGGATAGTTAGCTCTTCTTGTTGAATTGATCCCTTTACCATTATGTAATGGCCTTCTTTGTCTCCTTTGATCTTCGTTGGTTTAAAGTCTGTTTTATCAGAGACTAGGATTGCAAACTCTCCTTTTTTTTTTTTTTTTTCCATTTGCTTGGCAGATCTTCCTCCATCCCTTTATTTTGAGCCTATGTGTGTCTCTGCACGTGAGATGGGTCTCCTGAATACAGCACACTGATGGGTCTTGACTCTTTATCCAACTTGTCAGTCTGTGTCTTTTAATTAGAGCATTTAACCCATTTACATTTAAGGTTAATATTGTTATGTGTGAATTTCATCCTGTCATTATGATGTTAGCTGGTTATTTTGCTTGTTAGTTGATGCAGTTTCTTCCTAGCATCGATGGTCTTTACAATTTGGCATGTTTTTGTAGTGGCTGGTACTGGTTGTTCCTTTCCATGTTTAGTGCTTCCTTTAGGACCTCTTGAAGGGCAGGCCTGATGGTGACACAATCTCTCAGCATTTGCTTGTCTGTAAAGGATTTTATTTCTCCTTCACTTATGAAGCTTAGTTTGGCTGGATATGAAATTCTGGGTTAAATTCTTTTCTTTAAGAATGTTGAATATTGGCCCCCACTCTCATCTGGCTTGTAGAGTTTCTGCTGAGAGATCAGCTGTTAGTCTGATGGGCTTCCCTTTGTGAGTAACCCAGTCTTTCTCTCTGGCTGCCCTTAACATTGTTTCCTTCATTTCAACTTTGGTGAATCTGATAATTATGTGTCTTGGAGTTGCTCTTCTTGAGGAGTATCTTTGTGGCATTCTCTGTATTTCCTGAATTTGAATGTTGGCCTGCCTTGCTAAGTTGGGGAAGTTCTCCTGGATAATATCATGCAGAGTGTTTTCCTACTTGGTTCCATTCTCCCCATCACTTTCAGGTACACCAATCAAACGTAGATCTGGTCTTTTCACATAGTCCCATATTTCTTGGAGGATTTGTTCATTTCTTTTTACTCTTTTTTCTCTAAACTTCTCTTCTCACTTCATTTCATTCATTTGATCTTCCATCACTGATACCCTTTCTTCCAGTTGATCAAATTGGCTACTGAAGCTTGTGCATTTGTCTTGTAGTTCTTGTGCTGTGGTGTTTAGCTCCATCAGGTCATTTAAGGACTTCTCTGCACTGGTTATTCTAGTTAGCCATTCATCTAATCTTTTTTCAAGGTTTTTAGCTTCTTTTCAATGGGTTCAAACTCCTCCTTTAGCTCAGAGAAGTTTGATCATCTGAAGCCTTCTTCTCTCAACTCGTCAAAGTTATTCTCGGTCCAGCTTTGTTCTGTTGCTGGCAAGGAGCTGCGTTCCTTTGGAGAGGGAGAGGCGCTCTGATTTTTAGAATTTTCAGCTTTTCTGCTCTGTTTTTTCCCCACCTTTGTGGTTTTATCTACCTTTGGTCTTTGATGATGGTGATGTACAGATGGGGTTTTGGTGTGGATGTTCTTTCTGTTTGTTAGTTTTCCTTCTAACAGGCAGGACCCTCAGCTGCAGGTCTTTTGGAGTTCACTGAGGTCCACTCCAGACCCTGTTTGCCTGGGTATCAGCAGTGGGGGCTGCAGAACAGCAAATATTGCTGAACAGCAAATGTTGCTGCCTGATCATTCCTCTGGAAGCTTCCTCTCAGAAGGGTACCCAGCCGTGTGAGGTGTCAGTCTGCCCCTACTGGAGGGTGCCTCCCAGATAGGCTACTTGGGGGTCAGGGACCCACTTGAGGAGGCAATCTGTCTGTTCTCAGATCTCAAACTGCATGCTGGGAGAACCACTACTCTCTTTAACGCTGTCAGACAGGGACATTTAAGTCTGCAGAGGTTTCTGCTGCCTTTTTTTCAGCTATGCCCTGCCCCCAGAGGTGGAGTCTACAGAGGCAGGTAGGCCCCCTTGAGCTGCGGTGCGCTTCACCCAGTTCAAGCTTCCAGGACGCTTTGTTTATCTACTCAAGCCTCAGCAATGGTGGGCGCCCCTTCCCCAGCCTTGCTGCCACCTTGCAATTTGAGCTCAGACTGCTGTGCTAGCAATGAGTGAGGCTCCGTGGGCATGGGACCCTCTGAGCCAGGTGTACGATATAATCTCCTGGTGTGCCATTTGCTAAGACCATTGGAAAAGCGTAGTATTAGGGTGGGAGTGACCCAATTTTCCAGGTGCTGTCCATCACTGCTTCCCTTGGCTAGCAAAGGAAATTCCCTGACCCGTTGCGCTTCCTGGGTGAGGCAATGCCTTGCCCTGCTTCAGCTCTCCCTCAGTGGGCTGCACCCACTGTCCTGCCCCCACTGTCTGACAAGCCCCAATGAGATAAACCCGGTACCTCAGTTGGAAATGCAGAAATCACCCATCTTTTGCATTCCTTATCCTGGGAGCTGTAGACTGGAGCTGTTCCTATTTGGCCATCTTGGAACCCACGCTGGTGATTTGTTTTTATGTGCCCATCTCAGGAGATGAATTAATATCATCCAGAGCTTCTACAGTGTTTCATATGCCATGTGAAGTATTCAACAAAAGTTTATCAGACATGCTAGGAAATAGGTCCAAACGATTGGAAACCTAGAAAACAAATGCTAGAAGTAGAATTGCAGATGACTCAGAAATTGAAATAAGACATGGACTTAAAATAACTATGACTCATGCTGAAGAATCAACAGAACTGGAATTTATAAAAATGAAAGAAAAGGAAATACTAGAACTGAAAAGAATAACACCAAACTCAGGAATTGGATGGATGAATTTAACAGCATATTAGATATAGCAGAAGACAGGATTGCTGAACTGAAAAATAGATCAGTAAAACATACACAGATTGAAGGGAAAAGAGGTTAAAAAAAGATACAAAATACAGAAAAGAGACGTATTAGGCAAAATGAAGATGTCTAGCATATAAGTAATTGAACTACTGGAAGAAGAAAACGAAAAAGGGACAGAAGCAATATTCAAAGATACAGGCCAATAAATAATTTTTGAAAACTTGTAAAAGATATTGGCATAAATTTTAGACACTCTGTGAATCAAGTGGGAGAAATACAAAGTAAACTATGCTTAGGTACATCATAGTAAAAATGCTGAAAACTATATTATAAAAGAAAATCTTAAAATCAGCTAGAGAAAAACACAAATATGCTTTCAAAGAAGGAACCATAATCCTTTTCAACAGAAACAATGATGGCTATAAGACAAATTGATTTTTTTAACTATAAGAAAGCAATTGCCAATCTGTTTCTATATGCAGTAGAGATGCCATTCCAAATTGAAGATGAAAAAAATTTCAGACAAAAAACGAACAAATTTATCACCAGCAGTTTTCATTAAAGGGACTACTAAAGAGAATTATCCAGACAAAAGGACAATAGATGGAAGTACAAAAACAGATGAAGTACAAAAAAAAAGGAGAAAGAAAGATCATGGTAAAAGGTAAATATATGGGTAAAAATAAATAATATACGCAAAAGTGATAGTGTAAAGGAATGTCAAAAATATTTGTAGAATTAAAATTCATGTCAAGAATAGAGGAAAGGTAAAGTGTGAACAATTCTCAAACCATATGAAAAATGGTAAAAAAAAAAAATGTAGATATAAATCAAGAAGAAACATGTAAATTTTTACCCATGCCTATGTCCCGAATGGCCTAGGTTGCCTTCTAGGGTTTATATGGTTTTGAGTTTTACATTTAAATCTTTAATTCATCTTGAATGAATTTTTGAATATTGTAAAAGAAAGAAGTCCAATTTTAATTTTCTGCATGTAGAAGACAGTGTGGCGATTCCTCAAAGACCTGGAAATACCATTCCACCCAGTGATCCCATTACTGGATATATCCAAAGGGATATAAATCAGTCTACTATAAAGACACATGCATGCATATGTTCATTGCAGCATTATTCACAACAGCAAAGACATGGAATCAACCTGAATGCCCATGAATGATAGACTGGATAAGAAAATGTGGTACTTATACACTGTGAAATGCTAAGCAGCCATAAAAAGAATGAGGTCATATCTTTTGCAGGGACATGAATTGAGCTGGAGGCCCTTATCCTTAACAAACTAACACAGGAAGAGAAAATCAGATATCACATGTTCTCACTTATAAGTGGGAGCTAAATGATGAGAACACATGGACACATAGATGGGAACAACACACGCTGGGGCCTTTCAGAGGGTAAAGGGGGTGGCAGGAGGGAGGGGACCCTCCTATATATAACTAATGGGTTCTAGACTCAATATCTGGGTAATAAAATAATTTGTACAATGAACCCTGGTGATGCAAGTTTACCCCGATGATACATACCTACGCTTGTAACCCTAATCTTAAAAGTTAAAAAGTAACAACTGTGTAAATCACTAGGGGAAACAATATAAAAAATAATATATTTCTACAAAAAATGGGGCAAATGGATGATAAAAATAGTTGATTAGTCTAAAATTCCATGAAAATAGATTATAGGAAAAGAAAAACATAGAGACAAATAGAAAAAAAATAGGAAAATAGTCGATTTAAACCCAAATGTCCTAGTAATTCTATTAATTGTAAGTAAATTTAATATTTCAGTAGATTTATAATAAAACCCAACTATAAGATGCTTTAATGTCTTACATATAAAGATGAGAAAAGTTGAAAAGAATGCCACATGGAAAAATAAACTAGGTATAACTATACTAACACAAAAAACTTGATAGCTACACTAGTTATTCAACCAGGAGGGTATAATAAGTATAATGTGTATACATTTAATAATGTAGTGTCAAAACATACGAAGCAAAAAAAGTGACAAAGCTGAAAGGAACAGACAAACCCAGTTTTACACAAATATTTAACTTGTCAGTGACTGACAGTACAAGGAAATAAATAGCAGAGATGCAGAAGATTTGAATAACACACTTGACCTAATTGACGTAAGACATGCATACAACATTGGCAAAATATGCATTTTTTCCAAGAACACATGAAACATTTAACAAACTATACACTATTTCATAAAAGAAGTCTTAATAAGTTTCAAAGGATTAAAATTCTAAAAAGTATTTTCCATTACCCAAAAATTTAAGCTAGAAATAAAAGGTTACCTAAAAGATCTAGGATGTTTTTGAATTAATACTCATTTTAAATCGGCAAGAAATGCAGAAAAATCAAGGCAGAAATTAGAAAATACTTTGAACCTGACAGTAATTATAAAAAAAGTATATATCAAAAATTGAGAAATAGATAGAGAACATTATAGATTTAAATGCTAATATTAGAAGTGAAAAACACTGAAAATCAATTATGTAAGCCTATATCTCAATAAAAGATAAGCAAATTATAGACAAAGAGAATAGAAGGCAGAAAATAAGGATGAAGTCAGAAATTCATGAAATAGAAAACCGAGATACTATGAGTTCTATGTCATTAGGCAGTTCATGTCTACATCTGCTTGTGTCTTCCCAGACCAGGGACCAGACAAATGAGTGAAGAAGCCTTTGAGGAGTTGAACACTACCCCTGCCACCATCTGACTGCTACTACATGAAAAACTGAGCCCAAATGAGCTCGGACAATTCCCAGAGTCATCAGGAAAGGAAATGATTATTATTGGTTTAAGTCACCATTTGGGGATGGTTTGTATACAGCAATATATAACCAGAGAAGATTGGAAGAGTTAATACAGTATAGATATAAATTTTTCTCATAATTGATCTATAGCTTTAATGCAATCCCAATAAAATCCCATTAAGGTATTTTCAGAGAAATTGATAAAGTGATTCTAAAACTTCTGTGGAAATGGGAAGCATCAAGTCTGTCAAGCCAGAATAATCTTGAAAATGAACAAAAGTTGACAATTTGAATTATTAGGTATTAAGATTTATTTTAAAGCTATGGTAATTAAGACAATATGGTATTGGAACAATGATAAATATAGCAATAAACCAGATTATAGAAACAGACCCATATATACAATAGACTTACATCAAAAGTGCTATAGCAATGTGAACCTGATCACATGGCTCACAGCATACGTTAACATATGAATGGTAAAACGATAGAGATGCCAACAGCTAATACAGAAAAAAATCATCATGACTTTAGTGGGTAGGCAAGGACTTCTTAAATCACATATAAAACAGTGAAAGAAACATAAAACAGTGAAGAAAATGGATACATTGCATTTCATCAAAATTATCAACTTTTGTTCATCAAAAGATACTTCTAAGGGCATAAAAATGAGTTACAGAGTTGAGACATATGCATACATCTGACAAAAAACATTTCCTTTATGTATATAAATTCTACAAATCAGCAAAAAATTAATTTTAAAATGGGCATAAAATCTGAATAGATACCTCACAAAAATCATATATAAAATATATATGCAAAAGGTGCTGAGCATCATTACTCACCAAGAAAATGCAAATCAAAAATATTGGGAGATACTATTGTAAGCCCACCAGAATGTTGGGGGAAAGATATTCTCAGTGTTAGCAATCATGTGAAGTATTTGGAAATTTCATAGATGGCTTTAAGCACTTGTGAAGACATTTCTGGCAGCATCTGTTAAATCTAAACTTACGTGTACTCTATGACCTGACAATTTTACTCCTAAAGGCATCTGTGGAAATGAATACATATTTTCACCAACATTCAAGAACACACATGTCAGCATAACTCAAAATGGCCCAATGCTAGAAATAACCATCCATCAAAATTCAAATTGATAAACATGGTTTAATTCGTACATGGGATACAAGATCATGTTGAAAAATAATGAATTTCTGGATCTGCAACAGCAAAGATAAATATTACCAATAATTTTTGACAATAAAATGCAGACAAAATTTCTTATCTTAGTTGTAGGCAGTGGTAATGACTAGGGGGATGAGGTTCTGGTAATGTTATTTACAGCTGACCCTTGAACAACACGGGAATTAAGGTGTCAACCTCTGCACAGTCAAAAATCTTAGTGTACCTTTTTACTCCCCTCAAACTTACCTACAAATAACTTGCTGTCAACCAGAAGCCTTATCCATAACATAAACAGCCGATTGACACATATTTTATATGTTGTGTGTATTATATACTGTATTCTTACAATAAAGTAAGCTAGAGAAAAGATGTTATTGAGAATATCATAAGCAAGAGAGAATGTATTTATTAAGTGGAAGTGGATCATCACAAAGATCTTCATCCTCATTGTCATCACTTTGAATAGGCTGAGGGGGAGGAGGAAGACAAAGGGTTGGTCTTGCTGTCTCAGGGGTGGCAGAAGCAGAAGAAAATCTACATATAAGTGGACCAACGCAGTTTAAACCTGTGTTGTTCAAGGGTCAACTGTATTTTGATCTGGGTGTGTTTACATAGGCGTGATTGCTTTGCAAAAATTTGTTCAGCTGTACATTTTAAGATTTGTGCATTTTAGAGTATATATGTTATGCTTCAACAAAAAGTAAAACCTGGATAATACAGTTCTGAGACTTGCCGGAGAAGTAATTTTGAAAATAAATTTTACATTTTTAAAGCAGGATAGGGAAAAAAATTCCATATATTGTTCTTACAGAGAAAGATCTTTTCGTATACTTTGCTTTTGCTACTGAAAAGACAATTTAGAGAAATCAAAGTGATTTATAATTTAGTAAATCATTAATCACATAAATAAGTCTATTTTAGTTTCATAGTGGCAAAATAAATCAAATCCTGTATTTGAGAAAGTCAGAGACATCTCAAGGGGAGCAATAACTCCTATATGATGTCTTCACTAATTAATGGATTTCCCAAGATAACTTATTTATATCCAAGGGAAAAATGATTCACCCTGGGTTATTTTTAAGTCTCACTAGTATAATAGAATTATAATTAAAGGCTCATTTTTTCAATCCTTATTAAAATATTTTATAAGAGTAAATCTGTATAAAACAGTAGCCAAGCATCATTAGTATTATGATTGTAATTATTTTTAAATGTTAAGGAATTCTACCCGGAAAGAATTTACCAAGATTTCTTAAATTTAAATTACAAAAACAGAAATTAATTTCCTAAAGTCAGAATCCAATAGAAAATTATGAACTATCAATTAACAACAAAAAAATCTTTCAGGTTCCTCATTCTGTATAGCTATCCCAGAGTTCTAACTGTGAAATGCTGCCTTAAAAGAACTGTATTTTCCAAATTAGAATAATTTTTGATGTTTGTTTTAACAGAAGCTTCTACTAGCCCAGAGAAATGTTCAAAATCAAATTCCTTTGAAAAGCAATGACTTAAAATAGAAAAGTAAAAAGCCAATCTGAAAAGGTTGCATACTGTATGATTCCAAACATATGACATTCTGAAAAAGGCAAAGCTATGAAGACAGTGAAGAGAATAGTGGTTGCTAGAGGTTGTGGGGAGGGTGAGATGAAGAGGCACAGCATGGAGGATTTTTAGGGCAGTGAAAGCAAATGCTCTGTATTCACTATAATGGTGAATACATCTCATTATACATTTGTCTAAACCTATAGAATGTTCAACACCAATAATGAACCCTAGTGTAAACTATGGACTGTAGGTGATAATGATGTGTCAACGTAGGTTCATACATTGTAACATAGGTACCACTCTGGTGTGGGATGTTGATAATGGGGGAGGCTGTGCATGTGTGGGGCCAAGGAATATAAAGGAAATCTCTGTATTCACCTCTGTTTTCCTGTGAATCTATAGCTGCTTCAAGAAAACAAATAAGTAAGTTTTTAAAAAATAGAAAGAAAATTTTCATTAATCTCAAAATTGGGGGAAAATGCTGCTAGAAGTTTTATGAAGCAAATGCCACAAATTTTATTCTTGATCAAAATAACAATTACAACCTATTATAATCAGAGTAAATTTAATTTGAGTTATTTAATTTAGAAGTAAATCACTTTCTTATTGGCATTCTCACAATTTTAAGTAATGATAATACCTGAGGAAGTAGCTTGAATATATGCTGGCTTTGGTGGAGGAATAGTCTCCTATTAGTCTTAATTTAGAATGAGATCCTGATTAAATTCATTCAGCTTCTAAATCAAAAGTTTTCTATGTTATCTCCTAAGGATTGCTTCAAAGCCACATTTTTTCAGTGATCTTTAATCTGGTAATCAAGAAAAAATATAACTATGAAATTATAAGTGAAAGCAGTAGTCAGAAAATGATCCTTTAGCTTAATATAGTGTTCCTTTATGGGTAGTAAAAAAACAGGCAGACATAACTCTCACTGATAAGCTAGTTAATTGGTGGAAATTATAAAATCCACTGGAGTTAATGAAAAAATACTATACTGTATGGAAATTCTCTGTGATAGAACATGAATGTTCAAAATGTGATAATTTAAAATGATGATTTTCATGGAATACTATACAGCCATAAAAAAGAATGAGATCATGTTCTTTGCAGCAACATGGATGGAGCCGAAGGCCATTATTGTAAGAGAACTAATGCAGAAACAGAAAAGCAAATATCACACATTCTCACTTATAAGTGGGAGCTAAATGTTGATTACACATGAACACAAAGAATAGAAAAACAGACACCAGGGCTACCTCAGGATGGAGGAGGGAGAGGATTGAAAAACTACCTATCAGGTATTATGCTTATTACCTGGGTGAGGAGATAATCTGTGCACCAAACCCCCACGACATAAAATTTACCTATCTATCTAACCTTCACATTGAACCCTCAACCTAAAATAAATAAACTAATTAAAAAAAACAAAATGCTGGTGTTATAATCTGATTATTTTATCTTGGTTGCTAATTTTAGAAGTAAGTTATATGAAAATGTGCTTTTAATATGTACATCCTTGATTTCCAAAAATAAAGGAAGATAATTATTCCTCAGTAAACATGTAAATGACTTTTTTCTTTCTTTCCTTCCCTCCCTTCCCCCTCTACTCTCCTCCCTCTCTTCCTCCCTTCCCCCTCCACTCCCCTCCCTCTCTTCCTTCCCTTCCTTCCCTCCCTTCCCTCCCTTCCCTCCCTTCCCTCCCTTCCCTTCCCCTCCTTCCCTCCCTTCCCCTCCTTCCCTCCCTTCCCTCCCTTCCCTCCCCTTCCCCTCCCTTCCCCTCCCCTCCACCCCTCCCCTCCCCCTCCCCCTCCCCTCCCCTCCCCTTCCCTTTCCTTCCCTTCCCTTTCTTCTCTTCCTTCCTTTCTTCCTTTCTTTTTGAGGTGGGGTCTGGCTTTGTCATCCAGGCTGTAGTGCAGTGGCATGATCACAGCTAACTGCAGCCTTGACCTCTGACTCAAGCAATCCTCCCACCTCAGCCTCCTGAGGAACTGGGACTACAGACAAGCACCATCATGTCCAACTAAGTTTTAAATTTTTTCATAGAGACAGGGTCTCCCTGTGTTGCTCAGGCTGGTCTTGAACTTCTGGGCTCAAGTGATCCTCCTGCCTCCTCCTCCTCAAAGTGTTGGGATCACAGGCATGAGCCACCACGCCCAGCCTGTAAATGTGCTTTCTATAGTAATGTAAGTGTTGTGGTATGTGTATGTATGGGTAGATGTACACAGGGGAGGGAATTGGAGGTAAGAAGTAAGTGGATCCTTATTCTGAAACTGCTTTTTCTCCAATTTGGAAAAACTATTCACTAAACTGAAGCTTAGTGCTGCAATTTATTCTGACTGTGTGTGTGGTCTAGTTTTTCTGCTACTTTTTTGTTTTGTTTCATTTTGTTTTGTTTTTTTTTTTGAAGAATACTCTCTTTTGTTGCTTAAATCCAATTAATGCCAATTATGTAACAGTGAGGATATTTGACCAATTTTCATAGACGTGTGTCAGTTTGCTGTTAAAGATCTTCAAAGGTATCTGACATTCAATACAAAATTTCTCCAAATTGACAATAGCAATTTTTCTATTTATTTTAAATAACATGTCATCTATTTGTTTTAAATTATTATTTATTTGTCTTATTTCCTCTCATATATGAGAAATTCTTAGAAGGCAGAATCTTAACTGAAAATGATCTTAAAAACTCCTAGAAGGCAGTATTTCTGTTTAATTGATGTTCATACCTGCCATAGGTGTTCTCAATCACAGGAGATGGTGTTTCATATTCTCAATACAAGAGGAGGTGGTGTTTCAGAGATTCATTTGTAAGTTGGTTTTTAAAAATCTGATTATTAGATTTCCAGTTTGGCCTGTAAAAGTCTGCTTTACCCATTGTCTGAAATACTTCTGATTACAAAGAAAGTAAAAACAATACAACTGCAAAATAATGATGAAAGCCTGGAAAAATGAAATTGAATAGGAAACTGTATTTAATTTTAGGTGGTTGTACTTGAGAAATTTTGTTTAATTTATAAAAAGTGAAAAGCAAAGAAGACTTATTGTCAGCATTATGTTTTTAGAGGTTAATGGAAGTGGCCCTTTATTGTTTCTAATTTGATTTCAATTTTCAATGTTTTTGGGTTTTTCTTTGTTTGGTGTAGTGAATTCGTACTGTTCTGATCTGCTCCGACAATTCTTAGCTGTGTGACTTTAGACAAGTTACTTAATCTCTGTGCCTTAGTGTGCTCATATTAAAAAATACAGAGGTAATAGTAACTATCTCGGTGGGTTATGGTGAGGATTAAATGAAGTAATAAACATAAAGCACTGAGAATAGCATTTGACGTTTATTAATTGTCTCTTAAATGCTGGACAATCTCATTGTTACTCATTTTCTCTTTCTGAATGCTCCTATGCTAGGTATCTCTTTAAATTATCACATTCCATCTTGTTTTCTGTTAACTTATATACTATCCCATTTACCTTAGGAGATTTTAATCTCCCTGCAGGCAGAGAATAATTTATATTTCACAAACTATAAGGCATTATATTGCATCTTCACTCAATAAATATTTATTTCAATAACTTTTTTTTTTGGTTGTCATTTCAAAGTGAAACAAAAAATAGAGGAGGAAGGGCAAATGTCATTTTCTTAGGTGACTAGGCCAAATTATGTAAGGGGAGAGGACTAAAGGGAATTATGGATGTGTGGGTACCCTTAAGAAAAGGTCAGCCTGTGGAAGAATTTGCTGAGCAGTGAAAAATAAGGGTCAATATCACAGAAGAAAAGAGGTAGTACACATCTGATAGGTATTTAAGCACTTGTGCATACATGGATGCAACTTTCTAGGTTTAGAGCTGTTTGTAAGTATAACCTGAAAGCCCCACCTTTGAGTATAAATGAGGCCACTTTAGTTTTAATGGATGCATTTTCTCTATTTTAATGCCAGCTTTGTGCCTATAGGAATGTAGGCCCTTTCTAAACCTCCCCTAGGTATATAGGGAGATTCCTCCAGTTTCAGGGTCCTAATTAAGACTCAGTGTCATCCTTGTCCCTGCTATATTTGCCTGTTCCATGTGAAGTCTTTCCCCACAGCCAGGCTCTGTTGGTGGCACCCGAGCATGGTCTTCTATAGTATTAAAGGCTCTGGGAGGTGGACACTGGCGTTTCCCTAACTCCGTTATGTCAGGCCTCTGAGCCCAAGCCTGCTCCTATACATCCAGATGGCCTGAAGCAACTGAAGAATCACAAAAGAAGTGAAAATGGCCGGTTCCTGCCTTAACTGATGACATTACCTTGTGAAATTCCTTCTCCTGGACAATGAGTCTCAGAAGCTCCCCCACTGAGAACCTTGTGACCCCTGCCCACCAGAGAACAACCCCCTTTGACTGTAATTTTCCACTACTCACCCAAATCCTATAAAACTGTCCCACCCCTATCTCCCTTCTCTGACTCCTTTTTTGTACTCAGCCCACCTGCATCCAGGTGAAATAAACAGCCTTGTTGCTCACACAAAGCCTGTTTGGTGGTCTCTTCACGTGGACGCAGGTGACATGTTACATATATTCACTGGACCCTCAGACTCTATTGCATCTTCTCAGGGTTTCACTGTTGATTTACACAATTTCTTCAGCTTCTTGTTTTGAAACTCTTATAAAGGCTCAAAAACCTGCCTCTCAGGCTGGTTGGGAGGTAATAATAAAAGCCAGCCTTGCCTCCCATTGTCCTCATTTCCTGTCCCCTTTAGAGTCCCTGCCTCAAAATGATTCTCTGTCTTCTTCCAGGTGAAACTGAAAACCTTATGGGTTTCAGCAGAGTTGAATATACTTGGCACAGAGGCAGTGCTTATCTCCTTCTGCCCAAAGTACCCAGGCCACAGATCTTGCTCAAAGCCAACGCGTTCTGTTGCAAATATTATACTGTAATTTGAATAGCACAACAATAAAACTGGTTTTTAAAACAGTGTAAAGTATTTTTCCCACACAAAATATTCTTTACTTATTGCTTCCATTCCCCCTAGTTCTCTTGTGATCTTAAAATGCCACATGCAAAATAGTAATGGTTTCATATACTTAGCATATTCACTCTGGAGACATACATGGATTAGATAAAAAGTGATTGACTATTAATCAAATGGAATGCCTATTTGCTCATTTTGGAGTATGATACAGAAAATACTCTGAATTTAGCAAGAGGAATGTTCCTGTGAATCCATAGCTTGTGTATTCTTTAAAAAAAAAAAACAACGAAATAAGCATTGACCCATAGACTTGTGTTTGAAATGTTCACTGATGCACTAGGTGTTGGAGATTTAAGGTACTGATATGGTGTGACTGTGTCCCCACCCAAATTTCATCTTGAATTCCCACATGTTGTGGGAGGGACCCCGTGGGACATAATTGAATCATGGGGGCAGATCTTTCCCATGCTGTTCTCATGATAGCGAATATGTCTTCATAAGGTAGAATTTCCCTGCACAAGCTCTCTCTCTTTGCCTGCTGCCATCCATGTAAAATGTGACTTATTCCTCTTTGCCTTCAGCCATAATCGTGAGGCTGCCCCACCCATGTGGAACTGTAAGTGCCAGTAAGCCTCTTTCTTTTGTAAATTGCCCAGTCTTGGGTATGTCTTTATCAGCAGCGAAAAAATGGATGAATACAAGTACTTTGAGACAAAAATCAGGGGAAACTCCTACCTCCCACCCAGCTCCCTATTAAGAAATAGTTACAATAAAATTATGTTTTCTTAGAGACAAATATGTCAGAAATGAATTTCAATAAATTTCATTATCCACTTAAGATAACTTTAAGTAATAATAATATATTATCCATACCATTTTTCTGACCCTTTCTGGGTGAGGGTGTCTTCCTTCCTTGAACTATTTCAAAGATTCTACCATAACTGGAGGCCACCTTCAATACCATCCTATCTTGGGTGGGGTAGAAAACCAAACAAAACAGGTGGTTTGTCTATTGTTAAGTTCTGTGAATTGCACCTGACTACTCTTCCATCAGTTGTGAGATAGGATTTTCGAGACTCAATACTTGAGAATAATGATACAAATTAAAACTCTTTTTCTCATTTGAAGAAGTGAGAGATGAGTTTTTTCTTTGGCATATCTTTGGAGTTGATATAGAAGAAAGGAATTATTTATATAAGCAGTATTTTAAGGTGGGCATAACATATTGGCACTTGGTTTGTCTATTGGACTCCAAAATTTTTATAAACATCCATTTCAGGTGACAAGGAAATCCAATAAAAGTAATGCATATGGTTTTACTTTAAATGCAAAATGGAAGCTAACTGGTATCGCTAAAATGATTAATACACGTAAATAATTTTTATAAAAACATTTTGGAATTATGATTCTGAAATTATACTGTAAAGTAAATCGGATTTACTGTTTCACAAGAAGCAATGTGTAATTGAGGTCCTCAAAAGGTGACACATTATAAATAACTCCAAACCTAGGGATGCTTTAGAACTGCCTTAACGCCTAGAGCCATGTCTTGCCAGGTTTAGGGTACTTTGTGTCAAAAATCAGGGGAAACTCCCCTCTCCTAGCCAGCTCCCTATTAAGAAATAGTTACACTAAAATTATGTTTTATTAAAGACAAATATGTCAGAAATGATTTTCAATAAAGTTTTTATATTATCCACTTAAGATAATGGTAAGCCATAGTTAACTGCCTGCCAGAACAAAGCTGAACACTCTTTAACGGTAGACATCATGATCCAGTTTCAGTACAATGTAACATTGCAATTTCCAGCAGTCAACCTGAATCCCCAACGTTATAAATAATACATTATGGAAATTGAAGATGCTGCTTTGATCTTCAAAGAGCATTGATTTCTTTTTGTTTAGCAGAAAGTTAGCATGGCTGGACTCAAACTCCAAATTTAGGCTCCCCTGCAATGGACAGCAGCTGAAATTGCTGTTTTTTAAGTTGGTCTGTTTGAAGCCTGTCTGTGCAGGAAATTGGAGTAGAATTGATACAGAGAATTTGAGGCTCCCACTCTCTGTTCTCTCCTTTCTAGATTAACCTTCTTTATTTTCTAACTGCGTTAATTTCCTGAGTTCTGTCTTTTGATTCTTTGTGCAAATAAGAATCTGGGTTTTTGCTCAAATTTTAGCTACCTCATGTGGTCCTGACTGCAGCACTTCAGGCTAAAAGCTAATTAATGAAAGTAGCAACTAATGTGACACAAGGCCAATACATGAGAATGAATTATATTTGTGCAGACCAGTAATGAACAACTAGAAAATTAAATTTTTAAATGTTATTTGCAAAGGCATCTTAAAAATACAATGGGAATATACTTTTTAAAAATATGCAGATTACTTCTACAATTAAAACTCTAAAACATTGTTGAGAACAATGAAATATTATATAAATAAACAGAAATATATACCACACTGTGTTGTTATATTAATTTTACCCAAATCTATAGATTTATTCTAACCATAAAAAAATCCAAACTAGATATTATTTGTATAAAAATAGATAAACTGATTCTAAAATTTATATGTAAATGCAACAAACATAGGATGCCCAAACCAATCTTGAAAAAGATCAAATTGGAGGACTGGCATTGTCTTATTTTAAGACTTAATACTACATTAGTCAAGGTATTAATGCAAAGGCAAATGGGGTAATGGAACAGAATAGAGTTCAGGAATAACTCACAAACATATGTTTGTTTTTTATTTAAGGTAGTAAAGCAATTCAACTGGGAAAGGACAGTGCTTTTGTTGCTGGAACACCTGGATCTTCATCTAGGGAAGAAAGATCAATATTGACAATTATTTAACAACACACACACAAATTAATTTGTGATGAATCATAGACCCATATATAAAAGCTAAAAGCATAAAGGTTCTAGTATAAAACAGAAAAATATATCTGCAATTTTGGGATAAAGATTTCTTAAAATGTGAAGAAAATGATTGATTAAATTTCATTAATATTAATGCTTCTGCTCATCAAAACTTGCCCTTAAAAAATTAATTTCAAGTTACAGACTAGTAGAAAATATTTAAAATACGTATATCTGAAAAAGATTTGTAACCAGTATAAAAATTTATATCACTTATTTATAATGAAGACAAATCAGTTAAAAAGTAGGCAGATGGAAATATACATAACAAAGTAAGGATGATGAAAATATACTCAATCTCATTATTCATTAGGGAAATAAACATGAAAACCATAAGGAGATACCTCTTTACAACCACAGAATGCTAAAATTAAAAATATATATCATGCATACCAAATTTTGGTAAGGAAAAGAGCAAGAGCAAGTGGTACTCTCCTACATTGCTGATGAAACTAAAGTGATACAACTACTTTGACAGTTGCTTACAATTTAAATGTATTCAGCAATTCCTGTAATCCAGCAATTCCACTCTCAGTGTTTCTCTCTCAGGAATCCACTCTCCACTCTTACCCAAGAGAAATAAAATATTTATCTACAAAAGATAGCTTTATCCTAATATCCCAAATCTGGAAACATTAAAAAAATTATCAATAGAAAACAAATTAATGGAGAGTAGAGCATTTGTACAATTGACAGAGCAAATCAATGAGCAAACAAAAATGAATAGACAATGTAAATCTCAAAAATGTTATGCTAAATTAAAGGAATTTGGGCACAAAAGAGTACACATATATTTATGTGAAGCTTAAAAATAGGCACAATGAAAAACTACAATGATAGAAATCTGAACAGTGATCACCCCTAGGATTGACTATTGAGCAGTGGTTGAAAGGATATTCTTTCCTTGGGTTAACTGGCAGATAGAACTCTAACTGCTGCCAGTGTTTATCTAGAACTAATAATTTCTTTTCTTTTGGTAAGGAAAACACTACATCCACTGATGTGGCTAGTTATTCTTTTTTTTTTTTTTTTTTTAGTTTAAATGTCACTTTATTAGAAATACATTCCACTAGAGTTCAGGCTAGCTTATATGTTATCACATTGATAATTGTATTGTTGAGATTATTTGATGAAGGTCTGCCTCCAACCTCCTGTCCCCCAACTCTAAGTTCCCAGCACAGTGCTTAATTTGATCACTTCAATTGCATTCTCAGTACCCAGCCCATAACCTAACCGTTTCTAGGTACTTAACAAGTATCTATTGAGTGAATGAATCAATGAATGAAAAATATACTATTTAATGGAATGCAATTCAAAAAATGTTTATCTATTACCCACTGCATGGTTGGCACTGAGCTGAGCTCCAGGAAATCTAATAAATGAACAATCTTGTGCGGGTGTTGCCCGAGGCATTAACCTCAGTCCCCTTCTCAGATCCTCACTCTCTCTGGGCAAGCACATTCTTCACAGTGGCTTTAATCACCACCTTTGTATGTAAGGATACAAAAACCTGATCTCTGATCACAAAGACACTTCTCCCTAGATAATAGCCACTTTACTAACCCAGAATCAGACCAATAGGGAATTCACAATTTGGGAAACTTAAAATCTGAAAGTAATTTGATGCACTCCAGCTATGTCCTGGGATCCTTTGCCTTGGCAATTTTAAGACCAGGGTTCAGGGGAAACCTCCCTACTCTTGCCTGGGGACTAGTTTATGAGGAATCCTAAAGCCCAGACAAATGCATATGTTAGCTGAGAACACTGGCTATCCATATGCAGAAGAATGAAACTAGACCCCTCTCTCTTGCCATGTATAAGAATCAAATCAAAATGGACTAAAGAATTAGATCTAACACCTGGAACTGTGAAACTACTAAAAGAAAACACTGGGGAAAGTCTCTAGGACTTTGGTCCGGACAATGATTTCTCAAGTGAGACCTCAAAAGCACAGGCGACCAAAGCAAAAATGGACAAATAGGATCACATCAGGTTAAAAAGCTTCTGCACAGCAAAGAAAACAACAAAGTTAAGAATAGGAAAAAATATTCGCAAACCACTCATCTGACAAGAGATTAATCAGAATATATGAGAAGCTCAAATAATTCAATGGGAAAAAATGTAATATCCAATTAAAATGGGCAAAATTCATCCCTAACAGGTCAGAGAAAAAAAATGGGCAAAAGATCTGAACAGACATTTCTCAAAAGAAGACACGTAAATGGCCAACAGATATATGAAAAAATGCTCAACATCAGTCGGAGAGATGCGAATCAAAACCGCAATGAGACAGCATCTCACTGCAGTTAAAATGGCTCATAACCAAAAGACAGGCAACAACAAATGCTGGCAAGGACGCGGAGAAAGGCGAACTTTTGTATGTTGTTGGTAGAAATGTAAATCAGCACAGCCACCATGGAGAACAGTATGGAGGTTCCTCAAAAAAACAAAAATAGAGCCTTATGATCCAGCAATCTCACAGCTGGGTACACACCCAAAAGGAAGGAAATCAGTATATCAAAGAGATATCTGTACCCCCATGTTTATTGCACACTATTCACAACAGCCAAGACTTGGAGTCAGTCCAAGTGTCCATCAATGAATGAGTGGATAAAATAAATGTAGTACATATACACAATGTAATATCATTCATCCTTAAAATAGAATGAAATCCTGCCATTTGCAACAACATGGATGCAGCTGGAGAACATTGTTAAGTGAAATAATTCAGGCACAGAAATATAAATGCATATTCTCACTCATGTGTGGGAGTCAAAAATTAAAACAATTGAACTCATGGAGATAGGAGAATGATGATTACCAGAGGCTGGGAAGGGGTGGGGGGAGTGGAAATGGTTAATGGGTGCAAAAATATAGTTAGAATGAATAAGATCTAGTATTTGATAGCACTGCAAGGTGACTGAAGTCAACGATAATTTATTGTATATTTTAAAATAACTAAAATAGTGGAATTGGAATGTTCCTCATACAAAGAAATGATAAACACTTGAAGCATGGATGACCTCTTCCCACAAAACGAGTATGTTAATAACAATACCCCAATCATACTTCATATTTTATAGTGCCTTATAATTAAAATTTTTCTTATTTTATTTTTTTATTTTTATTTTTTTGCTATACTTTAAGTTTTAGGGTACATGTGCACAACGTGCAGGTTGGCTACATATGTATACATGTGCCATGTTGGTGTGCTGCACCCATTAACTCGTCATTTAACATTAGGTATATCTCCTAATGCTATCCCTCCCGCTTCCCTCCACCCCACAACAGGCCCTGGTGTGTGATGTTCCCCTTCCTGTGTCCATGTGTTCTCATTGTTCAATTCCCACCTATGAGTGAGAACATGCCGTGTTTGGTTTTTTGTCCTTGTGATAGTTTGCTGAGAGTGATGGATTCCAGCTTAATCCATGTCCCTGCAAAGGAAATGAACTCATCCTTTTTTATGTCTGCATAGTATTCCATGGTGTATATGTGCCACATTTTCCTAATCCAGTCTATCACTGTGGGACATTTGGCTTGGCTCCAAGTCTCTGCTATTGTGAACAATGCCGCAACAAACATACGTGTGCATGTGTCTTTATAGCAGCATGATTTATAATCCTTTGGGTATATACCCAGTAATGGGATGGCTGGGTCAAATGGTATTTCTAGTTCTAGATCCCTAAGGAATCGCCACACTGACCTCCACAATGGCTGAAATAGTTTACAGTCCCACCAACAGTGTAAAAGTGTTCCTATTTCTCCACATTCTCTCCAGCACCTGCCATTTCCTGACTTTTTAATGATCGCCATTCTAACTGGTGTGAGATGGTATCTCACTGCAGTTTTGATTTGTACCTCTCTGATGGCCATTGATGATGAGCATTTTCTCACATGTCCCCTGGCTGCATAAATGTCTTCTTTTGAGAAGTGTCCACTCATATCCTTCGCCCACTTTTTGATGGGGTTGTTTGTTTTTTTCTTGTAAATTTGTTTGAGTTCATTGTAGATTCTGGATATTAGCCCCTTGTCAGATGAGTAGATTGCAAAAACCTTCTCCCATTCTGTAGGTTGCCTGTTCACTCTGATGGTAGTTTCTCTTGCTGTGCAGAAGTTCCCCAGTTTAATTAGATCCCATTTGTCAATTTTGGCTCTGTCGCCACCGCTTTTGGTGTTTTAGACATGAAGTCCTTGCCCATACCTATGTCCTGAAAGGTATTGCCTAGGTTTTCTTCTAGGGTTTTTATGGTTTTAGTTCTAACATTTAAGTCTTTAATCCATCTTGAATTAATTTTTGTACAAGGTGTAAGGAAGGGATCTAGTTTCAACTTTCCACACATGGCTAGCCAGTCCTCCCAGCACCATTTATTAAATACGGAATCATTTCCCCGTTTCTTATTTTTGTCAGGTTTGTCAAAGACCAGGTGGTTGTAGATGTGTGGTATTATTTCTGAGGGCTCTGTTCTGTTCCATTGGTCTTTATCTCTGTTTTGGTACCAGTACCATGCTGTTTTGGTTACTGTAGCCTTGTAGTATAGTTTGAAATCAGGTAGCATGATGCCTCCAGCTTTGTTCTTTTGGCTTAGGATTGTCTTGGCAATGTGGGCTCTTTTTTGGTTCCATATGAACTTGACAGTAGTTTTTTCCAATTCTGTGAAGAAAGTCATTGGTAGCTTGATGGGGATGGCATTGAATCTATAAATTACCTTGGGCAGTATGGCCATTTTCACGATATTGATTCTTCCTACCCATGAGAATGGAATGTTCTTCCATTTGTTTCTATCCTCTTTTATTTCCTGGAGCAGTGGTTTGTAGTTTTCCTTGAAGAGGTCTTTCACATCCCTTGTAAGTTGGACTCCTAGGTATTTTATTCCCTTTGAAGCAATTGTGAATGGGAGTTCACTCATGATTCGTCTCTCTGTTTGTCTGTTATTGGTGTATAGGAATGCTTGTGATTTTTGCACATTGATTTTGTATCCTGAGACTTTGCTGAAGTTGCCTATCAGCTTAAGGATATTTTGGGCTGAGACAATGGGGTTTTCTAGATATACAATCATGTCATCTGCAAACAGGGACAATTTGACTTCCTCGTTTCCTAATTGAATACCCTTTATTTCTTTCTCCTGCCTGATTGCCCTGGCCAGAACTTCCAACACTATGTTGAATAGGAGTGGTGAGAGAGGGCATCCCTGTCTTGTGCCAGTTTTCAAAGAGAATGCTTCCAGTTTTTGCCCATTCAGTATGATATTGGCTGTGGGTTTGCGATAAATAGCTCTTATTATTTTGAGATACGTCCCATCCAATACCTAATTTATTGAGAGTTTTTAGCATGAAGGGCTGTTGAATTTTGTCAAAGGCCTTTTCTGCATCTATTGAGATAATCACATGGTTTTTGTCTTTGGTTCTGTTTATATGCTGGATTACATTTATTGATTTGCATAGGTTGAGCCAGCCTTGCATTCCAGGGATGAAGCCCACTTGATCATGGTGGATAAGCTTTTTGATGTGCTGCTGGATTCAGTTTGCCAGTATTTTATTGAGGATTTTTGCATCGATGTTCATCAGGGATATTGGTCTAAAATTCTCTTTTTTTGTTGTGTCTCTGCCTGGCTTTGGTATCAGGATGATGCTGGCCTCATAAAATGAGTTAGGGAGGATTCCCTCTCTTTCTATTGATTGGAATAGTTTCAGAAGGAATGGTACCAGCTCCTCCTTGTACCTCTGGTAGAATTCGGCTGTGAATCCATCTGGTCCTGGACTTTTTGTCGTTGGTAAGCTATTAATTACTGCCTCAATTTCAGAGCCTGTTATTGGTCTATTCAGGGATTCAACTTCTTCCTGGTTTAGTCTTGGGAGGGTGTATGTGTCCAGGAATTTATCCATTTCTTCTAGATTTTCTAGTTTATTTGTGTAGAGGTGTTTATAGTATTCTCTGATGGTAGTTTGTATTTCTGTGGGATCGGTGGTGATATCCCCTTCATCATTTTTTATTGCATCTATTTTATTCTTCTCTCTTTTCTTCTTTGTTAGTCTTGCTAGCGGTCTATCAATTTTGTTGGTCTTTTCAAAAAACCAACCCCTGGATTCATTGATTTTTTGAAGGGTTTTTTGTGTCTCTATTTCCTTCAGTTTTGCTCTGATCTTAGTTATTTCTTGCCTTCTGCTAGCTTTTGAATGTGTTTGCTCTTGCTTCTCTAGTTCTTTTAATTTTGGTGTTAGGGTGTCAATTCTAGATCTTTCCTGCTTTCTCTTGTGGGCATTTAGTGCTATAAATGTCCCTCTACACACTACTTTGAATGTGTCCCAGAGATTCTGGTACGTTGTGTCTTTGTTCTTGTTGGTTTCAAAGAACATCTTTATTTCTGCCTTCATTTCATTATGTACCCAGTAGTCATTCAGGAGCAGGTTGTTCAGTTTCCATGTAGTTGAGCAGTTTTGAGTGAGTTTTTCTAATCCTGAGTTCTAGTTTGATTGCACTGTGGTCTGAGAGACAGTTTGTTATAATTTCTGTTCTTTTACATTTGCTGAGGAGTGCTTTACTTCCAAGTATGTGGTCAATTTTGGAATAAGTGTGATGTGGTGCTGAGAAAAATGTATATTCTGTTGATTTTGGGTGGAGAGTTCTATGGATGTCTATTAGGTCCACTTGGTGCAGATGTGAGTTCAATTCCTGGATATCCTTGTTAACTTTCTGTCTCGTTGATCTGTCTAATGTTGACAGTGGGGTGTTAAAGTTTCCCATTATTATTGTGTGGGAGTCTAAGTCTCTTTATAGGTCTCTAAGGATTTGCTTTATGAATGTGGGTGCTCGCGTAGTGGATGCATACATATTTAGGATAGTTCGCTCTTCTTGTAGTTGATGCCTTTACCATTATGTAATGGTCTTTTTTGTCTTTTTTGATCTTTGATGTTTAAAGTCTGTCTTATCAGAGACTAGGATTGCAACCCCTCCCTTTTTTTGTTTTCCATTTACTTGTTTGATCTTCCTCCATCCCTTTATTTTGAGCTTATGTGTGTCTCTGCATGTGAGATGGGTTTCCTGAATACAGCACACTGATGGGTCTTGACTCTTTATCCAATTTGCCAGTCTGTGTCTTTTAATTGGAGCATTTAGCCCATTTACATTTAAGGTTAATATTGTTATGTGTGAATTTGATCCTGTCATTATGATGTTAGCTGGTTATTTTGCTCGTTAGTTGATGCAGTTTCTTCCTAGCATCGATGGTCTTTACAGTTTGGCATGTTTTTGCAGCGGCTGGTACCTGTTGTTCCTTTCCATGTTTAGTGCTTCCTTCAGGAGCTCTTGTAGGGCAGGCCTGGTGGTGACAAAATCTCTCAGCATTTGCTTGTCTGTAAAGTATTTTATTTCTCCTTCACTTATGAAGCTTAGTTTGTCTGGATATGAAATTCTGGGTTGAAAATTCTTTTCTTTAAGAATGTTGAATATTGGCCCCCACTCTCTTCTGGCTTGTAGAGTTTCTGCCAAGAGATCTGCTGTTAGTTTGATTGGCTTCCCTTTGTGGGTAACCCAACCTTTCTCTCTGGCTGCCCTTAACATTGTTTCCTTCATTTCAACTTTGGTGAATCTGACAATTATGTGTCTTGGAGTTGCTCTTCTTGAGGAGTATCTTTGTGGCATTCTCTGTATTTCCTGAATTTAAATGTTGGCCTGCCTTGCTAGATTGGGGAAGTTCTCCTGGATAGTATTCTGCAGAGTGTTTTCCAACTTGGTTCCATTCTCCCCGTCACTTTCAGGTACACCAGTCAGATGTAGATTTGGTCTTTTCACATAGTCCCATATTTCTTGGAGGCTTTTTTCATTTCTTTTTATTGTTTTTTCTCTAAACTTCTCTTCTTGCTTCATTTCATTCATTTGATCTTCAATCACTGATACCCTTTCTTCCAGTTGATTGAATCGGCTACTGAGGCTTGTGCATTCATCATGTAGTTCTTGTGCCTTGGTTTTCAGCTCCATCAGGTCCTTTAAGGGTTTCTCTGCACTGGTTATTCTAGTTAGCCATTCGTCTAATTTTTTTTCAAGGTTTTTAACTTCTTTGCCATGGGTTCGAACTTCCTCCTTTAGCTCAGAGTAGTTTGATCATCTGAAGTCTTCTTCTCTCAACTCATCAAAGTCATTCTCCATCCAGCTTTGTTCCATTGCTGGTTAGGAGCTGCGTTCCTTTGGAGGAGGAGAGGCACTTTGATTTTTAGAGTTTCCAGTTTTTCTTCTCTGTTTTTTCCCCACCTTTGTGGTTTTATCTACCTTTGGTCTTTGATGATGGTGACATACAGATGGGGTTTTGGTGTGGATGTCCTTTTTGTTTGTTAGTTTTCCTTCTAACAGTGAGGACCCTCAGCTGCAGGTTTGTTGGAGTTTGCTGGAGGTCCACTCCAGACCCTGTTTGCCTGGGTATCAACAGCAGAGGCTGCAGAACAGCGGATATTGGTGAGCAGCAAATGTTGCTGCCTGATCATTCCTCTGGAAGTTTTGTCTCAGGGGAGGACCTGGCCATGTGAGGTGTCAGTCTGCCCTACTGGGGTTGCCTCACATTTAGGCTACTCAGGGGTCAGGGACCCACTTGAGGAGGCAGTCTGTCTATTCTCAGATCTCCAGCTGTGTGCTGGGAGAACCACTACTCTCTTCAAAGCTGTCAGACAGGGACATTTAAGTCTGCAGAGGATTCTGCTCCCTTTTGTTTGGCTATGCCCTGCCCCCAGAGGTGGAGTCTACAGAGGCAGACAGGCCTCCTTGAGCTGCGGTGGGCTCCACCCAGTTCAAGCTTCCAGGCTGCTTTGTTTACCTACTCAAGCCTCGGCAATGGCGGGCGCCCCTCCACCAGCCTCACTGCCACCTTGCAGTTTGATCTCACACTGCTGCGCTATCAATGAGCGAGGCTCTGTGGGCGTACGACCCTCCGGGCCAGGCACAGGATATAATCTGCTGGTGTGCCGTTTGCTAAAACCATTGGAAAAGCACAGTATTAGCTTGGGAGTGACCCGATTTTCCAGGTGCTGTCTGTCACCCCTTTCTTTGACTAGGAAAGGGAATTTCCTGACCCTTTGCACTTCCTGGGTGAGGCGATGCCTCACCCTGCTTTGGCTCATGCTCAGTGTGCTGCACCCACTGTCCTGCACCCCCTTTCTGACACTCCCCAGTGAGATGAACCTGGCACCTCAGTTGGAAATGCAGAAATCACCTGTCTTCTGCATCGCTCATGCTGGGAGCTGTAGACTGGAGCTGTTCCTATTCGGCCATCTTGGCTCCAATCATCTGGCTAGTTATTCTTTACATAACTTTGCCAGCTCCACAGATGTGATTGAGTTCATGACAATTTTCCCTGGCTAAGTTTCTGGAATGCAGGTGAAAGCCAATAAAAGTTAGATCATATTTCTGAGGTATGCTGTAGCTTGTTTAGAACCCAACCTGCATGTCAATAATAATCTTTTAAATCACCTTATGAATAGGAACTTATGAGAGAGCTAAACAACTTATGAGTTTGGTAATGAATGTTGCTAAATCATTTATTCTTTCAAGTTTCATTCAATAAATATACAAAGATGAATACAAGATGATGTGTTTACTTAAGGTATCTGTAATCCAGCGGGGAAACATTTTTTTGACAGAAGACATTTTTTGATTGCCCATTATATTTCAAGCTCTAAGAAAGAGATATAACAATAGTAAATGATATATTTTCTATTTTCAAAGAGCTTGTAGATTGAATGGAGAGATGGTGACCTGACAGGTATTAACAAAAAGTGTATAAAGGAAATAAGCCCAAGGATGCACATAGGCAAGAAATCTAACCTAGATTCTGGACATGGGTTTATGAGGATCTGGGGGGAAATATCACCTCTAATGACAGTTTTGCAGAAAATGCAAAAGCCTAGGAGTCCAGGAGATAGAAAAGGCATAGAGACATTTCAGGCAGAGCAAAAAACTTATTGTAAAATCATGAAGACATGAAAGGATATTGAATCATAGTTAGAAAGTGTTAAGGTATTTCATTGTGGCTGAAATATAGGATATTTGGAAGAGATGTAAAGGGATTGAGGCCAGCAGCTCGTTTGGGGACATGAAAGGTATTGCATGTCATGCTACAAAGCTTTGATTTTGTCCCTTAAGAAGCATACATAGGGCCAGCTGAAGTCTTCAAGCAGAGGAGGGATTCTGAGTAGAGACTCACATTAGAATACACAGGAATCCATGGAGACAGTACAAGGAAGAGATGATAAGGTCTAGATGAAGATAAGAACAGGAAGAATGGAGAGGAAGGAGTCGAGTTAAAATTTCTAGTGGGTAGAATCAATGGAACTTCATCATTAGTTGAGTGTGTCTGGTAAGAGAGATGGAGAGGTCGAAGATGGCTCTTTGTCAGTCTTGGGTGACTAGAGGCATAGTGATGCCACTAAATAAGGGGATTCAAGATGAAAAATAGATTTTTGACAGAGGAAATTTATTTTAAGTTTGAGGTACTAGTAATAAATATTCTGCAGATGCCTATACAGAATTCATTTAAATTAAGAAACTGACACAGAGTCAGCATTTATTTCTTTCTATTCCTAACACTGCCAACCTAAAGAGTGTCTTAATCCGTTGTCATTAAAAGACCGTAAGGCCCCCAAGAGAGGATTGCAATATCTTCTCCGTAAGTCCAAAGTTTATGGGAAAAATGTGTAACTATCTGAACATTGAAGAAAGTTGCTGTTTTGTAGTCTCCCTCTGTGATTTCCAATTCTTTATAGATCCTTTTATTTGAACTTTTAATCTTTGGTGTTGCTTTTCTTTTGTCTCTCTCCAAGTTTTCTTATCCTTCTTTAGTTTCTGGACCTTGAACTGGATATAGTACTATCCTAAGTGCCTGACCAAGGCCCAACGGGACCATTGCTTCACAGGTCTTGCATATTATGTTCTTGTTAGTGCATTCCTCTATCTTGCTTGATTTAAAAATAATAGCAGTGTGCTGCTGACTCATATTCAGTTCATAATTCACAATGGCACCTTCCAGCCTCTGTGGCAAACCCATTCTTCCGCATCCTGAATTCATGTCAGGTATTTGTTTTTCTTTCTTGATTGCCTTCCTGTTAAGTATTTGTTGTTACTTCTATTATTTTTCAAGATCATTTTGGGTTCAATTCTATCTTCAAAGGAGCTAGGCATCATTCTCACTTTTGTGTGTTAATTCAATTCCAAAGTATTAAGTATTATTTTTGAGCCACTCTAAATCAGCAATAAACAGGTGGGGTGCATATGCCGGTGACTAGGGCAGGATTTGAGAGGCTCAGTGCCTCTTTCTCCTGCGGCACCTTAGAGAGGTGGCTTTACTCATTGTTCTCTTGTCACATACCAACCAGAAAAAGGAATCAGATGTAATCAAATGCTGTAAAAACAAAATAAAATTCTTGTCACATTAGAGTATTCAAAAACATTAGTTTCCTTTCCTTTTATACTATCTGAAAAAAAAACAGATGTTATTTAATCTCTACTAAGAAAATAAGTGTTCTTATAAGTCATAAGTTAAAATACCTTGAATTATTGAGTTTATAGATTGTCAGAATGTAATTCATCTTAATCTGTAGGTAAATTTATGCCACTGGAAAGGAGAGAGTGCTCTCATTCTATGGGTAAGCCAACAATCAACAAAATTATATGAACAAAGTCATAGAAATATGGTATTATCCACACATTAGAGTGTATGTCCTTTGTGCTAAATAATATTTTAAACATCTCTAAATAGGCCTTCAAAATCATCACTCTAAATACATATGTATTTCATCAGGTAGATATACAATTATGTCCATAATTGATCATCATCCAAATTTTTGGCCCGTGGCTGATATTAATTTTCCCACAATTGTAAAACAAAATTTGTGCACTAAGCATTTTTAAAAGAGCTAGGAGGTAATGTTTTCAATGAATAAATTACACTGAACAAAAATACATTTATCCTATTTAATAAATTCACTAGTCATGCTTTTGTATATCTAAGAATTAAAATATACACTGAATATCTCAGATGAAAATTTTGTAATTAAGTACCACTTTTCCTCACAAAATCTGAAAAACCTTAAAGAGATTATTCATTCAACAAGTATTTATTGGGCACCTACTATGTCCAGGCATTCTGTAAATTGTCCAGAACACAAATTTGAATAAGAAATAGTCATCACCTTTTAAGAACATTCAGTCTTGTCAGAACACAGGCATATGTCAACAGACACTGAAGTGAAAAATGTTGAATGTTATAATACAGAAATGTGCAAGGTGTTATGGGAACACTTTTATGAACCTAGCTTCATGCTTGCCTTCTAAAAGCCCATCTGAGATAACAACTTACACCACTCATTGTCCAGAGTACTCACACGCAAATACTAATTATCATGTGTAGTGAGTGTCACTTTTAAGTTCCAAGCATCTGCTTATTTCCCCTCCTTTCTTCTCATTCTCCTTTCTTCCCTCCCTTTTTTTTTCAAAATTTATTTATTAAAACTATGGTCAGGCTGTGTAGCACAGCCTGTGTACACAGTACCATAGAATATAAAGAAACAAGGCAGTCACAGTCTTTAAAGAGCTTATGATAGTATGGAGGAATACAAGAAGTAAACAAATAATTATGATATGAGAAACAGGAGGCCAAAGCAGGAAGCCCAAGACCCCTGGTCCTGCTTCCATAGGACAGCTCTATTTTTATCTGTTTTGGAATTAGCTGGGCGTCGTGGCACGCGCCTGTAGTCCCAGCAACTCGGGAGGCTGAGGCAGGAGAATTGCTTGAACCCTGGAGGTGGAGGTTGCAGTGAGCCAAGATCGCGCCACTGCACTCCAGCCTTGGCGACAGAGCAAGACTCCATCTCAAAATAAATAAATAAATAAATTAAATTAAATTTTGACATTTTGTTAAAGATTTTATTAAAAACCTATGTATATGCCCAGGGCTCTTCTGCTTAAATTTGAGTATGAGAACTAGTATATTGTACTATGTAATTTCTTTACACTTATACAACTTAGAATTGAATTTAAATATGAAAAACTGAAAATATTTTTTAGTGTTGGCAGAAATCCTATTCTATTGGGTTACAATCTTGAACAAATTTGCTGATGCTATATATTGAGTTTTATTGCTCTCTCACTTTGACATTTAAATTTCAGTCATTCAAAGAAAGCAAAGGTTGTTAAAATTGTTGCTATATGGTTTCCACATGGTAGTGGTGCATTGACAGTAGTGCCTGGACTAAGATCTCAGTAACTTGACTGTAGATGTGATCTTGGCATTGCTCTAAGATTTGACTCAGCAACACCCCTTATATATGGTTCAGTGGGCAGTGCCAACTTCTTGGACCCACATTAAATTCAGTACTGGTTTCTGTGTTCCAGAGCCCTAAAACATAAGAAGACTGAGTCAATTATTTTCATTATGTAACTACACATTAAAAATATTAAGTTAATTCATTTACTAAAGTTTACTTGTTTCTACTTCACATAAAAGGGTCTAAATATTTAAATCCAGACATCAATTAACATCACTAATTGGGTTTGAATCAAAGACTCCATGTAAAGATATTCTGATATTAAGATGATTTATATCCTTGCATTATTTCTAGGAAAAAGCCCTCCCCTGCCCCCTACTCCAAGGTAAATCGATAATACAGTATCGTTAATTGACTAACACCTTAATAGGTATTTAAAATAATTTATTTCTTCATTTAATATCATGATTTCTACTCTTTCAACTTCACCAAAGCCAGTAATTTCTTTCTATTAAGGATAAAATTATTCATTTCTTTTGTAGAAGGGATCTATTGATTTATGTCAATTTATTTTGAAACATGTATGAAATAAATACAAATAAATAAACATCTGCTCTGGGTCCTGCCCAAATCACTAAGAGCAGCTTGCAGACCTGGAATTATTTCTGCTGGCTGCAATCAGGATAGGGTTGGCTGAGAAGGGCATCTTCTTGTGAATCTTTATTCCAAACTCATAAACACTTTCATTGATAGGAAGCTTTATAGCTCCAAAATGCTTTGCAACTCTTAATTGGTTGATCACATCTTTAGCCTCAAGGGCTCTGAGTAATTTAAACCTTTTTTTTTTTTTTTGTAGTTTGCAGCATTCATTATAGCAGTATTTATTTTGAGCTCTTGATCTTGGTTTTATTTGGATATGTTTCACTTGGATAAATGTTTGTAGTTATTTTTCTTTTTTCTAATTTTGCTAGGATGCCCAAGGGGCTTGGGATAAGGCTGCCTATAAATTAATATAAAAATGAACTACATTTGTATTGTTTGTCATCTGCCAGAATGCCATTTGGAATCCTCTCTTGGAATATGAATCTCCCCAATACTCACCACAGAGGAATTCAGGTGCAAAAGTAAACACAGAGTTCTAGTATCAGCATCCATTTAGCTAGGGGGAAGTGGGAAAATGTTATGCCTATTATTATTGCAAACAGATTGTTCACTGTATGCTATTTGAAATGGAAAGGCAGTGAGTGATTTAAGAATTTGTATTTTAAGTTATCAAGTAACTTACACATCCACAGTTTGGCTTCTTCAAGGTTGTGAAACCACAGCCAAAACAGAAATGAAACCTTCACTATGCCGGAAAGCAATTCAAGCAGCAATGGGTGGTTTTCTATTTTCTAATGTGCCAAGATCTTTCTCCTCTTGGTTCTCACTTACGCAAACACCATGAAAAAATGTTTGGTGGCTGTTTGGTGAGCGATGTGGCTACTTGAGACAGAAAAAAACAAAAAAACAAAAAAACCTCCCACTTTTACATCACAAATGACATTTTTAGTGCTAATTGGTGGTGTGGAGAAGACCAGATGGCTCCCGGGTGTCAGCATAGTTGGGCCATAGCGAATCCTGCCTGCCTGCACTGTGGATCTGGCTATAGCTGCATTTCTACATCTGTTGGGTTCATACATGATCTATGTTCAACAAATAGCTCGTTCTGTATCTGGGCCTGGATCTTAAATGTGTGTGTTAACTCAAGGAGGCCTCATTCCAGCTGGCGATGGTGTGTGGATTGTCAAATGCAGAATTTCATCTGAACTGGGACTAACATGATCTGAAGCACATTTACATTGATGCCGGAAGACTGGAGTCACAACAGCTAAATTGAAAGATTGTTTCATGATGGATTATACAAGACACTGTTTTTCTAAAAAAAAAAAAAATGTTTTCTATCACATGAAGGCCAGAGATCACATAATTTCTGTTCAGGATCATCCATCAAGCCGACTTACTCTCACCAAAAGGCTAAATTGCCAAAAAATGGAGTGTCAGAAAGGACTTCACCATTTGGGATTATGTGTAATGCTTACCATAACCTAATGACTCTGAAGATGGCTGGGTGCCCTGCACCTCAGGCTGAGATCTAATTTTATTGAAATCAAGTATAAGACATCAGAATGAATGCACCAAATCCAACAAACAGTTGTTTAATGACATTTCAGAATAGAAACTTCTTTTAGGTGCTTTTTGGGATAAATAAAATCTAAGTACCCAATTTTCAGGGTACTTGAATTCAGTTGAATGAAGACATTGACAAGGATAGGTAAGAAATTGCAGTTAAATATGTTTACCTAATAAACTTGGGACTATGTGGTGGTGGCGGCAATGGTTGAACCTTGGGCAGAAGGCAAACTTTTATCAGAGCTGGTCTTGAAGCTTCATTATAGTGTTTTGTTCTTCATGGTACATTCTCAGGTATTGTACTGTTACGCTAAACACTGAAAAGAGCCAGGCAGCAATATTATTGAGGCCACTAAAAGCAGAATTGAATAATTGACACAAGAATTTTGGAAAAAAGAAGAAAATAGAGTCATCTCAGTTATAAAGCTAACTTCTAATGAGAGCCTTGGGATCAACATATTTAAGTTTTGAAAAAAATGCTTTCCCCTCATATTCTAATTAACATTTCACAGACCCATTCTTAGAAAACCTGTGAACATTTAATCTTCATATCTATTCATTATATAGGAAGACTATAGACAAAATTAGTAAATAATGTTTTTTTAAAATTATACAAGATAAATTTTATTTTATTTTATTTTATTTTATTTTTTTATTTTTATTTTTTTTTATTATACTCTAAGTTTTAGGGTATATGTGCACATTGTGCAGGTTAGTTACATATGTATACATGTGCCATGCTGGTGCGCTGCACCCACTAATGTGTCGTCTAGCATTAGGTATATCTCCCAATGCTATCCCTCCCACCTCCCCCGACCCCACCACAGTCCCCAGAGTGTGATATTCCCCTTCCTGTGTCCATGTGATCTCATTGTTCAATTCCCACCTATGAGTGAGAATATGCGGTGTTTGGTTTTTCGTTCTTGCGATAGTTTACTGAGAATGATGGTTTCCAATTTCATCCATGTCCCTACAAAGGATATGAACTCATCATTTTTTATGGCTGCATAGTATTCCATGGTGTATATGTGCCACATTTTCTTAATCCAGTCTATCATTGTTGGACATTTGGGTTGGTTCCAAGACTTTGCTATTGTGAATAGTGCCGCAATAAACATACGTGTGCATGTGTCTTTATAGCAGCATGATTTATACTCATTTGGGTATATACCCAGTAATGGGATGGCTGGGTCAAATGGTATTTCTAGTTCTAGAACCCTGAGGAATCGCCACACTGACTTCCACAATGGTTGAACTAGTTTACAGTCCCACCAACAGTGTAAAAGTGTTCCTATTTCTCCGCATCCTCTCCAGCACCTGTTGTTTCCTGACTTTTTAATGATTGCCATTCTAACTGGTGTGAGATGATATCTCATAGTGGTTTTGATTTGCATTTCTCTTATGGCCAGTGATGATGAGCATTTCTTCATGTGTTTTTTGGCTGCATAAATGTCTTCTTTTGAGAAGTGTCTGTTCATGTCCTTCGCCCACTTTTTGATGGGATTGTTTGTTTTTTTCTTGTAAATTTGTTTGAGTTCATTGTAGATTCTGGATATTAGCCCTTTGTCAGATGAGTAGGTTGCGAAAATTTTCTCCCATGTTGTAGGTTGCCTGTTCGCTCTGATGGTAGTTTCTTTTGCTGTGCAGAAGCTCTTTAGTTTAATTAGATCCCATTTGTCAATTTTGTCTTTTGTTGCCATTGCTTTTGCTGTTTTGGACATGAAGTCCTTGCCCACGCCTATGTCCTGAATGGTAATGCCTAGGTTTTCTTCTAGGGTTTTTATGGTTTTAGGTTTAACGTTTAAATCTTTAATCCATCTTGAATTGATTTTTGTATAAGGTGTAAGGAAGGGATCCAGTTTCAGCTTTCTACATATGGCTAGCCAGTTTTCCCAGCACCATTTATTAAATAGGGAATCCTTTCCCCATTGCTTGTTTTTCCCAGGTTTGTCAAAGATCAGATAGTTGTAGATATGCAGCATTATTTCTGAGGGCTCTGTTCTGTTCCATTGATCTATATCTCTGTTTTGGTACCAGTACCATGCTGTTTTGGTTACTGTAGCCTTGTAGTATAGTTTGAAGTCAGGTAGTGTGATGCCTCCAGCTTTGTTCTTTTGGCTTAGGATTGACTTGGCAATGCGGGCTCTTTTTTGGTTCCATATGAACTTTAAAGTAGTTTTTTCCAATTCTGTGAAGAAAGTCATTGGTAGCTTGATGGGGATGGCATTGAATCTATAAATTACCTTGGGCAGCATGACCATTTTCACGATATTGATTCTTCCTACCCATGAGCATGGAATGTTCTTCCATTTGTTTGTGTCCTCTTTTATTTCCTTGAGCAGTGGTTTGTAGTTCTCCTTGAAGAGCTCCTTCACATCCCTTGTAAGTTGGATTCCTAGGTATTTTATTCTCTTTGAAGCAATTGTGAATGGGAGTTCACCCATGATTTGGCTCTCTGTTTGTCTGTTGTTGGTGTATAAGAATGCTTGTGATTTTTGTACATTGATTTTGTATCCTGAGACTTTGCTGAAGTTGCTTATCAGCTTAAGGAGATTTTGGGCTGAGACGATGGGGTTTTCTAGATAAACAATCATGTCGTCTGCAAACAGGGACAATTTGACTTCCTCTTTTCCTAATTGAATACCCTTTATTTCCTTCTCCTGCCTGATTGCCCTGGCCAGAACTTCCAACACTATGTTGAATAGGAGCGGTGAGAGAGGGCATCCCTGTCTTGTGCCAATTTTCAAAGGGAATGCTTCCAGTTTTTGCCCATTCAGTATGATATTGGCTGTGGGTTTGTCATAGATAGCTCTTATTATTTTGAAATACGTCCCATCAATACCTAATTTATTGAGAGTTTTTAGCATGAAGGGTTGTTGAATTTTGTCAAAGGCTTTTTCTGCATCTATTGAGATAATCATGTGGTTTTTGTCTTTGGCTGTGTTTATATGCTGGATTACATTTATTGATTTGCATATATTGAACCAGCCTTGCATCCCAGGGATGAAGCCCACTTGATCATGGTGGATAAGCTTTTTGATGTGCTGCTGGATTTGGTTTGCCAGTATTTTATTGAGGATTTTTGCATCAATGTTCATCAAGGATATTGGTCTAAAATTCTCTTTTTTGGTTGTGTCTCTGCCAGGCTTTGGTATCAGAATGATGCTGGCCTCATAAAATGAGTGAGGGAGGATTCCCTCTTTTTCTATTGATTGGAATAGTTTCAGAAGGAATGGTACCAGTTCCTCCTTTTACCTCTGGTAGAATTCGGCTGTGAATCCATCTGGTCCTGGACTCTTTTTGGTTGGTAAACTATTGATTATTGCCACAATTTCAGCTCCTGTTATTGGTCTATTCCGAGATTCAACTTCTTCCTGGTTTAGTCTTGGGAGAGTGTATGTGTCGAGGAATGTATCCATTTCTTCTAGATTTTCTAGTTTATTTGCGTAGAGGTGTTTGTAGTATTCTCTGATGGTAGTTTGTATTTCTGTGGGATCGGTGGTGATATCCCCTTTATCATTTTTTATTGTGTCTATTTGATTCTTCTCTCTTTTTTTCTTTATTAGTCTTGCTAGCGGTCTATCAATTTTGTTGATCCTTTCAAAAAACCAGCTCCTGGATTCATTGATTTTTTGAAGGGTTTTTTGTGTCTCTATTTCCTTCAGTTCTGCTCTGATTTTAGTTATTTCTTGCCTTCTGCTAGCTTTTGAATGTGTTTGCTCTTGCTTTTCTAGTTCTTTTAATTGTGATGTTAGGGTGTCAATTTTGGATCTTTCCTGCTTTCTCTTGTAGGCATTTAGTGCTATAAATTTCCCTCTACACACTGCTTTGAATGCGTCCCAGAGATTCTGGTATGTGGTGTCTTTGTTCTCGTTGGTTTCAAAGAACATCTTTATTTCTGCCTTCATTTCATTATGTACCCAGTAGTCATTCAGGAGCAGGTTGTTCAGTTTCCATGTAGTTGAGTGGCTTTGAGTGAGATTCTTAATCCTGAGTTCTAGTTTGATTGCACTGTGGTCTGAGAGATAGTTTGTTATAATTTCTGTTCTTTTACATTTGCTGAGGAGAGCTTTACTTCCAACTATGTGGTCAATTTTGGAATAGGTGTGGTGTGGTGCTGAAAAAAATGTATATTCTGTTGATTTGGGGTGGAGAGTTCTGTAGATGTCTATTAGGTCTGCTTGGTGCAGAGCTGAGTTCAATTCCTGGGTATCCTTGTTGACTTTCTGTCTCGTTGATCTGTCTATTGTTGACAGTGGGGTGTTAAAGTCTCCCATTATTAATGTGTGGGAGTCTAAGTCTCTTTGTAGGTCACTGAGGACTTGCTTTATGAATCTATGTGCTCCTGTATTGGGTGCATAAATATTTAGGATAGTTAGCTCCTCTTGTTGAATTGATCCCTTTACCATTATGTAATGGCCTTCTTTGTCTCTTTTGATCTTTGTTGGTTTAAAGTCTGTTTTATCAGAGACTAGGATTGCAACCCCTGCCTTTTTTTGTTTTCCATTGGCTTGGTAGATCGTCCTCCATCCTTTTATTTTGAGCCTATGTGTGTCTCTGCACGTGAGATGGGTTTCCTGAATACAGCACACTGATGGGTCTTGACTCTTTATCCAACTTGCCAGTCTGTGTCTTTTAATTGCAGAATTTAGTCCATTTATATTTAAAGTTAATATTGTTATGTGTGAATTTGATCCTGTCATTATGATGTTAGCTGGTGATTTTGCTCATTAGTTGATGCAGTTTCTTCCTAGTCTCGATGGTCTTTACATTTTGGCATGATTTTGCAGCGGCTGGTACCGGTTGTTCCTTTCCATGTTTAGCGCTTCCTTCAGGAGCTCTTTTAGGGCAGGCCTGGTGGTGACAAAATCTCTCAGCATTTGCTTGTCTATAAAGTATTTTATTTCTCCTTCACTTATGAAGCTTAGTTTGGCTGGATATGAAATTCTGGGTTGAAAATTCTTTTCTTTAAGAATGTTGAATATTGGCCCCCACTCTCTTCTGGCTTGTAGGGTTTCTGCTGAGAGATCCGCTGTTAGTCTGATGGGCTTTCCTTTGAGGGTAACCCGACCTTTCTCTCTGGCTGCCCTTAACATTTTTTCCTTCATTTCAACTTTGGTGAATCTGACAATTATGTGTCTTGGAGTTGCTCTTCTCGAGGAGTATCTTTGTGGCGTTCTCTGTATTTCCTGAATCTGAACGTTGGCCTGCCTTGCTATATTGGGGAAGTTCTCCTGGATAATATCCTGCAGAGTGTTTTCCAACTTGGTTCCATTCTCCACATCACTTTCAGGTACACCAATCAGACGTAGATTTGGTCTTTTCACATAGTCCCATATTTCTTGGAGGCTTTGCTCATTTCTTTTTATTCTTTTTTCTCTAAACTTCCCTTCTTGCTTCATTTCATTCATTTCATCTTCCATTGCTGATACCCTTTCTTCCAGTTGATCGCATCGGCTCCTGAGGCTTCTGCATTCTTCACATAGTTCTTGAGCCTTGGTTTTCAGCTCCATCAGCTCCTTTAAGCACTTCTCTGTATTGGTTATTCTAGTTATACATTCTTCTAAATTTTTTTCAAAGTTTTCAACTTCTTTGCCTTTGGTTTGAATGTCCTCCCGTAGCTCAGAGTAATTTGATCGTCTGAAGCCTTCTTCTCTCAGCTCGTCAAAATCATTCTCCATCCAGCTTTGTTCTGTTGCTGGTGAGGAACTGCATTCCTTTGGAGGAGGAGAGGCGCTCTGCGTTTTAGAGTTTCCAGTTTTTCTGTTCTGTTTTTTCCCCATCTTTGTGGTTTTATCTACTTTTGGTCTTTGATGATGGTGATGTACATATGGGTTTTCGGTGTAGATGTCCTTTCTGGTTGTTAGTTTTCCTTCTAACAGACAGGACCCTCAGCTGCAGGTCTGTTGGAATACCCTGCTGTGTGAGGTGTCAGTGTGCCCCTGCTGGGGGGTGCCTCCCAGTTAGGCTGCTCGGGGGTCAGGGGTCAGGGACCCACTTGAGGAGGCAGTCTGCCCATTCTCAGATCTCCAGCTGCATGCTGGGAGAACCACTGCTCTCTTCAAAGCTGTCAGACAGGGACATTTAAGTCTGCAGAGGTTACTGCTGTCTTTTTGTTTGTCTGTGCCCTGCCCCCAGAGGTGGAGCCTACAGAGGCAGGCAGGCCTCCTTGAGCTGTGGTGGGCTCCACCCAGTTGGAGCTTCCCGGCTGCTTTGTTTACCTAAGCAAGCCTGGGCAATGGCGGGCGCCCCTCCCCCAGCTTTGTTGCCGCCTTGCAGTTTGATCTCAGACTGCTGTGCTAGCAATCAGCGAGATTCCGTGGGCGTAGGACCCTCTGAGCCAGGTGTGGGATATAGTCTCGTGGTGCGCCGTTTCTTAAGCCGGTCTGAAAAGCGCAATATTCGGGTGGGAGTGACCCGATTTTCCAGGTGCGTCCGTCACCCCTTTCTTTGACTCGGAAAGGGAACTCCCTGACCCCTTGCGCTTCCCAGGTGAGGCAATGCCTCGCCCTGCTTCGGCTCGCGCACGGTGCGCACACACACTGGCCTGCGCCCACTGTCTGGCACTCCCTAGTGAGATGAACCTGGTACCTCAGATGGAATTGCAGAAATCACCCGTCTTCTGCGTCGCTCACGCTGGGAGCTGTAGACCGGAGCTGTTCCTATTCGGCCATCTTGGCTCCTCCTATACAAGATAAATTTTAAGAGAAGGCATTAACAGGCTAAGATGACATTTTACTTTATTAAATTTGACTAAATCGTGAAGTAGGTATGGTGATAGCAAAGAAATTTTTGTAGTCTTACCAGACGAAAATGAATTATCTTACTAAATTGCATAAATATCCTGGCCTAACCCACTTGACCAATATCATCTTAAAGAATTGCAACATTCTATTCCAAATCAGCAAGTTTCACATTTGTATTTTGGTATTTCACTTTTGGTATTTTGTGCCTAAGCTCCTAAGTATACTTACAGAAAATATTCTTAGGAGCTCAGGCACAAAATACCAGAAGTTCTTTGATGAAGGACACATAATTATTAGAGTTACAAAATGTCATTCAGTGTGAACATGAGGCGTTTTTTGTTTGTTTCCTTGTTTTGTTTTGTTTGTTTGCTTTTGATATCAATCTGTCTTCTGGTTTATAGTTATGGTTTAATTATACTTATGGTTTAATTTAATTAATGGGAATTTAAACTGTTGGTCTGTCTAAATATTCCCAATAAATATGTAAATGAAACTACTGTTTTCTTTTAAAAAGTTTTTTTTTTTAATTGAATGATTTTAATGCCAGGAAGCAGATTATCTCCAGGGACTAACAAAAGTCTTGAGAAAGTCTTGTCTCTACAACAGGCAAGGCCTTATTTCTCTTTCGCATATTCTGGTTCCTACTGACTGAGAGATATCTTATTTCAGGATCTGGGACACTCTGCATGATTCAACCTGGGGGATATCAGGCAAGATAATGAGAGTCCAGTATTAATAAATCAATTCATTAGTGGCTTCAGGGTCCAAGAGAACCATTTTTAATAGCTGGTTTTATAAGTCATTAGAGTCTCACAAGTTCCTTTTCCTTAATTAACCCTCTGTGACTGTTGCCACATTTTTGTTTGGGGACTTAAGTGACTTAGGAAATAGCTGTGGCATAATGTCATTGGACTGAAACATGGGAGAGTTGACTTCTCTCACCTAAAAACTGATTGTTCTTGGACAGGTCTCTAAACCTCTCTGAGACTGAACGTTGCCATATAAAGCAAGAACATTGCTACCTACCTGATAAGGCTATTGCGAGGATTAATTGTGTTAAGTGTTCAAACTGAAGTGCTAGGCAAATACTAAATATAATTTGTCTTGTAAGATGAATGGCAAACAAAACAATATAACCTCAATTAAAATTAAAGCAATAGACAGATGTGGTTTCTTTAGTAGCTACTGTTTTTAGTTGATATATTGTAATGTACTTTCTGCTTGAATTTTGAGATTGGTATTCTTAAGCTGTTTCTTAAATTGAATCTGCTGCCTAAATTTAAAAATGCTGTCTTCTTCTCTCAGATATTCTAATATCTCACTCATCCTCTTACAAGTAGGGATAAAATTATGAAAATTCTAAAAAATGTAGCAGACACTCAACTTGTGTTCTTCAACCCACCTTCTATACTGACCTTTAAGGCTGGAGTTGTTTAAGTGGGTAAGTTGGAAAGACATCCATAGACCTCTCTATTTTACTGAATACTTGTACTCAGTGGCTGGAAGCTGGAGTTCTCTGAGGCTGACTGGCACAGTAACATGAATATTCAACAACTGTAGCTCTCTCTTGGGCTATGAAGTGTGGGCTAGACCTTGTAACCTCTAGACCACTTGGTAGTGTTTGTGGAGTGTTACATTGCAGAAGTAAACCCCTTACTTTATAAGCAAAGGAATTGGATTATTTTTTTCTTAGGTGGTGTGGTGGACTGAATTCGACAGAAAAGCAGATAGAAAGGGGGACCAACATCTTGGGTGAAAGAAACAGACTCCCTCTTAGTAAGGGTCTCCCTGCTATGAGACTGCTACACTCTTGCTGTCGTCTTTGTGAGTGTACACTATATGACCCCTGCCTTTAGAGAGCACCTTGGCAATGTAACACTCAGACTCTTTGGCATTCAAGTACCTCTTTAAAAAAAATGAGTTTTGGAACCGGATCCTTGCACTTTCCTAGCATGCACTTCCAAAATACCATCCTGCATTTGACCCACAAGACTAAACCTCTGTCATCCCTTCAGCAAACATCCAGGTGATATGTCCTTTATCAGATTACACATACTTAAGCCAACGTGTTTAATGGAAAATAAAAAACAAGCATAACAGATTTTTTTAGTAGGATAATATGATTTTCTGTTATCCTATACTTTGCTAGATGTAATCCATACACAGAAACAACAGACATTATACTTCTGTCATTTCAATACATAGCAAAACAATTCCATAAGAATCAACTCTTGGCTGGGTTGCAGTTTATCAACTTGTTAGTGAACAACTTTAGCTTTTTCTCTTTGTATGTGTGAATGAATATGGCTTGAGGATTCCTCTGGGCACATTCTAGTTTTCCATAAAAAGGATTTGGAGAAAAAAAGTACTTGCTCTCCTTGGGAAACTTGTAGAAGTTTATGAAATACTAAATGAGAATATTAAGTCTGATATTTGAGGGTCATGATTTTGCTGTGCTGAAGATATTATTAAAGCTTTGCTTCATTTTTTGGCATCAGGAAGCTATGAAGATGAAAATGTCTCCTAAAATTTTCAAAGCCCTTTGTCTTCTGGCTGTTCTTTCACTATTTTCAGACCTGGCCTTTTAGCTAGAATGAAAATCCTGCAAAATACTTCCATTTATTTCTACTACATGTAATAAGCTTATTTATGTAGTTTTAAAAAATATACACAAAGTAGTTTGCAGTGTTTTTAATATTTCTTTCCTTTTTCCACCTCTCTCTACCAATTCTCATGAACGATTCCCTTTGCTTTTCAGTAAGTTGAAGGAGGGTAAATTAACAGCAGTTATCTCTTCCTAATACTTGGTAATCTTTTTGGAGAAAAGTTGTGTGGTCCACAGTGCTCTTGTTTAGCATTTGCTATAGATTTTGAAAGAGAAGAATATAAAAGGGCTATTTCACAAATCTATCCTGTACTCCTACTTCCAATGTACTGTGAAAATTTAGGAACATAGGAAACATAAGTCACAGTTTAATATGTATTTTACAGAAGCACTGAAATTTGTTCCACCCTTACCATTCCCTTTGAAAAATTTCCAAGATATATTGTTAGGTTAAAAAGCAAGTCTCATAGAAATCAAGTCCTTATTATTATAAGAATTAAATGATTTAGAATTTATGAAAGCGCTTGGTATAAATCCTGGCACATAGTAAGTACTAGATATATTTTGACTGTTGCTTTTATTATTTGCCATGATATGAATGTTTGTGACCTCCCAACATTCATATATTAAAATTCTAACCCTCAATGTATGGTATTAGGAGGTGGGGCCTTTTGGGAAGTGATTTGATCATAAAGGAAGAGCCCTAATAAATAGGATTTGTGTCCTTTATTATAATACCCTTCTGTATTAGTGCCCTTTTTATCAAGGCTTCATTTTTATTAGTGCCCTTTTGTAAAAGAGGCCCCAGAGAGCTTCTTTGTTCCTTTTACCGTATGAGGACACAGCAAGAAGACATCAACTATGAATCAGTAAGGGGACCCTCACTAGACACTGAATCTGCTGGAATCTTGGTCTTGGACTTCCCAGCCTCCAGAACTATTAGACATAAATTTCTCTTGTTTTTCAAATACCCGGTCTATGATATTTTGTTATAACAGCCCAAATGGACTAAGACATTATCTATATCTATAAATGCACAAAAAAGGTTTGGGAGGGTTACCTCTGGTGAAGGTGGTGGTATTGGGGGAAAGTGATTATTTCTGTATATAATGTGATTTTATAATCAACACATATTACTTGTTATTACTTTTGCATTAAAATAAACGAGCAGATAATATGTACTATTTGGTTGGAAAATACATATTTGTTTTTTGGTAATAGGAACTTTCTGTGATTTTGTGATTGACCAGATTACTCTGAGTTGGAGAGCAGAAAGTCAGCTTAACTTTGTCCTCACATGATAATACAAGAGACCAGGAGCTTGGTGCTCAAACCAGTAGAGCTGTCCAGGAGAAACTGTATCCAGCAAGGCTGCTTCCTCCACTTACTGTTGAGTAGGGCTGCTATGTCTAGGCGTGACATTTTTGCTGCTTGGCAGGAGAATTTTGTAGTTTGAACCAGAAAGGGTGGGTTTGTCCTTGTATACATTTGGGCAAACAGGGTTCTAATGTCTGAGAGGCTATAAGGGTAATGATTTCAGGCTCTAAAGTGAGCTAGTTAAGCCAAGGAGCTCTTCTCAAAAATATCATAGGAAAACCCTCTTTCGAGCAAGGTGGGCAAAATGATCTTTGATCTAATGCTGATGGGCCACAGATATGGAAACCCGAGCTTTACTCTTTCATGTAATTTGATGATTTAAATTTTATTATATAAAACTTTTATTATATGCATGTTGTATTAACATCATATTTCTATTGGTTGAAAATATTCATTTTCCATTTTAGTCAAATGAAAAGATAAATTATGGATGATAATTAAGCAGTCTCGGGTGATATATTAGTTGGACCACACATTGTCTTTACATTGCCTTTGTTAATTGTTTGTGGAACTCTTTTTCATTTCTTTGTATTCCCTTTACTTAGGAGGCTTTTCGTTTTCTGTTAGATTGTGAAAGTGAGAAGAGTTGCATATCTATGTATATTTACTAGGGATGCATTGTGATATAAAATTTTTGTGGCAAAGTGACTGTTTTAGCAGACGATGATTAAAATGTGAGTGCAGTTGATCAAAGAACTTGCTGATAATTACATGACTTTAACCTACCCTTTCAATGCACATTATTGAAAGGGTAGCCTGAGTTCTAAAGAAGCACAGGTCTAATCTTAATTACCTGCTGCTACCCATGAGATGATAGGATTGTTTAAATCTTTTTTTTGGGTCTTCAGTGGAGGCTGTGGGTTCATGGATTAATAGTCTCTAAATGCAAGAGAGGATGGAAAGCTTATTTCTCTTGCAAAATAACTATGACCCAGATTAGGCACCTCAAAGAATGAAAAAGAATAGAATAGATGACCTCTGGGATCAAGAAGACTTTCATATCTTCTGCATTAAAAGTTGTGGGTGTCTTCAAAGGCTTTAAAACAAATCATCCTTATTTTTAGCATAATTACATAAATTCAGTAAATATTCAAAACTTTCACTGAGAGTGGGAAATGAAATGTATTCTGGATGAGCTGAAAACATTCTATTGTGCAAAGAATTTTATGTTTTTAGCTTTCCAATTTGGCTGAGATTTATCATGTTTCAGCCAATAGATGGCTTAACATGTCAGCTAAGAAGGAATTGAGCTGAAGTGAACATGTAAAATAGTTTACTTTTAGTGATGAGAGTCCTCTGAAAATATATAACATTTAAGTAAGTCTAATGTAATGATATGTTGAATGTGCATCTATGAATACCAATGATTATTTCTGATTCAATGGATTTTTACCTTATTTTGCAAGTTGTTCTATATTTTCAGTGAAGCCTTTATGATGTTTCTTTCTGTTTTTGACTGCCTCTAAGCCATCAGTCATTATGTGGAAGTGTGACTTACTAATCAGCAAAACCAAGTACATGACTTCTAAATGTCCACGAAGGTTTACATGGAACAGTAACAGTCAGTCTTTGCTGATACAGGCTGTATCTTTATGACTGTTTTATAATTTACTTATGTATTTCAAACTCATGGGAAACTCACGCTTCAGAGGCAACTTCTAGCTTTTCAGGTAAACACCCTAGTTTGATAATGCAAAGCTATTTTTCCTTTAAGTTGATTTTTACTTTGTGTGTTTATTCCATTCTTAGTTTTGATGGATCACATAAAATGTAGCATACTGTCAAGAATTCAAAAGGATGTGTTTTCTGTCGATTCACAGCTAGGGCAGACTTGGTTGAAATGTGAGCTCCTTCATTTGACCTTCATGTAACCCTGACCTGGGAGGACAGCATATCTCTAGGGGTAGAAGATAATTTAATTTCCATGTATGTCAAGTCCTTCATTTCTTCTGTGTGGAGGCTGCAGAGAAGTGTCAAATTCTGCAGAATCAGGTGTTCTGTGTTGGAGATGAGGAATACATTCTCCAGGGGTTAGAGTTGAGACCACCAAGTAGACTTCATTTTAAGGCCTTAGGGGAACCCTGAAACCATAGATTGTGAAGATGGAAAATATTTCTTTACCCGCAAAACTATTCATCTTCCATTTCACTTTTAATATGTGTGCTCATGATAGTATCAACAAAGAAAGTTCCAAAGGTCACACTTACAACATCTAAGTTTATTATTTTATATTTTTCCAGCTGAAAACAATGGCTAAGAATTCCAGCGTGGTCAAACAGTGAAGTTTAACTATCTAACATATTCCCTGTGTTTTTCATCCCCAAAGAATTGTAGCACACTACTCATAAAGGTTAAATGTAGGAAACTCTGAAATATCTACAAGATAAGGCTAATTCCATTTCGCTACTTGAATTTCCTTTTTGTCCCATATATCTCTGGTTTATGGAATAGTTTATTATCCTGTAGAGCAATGAAAATTTCTAGAAGGACCAAAGTTAGTGACTTAACATGATTTAACACATCTGATTATGAAATTATAGTTATGCAAGTTCAGTGTAGGGTGATCTCATCTCCGTTTCATACTGCTAGCCTCTCTGTGGAACTCCAAGGTCATTATCCTACTGTAAGAAGTTCTCCATTCTTTTAAGTGAATTGTAGTAGCAAAGAAGGAAATGGTTTTAGAATGATCATTGGATGAGTCATGAGTAAGGAAGATACAAAGGGTAACTCCAGCTGAGAGGTACTTCGTAAAGTTTCTACTGGGTTGGCCATGGTAAACTCCTTCCACATTAAATTTAAAAAAAAATCTAATGAGTAACAGATTACTTGACTGTGATATCACTTGACAACAATTGTTACTTGACTGTGAAAATATCTTAGGTATTTAAATAACAAATGAAAATACTGAGGATTTTTTTTATTTCATGGGTAATATTTCATAGCATTTTACTTAGTCTCAGTTCCTAGCTGTGCTTCAGTTTGGTTTTGACTACAATTTTTGTGTGTTGTGAGGTGAAGAGAAAACTGAGAAAATGGGGAGGAGAAATAGTTGTTAAATCTCATTAATGAAAATAGGTCAAATGCTGTAAGAAACAACACCTAAATCCAAGAAGCTTAACACAATAAAAGTCTGCTTTTTGCTTTCATAGAAGTTCAATGTGGGTCAGGGGGACAGAAACTGCTCCTTGCAGTCACTCAGGGACCTAAGCTGTTCCCTGCTGTGGCTCTACATCTCTCATATATGGCAAGAAGTTTGCTTGATCTCATGAATTTGCAGTTAAAAGAGAAAGCTTCAAGAAGACACACTTGTCTTAACTACCTCTGTGCAAAAGTGAAATAAAAACCAAAGCAAAAACACCAGAAATCTACAAAATGTAGTATATCTTTGTATCTAGAAAGTGGAAAGTAATGTGTGAGCATATAGCCAATCTGTGTCACAGCTGGCAGGTAGGATGGAAAGTAAAGTAGGTTGAAAAGGGTCTTGTGAATGGGGTGGGGTGGATGGATGCTGGGGAGGTCAATGGAAAATATTGCATGTGTTCTATTTCCCTCCAAAATGATGGCAATTTATAAGTTTTATCTCTGTGAGCTTTTGCAATTTTGGAGGGAGGGGCAGCATTTTTGTGGTAATCCTTTCAAATTGTGGCAAGTATTTTCTCTTCAGATTTATGTAAACTAGTTCTGTGGTTTCCTTCTGAAAGTTCATGAAGACTCTGCCATCTGTTTGGTAAACTTATCCTTTCAAATATCCATAAGGTACTGACTTCTAAGACCAAGATCTGGGCATGGATGAAAACCAAGCCATTTGATGCATGTAATGGGTTGATGTAGTTAGAAGTAAGATATTCTTGTGCCATAATATTCTTCTGAATATGACAAATGTACATGTTATGTACATGGACCTTCAATGGAGGTCCTTCCAGGAAAGAGCCCTTGAGAGAGACAAAGATGTTTACTAAGGACTTAAACTAAAAATGGCAACATTTACAGTCCAGAAGGGGCTTAATCCTGACCTGACTCTTTCCAAGGATTCTGAAGTTAAAATGAATGGAAAATGTTAAAATATATTTTTATTCCAAATTGAAAATACTAGCTTTCCCTTCTCTTCATAGAAGTTATCCTCCTTATGAACCTTAAACTTGAAATTACAGGAATTGTTTTCTCAGCATTACATGATTTTATACACTTACAGAAAATTCTTAGTGACACTCACCTAAGTGCCACTGGAGAGATGTTTTAAATATTTGCTCTTTGCTTGCCAGAGATTATCAGCATTTGACTCTCAAACGTTGCATGTGAATATTGTGAATAAGAATATTTGAATTATTCCTTTGTAAGGAATTAGGGACATTAGGATCTGTTTAGAGACACCAGAATGTTCACTTGTTTTAATTGCAGTTAAACATAAGGCTAAATGTCCTGAAGTTGTTGGTGCTCTAGGAAAAGTCATCTTCAGTACAAACTCTTATGATTTAGAAAACTAATCTGATTATTATTTTTTCATAATCAACATGCGGTTTAGCAAGCAACTGTGTGTCTTCATGTGGTCTCTGGAACATATTTTTGGTTTACTTTTGCTTTTTGGATATAACTTTACATTTAAACATGTTGATAGTAAATCAGTATTGAATATTATTTTTAAAACACTTTTTAAAAAGTATTGCTTTTTAGCCATTGTATCCTGAGAACCACATATGTTACCATCTGATGGAAAATGTATTCCCAGTGGTGCATTGCAAAAATACAAGACCAGTTTTTTTTAAAGCAATTAATAAAAAAAAATCAGAGCAGACTGATGGTTATCTCTATAATATAGTCATTTCACCTACTAGAATTGTGTAATATTCACTTAGTGGGTGAGAAAGCAATGAAATTAAACTTGGCCTGGAGGAAAGAGCACATAATTCAGATACTGGTTGGTACATCTTTTATAGTTATGCAAACGTTTTGCATTCTTAAGGGAGTGACAATTACTGATCTGATTGTTAAAACTTAGCATATAAACTTTAGTAGTGATAATTGTGTTATGGCATTATCTACTTTACCTCTTCACATATTTTTTTTCCCTACTTTTATTGGAATCTGTGAATAAGTGACTAATGTTAACATTATCCATCATCTTTGTTATTTTAGAAAACAGATCTGGGCATGCTGTTGTAAAATATGTATTAGATGTCCAGGAATGTGACTTCAAAAAATGGAGCTGAACTTTTAATGAGTAACACTAATGTGTTTTCTCAATTTACCTTTAAATTGCATTCTTTAATAGAAATGTTTAGGCCAGGCTCAGTGGCTCAGTAATCCCAGCACTTTGGGAGGCCAAGGCAGGTGGATCATGAGGTCAGCAGCTCGAGACCAGCCTGGCATGGTGGAAAACCCTCTCTCCTAAAAGTATAAAAATTAGCCAGGCATGGTGGCACGTGCCTGTAGTCCCAGCTACTCAGGAGGCTGAGGCAGAAGAATCACTTGAACCTGGGAGGTGGAGGTTGCAGTGAGCTGAGCTTGCCCTACTGTACTCCAGCCTGGGTGACAGAGTGATGCTCCATCTCAAAAAAAAAAAAAAAATTATATCCATGTTATTCTATATTTTTATTGTCTTTTTTTGTTATTATTGTTGGTAGTAAACAAAAAGATTTAGACTAATGTGGAAACTCAACCAAAGGAAGTATAATAGAAATTTTTGTCAAAACACTTATCTTTAAAAGTTAATATTCTCTTTCCTTTTAAAACAATTCTTAGAGATCTACATCTACATATATTTCCCCTTTTGGAAAGTTATATAATAGTTGAACAAATGAAAAATGTTTGTATTTAAAGTAAAATGCAAAAACTTAAAGCAAAAGACAGTCAAAGTACTTATTTATCTTTAGCCTATTTTTAAAGTCCCAATTTGATTATGTAAAAGCATAATGTTTATAATAGCAACATTTCATAATAAAGTTAAAAATATTATTCGGGAATACTTATTCTGAAAATCCAGAAACTAAAAATAACTAGAAATGTTTTTTAAAAAATAGTTTTGAAAAGTGTCATTGTTTGAGTCCACTCCCCAAATATTAATAATTTAGTTATACAAATAAACAGATTTTTATTTCTAGGATTTTTATATTTTATTTTAACAATCCTTCAAAATTACCACAATTTTATAACTTCTTGAAATATATCCATATTGAATATAAAATAGAAAACTGCTTAATTGCTGGGTTGATGCATGGTGTACAGATAAACAGTTGCCCCTCATCCCCGCCATTACATCTTCTACATGGATTGAAGTCTCCCACTCAACAGGGCAAAGGGTCATATAATATTTAACTATAATTAAATATATCTATTTAAATAATATTTTGATGAAAATGTTTCTATCATTTTCAGCCATGATCAAGCAAAGTACGATACCCAGAGGGGAAAAAAGTGCCAAGGAACATTGGGTTATGAAAACTTTGTAAACTTCCTAGCAACCATTCTGGTTCTTACTATTGTTGTTTGGAACAATAAAGAATGTGCTGCCAAAAACCATGTTCTAAATAGCAAAATGGAGCTTTGATTTACACAGTGTAACTTATTTAGTTTCACATGTTGTGTTTTGGTTTGCCTCCCGACATTCTTCTGGCAGAGGTAATGTTTTATTCCAGTGTTTCAGGCTTTCTCTATGAGGCAGATATCCTTGTAAAAGCTGTGTGACTCATTCTCTTTTGTGAAAAGCACTCATCATCAAATCCTGTGAAGTGTTCATCCAAACACTTACAATTTTACAACCACCATCTAGAGGACCAGAAGTGCAAGTTAATACAATACAGTGATTTTACTGGCCTCTTAACAGGCTTTGGGATAGAGTAACTGTTTTCCATTATTTTGAGTATGGAAATGCATAGCCTTTTGCCTCTGTGAAGTTGATTAAACTTAAATTCCCTACAGGTACCCAGAAAGTCATTGTGTCATCTAAAGCAAGCCTGCCTAAGTAAAGTACTATATTATCAAAAATTACAAGAAAATGTAATGTGTTCCTTTGACCTATGTACTTGAGGTATTTTCTTATTCTTTTATTGAATCATTCTTAATTATAGGGGTCATCCTCTAGGTTTTCCTTAAAATGCATTTGTTATATTCAGATGATTTGCAGGTGTCTGCATGCATTGTTTTTTACAATAGAAAGTGAATAAGCTTAAATTTAAACATGGTCAGAGCTTCTTGGTACAGGTACTGTAAAATGCTAGAGCAAGGGATTTTGAAATTTATGGAGTTGCTGATTTGGGTACACAGTGAGGGTGATATTGATGGCAGTGCTGCAGAATTGATGAAAGATAGGAGAAGGAATTCTCCAAGTAAGAGTTGAGGTACAATCTCACATGAAACTAAAGAAACAGTATTTTGACCTAGTTTCTTGCTAGTCCTTTACCTTGAAAGACAAGCTTTGTAAATGAGACTCAAATTAGACTAACTACTGCTTCTCCTGGAATTTTACTTCCTTTGAAAACTGAACAATTTCCTATACCCCAACATAGCTGTTCTATATCTTATTCTCTGGTAAGCTCTTACCCAGTTTGATTTAGGCCAGATGAATTCTTTTCTTAACCAGAGCTTTCCAAACTTTAACCGAATCAGATGCTTGCTATAATTCAGTGCTATGAAATCTTCAAATTATATGCCACAGCATCAAGAATAGGGTGATCGTCTTGCCCCAGAAATATAATTCCTCTAGTACCAAAATGTAGAACTTACAAAAACAGAAATAAGCTGCTGATTCTGAGTATTTTTTATATTTTAAAAATATTAAATTTTGGCCTCTGGTGTGTCTGTTGAAGTGCCATTGAAATAAAATGAAGGCACATGTCTTTGCCAAGCAGGGTTTGGCATCTTTCTTCTGAAAACATTTAAAAGCACTTGGTTCTCATTGTATATATTCTGTTACATGCATATTTTCCATTATGTTTTGTAAAAGAATTTTTAAACTCTTGAATCATTTAATCAGACAGTGCAAAAGTATTTCTCAGCAACCACCACATGAACTAAGCACTTGTGTGTACATGTTGAAGAACAGACATGGTTCCTGCTTTCCAGAACCTTGTAGTTTAAAGAACCTTGGAGATTTAAAACCTAAACCCAAACCCAAACCAAAATGCGAGAGAGATATCACCCATCCTCTTTCTGTCTGTTCATCTATTTATCCATTTATATATTGATAGATTGAAAGAACAAAAGCCAGAGGTGGGGTTGGGGAGTGGGGAGAGAGAGAGGAGAGAGAGGAGAGAGAGGAGAGAGAGAGAGAGAGAGAGAGAGAGAGAGAGACAGAAGAAAGAAGAAAGAGGGAGAACTACAATTTAATTGCACAAATATTTAGAGGGTTCAAAGATGATGTTGGAAGGCTGGAGCTCGTAATTGATGCATACACATCTATGCTGATTATAGAATAGATTTATAAATAGCTTTTGGACATTTCTTTCTAAAGAAACCAATGATCAGTTTCCTAAGAATTTCTGCCTCTTGCAATTTTTTGGCATCTAGAGCTGATTCTGTTTAAAATGAGGCACTTGTGACACTTTGAATGCACTCTGGTTCTGAACAGGATCTTGAGCCTGTCTTGAGTCTCCTACCTTGAGCTGCCACCTCACTTTGTCATACTCTGTCATCTACCTTCTTCCTAGTGAATGATTTATTTTGAAGTTTTTGTTTTAATTTTCTTCTCTCACTTTAGCTTTAGATTGATAGTCTTCCTCTCTTGACATCTGTTTTGCCTCACTGAGAAGGCTGTCCAAATGTAGCACGTTACCGTGTTTCTTTATTATCTTTATAGAACAACGGGGTGTAGATGTGTGACCATAATTCAAGAGGCTTGTTGCAGGGTGCTAGAAACTTGCTGGGGAAAAGTGCAGTACATGAAGGATGTTGGAAAGCAGACAATTGCATGGTGTGGCAGGAAAACAAAGCACAATGCACTCAGCTCTTATTTCCCAGCAAACCTCCAAGTTGTCTGACCCTACCAACAGTGTGGAGAAGTTTCCTGAATCTTCATTCTGTGTAAGAGAAGAAGCATCTCATGCTAACCATGGTGGGCACAACCAGCTGAGATCAAGTGCTTTTCCAGGGTCTTCCCTATGACTCCTCGACTGGCCAACAAAGCTGCTCTTTAGCTACCATTGTCTCATTTTTGTTTGGTGGTTGAGATGCAATTTTTATTAATGTGGCAGAGAAAAATGTCATCCTATGTTGAATAAATAGTTTAGTAGCCCTTAAATATTTTTTAACTGAGGAGTTAATGTTAGATAGAGTTGTAACAGGCATTTACAAAGGTAATATCAAAGGATACTATCAAAATACTTGTAAGAAGCTTGGGTCCTTGAATGACATGCCACTTGTAAGCATATGTTAGAGATAAGCCCGTCCCACTGGTAAGTGCTGTAAATTATGAAAGAGACACTTACGCAGTCTGGCAGAGCATTTTCTTGATAACAGTTTTTAGAATTAAATTCCTTATAAGTATTAGGTTGGTGCACAAGTAATTGCGGTTTTTTGCCATTACTTTTAATGGTGAAAACCGCTATTACTCTTGTACCAACCTAATATAAAGTTTTGAAGCGTTTTGGATAACATTGGCATTATTAGAAACAAGTTATGTGGCATATAATACAACTTCCTATCTTAAAAATTGAGCCAGCATACACACACACACACACACACATATACCCCCTATGTATTTAAAGGTACCCTAATATTTATTTTTCTTTATCATGAGGAATAAGATAGTATATAACCTCAGTAGTCATGGATTTAACACTCTTGGTTTTAATGATTTGTGTAGGATCTTTCAAGTTCATGATGTGTTTTAAATCAATGATTTTGCTGAGGTCTTCATTGATTTGCATGTTGAGACAGGCTTCACATGTAGGAAGAAAACATTTGTCTATAAATCACCTAGATGACCACCTAATATCTTCATTGGGTCATGATATGTACTCTCTACTCAATCTCTATAAAATAACTCAAGTAAATTGAAGTGAGAACACTGTCATAGGTTTTGGGCGAGGGAGGGTGTGTATAAAAATGGCCCTGAAAAGAAAGCCAATTACTAGTTCTTATGATGGATAAGAAGAAAAAGGATGAGGTTTATAGAAGTTTTTTTTTTAACTAGAAAATAGAAATTTTTGATAAATTAATAAATGGAATGTTAAATTTGGCAGTAGCCCTAGTCTATATTATGAACCATAGAGCATTTTTTTTTACTTTATGGAAAAAATGATATGATCATATGGTCTTAGTAAACTTAGAGACTTTTGAAAGCCTTATAATTATCTCTTAATTTGTAATTTAATTTGAATTTAAATTGATAATTTAAAGTAGTTGGTTTAACTCTTCTGATTTTCAAGTTTAGTGGAAATTATATTATGCTTACACCATATGCCACACAGGACATAGCTAACCTGGCCTAGTATCGAAAGTAGATTGACCAATCAACAAATAAATGAGTTGTGGTTCCAAAATTGGCTACTAATGATCATCTTCCTTTTATACATTCCTGTTGGTAGTTCCTCTCACATCCTCTGAACTGGTCTTATGATTTGCTTTCCCCATCTGGACATGAGCAAACCTGATACAGGCGGGGATCTGAAAAAGTCTTGCACACTGGAGCTTGCCTCTCACTGCTCTTGAAGACCCTCTGGCTGTCACCATGAGAAGAAGCTAAATTAGCCTGCAGGATGATGAGCAACACGTTTCTCAGTGACCCTACCCTTTCGAGAAAAAACAGCCAGCTTTAGGCATATTATGAGTTGTCCACAAATGCAGTGGTGAGCTCAGCAGGGGCCAGTCATGAGAACCATCAGGTGAGACAGCCCAAAGTGCCAACCCACAGAATCTTGAGCTGCTTGTTCAAATCTTTCTTAGATTCCATCGACAACCTCAAGTGCTTCCCATAAATTCCTTTTCTTTTTTTAACTTAGCCAAAGAACTCTAACTGATACATATACAATAATCCAAATCAACTTGGATTTCATCCTGGCCGTTTATGAGTATTGCCATAAATGCCACAGTATTCTGAGCTATTTCGTCCCTATACATTTGAACGGAGTAATACTCCTGAGTTTCAATGACTATTACCTGTCTGAGCAAGGTGTTGAAATACATAAACCAACCTGTAGATCATCTGGAACACACATTTTCTGTATCTGGTCACCTTACATAATACAAACAACTTTTATATTAGAAAATGCTCATCTCATTTTTCTTACATGTGGTGATACAGTCATACTTGCAAGAGCATTTTCTTATGTCATTATAAATATTCATTTTTTTTCCAGTCAATAGACATTGTAATAATAATGCCTCTCATTTTGTAATACTTTATATTATACAAAAAAATGTGAATACGTCATTTACTCTGTGGTTGATATCACATAGATGAGAAAACTGAAGCTTAAAAAACTGCGTCTCAGTTGAGGCAGAAATAGGAAAAGGTAGTTGGGATATCATTTACCATTTTATTAAAACGATTTGAATGGAGAGAAAGATAGTTTCCAAAAGGCAAATTAGGCCTCTATTTCACCCAGAAATAGAAGGGTTCCTAGGCAGGCAAAAATAAAAGATATTGGCTATAGTTGCTATGATTAATAAGGATGACTTTTAAAATGTTTTCTTATGAAACCTGCACCAAAGTTACTTAAGTCACCATGTCGTATTTCTTCCCCAAATTATAAAGTTGGCACTAGATTTTTAAAAGCTATTTTCTAAGAGAATGAGAATTTTCTTGGGAAATTTATTGTCACCCCAACTGAATCTGGGCATTGTACAAATTTTACTTGAAATCTTATGTTCTAAAGGAATACAAATTTAAAATGGATTAAATAGATAAACAATGAAGTATTTTAATTCATTGTGGGTTTCATGATAATTGGCCCAATACTACAGTCTAATGTAATAAACATTTTGTTTAGACTACAAAAGCACTGTGAACAAGAACACTAGAGTTGCACTCATATTCCTAAATAAGGAAAATATACCTTTACTTTTCTTGGTGACAGAAGGCCTTTGAAAAATTTGACATTGTTCAGGTTTATCCACAGATGATTGTCAGTGTTATTACTGTAGACAGCCAAATAATATCTCCCTTAAATATTTTCCATGGTAAATCATCTTCAGTTTGGAATGTTGTCTGTCCCTAAAATTTTTATTTCCTCTTGGAGACATTGCTTTTTAAGAATCTACATTTGATTCTATATTTTATGATATGGAAATCGATAATTGAATTAACAAAACATGAACTAACACAATAATAAACTCACAAAACAATCTCAGGAAGCCCTGTATCATTTGATACAACAAAAAAAATTAAGAAAGAGCAATGAGAAGCCATATTTTCTAATGTTTTTACCCCATGCTTTTAGTTCAATTCCTCAAATAACTCATAAAATTTATAATTCTTAATAAAAATGTTGATCATTTCTATATGCAAGTTAATTCCACCATATTTGTAAGTTAAAAAACTACAAAGCAATATTTCTATAGCATTGAATACCCAAAATGACAGTATTCCTCATACTGAATAGGTAGATACCAACTTATGGTTCTCAAGTGAACAGACAGAAAATGCTCTGAGATACATTGGTTTACTTGAGGACAGTGCGACATATAGCTTATAATTACACACATTTACATAGAAATCTTTGCTGTGATACCATATGTCACCACGGGTAAGAGTGAGGCTAGCTGAGATAATATTCAGTAAGTAGTACCATTTACCTAAGCTACCCTTTCTGTGCAGCAGCATTGTGACAGCCATTGTGACTTGGGAAGCACCTGTCCTCTTACACATACATGACAATTTCAGAAGGGATTTTAGAATTCGTGATCTCATAAAACAAATGGATTAAATGGAAATAATCAAATATATATTTTGGATTTATGGTTATATTGTTTGTTATACAGATCACTTTAGAATTAATATTTTAAAAATTACCTACAGCGATTTTATGTGTTCTTGGTATTAATTAATTGCATTTATCCTAGACATTGATAATGACTTAATTTCCAAAGAAATTAGTGAAACCCTTGGTCAAATATTGAATGAAGAAATATGCCTGTGCTTAGCTCTCACGTACTTTAGTAATTCCTCCTCTTGTTTCTGGCTCTTCAAAACCCATGTTAATTAGCCCTTGGGTAATCTCTACTCTATGTAGAAGATGTAAATTCAAGCTTACAAACTTAGAGGTGAAATGTGGTTATCTTTATTTTTCCTATAACTGAATTGTAATAAGCCTCTATTCAACTGCAAGACAAAATCATTTTTCACTTGGGCCTATCAAATTTATTGCAGAATCACATCAAGCTTCTCCAGGGTGGAACTAGGGCTTACATCATTTCTAGGCATCAGGCAGTAAATGGGGTGAGGCAGATGGCATGCCTTGTCTGAGTCATTGTCATTCATTTGTTCTGGCTTCTGCTGAGATATTTTCTTTTCAGAAGGGGCTTTAAGCTGTCTTTCTATAGACATTTGATGTGCTTTCTCTTATTGCCATCATAAAAGCTTGAGAGTTTCAATCTTCTGTGCTGTTGTCTTTGAATGTGGGGGAAATATTTAACTGCTCCAACATCACATTTGGGTATGGGCAACTCTGGGCTCTCTTAGGCTTCTCTGCTCAGACAATGCAAACCAACTTCTATGCTTCCACTTGGTCATGCTGAGCATAGGAAATTGAGGTCTGACTGCCTCCCCAGGTGCCATTCATACATGGAAGGCAGAAATCCAATCTGAATTTTCATTGTGAAACAAAGTTCCTTCTTGACATTCTCTATCTCAGTAAATGCCATCATCATTCACACAGTTACTGAGATTAAAAAATAATTGATTTATCCTTGATTCTTGTTTTTCTCCTATGCCTCCATCCAATATGGTAGAAAGTCTTTTCAACTCTAACTTGAAATTTTATCCCTAACCCACTTCTCATCACTTCCATTGCTATCATCTTTATCCAAGCCAGCATTTTGTCTTACCTGGCCAGCATGTGGTTTCACCTGGCTTACCTCCTTAACTGGCATCTATTAATTCCCTGCTTCTATGAGTACTACCTCTCTCCTACCCCCAGAGTAACCTACTGAAAACTTGAATTATGCTACTCTTCTACCCAAACCCTCCAATCACTTGACATAATGTATGAAGTAAAATCCAGATTTCTTACCAAGGTTTACAGGGCCCTATTCACTCTGCTTCTTCTGGTCTAGACTTCGTATTCCTTGAATCTGCTGACATTATTCCTTTTTAACTTTATAGTTTTTCATTTCCTGTCCTCCCTCATGTGATTCCTTCAAAAATGCTACCTCCTCAGGGAAGGCTTCTTCTCCCTATATCTTTACCCGACTTATTTTTCTTCAGAACATTTATTACTACCCAAAATTAATTATTTGTTTATAGGTTTGTTGCTTGGCTTCATCACCAAGGCCTGAACTTTATCCTCTCAATTGCTATCCATAGCATATAGTACATTACCTTGTGGTACATAGTAGGCCATCAGTAAAGACTTTTTTTTTTTTTCAGTGGATGAATGCACTTGAAATTGGAAATACAGGGGAAATAGGGCAGTGTTTTCAATTTGCTGTATTTATTTTTGGAGATGAGAACAACTTCAGGATTCAATATGAACTCAAAGAGGCTTCTCTCATTTGAGTAGAAGATATAGAGATACTTCTTATGTGTGACTACACAATTTTGCCCCTCACTTCAGCACAGTACGGTTTTTTACTATTTAACCATGTCATGTCCAATATTGTATAGCCTCTTGAAGTCAAGAAGATATGCATCATCTTAAATCTAAAATCCACAACCCTGTTTAAAACAGCAGAAAATTAAAAAAAAATCAGTGACCTGGAAATTCATCTGTAAACCACAGTAATTGATATGTTCACCAACCTGACTGAGCATGTACAACATTACTGGCATTAGGCATCAAGAATTCCTGGAAAATGTGGGCAGCATACATTAGTCATTTATCATTAAGCTGTGGAGGCTTTTTATTAGTCTCAGCTGTGTTCCTGTTAATAGTGTTTGACATTTATACATCCCAGGGCTCCTTCAGTACTAAGTGATTGGAACCCAATTAAAACTAGTTTAAGTAAAGACCAATATTTATTGGCTGATGGAACTGGGAGGTCAAGGCTGGAATCTGGGCTCAAACGATATTTTCATGGTTTGAGCTTTGTCTCTGTCTTTTGGTTCTGCTTCTCATCACTTATACACATGTGTTAGCTTCTTCTACATGAATAGACTCTCATTATTTAGAAAAAAGTGCTAGATCATTAGAAGTTGTAATAAAAATGGAAGAGTCTTGCAGCAGAAGCAGCTAAAGAATCCCTGAGAGGGTTCTAATTGGCCAACCTTAGGTCCTAGGCCTATGATAACCCTATCACTGTGAGCGAGATGTTGTATTATGATTGGATCAAACTTGATCACGTGTCCCTTTGACAAAGGGAGTGATGAACACATGACTGACAGCTCTTCTAGGAACACAAGGAGTATGAGAAACCAAAGAAGGGGCATAGGAAATTATGTTGATCAGGTAAAATATTAAACTTATTAGCATCTGTATATCAACATTGCTTTATACTTCTTTAGGCTAAAAATGACAATGTGTTATGAAAGAAAAAACCTTGTATGTTGCACCTTATTATTTTTGACTTTATTCCAGTAACTGAAAATAATGCAATGGAAATGTGAAATATATAATGCTGGGTAATTCTAGGATTTCCAGTATTAGAAATAATACTATCTGGAATCAAGGTCTCATAGAATGAAGAAAGAATTATGGAATGAAGATGAAAATAATGAGATGGAAAATCAATAGAAATGGAGGGCAGACATCAGAGAGATAGATGTTTCTGAAGGAGAGAAAGCATCAAAGAAAAAAAACAATAATCATAAACCTCAAGAATAAAACTTTGAATCACAGGTCTTAAATCAAATGAATCCTTTTGCATCATATTTTATATATGAGGAAATGTAGTTTCCACTTTCCAGCCTCCCTTCTCATTTATATATTGGCCTTCTGCATGGGCTTATGTTTTGATTTTCTATCTGTAGTCTACCTTGTTACCTTGCCTATTGTATGTTTCCCTGTAAAATTGATGCCTGGCCCTGAATCTCAAATAAAATAGTAGAGTCTGTGTTTTGTCAGTGTCCTTCCTAAGCCTGGATCTTAGTCCCTGCTTTTTATTCCTCTCTCACTCTTCATTGTCCTTGTGACCCTCCTGTTATGAAAGGACTGATCCTATTGAAGATCAACCTGGTTCTAGGGGAAGAAAAAAGAAAGCACCTATAGAGATGGTTTTGGTGAGCAAGCTGGGTCAGCCAAGGTCACTGTAAAATGATTCTAAATGTCTTTGGGGTCACGAAGTTATTCTAGTGAGTAAAGAGTCAAGAATATTCCAGGAACCATTTGAGCTCTTATTAGTTAGCTGGTGTTCCTTAATACAAAAAAAATAAGATAGAACCTACTCTGATTGGTTGGGAACTTCTCCTTGAGAGTTCCCATGCCTTATTGCTTCTTCCTGAAAGCATCATGGAACCTCATGAGCTGGCCTGTACCTAATATTTCTCTTCATCCCCATTGGCACAATTTGTGAAGGCTTAGAATGCTTTGAAAGCTAATACTGTCGTTACAGGTTAACCCAGAGCCTTTTTCTTTTCTGGAAATGCAAGAGAAATAGTCAGCTTCTTCCTATTTGGTAAAATTACCTTCTGACTTTAGAAGTGGAACGTCCTCAGCAGGTCCCATCTCAGCACCTGGTCAGTTGTGCTGTGCCTGATTCTGCAGGCCAAAGAAGCAATCAGGACAATAAACTTAGCGGGACCCCTGCTAATGGGTCTTTCTGGGATTGGGGTTGGCTTTATTTGCTCTTACTTGATTTAGGCAGTGATAACCAAGTCTAGAATGGGAAAAACTCCTTAAACGGTGAAGTTGGATTTGCACTGTGCTTTTCCAAATCATTTTTATTTCAGAATGAAAGAGCTGGAAAAAGCTTGCCAACTTTTGGTCTATTTGTATTTGTGTATTTCTTAAGAGGTACACAAAATCTCTTATTACGTAAGTTATGATAAAGCTCAGTGCTAGGACAATTAATAACATATTCTTTAAGTCAAATAATGTTTTTCATATCACAGATTGAGGCGTTATTCCTTTTTCTTTTAAGCCTTATGGATAGGTATCCTTGGTTACACATCTCACATCTAATCTCTCTAGCCTAATATCTGTTTTTTTTCTCATGTTTTTAAAGGTAATTTATGGTGTTACAAGTGTGAGGGTTTTGAGGACTTGGGAGTGAGGGGCAGACTAGATTTACCTTTCCTCAGGAGACTGGAAACTCACCATGTGCTTGATGAGATTGTGAAAATTTTTTTCCCATATGGCAAATTCCAAAAGACATGTGGTAATGAGCCATGACTGAACACAGACAACACAGTCTATAATTAACCTCATATAGACAGCATGCAGTAGGAACTTATATACCTTTGGCTCCAATATCTCACCATCCCCTAATTGTTTAGTTCTATAAGTGTATCAGTTTAAAAGGAAGAAGCCTCCTACATGTAGACAAGGTTTTATCTTTCCAGGAAAGTAACTGGGACAATGATCTTCATTATCATTCTCTCTGGGTTAGATATATAAAAAAGGAGGGTCACAGATACGTTTTCATGAAAGTATACATGTTACCCACATACAACTTTGGAATTGTCAAGCAAAAATTGTAGCATTAGTCTGCATAATGAGAATCTTTTTTGATTTTAGATTTCTTTTCATTTTCTTCACAAATTACTGACCCAGAATGGTTAAGGGAAAATATACATTAAAATAGGTTGATCAAATAAATTATTGAAAAGGGAAGTCTAGATAATAAATTCCTTATGGAACCTTTCTCCAGGGCATGGCATTCAAGGATGAGACATCTGTTAGAGTTGGTCTGACAGCTAGCTTCCTCTGCAGAGTTTGGATAATGGACTCACACATGCACACACCTAATATGTTGTGTATTTATTAAGCTGCCCTACTGACAGTTATACTACATGAAGTTCAGCATAAGACTCAAGTGTAGGGTTCCAAACCAGCATTTCAGAATTGACTGCACATTCAATTAAACTCAAATAGTCCAGTACCACCCTTTATTCTGTAAAACACCAAAATGAAATAGAAAAGGCAATCTGATACTTACACTGTATGCTGTTGTTCCATTCAGTGATTCTCCAGACAACTATAAACTGAGATCTTATTTGGGATACTTTTCTGGCCATGCATCCCCTAGCAGCCTATACGGAAAAAATATTCAAATATTATAGGGCTAAAGGTCATCCCTCGTAAGTAGTGGACTTCAAATTCAAGAGTATACTTTGATTTTGACAGTTCATGCAATAGATTCCAAATGGAATATTTTTTTTTTTTTTGAGGCGGAGTCTCGCTCTGTCGCCCAGGCTGGATCTCGGCTCACTGCAAGCCCCACCTCCTGGGTTCACGCAATTCTCCTGCCTCAGCCTCCCAAGTAGCTGGGACTACAGGCACCTGCCACCAAGCCCGGCTAATTTTTTGTATGCAGATATTATTATGCAGTTTTGGCAGAATGTCTTTCCACCATGGTCAGATAACTGAAAGTGACCAACAAAAGGAGGGTGATGTTGCAGAAAGAGAGAGAATTCTTTTATGTGTATGATTTCATGAGAAGAATAATTAGAGCATCACATATTTCAGAGTGACAGCCAAATAATACACATTGGGTGGAACTGCTTCTTATTTATCTTTCCAAGAGAACCTAAAATACAGATGTTACCAGTGTATTTACAATGAAAAAAATTCCTTCCTTGTAAACTAAATTAAAGCTGGACCATTGAGATCCATGAAGCTCATGTTATTTGTGGCTCAGTTTCTTTGGGCATTTTTTGTAAACATTTCCTAACCATTTTATGAGCTATGAAAATGGTTGGGGAAACTGCAGCCACATAAAGGTGACATGCTAAGTATATTGCTGGAAAACATACAGCAAAGACAAGGAAACAGTGAATATCTTAAAAAATACTGTGATCCAAAGGGAGAGTTCTTCAAATTGTCTTCGTTAACCAGTAGGAATGCTTTTAAGGTTTCTCTTGTCACTGGCAATAAAAATTATTATTATTTTTTTAAAAGGTACAGATATACAGGCAAAGTGTTCCATTCATGTAGTTTCATTTTGTTACCATTTTAATTTTGGAGGTAAGGAAAAAAGTTGTTTTCACTTCAGAGGAGGATTTTTTCTTCTACCTCTAAAATATTGATCAAATTAATTTAATTTCATAGGTAAAATTTTTGGAAGCAAATTACTTATGTGGTAGTTTTTTTCTTTTGCATTCTGTGATTTATTTTCTGTAATAGTACATGTTTTGGCCCATAGTTGGTCTGGTTTTGAAGTATTTTCTATTCTTGAGGACTTTTATATATCTTTCCTCCTTCTAATTCCAGATTGGTGGTGGTGTTTTCTTGGAGTTTGGAAGCCTCTGTTAAGCAAGGCAAGTGGAAGTATATGCAGAATGCTTACCTTGCTGACAGTCAGAGGCTTGTATTTCAGGTTGGCTTGACATCGCAAATATGCCCAAGAATGTATTCTGACTTAGATAATACGGGATGGTTACTGGGGTTGGAACTTAAAAAAATCTAGTTTAGGATTTTAGCAGATAACTCCTGTGCTGGAATGCTTTTCTAGAACCAGGAATCCTAGGGAAGAAACATTCTGATCAAATAGACTTTTAAAGTTGGAAGGGACTTTAAAGATAAGCTACTCGGAGCACTTCATTTTACAGATAAGAGAACTGAGAGTCTGATAAATTAAGTGACTTACTCATGTGTTACTTCTATTCAGAAGACATTTTGAAATATTATTAATCTTTTAAATGGACTTTAATTAAAGTATTTAGTATTATATACATTTTTTTCCATAATAGAATGCTTAAGTTGGTCTCCAACTTAATAGAACACTTAATAGAATACTTAAGTTGGTTCCATAATAACCAACTTAAGTGTTCTATTAAAGTCAGCCTGAATTGAAGAAACAGTTTGGGAAATTAGAATCATAGCACTTTCAAAGCTCATAATTTTCAATAGTAAGATTTAATATTATGGTTGCACTGTTGTATGAAGTAGAGGTGTATTATGAAATTAACCTGCAATGTAAAATGCCTCAAACCAGTTCTTTGAGCAGAGAAGCACAAACTTAAATGTTATTCTTTATAGGCATAGAGTTTATTCTTTGTTTTAAAAAGACCATTTGTTCTCTGTTAGTTTCTTCTTTAGGTAGTAGTAAAGAGATCAAGATATAAATGAACTTTCAAGAGGAAACTCTGTCCAGTGGCCACAAAATGAACACCTGTTCTAATCAGTAGCTCACAAATACTCACCCTTGGATTAAAGGAGAACTGAGTAGGAGAATGTTAATGACAACATGAAGCCTGTCACTAAAGAAAAAGTTTTAAAAGTACACATTCTACTGATTATAAAGTTCTACTCATAAAAGAAGGAAAAACTAAGCCTAAGAGATGGATGGGGGAGAAATAATGGGGCAATAAGAATTCCTGGTTTTGTGATAAGCCTCATAGCTGACTGATGATGTCAAAGTTCTAAAGAAGCTTAAACTTGTAAAAGTCTTCTTTAGGAAACATGTCTAAGGTTGTGACCTGCTCACTATTTGGAAGCCAAGTATCTTTCCCCACTAAATTAAAACCCCTCCAGAAAACAAACAGAAAACCCATAAAATGTGTTAGATTAGGGCCAGGCGAAGTGGCTCATGCCTGTAATCCCAGCACTTTGGGAGGCTAAGGCAGGAGGATTGCTTGAGCCCAGGAGTTCAAGACCAACCTGGGCAACATAGGGAGACTTGGTCTCTTCAAAAAGTAAATACTACTACTACTATTACTAATAATAAATTAGCTGGGTGTGGTGTCATGCACCTGCAGTCCCAGCTACTCACGAGCTGGGGTGGAAGGATCACTTGAGTCTCAGACATCAAGGGTGCAGTGAGCTGCAATCACACCACTGCATTCCAGTCTGGGTGACAGAGCAAGACCCTACTCCCCCACCTCAAGAAAAAGTCTCAGATTATAGAATAAAGGCAGAATTTTAACAAAATAAATTTCTTTTATTTCAGTGTGAGGGAATACTGTGGGTCATGAAGTGGCTTTTGATACAATGAAAGTAGTCTTAATTCCACAAGTCATTTACTGTGGTACCTTAAGGCTTCTTCATGACTCTTCTCTCAGTGGCCTTCTGATATTTCTATATCTGGATTCAGAACTCTCATTGATTCAAATTGAGTCATATTTTCCTCTTTGCAGTAAATTAAAAATAAAACCTTAAGAGTTTTTTTTTTTGGTTTTCATATATTTTAAGTAAAAATCATTTTTTACATAGATACCTAATCTTGTTCCTATCTACCCAACTTGAATCCTTGGGCAAAAGAACTCCATTTATAGAATACTATTATAAAATGATGATGTGTCTAAAGTAATTCTAAAGTGAGACAAATGTCAGAAAAAGTGGCAAAGAGCAGAACTGTACATTTTAAAATATGGTAAAGTTTACTTATTTTCCTTAATATTATTTAGGAAGGCCCAGAATCAGAATTCCAAGGGATGTTAAACGCCTGATGGTAAAAACTCTGTGAGTGATACTGTTGGGTCAATGTTCTAGCTAGAGAGGAGTGATGGAAAAACTGCATGCTGGCGGAAGAGTCAGGCCTGTTTGGGTCTTGGCCACTGCACTTATACAGAAAAAAAAAAAAAAAAGAAAATCAAATAAGTTGAAATTGCTCATTTTGGCTGACTTTCCTACCACCTCCCACTCCCTCCAACCTCCCAAATTTACTTTCTGGGATGTGGACACAGACTGATTCCCTCTGAAAGAAAGAAGAGATGGCTACATGTGTCCTGCAGATGGAATAAAAAGGGGATCTGGCATTTCTAGGAACAGCTGATACTCCACTAAAAACCTCCTTAAGAGAAATCTTACAGAGCAAGAAAAAGATAAAATATATACATTATAAAACCTTTTTTACTCTAAGTGGCTCTAGGCTTATAAAATCATCTTTACTATTTGCATAGATTCCAATGAGATGATACTAATTTTCAGCAAAATCAAGGATCATCTTTCCAGCCCAAAATAATCAAAATTACATACTTTAGCTTCATGTGGACATAATTCAATATATTTGTTTTTTACTATATGGTCATACATAATGAGGTATGGAACTAATACAATACCAGGATGATGCTGTCACAGGATTCTTGGGGTGTCACTTTTCCAGCCAGAAACCTCTATGGCCAGTGGCGCCTTTGCCTATTTTCCTTGGACCCACTGGGCTCATTCTGCCCACTCAGTCTGCTCTCAGCTCATGCTACCAGCCAAGTTCTCATGCCTGCCAAGGGTAAGCCAGGTGCAGAGTGACAAGGGGTGTGTGAGGGAGTGAGCAATGGGTTTGGACACTGCACATAGCCAGGCATGCTGGCTGCAGCAGGGTGGGCAGCTCCAGGTGCCAGCGTGAGTGCTGGCTCCCTGCGATACTGTGGCTGGACCAGGTGGCTGGACCAGGTGTACTTCAAGCAGCTTCCACGCCTGGCACTGGGGAACATGGTGGCACCCAGAAGCTTAGAGGCACCAGGAACTGCAGAGCCCCATAGAGGCTGTCACAGCCTGGCTCAGGGAGCTCCTAGGTCTGGCCAACCCAAAGGGCCACAATTCTTCTTTCCTTCTCTCTTCTTTCCTTCTTGTTGCCTGCAATGAAGTGAGCAAGGAGTGTGTTTCAGCCCTGTTGGTGTTATGGCTCTTTCAGCCCCACAATTCAGCTGGTCCCGAGTTCTTGTCCTATGTCCAGGAAGAATGAGGTACGTGGACAAATAGAGGGTTGAGCAAGGAGAAGATGGGCTACGTTGAGCAATGGAACAACTCAAAGGAGACCCGCAGTGGGTCGCTCCTCTCCGCAGGCAGGAAGTCCTCCCGCCGTTTAGCTCTCAGCAGAGAGGAGACCCACAGTGGGTAGCTCCTCTCTGCAGACAGGGCATCTGGTTATTTTCTCAGGTCTGGCTGAGTCAGGGTTTCTTATGGGCTTCAGAGTCGGGGAAGTACATGCGGATTGGTCCATGGGTGGCTGTGGGTGGGCTCCGATAAAGCACCATAAGTTCTCACTCTGGTCTGTGGAACTAACAGCCCAGTCCCCAGGCTTCAGGCCATCCCTGGCTTTTGAAGGTGGTGCTTCACTGGGGACCCACCCCTGACCATCCAGGAGCCTGTCTGCATCCTGCCACCATTAACCTCCCATCTACAGTGCCCATGGCACCCAGGTTGTTTGTGCCAAGAGATGCCTGCAGGCCTGCAACGAGTCACCCTTAGCTCTCTTTCAGCCACCCTCCCATGCTTGCTGGCACCCAAAGTCCAGAGGGGGCCGAGGTGGCAGGGGGCTGGCATGTCAGTGCTTCCCCAAGTGCACACACACAGGCTGGGTTGTGACAGTGCCTGGGCTCAGCCATAACTTTCCTCCAAAACTGGAGTGGGTTCCATGAGTGGGGAGAGGCCAGGTAGTGGGAGCAGGCCCTTCTGAGCCTGCAGGGGAAGGGGGACTTCCTAGGTCCTCAAGAGTGCAGAGATGCCCAGGTCCACAGTTGCAGCCAGGTGGCTGCAGCTTTGCTTGGGAGGGTGGAGTTCCCTCCTCTCCAACTTGGAAGGTGGCAGGGCTTCTGCCTGCTCCTGGCTCTCGCCGGCTCCATGGGAAGTACAGCCCTGGCTGTACCTCCCCTACTGCAGCTGGTGTGATGGCAATGGCTGCTCCAGATGGGCCACCACTACAGTCAATGCCATCAACTGCTTGTCAATCATTCATCTGTTTTTCAGTTCCATGCCAGACCTATGCTAGCATATAAGTAAATAGCAGTGAATAAGATGCCCAAGTTCTTTGTCCTATACAACCTAGTAACCTTGGATGAGGTTCATAAATTTTCTGAAAATTTGTAAAGAAGGGAATTGAACTAGATGGTTTTGAATGGGACTTCAATCTCAAAATTGAATGCCTCTAATATCTTCCATTAGCATGGAAGAGAGATGGGGACAGATTTCTACACTTTTCTTGCTCTCATTCCTTCCTTTTCCCAAGAGCATTAGGGTACAGAAGGAGAGATTTGAATGAAATCAGTAGAAGAAACACTCCTTTTCAGACAGAAAGAAGTACTAGAGAGAGAATGAGAGAAAAAAGGAGAAAGAGATCCTAAATCATAAAAGTTTTTAAACCTCTGAAAAGCTTTAAAAATCAGGAACATATTTCTTCGTGTACCCTTCATGCCATCTTCAACCAATATTAATCCTATGCTCTATTTGTATAACTTGTGTTCTCTTAAGTTATTAAGAAGTCTATGAATAATCTTTAACACTTCCTCAGCACCTTGTTTCAGGCACTACTTAGATATTTTACTTGCATGAATCCCCCCAACAACCTTAGGAGGTAGAAATTATTATTATCCTTATTTTTCAGAGAGTTCAAGAGGTCAAACATTAATAACTTGTCTGAGGTTACACAGCTAGAAAGCGGTAGACCTAGGATTTGAATGCAGATGTCTGGCATCACTAGCTCACACTGCCTCACTGACCCATTATCTAACCAAACTGGTACTTCCATTGTCATGATTTTTCATTACTGTTACTAGCAAATGTTACTAGTGAAATATTTTAGATGTCATCTCTTTCCATCACAGACTGATGAATGTTCACTTAAGATCTTGTCTTTCTTTCCATTTCTGCCATAATGAGAAAGAAAATTTAAATAAAGATGATTTTAATTGTTTGCTCCCATATTAGTTTCCTAGGGTCGATGCAACAAGTTACCACAAATTGGGTTGCTTAAAACGGAAATTTATTCTTACCCAGTTGTGGAAGTCAGAATTCCAAAATCAAGTTCTTGGCAAAGTTAGTTCTTTTTTTCGTTTTTTTCTTTTGAAATGGAGTCTCGCTCTGTCGCCAGGCTGGAGTGCAGTGGCGCGATCTTGGCTCACTGCAACTTCCGCCTCCGGGTTCAAGCGATTCTCCTGCCTCAGCCTCCCGAGTAGCTGGAACTACAGGTGTGTACCACCATGCCTAGCTAATTTTTGCATATTTAGTAGAGACGGGATTTCACCACGTTGGCCAGGATGGTCTCTATCTCTTGACCTCGTCATCTGCCTGCCTTGGCCTCCCAAAGTGCTGGGATTACAGGCGTGAGCCACCACGCCCAGCCCAAAGTTCTTTCTGAAGGCTCTCAGAGAGTATCCATTCTATGCCCCTCTCCTAGCTTCTAGTGACTACGAGGAATCTGTTTTGTTTTGTTTTGTTTTGAGATGGAGTCTCGCTCTGTCACCCAGGCTGGAGTGCAGTGGCGCGATCTCGGCTCACTGCAAGCTCCGCCTCCTGGGTTCACGCCATTCTCCTGCCTCAGCCTCCCGAGTAGCTGGGACCACAGGCGCCCACCACCACGCCCGGCTAATTTTTTGTATTTTTAGTAGAGACGAGGGAGGAATCATTTTTTTAAGGGTACAAAGAATTTATTGCAGTTTTGGGAAATCTGAACAATGGGAGCAATCTGCTTACTCTTCCTCTGAAAAGACAGAGCAGTCTTTTGGATGAAGACTTAGGATAGATCTGTCTACATCACAATATTATGCCCACTGCCTATCATCTCTCCTTTTATTATCACTTTTTAAAAAAATTTAACTTTTATTTTAGGTTCAGGGGCACATCTGCAAGTTTGTTACATGGATAAATTGTGTGTCTTTGAGGTTTGGGTCACAAATTAGATGCATCACTTCAATCTCTACCCTCATTTTCATATGGCCTTCTCCCATATGACTCTGTGTCTCAAAACTCTCTGTTCTTTACTTATAAGAATACCAGTCATTGGATGTAGGGCCCTTTCTAAACCCAGAATGATTTCGTCTTGAGATCTCTAATGTAATTATATTTGCGAGACTTATTTCCAAATAAGGCAACAGTCATGGCTATTAGAGATTAGGACTTGGATGTATCTTTTTTGGGGCACTCTATTTTATTTAACTTACTATAGCTTTATTGTATGAAATAATTTGTCACAATATTCTCTTCATGCTGTTAATCAGTGGCTGTTTGTTCATTAATTCAAGAAATATTGACTGAAAACTGCAACCATGTACAGGATACAGCTGTCCTGGGAGAGAGGGAGAGGAAGAGATACAACAGAGAAGGAACTAAACAAGGTCATTTCAAAGAATAAAAAATGGTATGAAGGCAATTAAACAGGAGAATAGATTCTCATTGACCTATGAGCCTGAAGTATCTCCTTAAATATCAGTCATAGCTCTTGATACTGTCAGTAACTGTATGATTTTATTTTTAAAATAAATTCTACTTCGAGTTTTATTTATGTTGCAGAAAATCTTTCTTGGTATAATAAATTGGTCAAAAGAAACGAGATGTCATTACTCAACTAACATGTCAAAAAAAATATTGACCTATGAAGGAAATAACATACTAGATTCTCTGATTTCCCTAGAGTATTGGAGGAAATTGAATTAGGAAAAAATAGCAAAAGCACCAATTCACCAAACATCAATTTCCCCAACTCTGAAGCAGTACTGCATTGTAAGATCACTATCAAAAATGTCCTCAGGGACCTTTATCCACAGGAACATACAATTTTTGGAAAAAATCCAACCTGCTCTAACTGCTCATGTTTTACTCAGCAATTGCAAAATTTTCACAAAATATATTGGTGAATGGCCTGGAAGATGTTTTTCAGGGAGTAATTCATTGAGCTTAAGATGATTTCTTGCAACTCGAATTCAAACAGTACTAGAACATTAGTCTTCATAACGCACCTAAGGACTATCTTATCCCTATGGCTTTATGATCACTGAGTGCAAGCAAGGCCTTTTGGTAATGTTTTGTGAACCACTGAGAAATTGTTTTGGCATGCTTTTTGGATTTAGGGGTGGGTGGTTATATGCCCGTTTTGTTTCTGCACAAATTATATTTTTTTGTTCAATTTTAGTAATTGGGTACCAGCAGCTGGAATTATTTTACTGAAGTTCATGAACCCTTTTATAGTGCTAGAAACTAAAAAGGCAAAAACATTTATTCTAACTTGAAGTGTGGATTCAAGTGAAGTCCTAGTTTACTCTGATGAAAGAGATTTGGCTTGTTGCAGCAAATATTTCAACTCTGCACCTTGATTTGCTGGAGAACTTCTTCATTATCTGGACAGGAAAGAGCAAGGCTAAAATTTACCTTTTCATTAGGAGTTTAGATACTCTCCCCAACTTAAATGACTTAAATGACTTTTTTGGAAGTCATTTAATAATAAGTTACACAAAAACTATTGCATGAAGCACTACATGTCAGTTGTTATTTATTGAATCTGCATTGACAAAAGAAGGTAAAAGAAATGAGTAAGAATGTAAAAAATTAGTGGACTACAAAATAAGAGGAATGAAATTAACTCAACTGTATTTAAGTGTCCGAGTGAGTTGTTTTCTTTTATACTTAATGAGTTTATGCTGTATTCTCTTTGTCCAAAATAAGATATGATGTCTGTAAAATTTTTGATATTGGCAAATTTGTTTAGATGTGTCTCTTGCAGCGCTTTTATCCTTATTCATTTGCTCTATGGAAACGGGTTCAGGGTTTGCTGTGTGCTAGGCACTGTACTATATATTAACACTTGATGCGTGGAGGTAAACCAAACAAATATGGTACCAGTGCCCAATGAGTTGGGGTGGTAGAAATTAAGTAAGAATATATATGAATAAATAAACATTTTCATACAGTGATAAGTGCTATTTATAGTGCTAGGAAAAAAATCCCAAAGTGTTTTTTTTTTACTCTTACACAGTAACTCAACATTTCTGACACCAGATGTGTGGGGTACTTTTTGTTGTTGTTTTTGTTTGTTTATTTGTCTCACACCAACCAAGCAATTCTCAAGTGGACACATACTAAGTGTCCTATAATTTAACTAAATATACCTGGTAGAGGACCTTGTGTCAATATTGATGGCTCCTGGCTGATTAGAGTGGTGGTTGTTGAAGTTTGGGGTGCCTGTGTCAATTTCTAAGAATAAGAAAATAAAGTTTGCTGTATCAATTGACTCTTCCATGAAAGATTTCCTATAGCATGTGATGATATTTAATAGCATTTGATCCACAGTAGAACTTCTTCAAAATTGGAGTCAGTCCTCTCAAATCCTGCTGTTGCCTTATCAACTAATTTTATGTAGCATTCTGACCATTTTGTTGTCATTTCAACAATGTTCACAGCATCTTCAGCAGGAGTAGATTTCATCTCAGGAAGCCACATTCTTTGAGCATTCATGAGAAACTACTCCTCACTCATTCAAAGTTTTATCATGAAACTGCAGCAATTCAGCCCCATTTTCAGGTTCTACTTCTAGTTCTAGTTCACTTGCAATTTCCACCACATCTGTATTTACTTCCTCTATTGAAGTCATGAACCCGTCAAGATCTCCATGAAAGTTGAAATCAATTTTTTGCAAATATTGATATTTTGACCTCCTCCCATAAATTACAAATGTTCTTAATGGCATCTAGAATTATAAATCCTTTCCATAAGGTTTTCAATTTATTTTGCCCAGACCCATCAGAAGAATCACTCTCTATGACAGCTATTGCCTTAAAAAATTTTTAATAATAAGACTTGAAAGTCAAAATTACCCCTTGACTCGTGAGCTGAAGAGTGGATGTTGTGTTCGTGATGGCAGCCATGGGCCATCTGGTGCAGCTGCTGTTATCATGTTGGCCACTTCAGGGTGCACAACGAGGAGGCAGACAGCACCCCCACCCCCTGTAGCCCACTGCCCTAAGGGGCTGGTTGTGCACCAGGCAAGAAGGAGCTCAGGCCGCCCCTGGGTGCCAGCGCCACAGGAGGAGCTCACAGCAACATCGTCCCTGCCCCAGATGCTAGCCCAGGCCCAGCAAGGACTTGAAGCCCCCATTCCAGGCTGTGATGGGCATAGCCCAATGCCATGCTCCATGGAGCCAGTAGGGGCTGGGGACAAATGGGTGCAACTGCAGCTGCCCAAGCCGCCACTGAAACCAGGGCACTGCTGTGCTTGTGGGCAGAGCTGCAGCTACTCAAACCACAGCTGTAGATCCGAGCCTCCCTGTGATCTTGGGGAGCCAGGAACAGGCAAGAGCCCTGCCCGCCCAGGTGCAGCAGCAGGAGCTGCCCAAACCATGGCTGTAGACAGGCATCCCTGTACTCTTGGGGGCCTGGGAAGGTCCCCCTACCCTCAGAGGCTTGGAAGTGCCTGCTTCTGCTGCCAGGCCTCTCCCTGCTGTTGGCACCCACTCTGATCACCAGCAAAGTTGGGGCAGAGCCAGTGGGCCATGAATGATACTGAGAGGCAGATTCCTGAACAGAAGGGGGCGGGTCCCGGGTAAGGACCCACCTTCAGTCCAAGTAGGGCCTAAAGGCTGGGGGCTGAGCTGCCAGTCCTGAGGACCTAAGTGGGGACATGTGGTTCCTCTTCCAGGCCTGCCTATGGCTGCCCAGGGACTGATTGGCATGCACTTCCTCCCCTGTGAGGTCCATAATAAGCCTGGGGCTCAGCCAGAGCAGAGGACAGACAGACTGTGGGATGACCAGCTGCAGAGAGGAGCTACCCTCTCTTCTGAGAGACTCAGAGACCTGAAGAGATGTCAGGACTACAGCTGCAGAGAGAAGCAGCCCTCTCTAGGACCTACTCTCTGCTGAGAGCAGAAGATACTGGGACGACCAGTAGCAGAGAGCAGCTACCCTCTCCAGGGCCTCCTCTCTGCTGAGAGTTGAACATTTGACAGGAGGAACTGCCTACAGAGTACAGCTACCTGCTGTGGGTCTCCTCTGAGCTGCTCTAACACTCAATAAAGCTCCTCTTCGTCTTGTTCACCCTCCATTTGTCTGCATACCTCATTCTTTCTGGATGCAGGACACGAACTTGGGCAAAGGCACCACTGGCCACAGAAGTTTCCAGCCAGAAAATTGACACTCCAAAGATCCCGTAACATTAGCAGTCATGAAAACAACATTCTTTTTGCACATCTCCATCAGAGGTTTGGTTTATCAAGGGCATTGTCAATGAGCAGTACTATTTTGAAAGAAATCTATTTTTCTGAGCAGCCGGTCTCAACAGTAGGCTTAAAACATTCAATAAACCATACTGTAAACACACATGATGTCATCCAGGTTTTGTTGTTCCCTTTATAAAGTATACACAGAGTAAATTTACATAATTAATAAGGGTCCTAGGATTTTGACATGGTAAATAGGCATTGGCTTCAACTTAAAGTCACCAGCTGGATTAGCTGCTAAAGAGAAAGTCTGCCTCTCCTTTGTAGTTTTGAAGCCAGGCCTAGACTTCTCTCTAGCTATGAAAGTGCTAGATGGTATCCTTTTCTGATATAAGGCTGTTACTGCTACACTGCAAATATGTTGCTTAGTGTAGCTACCTTTATCGGTTATCTTAGATCTTCTGGATAGCTTGCAGCTTCTACATCAGCACTTCTTGCTTCACTTTGCACTTTTAGGCTATATAGATGGCCTCTTTCCTTAAATCTCATGAACTAACCTTTGCTAGCTTCCACCTTTTCTTCTGAGGCTTCCTCACCTCTCTCAGCCTTCATAAAATTGAAGAGAGTTAGGGCCTTGCTCTGGATTAGGCTTTGGCTTAAGGGAATGTTGTGGCTGGTTTGATCTTCTATCCAGACCTCTCAGATTTTCTCCATGTCATCAATAAAGCTATTTTGCTCTCTTATCATTTGTGTGATCCCTGGGCTAGCACTTTTAATTTCCTTCAAGTACTTTTTACTTGCATTCACAACTTGGTTATCTGTTTGATGTAAGAAGCCTAGCTTGGGGTCTATCTCATCTTTCCACGTGCCTTATTCACTAAGCTTAATAATTTTTAGCTCTTGATTGAAAGCAAAAGATGTGTGACTCTTCCTTTTACTTGAACAATTAGAAGCCATTTTAGGGTTACTAATTGGCCTAATTTCAATATTGTGTCTCAGGGAATAGAGAGAGTGAGATAGGGGAATGGTTGATGGAGCAGTCGAACAGAACACACACAATGTTTACTGATTAAATTTGCCATCTTATATGGGAGTGGTTTGTGGTGCCTTAAAACAATGATAATAGTAACATCAAAGATCACTGGTTATATATTACCATAAAAGATACAGTAAGAATGAAACAGCTTGAATTACCAAAATGTGACGGAGACATGAAGTGAGCACAGGCTGTTGTAAAAATAGCGCTGATTGAATTGTCACAATCCTTCAATTTGTAAAAAACACAATATCTGTGAAATAAATAATGTGAAGCCAATAAAACAAGATGTGTCTGTAGCAGGATTGAACATGTGACTTTTGCCATGATATCATTATTTATGTAGTAGAGTGTTATTATGAAGCGGATTGTAATACATTTACAGCTGGGTTTGTTCACAGTATTTGCCTTTGCACTGCTCCTATTTGCCTTCCTGATGAGAGGAATTCTAACTAGACTGGCAATATTGTGTTTTTTAAACTTTGAGAATTAGTCTGTTGGTCCATGTGCTACACACACCATTTGGACCAATTCTTTTGTGGGGGAAATTTTCAAGAGTGTTGAAAGCATTGGTGGAGGAAATTCACTGCTTTGAGGTTTCCATCTAATACAAAATGTTTTCCTTTGAAACCTTTTGTCAATCTCAATATTCTCTTTTATTGGTCTCAATTTTAAAAATCTGCTCCTTGGATGTAAGACTGTGTATTTAATACTAAACTATAAACTGGTAGTTGTATTCCTAAGAGCCCTTGAGTTAGCATAAACCATATTATAAAATAATTGTTTCAGCCGGGCGCGGTGGCTCACGCCTGTAATCCCAGCACTTTGGGAGGCCGAGGCGGGCGGATCACGAGGTCATGAGATCGAGACCATCCCGGCTAAAACGGTGAAACCCCGTCTCTACTAAAAATACAAAAAATTAGCCGGGCGTAGTGGCGGGCGCCTGTAGTCCCAGCTACTTGGGAGGCTGAGGCAGGAGAATGGCGTGAACCCGGGAGGCGGAGCTTGCAGTGAGCCGAGATCCCACCACTGCACTCCAGCCTGGGCGACAGAGCAAGACTCCGTCTCAAAAAAAAAAAAAAAAAAAAAAAAAAAAAAAAAAAAAAAATAATTGTTTCAATGCAAAATGCGGGGTTCGAACTTGAAAGCTTTAGTTTTGCCATTGGGTGTTACTTTTCTAACAGGAATTCCAATCATAATTTTACAACTGTTAATATACAGCTAAAAATAAAAACAACAATGAAAAAAACCCATCTTTGACTCCAAATAACTCTTCCTTCCCTTTCCTACCAACTCCAACACTGTTGTTGATACACTTCTTCTAACACAGTTATGATATTGGCTAATTTTCATTAAGCACTGACTACATACCAGGCATCATTGCAAGCATGTTGCAAATATTTTCTTATTTAATCTTCATAGCAAGCTTATTATGTAGGAGTTTTTATTTTGCATTAGCTTCGTTTTCCAGATATGGACATTGTGGCAGTTAATTATTTTGCCCAAGTTCACAAAATCGGTAGTATGACAACATTGTCTATCCTCTCTAGCCTATAAATGCTATACTCTTTTTCTGATTCCTTATTATGGCTTGGAGATCTCCTTATAATTGATTAAGAAGAAAGTATCAGTGCAATGCAAAGAATGTTTCTTCAGCAGCTAAGTCTTATTGTATCTTCTTTATGAGAAACAGACTGGGAGAAAAGCCTATAAAAAGGAATGTCATTAATATTGAGTAAGATGTGTTTATGAGGTGCTAACAAACCCATTTATAACTACATGAAAAATATCAATTGGGTCTATTTTCACAAATTCACTTACAGAAGGATGTGACCTTGATAGGATCTCCCAGTAGGAAAACCCTAGGGTGGGGTCATTTGTTGTAGATGTGACTGAAGGCACGTGTAATTACAGACAAAAAGGGTCTTTGGACAGGTCGGATGATGCCTAGCTCATTGGTACTTAAATAAATACAGTAATACTTAAAATAGGACTCTAATTAGGTGATTTATTTTTCTCAATTCTGATATGCAGTAAGTGATTACCTTGAAGCGCTCAAGAGGGCAGATGCATGCACACCAAGGTTGATGGTTTGGCTTCTGGCAGATTAACTATAAAATTCCTCCTCCCTTCAGGATTATAAGCTCCTGGTATAGAGTTTAAAAATACATAATTACAGGAAATATCATATTTTGTTCATGCAACTTTAAAAAAAGCCCCTAAAATTTCTGTAAATAAAGCTTGTATTAGATGCTTTTCTTTTCAGAACTAAAAATATTCACCTAATAATCAGAAATTGTTTTAACACGTTAAAGTTTTCTTTTCCTATTCCCTTAAAAAATTGAGTTCTGCTGTGTCAACGTGGCTAAGTCTGCCCTAGGCTACTCTTGATGATGGAATTTATAGAATAAACAGCAAAGATGATGAAAGGTAACCTGAACTGAATTTTTCCTGAACTTGAATGAGGTCGAGAGATCACTCTGCACATTCTTTCCAAGCTGAAAATTCATTTCAGTTGTTGCTGTTACTGTATTCCATCTATGCACAAAGTGAAAGGAAAACTTGTGGCAAAAGTTTATAAGCTGGAATGGTTTATTAAAACATTAAAGAAAATGAACGTTTGGAAGGAACATTATCAATATCTATGGAAATACTGTGAGATATGTTATAAACGTAGACACGGAATTTATTTATGTTAGTGATGTTCACTTTTGAGAACTCCATTAGTAGAAGCCATCCTACTAAAAGGCATCTGTATCACTTAAAATATCCCAGGGTAAATCTGAAGAAAACCAAAGGAGGGAAATTCTATAGCTGAATGTTTAGGCAATACATCTGTAGAGACAGGCACTACAAGAGATGTTGGTCATTGGAATTCCTGCTTTTTATTTGTATTCATTTTTTTCAAACTTCTATTAACAGAATATTAGGTTTTGTTGAAGTCACTATCACACTTGCCTTTCATTCTTTCTTATTTATTTAATTATGACCTATTTTCCTCTGCTAGGATATAATACTAATAAGAGCAAGCGTTTTACAGTTAATTCAGTACCCAAGGGTCCTAGAAACCATGGCTGATAGATGGTAAGCCCTCAGTGGAGGAAAGAACAAGGTAATTTTTTTTTTCCCAACACCCTCTAGAGAACCTAGTGCTGTGCTTTGTACACAGGTCAACAAGCATTTGTGGGGCAAATAAAATTAATAGGAATTAAAGCATTTCTGTCATCATCAAAGTTAATTGCATTTTGGTGACTGGAAAATAACCCCAAATCAGAAATACATCCCAGAAGAAACTGATGCATGCTCACATTTCAGGGTGAAGGGCTACGAGTCCTTAGACAATAAACCGCTGTAGAAGGGAGAACAGCGCTTTGTAAACAGAAGAAAAGAGGTGGTCATCAATAAATAATACTGACTCAGCAAATTCTTTGAACATAAGAGTGTCTGAGTGGCTACTCTTTATTGGGTGGCCATAGAAGGCATTTATAAAGAGATGGTGTTTAGTCTGAGCTCTGAAAGAGAAGAAAGATACATTTATAAACATGATATAGAAGAGCATTTCCTGTGGGGAAGCAGCTGGTGAGAATGAGCAAAGTACATTTAAGGGAAACCAGTAAGTGTTGCCTTGGATTTCATTACGATTGCAATCAGAAGCCACTGGAAAGTTTTAAGAACATGAATGATGTCCAGACTCATCAAATTGTATGCATTAAATATGTGGAGTATATTGAATATTAGTTATACTTCAGTAAATCTATTTAATACAAACAAATAATAGCAACAAAACATTCCCCTCCCCCCTCAAAAAGTAAGACACTTTCAACAGGCGTCATTGGAAGTATTCTGTCCCAAGAACAGCTTCTTCCACAACACTTTATTGTTTCATTTGTGATCTGCATCAGCAATCATCAGCTATCACTTGCTTTCTGGCTCAGGTTAAAAAATCTTGTTTCCTGTCGTGAGGAAAGGGCAGAAGGGAAATTGGCAAGGGGGAAATCTGGTGTGATCCAGTGACTCACAAGTTCATCCCTAACTTTTATTGCCAGATAATGTTTAAACACTTCTGGCTTTTGCTTTCTCTCTGGGGTCATTTATAATTTTTTTTCTAAAATCCTTGCCATCCTTTACCTCCCTGAGCATTCAATATCCCCTCTAACTTCTGCTGGGAATCTAAGATGTCAACAACATGTTATTTAGATGAAATGCTGCTATCCTTTCCTTTACTGGGGTTGTCATTCCCTATTGTCTGCCCATACAAATAGCTGCACCTATAGGACTTTGATCTGCTGTCAGTCTGGACAACATTACTTTCTTATTTTACCTGTTGTCCCAATATCAATATATCTAAATAGACTTCTCTGTAATATTACACAAAGTCGCTTGTAAGATAACCTGGTTCTTGCCCGAGTTTATGACATCCTGTGGTTTGCTGCCTTATCATTTTTAAAGCCAAGACTTTTAAAAATCATAGCTTAAGGTTTGTTTAATTTCACAAATGCAAAGTACAGAATTTGGCTACTATTGGGAGCCCCCATATTTTTAATGATTTAATTAAAGTTATATATCCCATCTGTATAAGAGCTTCCTTTTATCTTCCAAAAGAGATGGATTTCCATTCTTTCCTGTTTACTTTTGAAATTCAGCACTTCAATGGTCTTCAAGCCATAATTTTGGCTTATGTAATCACTATGATCAGACTTCTTTATTGGAGTCAGTGGGAGATTACTGTCTTAAGGCAATTATGGTAAAGTTGAGAAGTGACCTCAGAAACAAGGTATATAGGGAAAATAATTAGTTTTGTGAAGACAGGAAAAACATTTAGGACAGTGTATGTTCTCTGATCTCATGATTTATAGATAGTTGTTTGATATAAGTAAATAGTTATTTTCTAAACCACACAGACTTATCCAAATGCCAGTTATGACCTTCCCTTAAAGTGAGAAGTAAGCTTATGCCACACTGTCTCTTAAGCCATTTTACTATCTCCAAATGAATCAATGCATACCTCAATATATCCATCCTTGTTTTGCTGATGTAACTGGGTTGAACAAAGAAGCTCATCAACCCAATTACTCTCTACAAAACAAAGTATGCTATCTCTCAGCTATGGGTTCAGGCTCTGGCTTATGACAAAACACCACTAACAAAAATATACAGGCTGGTGTTTACAATCCTGGCTTTCTTTGATCCTGACTGGCCAAATTTCATGGCAGGTGCCAAGAAGAAAATTAAAAATATATATATAGCTATGACTCTGACTTTTACACTTAAGCTGTGGTAATATACTAGGAAGCAATTACAAGGGTACCTCAAAAACTATAGCTACTGCTATGGACTGAATTGTATACCCCCATATTCATATGTTGAAGTCCTAACTCCTGATGTGATTGCATTTGGAGATAGGGATTTTAGGAGGTAATTAAAGTTAAATAAGGTTATAAGGGTGGGGTCCTAATCCAATAAGATTGGTGGTCTTACAAGAAGAGGAAGAGAGAAATCTCTCTCTCTATCCATATGCATGCACTGAGGAAAGGCTATGTTAGGACACAGCAAGAAAGTGGCTGTCTGCAAGCCAGGAAGAGAAGGGCCTCATAAGAAACACTCTTCCAGACCTTGATCTGGGACATGTAGCCTGCAGAACTGTGAGGAATACATTTCTGTTGTTTAGACCACTCAATCTATGGTGTTTTGTTATGGCAGCCTGAGCAGACTAATACAGCTGCCTTTAGAGAGAACCAAAGAGAAGACGAGATATGGTTTCTTGGAGCAAGAAATGTAGTTGCAGTTTAAACTGTCCTTAAAGTTATTCAAGGAACCCTTTCTTCTGTCCCTTCTTGCAAAATATATACTGAGTCTATCCTGTGAACAGGATTATAAAATTTATCACCTAAATATTACAATAGTACAGTTTTTACAGCAATAATTCGGGGCCATCTAGGGCAAACTAAGACATATTGTCACCCTGCCTATAGAGAACTATTAGATGTTAAGACTTCTTTTTGCCTGTTTCCAAGCCAACAAAAGAGGGCTATACCAGGTTAGTGCAGCAGTGGCTTTGGTTGGTGATGTTAGAGCATAGTCTGTTGATTACTCCTGGGTCTCTGTTTTTCTGTAGGTCTTTACATGTTCAGCTGTCACTTCATTTTCACTACTTTCTTTCACTACCTAAGTAGTTTTCCTTTGATGTCACATTAGTGTCCAGACTCTTTGGTTAAAATAACCCTTTGATTTATCCTAATCTCTAGCTCCAATTTAAGACAACTATTCTAAATTTCATTATAATTTCTCCAAAATATCTGATATTAGTTCAAAGATACAATGCTTAGGCCACTTTTTTCAGAGTCAATGATAAGGCAAGAAGCATGGTATTAATTACATAAATATATTAATAAATGGATTATTTGTGTGAAGAATGCTTTTCATGTATTCATATATTAAATTCATATATTTATAAAAGGTATTCTCCTTCCTATCCATTCTTAAGAAGCATGAGTAGAAGATGAGAGGAAAGAATTTCATTTGTTGGGCTCAAAGTCCTTAACAATATCTATAGCTGGACTGTAATCTTTATATTCCAGTCTTAAAAGATAGGACAGTTATATGAGCTTCTTTATGACAGAATTAGCTTTAAAAATAATAGCTAGCCTCCTCATTTCCTCGTAAATAATGGAAAACATCCCCCTTGATTGACACGTTAAAATTGGGATATAGTTTTTAATTAATATATTTGTGAATTTTCTATTTATTTTACCTTAAGCCATCTATTTTTAAACCATGTTAGAAGATATTGAGTGAAAAATTTACTGTGTCCCAGAGTTGTAGTTAAGGACTTCAGTTGTGGACAAGATGAGCTGAGTATCCCACTTTGAAAGCCAGTATGTAATAGAACCCAGCTATATTCCCACAGGGCTTGTTAAGAGGTGAAAAGTATATACCGCCCCCTGCCAACAGTGACTAAGAAGAGAACTGGGGAAAGAAAAGGGAATCGTCAAGAGTAATGCTAACTGTTGTAACTAACAACCCCCCATATTTTAGTAGATTAATACAATAAAATTTTATTTTTCACTTATGTAATTCAACAATGTGGGTGTTCCTGGCTTAAATGATTTTCCTTTGAGAAGATTTTTTCCGGTTTGTAAATTTGCCATTCTTGGCAAAGAGCATCTAGCCTTATGCTGGGGGTCATCTCCATTCCAGCCAGCCAGAAAGGAAGAGTATAGAGGATTGCATAGAGGAGGGCTTTATGGGCTGCATCAGTTTTCTAGGGCTGCCATAACAAAGCACCTCAGACTGGGTGGTTTGAGTAACAAAAAATCATTTTCTCACAGTTTTGCAGAAAAGAAGTCCGAGATCAAGGTGTAGGTAGAGTTGATTTCTTCCGAGGACTCTCTCTTTGGCTTAGAAATGGCTGCATTCTTACTGCGTCCACACATGATTTTTCCCCTTATGTGTACATCCCTGGTGTTACTTTGTTCAAATTTCCTTTTTTTATAAGGACATCAGTCAGCTTAGATTAGGATCTGCCTAACAGCCTCATTTTAACTTAATTACCTTTTTAAAGGCCTTATTTCTAAATACAGTCACATTCTGGGCTACTGGGAGTTAGGGTTTCAACATGTGAATTTAAGGAGATATAATTCAGCCCATAACATGGGACAAGCCTTGAAATGGTGTGTGTCATTTCCACTCCATGGACTCTTTGGCTGGAACTCAGTCTCATTGTCACACCTAAATGCAAAGGGAGCTAGGAAATACAGCTATCTTTCCCAGGAAGAAGAAAGAGAAGACATTGGTTTGACTGGGAAGCCATCTCTTCCATAGTCTGGTCACTAAATATTCATTTCATAGTTCTTATTCATGGAATTTACTTACCTTGTCTACAGACTCAATGTCTGTGATCTCCAGGTGATATGCAGTCTTTTCTACCAGGTCCAGATGTTGCTTCTCATGATCCAGTGACTACTAAACTATAAAGACAATTATCTGCTCACTCACTGCCTCCACACTTACTGTATAAGAGTAAAGCAGGGATAGAATAACAACAGTGAACTGTCCAAATGAGGAATGAGTGACAGACATAGCAGTGACTGCTAAACAGCAATAATCAACTCCTGTAGGGCAGGCTTTGTAAGGGTCCTTTGCTTTTAAAGTTCTTAATTAGACCCTTATTCTGTATTCTAGGAGGACCGTCCCTGAGCACTCTCCTGTGAGGCCTCTGGCTGCACTCTCTGGTAGTTTTCCTCTTATCTATTATTCTCCATGGGCACATCTCAAGTGGGCTTTGGGGCTATGCCCATTTTGAGTTGTTCAGATTTTGTAGCTCACTTAGTGCTCAGGTAAGTTTGAGCACCCATAAGTTGTTTAAAGGCTTGAGAAGTAATTAACATATATATTTTTTGACAATACAGTCCCCTCTATATCTTAGGAGTTTTTTGATCTTGCTTTCAATCAATTTCACATTTCAATATGCACACCTAAAATGTTCTCCCAAATAGAGCTCTGAAATCTGGCTTATTTCTTTGCTGTCTCCTCTTCATGCCTCTCTCAGCTTAAGCAAAACTACCTTGTGGCCATATGAAACAATAATTTGTGGTGGAAATGCATTAACCTTCATTCAGTCTCAAAGACAGTGCTGAATTTTTGTTCAGTAAAGTCTTACAGGGCTTACATTACTCAAAAGGCTTATCAATCTTTTACTCTTTTGTGTCCAGAAAGAGTTCGCTTTTCCAAATTATTCAGAGGTCACATTTCTGAAAATTTTAATTCCCTTTCATTTATGCTTGCAGACTATGCAATTTGATCTCATTTTTTCTCTTGTAATACCTCATTAAAAGCATTAGGTAAAAGCTAAGACACTCACTCTCAATCCTACTCTCACTTTCCCCCAAACTGCAGGTTCAGGTGCCGCTGGCTTATCTTCCAAGCAGATGATGATTTTACCAAATATTTTGCCACTGTGTAACATGAGTTTCCATCTGTTTAGCTTACATATATACATATATATGTGTATATATATACGTATATGTGTATATATATAACTGTTTGCTGCCTAATTAGACAATGTCTTTGTTTAAGGCAATATTCCACTCTAAATATCAATTTTTGTCTTTGCTATGATAAATTACTGTAACAGGCAAATAAAAGCACTTTGAAGCCTTAAAAGAGTAGTAATTTATTTCTTCTTACTTAGGAATTAATGTCGGTTTAGTTTGGGGCACAGGGGTCTTGGGTTTATGTATTTATTTAGGGACCCAGGCTGTTGGAGGCTCTACTCTCTTCTGTGGTCTTTCTGGGCATTTATATCCAAATTGAAGCTAGGGAAGAAACATATAAAATTATTATTTTAGAGATTGTAATGTACTATGACTAAAAGTAGTAGTAGTACTTCACTTTTGCTCACTGTATAGAACTCATGGCCACATGTAAATGCTGTCAATTCTAGGAACAGACTTGCTGTGTGCCCAAGAAAAAATGAAAACAGATTTGTTATTAAACTAGTTGACTGTATCACTGTGGAGTAAAGTGTCTGTGAACAAAGAGTCTTCCCTCCCTCCTTTACTGAACTTAAGTTAAGGGGAACCCAAGATCACTCATGAAGACTGGGAGTATCTTTAACCTGTTTATGCCTGAGGTTGCAGTTTTTTAACTTTTTGCAAACAGACCTTGGTGACTACCTTGAGCAGTAGGATATAAATAACTCCATCATGCTTAGTGTTCCTTAAGGAGGGGGAATCTGAGATCTCTTCTCTTAATAGGTGATTTCTGAGCTTCAGAACTCTCCAGAGCAGAGTTTGGTGAGAATGTGTTTAAAAGAACTGTAGGGAGCCCAAGAGTACAGCATGCAGTCTTATTAAAGTTCCTCCATTCCCACTCTGAGAAGAATAAGGTTTAATGGCCTCAGTAGTGAGCAGAGACTGGCATCTGCTTTCTGAAGACAGGAGGCTCCCTGGAACAGCATGATTTGAGTGGCTAATGACATAGAATAATTTATCTGAGCAAGCAAATTAGGGCTATTGTTTCCCGATCTCAAATCTGCAAGGCTTTTGAGAGGTGCCTTCACACTTAGACGGTAGTGAATAGAAACTTATATAGCCATTGAGAAAAGTGACAAAATGCCCAACCCAGAGAAGTTGTTGGGAGGTATATATATATATACACATATATGTACACACACACACACATGCATATATATGTATGTGTGTGTGTGCATGTGTGTGTGTATGTGTGTGTGTGTGTGTGTGTGTATATATATATAAATATTATTGCTGGTGGAGCCAATGGCAGACATAGTTGCTCCTCTAAAGAGGTCTCTTGAACAATGGACGAAGCTTAGGTGAAAGTAAACACCACCCTGAGGAACCCATGCACATCACCCACATGGAGCCCCGAATATTAGCAAAATTCTCAACATCAGATGAAACCACATGACTAGAATGAGGATGGAAATACCTCCCAACTACCATCAAAAGGAAAGTCACGTAAAAAGATAATGCCTTCTCTTTTCCTTATCCTTGTCCCACACCAGAGGACCTAAAACCTTCTCTCCAACCCCGTCTACTTTATGCAGCCAGGGCTTCTGGTTTAGTCCGTGCAGGATGGGATATGAGTTTTGGATTAAGTTCAGCCTGAAGTTTCAAAATAAGTAAGATTACTTTGTTGCTGTTAACAGCTTTATTGAGGTATAAATGACATACAAGTAGCTGCATATATTTAAACCATACAATTTGATATATTTTGATATATTTCTGAATATATAAAAATATATCTGAGAAATTATTACCAGAATTAATAATGAGCATGTCCATCACTGGCAAAAATTTTCTCATGTGCTTTGTAAAACTCTTTTTGTCTGTCTGCTTTCATTTAGCACAGTTGTTTTGAGATTTATCCATTTTGTTGTATTAATAGTTTACTTTTTATTGCTGAATAGTATTCTATTGTTTATATGTTCCACAATTTGCTTTCATTCACCTGTTGATAGACTGGGTTGTTTTCAGTTTTTGGTTATTAAAATAAAACTGCTACGAACATTACACACAATTTTTATAGAAATATGTTCTTATTTTTCTTGGGTAAATACTGTGCAATGAAATGGGTGGATCACAAAGTAGGTGTACAATTAACAGATTCAGAAATGGCCAAGGTATTTTCCAACATGGTTGTACCATTAAAGATTCTCACCAGCATTGTATTAGAATTCTGGTGCTTCCATGGCCTTGCCAACACTTGGTATTGTGAGTTGTTTAAATTACAACCTTTCTAAAAGTATACAGTCATATTAATTGTGATTTTAATTTGTATTTCCCTAATAACTAATGAGGTTGAGCATCTTTTCATGTGTTTATTTTTCATCTGTTTATTTCCCCTGATAAAAATGTCTGTTCACATGTTTGCCAACTTTTGAAGGCATTATTATTGTTTAATTTTGAAATTCTTTATATATTTTGGGTACAAATCTTTTTATCAAATATATGATTTACAAATATTTTGTCTATGTCTGTGGATTATCTTTTTACTCTCGTAACAATTGTGGGGTGGGGGGAGGGGGGAGGGATAGCACTGGGAGATATACCTAATGCTGGATGACGGGTTAGTGGGTGCAGCGCACCAGCATGGCACATGTATACATATGTAACTAACCTGCACATTGTGCACATGAACCCTAAAACTTAAAGTATAATAATAATAAATAAATAAATAAATAAATAAATAAAACACAATGTCTTCTGAAAAGTTTTGATTTTGAAAAAGTCAAATTTTTCAATTTGTTCTCTTGTAAATCATGCCTTTTGTATTGTAACTAGGAAACCTTCATCTAATCCAAGATCGAAAAAGTTTTCTCCTAGATTTATAGTTTTAGTTTTTATATTAAATTCCATTTGAGTTAATTTTTGTATATGGCAATTTTTTGTCTTGTATGTAGTTTGCATGTCCAATAGTTTCAATATAATTTGAAGAAAATATAATTTGAAGAAAAAACTACCATTTCTCCTCTGACTTTCCTGTGAATCTTTACAAATATCAATCATCCATATGTGTGTGAGGCCATTGATCTATTTGTTTATATTTACATTTATACTGTATTCTTTAATTATTGTCACTTTACTGTAAGGTGAAGTCAGGTAGTGTAAATGCTCTGATGTTGCTCTTCTTTTTCAAAGTTGTTTTGACTCTTCAAGGTCCTTTGAATTTCCTTTTCTACTTGAAACCTCCTACACAAAAAGCTTGCTGGGATTTTGATTACAATTGCATTGCAATTACATAATAATTTAATGAAGACTGACATTTGATATTACTGAGTCTTCCAACCCATGGACACGCTATATTTCTCTATATTTTTAGATTTTAATTTTCCCTAGCAGTGTTTTGTAGTTGCCACATCTTTTTCAAATCTATCCTTATGTATTTCATATTTATAATGTTATAGATGATTATAAAATTATTTTTTGATAGAAATACAATTGATGTTTTAACCTTGCAGCCTTACTAATCTCACTTACTAGTTCTAGAAGTTATTTTACACAGTTCATCAGGTTTTCTACGTATACAATTATTTCTTTTGTGAATAAAGGCAGTCATACTTTTTACATTCCAATCTGGATGTTTTATGTTTATTTCTCATGTTTTATGGTAGTAGTCAGAATCTCCAGTATAGTATTAATAGAAATGATGAGAGCTAACATTTTTATTTAGTTCTTCATCTTGGAGGAAAACATGAGTCTTTCACTATAAGTGTGATGTTAGCTGAAGGATTTTCATGGGTGATCTTTATCAGGTTAAGGAAGTTCCCTCCTATTTCTGGTTTACTGTGAAGTTTTTATTTTGTTTATTTGTAGATGTTATATTTTGTCAAATGTTTTTCCTGAGCTTATTTAGATAATAAGTATTTTTAATTTTTAAATCCCTTAATATGATGAAGTATACTGATTGGTTTTCAAGAATTAAGCCCACCTTACATTCTTGGGATAATCTCAATTTGGTTGTGATATATTATTGTTTTTATATCTTGTCAGATTTAATTTTCAGAAATTTTGTTTGGAATTTTTGCATCTATGATTATAAAAAATATTGCTCTGTAAACAAACAAAAAGTTTATTTGTAAACAAACCTTTAAATCTTTGCTCCAGAATCAACTTGTCCTGGACAAAGAACTTAAAGCCTATGAACCTCAGTCCATCTTCAAAAAGGATCTATTGAGTTCCCTTTTGGGCTGTTAGGACAATTAGAAATAATGATTACAAAGCACCCGACACAATACTTGACACATAGTAGATAGCCAATTTTTGGCATCAATATTAATAATAGTAACTTAATTTCTGATAAAATAAAGAGTGCTAAAAGAGAAAAGAGGTGTTTCATTTCTTATTATGCTTATGTAAAAGCATTCAGAACAATTTGGAATAATGATTTTATTTTTTTATTTGTGTCGATTTAGGCATACAAGTGCATTGTGTTACATGGGTATATTGTGTAGTGGTGAAGTCTGGGCTGTTAGTGCACCTATCATCTGAATAGTGTACATTGTGCCCAATAGGAATAGATATTATTTCATCCCTCACTTCCCTCATACCTTCTTACTTTCTGGACTCTCAAATGTCTATTATTCCCCTCTGTGTGTCCATGTGTACATATTGTTTAGCTCCCACTTATCAGTGGGAACATGGAGCTTTTGACCTGTTTTGGAGTCGCTTCACGTAGGATAATGGTCTCTGGTTCTATCCATGTTGCTACAAAAGACATGGTTTCATTCTTTTATATGGCTGAGTGATATTTCATGGTATATTTATACCACAGTTTAAATCCAGTCATTCACTGATGGACACAAAAAGGGAATGCTTACACACTGTTGGTAGGAATGTAAATTAATGCAACCTTTATGAAAAGCAGTATGAAGATTTCTCAAAGAACTAAAAATAGAATTACCATTCAATCCAGCAATCTCACTACTGAGTATCTACCCAAAAGAAAATATATCATTTTACCAAGAAGGCACCTGCACTCCTATGGAATGATAATTTTTGCATTAAAAAATCATAACTGATGTATCTTTATAACGACATGATACTCAGTAAAAAATGTAACATAATATTGGGACAGGAAAAATACCATGAGTTTAAGGATATCTGCCTATCACTGATTCTTATGTGATCTCAGATAATTTGGACTCATTTGTAAACAGAGCAACTGGATTGAAATTTTCATAATTTTGTATTTTTTAATACTGATACATGAAAGACTGATACTGAGTCCAGAAAGATGCATTGTCTTTGATTCAATCTTTATTTATTGGGGACTTATTTTTTAGTTATATCTAATCCTCATTTTATTAAGAAAATTTTAAAAACCCACATTAGCTTAACTTAATTTAAAATTCTAATCTCTGATCATTACCTCCTCAACAATACTCTACTTACCTGCACTCCTAAATTTTAGCCTTTACACCTGTAATGCAGCTACAGTTACTATAAGATGACATTTTTGATGATCTACTCACTATTCATTTTTCCTCTTCTTCCAAATGAAATCTGGATCTATTCAGGTATACAGCATTCTCATGCAGTCATGTGCCCCCAAAATATGACCCCATCCCAGCTACAGAGGCATAACTCATTTTTTCTAAGGGTGGGCTGATTATCATTCCAAGTGATTGGTCTATGAATGGAAATATGTCCCAATCCTAACCAACAAACTATAAACTTCAGTCTTCTGGTACATTTTCTAGAAAATTTTCCTCCACCCTAAGAGCTATCCACATCAGAGGATAGTCTATCTTTTTTGTCTGGATCTTTTTTTTATTTTGGTCTGAATTAAGAATTTGATTTCTTTTTTTTTTCCGCAGCAATCTATCTAACAGCCTGTGGATGAGGTCAAAGGAAAGAGGGAAGAAAGGAGAAAGGGGAGAAGGAAAGAACTTGAGGCTTTGATGACCGTTGGAATGCGTAAGTAACCAACCCTGAAACCTGAACTTTCTCTTCATTTCTATGATGTGGAATAATAAATTTTCTTAGTGTTTAAGTTTCCTTAGAATTTCTTTTACTTGTGGCCAAAGATACTGCCAAATGTTTAGACTCATAACCTGATATTTCATAACCTTATTGTAATACTTCTGTTTCCATTCTTCTGCTAGTAAAAGTTGTAAAAGCACAGCATTTCGCAATCTAAAATACAAATTTGGTTTTTAAAATAAATTTTTTGAATTCTTTTTTATTTCAATAGGTTTTTGGGGCAACAGGTGGTCTTTGGTTACATGAATAAGTTCTTTAGCGGTGATTTCTGAAATTTTGGTGCACCCATCACCCAAGCAGTGTACATTGTACCCAATGTGTAGTCTTTTATCCCTCACCCACCTCCCATCCTTTCCCACAAGTCCCCAAAGTCCATTGTATCATTCTTATGCCTATGTGTCCTCATAACTTAGCTCCCAATTATGAGAGAGAACATACAATGTTTGGTTTTCCATTCCTGAGTCACTTCACTTAGACTAGTAGTCTCCAGTTCCATCCAGGTTGCTGAGAATGCCATTAATTCGTTCCTTTTTATGGCTGAATAGTTAAAATACAAATTTGAAAAAGAAATATTCATGGTAAACAATTGATAGGATTGGCCGGGCGCGGTGGCTCACGCCTGTAATCCCAGCACTTTGGGAGGCCGAGGTGGGTAGATCACGAGGTCAGGAGATCGAGATCATCCTGGGTGAAACCACGACTCTACTAAAAATACAAAAAATTAGCCGGACGTGGTGGCAAGTGCCTATAGTTCTGGCTACTCGGGAGGCTGAGTCAGGAGAATGGCCTGAACCCGGGAGGCGGAGCTTGCAGTGAGCCGAGATCGCGCCACTGCACTCCAGCCTGGGGGACAGAGCAAGACTCCATGTCAAAGAAAAAAAAAAATGTTAGGATTAAGCTCTATGGGGTATTATTGTATCTCCAGGCAGTAGGGGTATGCTATGCTGCTGTAACAAGTTAATGTTTATGATGAAAGGCAGATAGGACAGGAAGCACAGTATGTTAATTAGTTCCTTATGAGAAAAACCCATTATTTCACCCAACAGATTTTTCCATTTGGTAAAATATTATTAAAAACTCAGTTTGACACTGATTTTAGTATGTTTTTTTCTTCTAAATTATATATACATACACACAGACTCTCACACACACGCACACATATGGTTAGTGAAGACTATGGGAGAATTAATTTGAAGTTTTTTTTTTTTTTCTTTTTTTCTTTTTTGAGATAGAGTCTCACTCTGTCACCCAGGCTGGAGTCCAATGGCACGATCTTGGCTCACTGCAGCCTCTGCCTCCCAGGTTCAAGGGACTCTCCTGTCTCAGGCTCCCGAGTAGCTGGGATTACAGGTGTGCGCCACCATGCCAGGCTAATTTTTGTATTTTTAGTGGAGATGGGGCTTCACCATGTTGGCCAGGCTCGTCTCAAATACCTGACCTCAAGTGACCTGCCTACCTCGGCCTCTCAAAGTATTGGGATTACAGGCGTGAGCCACAGTGCCCAGCCTGAAGCCTTTAGCCAAAACAAATACTTTAATAAATCTCTTCTTACTTCCAAGAAAAAAAAGACATTTTGTTATTTTGACATGCTCTTTGTTGTTTATACAATCAGTGAAATACTCTTGTAAAATGAGTAAGTTTTGGAATCCAGAGCTTAGGTCTGACATTAATTAGCTATGAGGAAAGAGGTGGATCAAATAAAAAATTACAATAAGAAAGAATTTAACAGACACACTATATTATGCAGGAACAACACTCAAATTAATTTTAACAGTATTTAACATATATTGGATCATTGTTTAAATGAATGAGTATAACAAATTCACCATGAATCCTGTTATAGAAGAGTTAGTGTCTGAAGTGCCTGCAGCCATTAAGTGGTGATATTACTTATGAGGATTCCAGTGGCATATTCCTTAAGCATGGAATGTTTTATGCCACTCACTTACTGCATGTGGCACTGGATCTTTTAAGTGCTTAAATGATTCCCACTATGTCTTTTTAAAAAATAGATTATTGTTTACTTGGCATAAACTATAAAAATGCTTTTCCATTCATCGGGAAGAACTCACTTGTTCTTTAGGCAAGACTTTCTTTTTCACAAAATGCCATTTACTCTTAGTGTTGAATGTTTGTCATGCCAAGGATGAACGTGATGCCTTGATAATAATTCTGGACTTGCTGTTGTTCACTTGGACACTGTTAGCTAATCCACCAAGAAACATACTTTCATTTCCATCATCATCATTAGGATGGGTGAGTCATACAGGAGGTCTGGGGTACTTTATGATTAAATCCAGGAAGGCTTGGAAATACCTTAATTCTATATTTTCCATGATAAACACAGCCAGATTTTTTAAGTTAAGAATGTTTGGACATTTACAAGACATGGATAGTTGTCCAATGTTCCAGTGCTTGTTCTGTTAAGATTTCAGTGTTTGGTTAGCTGATTTTTTTTTTCTTTTTCCTTTTCTCTTTGTATACTTAGAGGAGAGAAAACACTCCTCAGAGTTGGGCTTGTAATATCTATTTGAGGTTTAGATTTACACTGTGACTGTTTTTGCCTGGGGTAGGGGAGAGTTTCTTAGGTTGGGTTCTCTTAATTTCCACCTAGAGACCTAGATCGATACCTAGAATTTTAGATAAGCAACACCTTTTTTGGAGCACATGGTTAGCTTTCTTCAAGTGGCTTGAGGTATTTTTTGTTTCCAAATATCATTTGAAATATGATTTCCTTTTTGTACTCTTGACCAATCACTCTGCAATGCTGAGAACATTTGCCTATATCTAATTGATTTGTTTTGAGGAGCTATGCCAGAAACCGCATAGACTCTGAACAGTAATAATCACGTATATTATTTAGGAACACATTGTTCCGGTGGTACTTCGTCTTTATTTTTTGCACAACTCTGTCCCCTTTCTCTTTTTGCCTCCTTTGGCACTATTTCTTATCGCCTTCCCAAAGATGCAATCCACTCCAGTGTTGGCAGGCAATAATGGCCCTGAGAAGCACCCTGAACCACATGTTTGAAAAAGAGGAATTATATGAGCTCAGAATTTGCTTGGTGTGCAGCATTTATAGTATTAACCAGGGGCCATTTTGCCAGCTTCCCTAAAGTATATTCAGGCTTCATCTTGACAGCAGATAATCACATTTGCAGGTTGTATTTTAATTAATTTTACTTGCAACTGTAATTTTATAAATCCATACCTATTCAGTTTGCAGGCCAATCTTTCTGCTATTGGGTAACTTTTATTTTTGAAATATCTAACATTTATACCTATTAATTTGGAAGTGTGCTGTTAATCCTGTAAGTATCACTTACTGTGTTTTATTTATTTCTGACTTGCACTAGGCTGTGAACTAGTGAATAAAGATGTTGTCTTATTGTTCTTTGATTCCCAAACCCTAGGAAAGTAATTGGCACAGATTAAGTGTTCAATAAAAGTTGAATGAATGAATTAATGTGAGTGTGGGTCAAAAACACATGGCAGCCTTACTAGGGGATTGGCTTAACAAATGGTGGTTAAAAATTCTTCCAATAGGCAGACCTTTGGGAAGTGCACTTTGTTATGTGTGAATTATGGGCAGAGGCAAATGGTCTAGCATGAAAGCTTTTAAGTTTGGAAGGAAAAGGTTTGGAAGACTGGAGACGAAGTAGTCTGGGGTACAGACATTTCGATAAACATATGAAAGTGAGCACACGTGGAAAGATCAAGATTTTTATATTAGTAGTAGTTCATGCAACCAAGAGGACAATATGACCCAACCTGTCTTAAACTCAGCCAGCCTCTGTTGTTGTCTACCCAGTGCTGGCAGGTTGGCCATACAGTACCAGTAATGGAGACAGAAGTCACACATGGGCCTAATGTCATGAACTCCCACTTACCAGGGCTGATCTAGCTACTGCCACTGCTGAATGTCTGATATGCCAGCAACAGAGGTAACTACTGAGCTCCCAATATGGCATCATTCCTCAAGGAGATAAATTCATCCCTTATTGGCCAGCTGATTATATTATTGGGGACTTTCCATCCTGGAAGGAGCAGTGATTCATTCTCAGAAGAATAGACATATATCCCAGATATGGGTTTTCTTTTTCTGTCCACAGGGCCTTACCCAGTACCATTATCTTAAGATTTAAGTGTTTGATCCACTGGTGTAAAACCCCACACAATGTTGTATTAGAACAGGCAGCAAACTTTATATCAAAAGGGATATTTGGGCTCATAACCATGGGATCAACTGTTCATGTCACATTCTGCACTACCCACAAGCTGACAGCCTGATAGATCACTGAATAGCCTGTGGAAGGCATAGCTGAAGTGCCAGCTTGGGAAGTGGTAGCCTGCATGTATGACATGTTATCCTCTAGGATTTCATTCAAGGCAATATAGGCCTTGAATGGAAAAGCTTATACGGCATTGTATTTCCAGTGGGAAATGAAACAAAGAGGTAGAAAAAGGAGTAGCTCTTTGTACCATCCCTCCCAATAACCTGCTGGGGGAATTTGGTGATTCACATCCTTGCAACACTAGGATCTAAAGAGTTAGAGGTCCTAGGCTTCCAAAAGGGCACACTGTAAGCAGGGGACATAGCAAAGCTACCATTAAATTTTAAGCTACACACTTGGGATCCTTGCATCCCAGGGCCAGCATGCAAGAGCCAGAGGTAACTGACTTGACAGGGGTAATTGACTAATCAGCAGGAGGAGTTGGACCTGCTGTTACATAGTAAAACAGAAAGGAATATGTGTGAACCCAGATGATCCACATGGGTACCTCCTGGAACTCCATTTCCCAAATATTACTGATAATATATAGATACATAAACTACAGCATGGTGCCTGGAACCTAGAGTCTTTGAGCATGAAGATTTGGGTCATGGCACCATGTAAATCACCCAGGACAGAAGAAGTAGAAGCTAAGCATGAGGGAAATCTAGAGTAGACAGTGAAGCAAAGAGATGATGAATATCAACTGTGGACCTGAGATAGCTGTAGAAGTGAAGACTATTGCTTATCCTACTAAATTGTCTCTTCTAAGTTTTACCTCAGGAAGACAGGCCCATCAAAATCCTGGAGAAGCTGCTCCCCGAGTGTATTTAAAAGATAATATGAGTGGTATAAGAAATGGGCTGTGGTAGATGAGGGCATGCATAACGCAATTCCTTATCCCAGAAAAATCTAGATGACCAAATGTGGAGAGGAAGATTAGTAGGCACCCTCCAGCTGCCAACTCGTCAGAGTCTGCCTTAGCTGCATATAGCTGTTTCACTTTAGGTCATTCCATCCTTGGGCAGTTTGCATCCAGTTACAGATTGAGACATGTCCATAAAGGCTTTTTAATTTTAGCTTGGTGAAGGATGACTCTAATGGGCAATATGTCCTCCATATGTCCCCTCCAGGTTGGCTGAGGCTTTGTTAGATATACATCGCAGTCCAGCTTCTCCCTCTGCCCAATCTTAATTCTTTCCCCTTTTTTCAGATGTACAGATCCCTAATAAACCTTCCTGGTACAAAATGGGGCTGAAAAGTTATGGAGAGATTTGACTCAGGAGAGTCTTATTAGTATGTATTAAGAATTTGGGCTTCATTACAGGGTAATCGGAATACATTCAAGAGTTTTAAATAAAGGAGTGACATGATTGATTTGCATTTTTAAAACCACCTTATCAACAGAAGGGAACAGATAGAAGTGAGAGCATTTTTAATGTTCTAGAGGTGGGGTCAATGGAACTGTGTGCAGGAAGTTCTGATGCTGCTGCAGATATTCAAGCAAGAGATGTGGTGGCTTGAACTAAGAATGTGACAATGACCAAAGAGTTATTTAGGAGGCATGAAGTCATTTTTTGGACAAAGGAGTACAAATGAAGGAGAGTCAAGAACAAACAAGAGGAAATTCAACAAGACTCTTTTGTAAAGAAGGTACAGCACAGTGGCTTCATCTATAGCCAACAGGATAATTTCTAGAAAGTAAACCTTATTACTAAGATGACTACTAACGTTACTGTGTTTTGATGTCAGAGTTTTGCTGTTCTGAGTCCTTGTTACTGATGTATAGCTATTGTGTTGTAAATTTACATTACAAGATTTAAGGTACCTTGCCCTCACAAAGCCTGTGACTGAAGATATTCTTCCTTTCTCTGTCTTTTTTTTTTTCTTTGCTTCTATATTATACTGGCTTGGCTCTCAACATCAAAGTGATACAATAAAGAGATCACCTGTAATAAGAACTATCCCCGACTAGATTTACATGATCTCAAAAGAGTAGTTTCTTTTTAATGTTAATAATGACATTATATCTGTATTATATAATTCTACTTCTGACCCACACTGCCTGTCAGGTGAAACTTCGATTGAGATGAAGAGAAGGGGCTGGGTGCGGTGGCTCATGCCTGTAATTCCAGCACTTTGGGAGGCCGAGGCGGGTGGATCGCGAGGTCAGGAGCTCGAGACCAGCCTGACAAACATGGTGAAATCCTGTCTCTACTAAAAATACAAAAATTACCTGGGCGTGGTGGCGCACACCTATAATCTCAGCTACTCAAGAGGCTGAGGCAGGAGAATTGCTTGAACCCAGGAGGCGGAGGTTGCAGTGAGCCATGATTGCGCCACTGCACTCCAGCCTGGGCAACAGAGTGAGACTCTGTCTCAAAAAAAATAAAATAAAATAAAATAAAAAGAAGAGAAGGTTACCATAGTTAATTATTTGCCTCTTCCAAATATTGACTGCTGATAAACAGACCACCTCTTTAATTTAGGGTTAAGCATTTTGTTTTGTGATTTCTTTCTTTTTTTTTTTTTTTTGAGACAGAGTCTTGCTCTGTTGCCCAGGCTGTAGTGCAGTGGCGTGATCTCGTTGGCTCACTGCAACCTCCGCCTCCCGGGTTCAAGCCATTCTCCTGGCTCAGCCTCCCGAGTAGCTGGGATTACAGGCACCCGCCACCATGCCCAGCTAATTTTTTGTATCGTTAGTAGAGACAGGGTTTCACTGTGTTAATCAGGGTGGTCTCGATCTCCTGACCTTGTGATCCGCCTGCCTCGGCCTCCCAATGTGCTGGGATTAAGTGTGTGAGCCACCGTGCCCAGCCCATTGTTTTATGATTTCTATCCTGGAATGTCTTCATCATATTTGTTTCAATTATCCTTGATATATTTTAGAGGCTGAGAAGATTTTTTTTTTCTTTTGAGATGGAGTCTCACTTTTTTGCCCAGCCTGGAGTGCAATGGCGAGATCTTGGCTCACTACAGCCTCCGTCTTCTGGGTTCAACAGATTGTCCTGCCTCCGCCTCCCCAGTAGCTGAGATTACAGGCATGTGCCACGCCTGGCTAATTTTTGTCTTATTAGTAGAAATGGGGTTTCACCATGTTAGCCAGGCTGGTCTCAAATTCCTGACCTCAACTGATCCACCTCAGCCTCCCAAAGTGCTGGGATTACAGGCATGAGCCACCACGCCCAGCCAGAGGCTGAGAAAATTTGACAGAAGAGAAAGTGCTAGAGGTGTTTGCCAAAAGCATATGTAGGAAACAATTTGCATGGGCTCTCTGGGCATTGAACTAGTTGGTAAGGTTGGAGTGAAAAGCAGAGAGGGAGGAATGTCTTTATTCCCAGTCATTCATTTCCAAAAGAGAAGAGTAAAGCTGATGATTTCTTTAGATGCTAGAAGCCAAGAGTCATTATCTTCCTCAGTCTCTGAGAAAGACTAAGTGATCCATTAAAAAACAAAATGTTCCACATGGTAGGAATAGACACCCAATATTTTAGGTGTGTGTGAAATGAAATGATCCATGTAAGTGATTTTTCCAGCTGAAGCTTATCTATGTTAAGTGCTAAAGTTTATTTTTTTAATGGGAGTCTTTAAAAAATGTTTCACACATTTCTCTTGGTTTTGCAAGAAAGGGCATTTGGTATCACTTAAACATTCTCTGTAAATGTTCAAATTTCCAAAACATGCACTGTCTCAGAACTGTCATTAGAAATACTAATTAATATGCTATAATGTGACATAATATTCTGAATTATTATCTTGAGATTTAGGTTGCTTTATACTTAATGGCTTCAGGCTGTTATATTTTTCAATTTCTTGCCTCTATTATTTTTAGTTTTTCTCACTTTTTTGAAATATATATGCAGCAACAGTAAACAGGGTTTCTGTGGTTAAGAAACATTTAAAGTATTAATCTCACACATCTCATTGGTGATTTTTTGGTTCATTATGCATTCATCACTCTTTCTACTTCTTTATTCACTTGTCTTTTTTAATTTTTATTTTTTACTCGCTGATTTTTCACGATATTACTGGTATTGCTTATGAGATAAGAGAGCCAAAGTACTCTCCTGAAGAACTAGAAATTTGTTCTTTTTGAGTTCAGGGAGAAAAAATGAACATATTGTCTTGATGTATATTGTGAAAAACTACAAATAGGGTTAACATTGTTGCAGGCATAAATTCTTATATGTTTAGGGGTTACTGCTGCCTGTGCTATTTGTTCACACAATTGAAGTACCTAAGTAGTAAACTGGCCTTCTTAACACAAAGGTTTATCTACCAAGTTGAATGCTGGAGGAGCAGAGAAGGAAGCTATTGCAAAAGGGCACCATCACAGTAGTCAGTGATTGATGATGTATGAGGGAATGGAGTGTATCTTAGGTAGAACATGGGCTGGAGCTCCTGGGAGTTGGAAAATAACAGAAATGACTATCACAAATGGTCCCATAGGACATAATCTCAAGGCACTGCCAGAAAAGTTTTTGTAGCTGATAATTTTTTCCTTTTGGGTGGTATGAGGGAAGGTGTGAGGGAATATCTTTGGCTATAATCTTTTATTTTCTTTCATCTCTTTATTTCGAAAGAAGGTATAAAAGCAAGCAAAAAACAAACAAACAAACAAAAACCTGAAAAAACAGTGGTAGTGAAGATCTCATGGCCAAAAGCTTTGAGAAAGAATACTGCAGGGATTGCAAAGCCTTTGGAAGCCTACAACAGTGTGCTCTGAGGGTATTGGTCTTAAGAACCAAATGGACTTGGTTCAAGACTTGCTTTTGCTCTTCTAAGCCATGGAGTCTTGGGGAAATAGTTAACCATTTTAAATTATAATACTTTCATTTGTGAAATAGGAGTATTAGTACCTACTTCATAGCACTGAGGGAATTTAGTCAAATCACATGCTTACTATACTTAAGGTAAGTGTGTAAAGAATTGCAGCTTTAATAACTAATGTGCTAAAACATTAAACTTTCTTATTGTCTTGGTTTGAAGGCTCAAGTTTCTTTGTAACTCAAATATATTAATAGTATTTATGGATTTCCTTCTCTAACAGAATGATTTTAGTTTTATCTGGGCTTCATTGGTCCAGGGCATATTATTCTCCCATTTTATTTTCTATTTAGGAAGATGAAAAAGTGTTTTGAAATATCCTCTCTGATTGGGGGGTAGGGAATTTGGGGAGAGAAGAAAGATATACAAATTCTTTATTTTTTCTAAAGTAAGTTTTGAATTTGCAATAAATATTTTGCTTGGGAAAAATAATTCTTAGCTAGTTTTAATAATGCCAAAGCAAGGCCGGGTGCAGTGGCTCACGCCTGTAATCCTAGCACTTTGGGAGGCCTAGGCAGGCAGATCACCTGAGGTCAGAAGTTCGAGACCAGCCTGGCCAACATAGTGAAACCCCATCTCTACAAAAATAAAAATTAGCCGGGCATGATGGCGGGTGCTGTAAGGCAGGGGAATCGCTTGAACCTGGAAGGCGGAGGTTGCGTGAGCTGAGATCGTGTCATTGCACTCCAAAGACGTCGTCTCAAAAAACAAACAAACAAAAAAAGCCAAGACAAGTCCTCTGATTACCACAGCTCTCTCTATTTAGTTTCTTTAAAATTATGCTTTTGTTACAAAAATTCACATTTATATTTTTGACATTCACCCAATGCCTGTGCCTGCATTGTGTCTTGGATATAACCAACTAGTTTTTGATTTTACAGGCTCATAGGAGGAAGGGATTTGCCTTGTCTCAGATGAGGCTTTGGACTAGGACTTTTGAGTTAATGCTGGAATGAATTAAGACTTTGGTGGACTGTTGGGAAGGTATGATTGTGTTTTGAAATGTGAGAAGGACATGAGATTTGGGAGGGGCCAGGAGTGGAATGATATGTTTGGCTCTTTGTCTCCACCCAATTCTTATGTCGAATTGTATTAATAATTCCCGGTGTTGGAGGAGAGACCTGGTGGGAAGCGATTGGATCCTGGAGGCAGATTTTCCCCTTGCTGTTCTTGTGAGAGTGAGTGAGTTTTCATGAGATCTGGTTGTTTGAAAGTGTGTGGCACCTTCCCCTTGGCTCTCTTACTCCTGCTCCACCATGGTAAGACGTGCCTGCTTCCCCTTCACCTTCCGCCATGATTGTGATTTTCCTGAGGCCTCCAGTCATGCTTCCTGTATAGTCTGTGGAACTGTGAGTCAATTAAACCTCTTTTCTTCATAAATTACTCAGTCTCAGGTAGTTCTTTATAACAGTGTGAGAATAAACTAATAGAGAATCTAAATCTAAAATGTTATTTAACTGGAATATAAATGCCAGGGACTATGGTAGGTGATGAGAATACTTCCATGCAAAGATTTTAATATATTGTTCAACATAGAGTGTACCTCTACAAAGTTCAGACATTTGAGAATGAAAGATTAAACAACGACGAAGTCAATGTCTCATCAATAGGGACATCATTAAATAAAAGACTTTTGGATAACATTTTATAAGAAAACTCATTGGGACAACAGGGCTTTAAACTTCACCTAGTTTATTCTGTATCTGGAGGCGTAACCAAAACTTTATTATATAAAAGAATGAAGGAAATTGAAAACAGGGAATTGCAGAATGCCAACAAAATTATCATTCCTGTATACATAATATTTATAGTGCCAAATGCCAGTAGAAATTCCTTTTGCATTTTATTGTTGCCTAATTAATTGTGTCAGGAATTCTAAAGCAATTAGGAAGCAAAAAGGAAAGAGAAAAAAAGAAACTTTCCCATATGAACTTTAAAGTAGTTTTTTCCAATTCTGTGAAGAAAGTCATTGGTAGCTTGATGGGGATGGCATTGAATCTATAAATTACCTTGGGCAGTGTGGCCATTTTCACGATATTGATTCTTCCTACCCATGAGCATGGAATGTTCTTCCATTTGTTTGTATCCTCTTTTATTTCCTTGAGCAGTGGTTTGTAGTTCTCCTTGAAGAGGTCCTTCACATCCCTTGTAAGTTGGATTCCTAGGTATTTTATTCTCTTTGAAGCAATTGTGAATGGGAGTTCACTCATGATTTGGCTCTCTGTTTGTCTGTTATTGGTGTATAAGAATGCTTCTGATTTTTGTACATTGATTTTGTATCCTGAGACTTTGCTGAAGTTGCTTATCAGCTTAAGGAGATTTGGGGCTGAGACAATGGGGTTTTCTAGATATACAATCATGTCATCTGCAAACAGGGACAATTTGACTTCCTCTTTTCCTAATTGAATACCCTTTATTTCCTTCTCCTGCCTAATTGCCCTGGCCAGAACTTCCAACACTATGTTGAATAGGAGTGGTGAGAGAGGGCATCCCTGTCTTGTGCCAGTTTTCAAAGGGAATGCTTCCAGTTTTTGCCCATTCAGTATGATATTGGTTGTGGGTTTGTCATAGATAGCTCTTATTATTTTGAAATACGTCCCATCAATACCTAATTTATTGAGAGTTTTTAGCATGAAGGGTTGTTGAATTTTGTCAAAGGCTTTTTCTGCATCTATTGAGATAATCATGTGGTTTTTGTCTTTGGCTCTGTTTATATGCTGGATTACATTTATTGATTTGCGTATATTGAACCAGCCTTGCATCCCAGGGATGAAGCCCACTTGATCATGGTGGATAAGCTTTTTGATGTGCTGCTGGATTTGTTTTGCCAGTATTTTATTGAGGATTTTTGCATCAATGTTCATCAAGGATATTGGTCTAAAATTCTCTTTTTTGGTTGTGTCTCTGCCCGGCTTTGGTATCAGAATGATGCTGGCCTCATAAAATGAGTTAGGGAGGATTACCTCTTTTTCTATTGATTGGAATAGTTTCAGAAGGAATGGTACCAGTTCCTCCTTGTACCTCTGATAGAATTCGGCTGTGAATCCATCTGGTCCTGGACTCTTTTTGGTTGGTAAACTATTGATTATTGCCCCAATTTCAGCTCCTGTTATTGGTCTATTCAGAGATTCAACTTCTTCCTGGTTTAGTCTTGGGAGAGTGTATGTGTCAAGGAATTTATCCATTTCTTCTAGATTTTCTAGTTTATTTGCGTAGAGGTGTTTGTAGTATTCTCTGATGGTAGTTTGTATTTCTGTGGGATCAGTGGTGATATCCCCTTTATCATTTTTTATTGTGTCTATTTGATTCTTCTCTCTTTTTTTCTTTATTAGTCTTGCTAGCGGTCTATCAATTTTGTTGATCCTTTCAAAAAACCAGCTCCTGGATTCATTAATTTTTTGAAGGGTTTTTTGTGTCTCTATTTCCTTCAGTTCTGCTCTGATTTTAGTTATTTCTTGCCTTCTGCTAGCTTTTGAATGTGTTTGCTCTTGCTTTTCTAGTTCTTTTAATTGTGATGTTAGGGTGTCAATTTTGGATCTTTCCTGCTTTCTCTTGTGGGCATTTAGTGCTATAAATTTCCCTCTACACACTGCTTTGAATGCGTCCCAGAGATTCTGGTATGTTGTGTCTTTGTTCTCGTTGGTTTCAAAAAAGAGCCCGCATCGCCAAGGCAATCCTAAGCCAAAAGAACAAAGCTGGAGGCATCACACTACCTGACTTCAAACTATACTACAAGGCTACAGTAACCAAAACAGCATGGTACTGGTACCAAAACAGAGATATAGATCAATGGAACAGAACAGAGCCCTCAGAAATAACGCCGCATATCTACATCTATCTGATCTTTGACAAACCTGAGAAAAACAAGCAATGGGGAAAGGATTACCTATTTAATAAATGGTGCTGGGAAAACTGGCTAGCCATATGTAGAAAGCTGAAACTGGATCCCTTCCTTATACCTTATACAAAAATCAATTCAAGATGGATTAAAGACTTAAACGTTAGACCTAAAACCATAAAAACCCTAGAAGAAAACCTAGGCATCACCATTCAGGACATAGGCATGGGCAAGGACTTCATGTCCACAACACCAAAAGCAATGGCAACAAAAGACAAAATTGACAAATGGGATCTAATTAAACTAAAGAGCTTCTGCACAGCAAAAGAAACTACCATCAGAGTGAACAGGCAACCTACAAAATGGGAGAAAATTTTCCCAACCTACTCATCTGACAAAGGGCTAATATCCAGAATCTACAATGAACTCAAACAAATTTACAAGAAAAAAACAAACAACCCCATCAACAAGTGGGCAAAGGACATGAACAGACACTTCTCAAAAGAAGACATTTATGCAGCCAACAGACACATGAAAAAATGCTCATCATCACTGGCCATCAGAGAAATGCAAATCAAAACCATAATGAGATACCATCTCACACCAGTTAGAATGGCAATCATTAAAAAGTCAGGAAACAACAGGTGCTGGAGAGGATGTGGAGAAATAGGAACACTTTTACACTGTTGGTGGGACTGTAAACTAGTTCAACCATTGTGGAAGTCAGTGTGGCGATTCCTCAGGGATCTCGAACTAGAAATACCATTTGACCCAGCCATCCCATTACTGGGTATATACCCAAAGGAATATAAATCTTGCTGCTATAAAGACACATGCACACGTATGTTTATTGCGGCACTATTCACAATAGCAAAGACTTGGAACCAACCCAAATGTCCAACAATGATAGACTGGATTAAGAAAATGTGGCACATATACACCATGGAATACTATGCAGCCATAAAAAATGATGAGTTCATGTCCTTTGTAGGGACATGGATGAAATTGGAAATCATCATTCTCAGTAAACTATCGCAAGAACAAAAAACCAAACACTGCATATTCTCACTCATAGGTGGGAATTGAACAATGAGATCACATGGACACAGGAAGGGGAATATCACACTCTGGGGACCGTGGTGGGGTGTGGGGAGGGGGGAGGGATAGCATTGGGAGATATACCTAATGCTAGATGACGAGTTAGTGGGTGCAGCGCATCAGCATGGCACATGTATACATATGTAACTAACCTGCACAATGTGCACATGTACCCTAAAACTTAAAGTATAATAAAAAAAAATTTAAAAAAAAACAAAAAAAAAAACAAAAAAAAGAAACTTTCCCAATGGTCTTCTCTTTGTTAAATACTTTCAGGCTGGGTGCCTATGATCCACAAGTTTTCAATGGGCATGCTCCAGGTAGTCTTCAGGAATGCTTAAAGTCTTTTTTTTTATTAATATGGAGCAGTCATAATTGCTTACTTCCACATATCAGACTAATATGTAATTTTAGACAAGATTTGGAACAGCTTTACCAAGGTCACTGCCAGAGTTCAGGAAGACTGAGGACCTGTGTCTTTATTCTTTGTAGCATATGCCACCTCTCTTTTTTCCTTTGCTCTATTTCCCTTCTTATTCTGTCCCTCCTCTCTGTTTTTCTCATTCAGTCATGCAGTCATATATTTTTAGGCTTTGATTTTCACTGGCAGCAATAGTGTAATTTTTCACTAGTTTTGGCTTAGAGTTCATTTTGCTTTTCAGACTCACTTATCTTTGTTTCATTACCAATTGTAGCTTTGTCCATTTTCAGAGAGAAGCTATGAGAAAAGAGCTACAAGAGAAAAATGGCAGCATTGCAAAGTGCAAGAACACTGAAGGTATTGTGTAGAAATTCTGATGACTTCAGTATTTTTTTTTCCATTTTGTCCTTTATTATGTGTTGGTCTAAAAAAGAATGATTGATGAGTGGAAACTATGAATGGATATATAATAAATGCATAATAAATAACATCTCAACATTCCTATCACAACATTTAATAAAAGGAGCCCCAAGTGGAATATGTTTCTGAAGCTTCAATACTGAGTTGATAAACAGATATTCAATAACTGTATATTAATATCAATTGAATTGAAAGTCAGAGATTATATCTTTATAACTAGTAATATAATTAAACTCCATGTAAGACAGAAAAGATTAGCAGTGTACAGAATGTGTTGCTGAACTCTCGGGGGAGTTTGAGGAGTTGGTCACATCTTGGTAAAGCTCACTGGGATGTACACCACACTCTCCCCAAATCCAGGGAACTTGCAGTCCTTCTTGATTTCACCTTAGTCTCAGCACTGCACCAGCCTCAAGCCCCATCAGTCTTCCCATTTATTAATTTTGTGGCTCAAATTGTTCACAAGAGAGTCTAATTACCTTCATTCTTAATACTAATTCTATACTACAGGTCCTAATCATCTCTTGGCTGAGCTCCTACAACAGCCTCTAACCTCAACTTTTTACTTGTATTTTATTCTTTATTTTTCTTTATCTTCCACAAATCCCATTCCCAGATTTGTAACTGAAAGTATGGCCATGCAATAGTTCTGTTGAAAGCCTTTCAATGGCTCCCCAAAGCCAATGTTTTTCATGCTTTTCTCATTGCATAATCCTATCAGTAGATAGAACAAGATAAAACAAGAGGGTAATTAAATAAAAATATTTTCAAATGTTCTGCTACTCTTAGTTAATATTCTTATACAAAATAAATGTAGGGCAAGATTAACCACTAATGATGGTGGATATAAATCAATATTTCAAATACCTTTATTATTAATTTCTTTTTTAATTGATGTAATAATTATATATATTTTATGGGCTATAGAGTGATATTTCAATACATATTTACAATGTGTAATCAAATTAGGGTAATTAGCATATCCATTACCTTGAATATTTATTATTTCTTTGTGTTATGAACATTGAAAATCTTCTAGCTTTTTGAAAATATACACTAAATTATTTGTAACCCTACAGTACTATAGAACACTAGAGCTTATTCCTCTTGTTTAGCTGTAACTTTGTATTTGTTAACCAATGTCTACTTTCCCCCCATCCTTCTCAGCATCTACTGACCACTTCTGTGAGTTCGGTATTTTTTTAGCTCCTCTATATGACTAAGAATATGTGGTATTTATATTTCTGTGACTGGTTTATTTCACTTCACAAAATGTCCTCCAGGCTCATCCGTGTTGCTGTGAATGGCAGGATTTCATTATTTTTTACGGCTGAGTAGAATTCCATTGCGCATATATATATATATATATATATATATGTGGCGTTTTCTTTATTCATTTATCCATTGATGGGCATTTAGATTGATTCCATGTATTGGCTATTGTTAATACAGCTACAATAAATATGGGGGTCCAAGTTTCTCTTCAACGTAGTGATTTTCTTTCCTTTGGATAAATACCCAGTATGGGATTCCTAGATCATGTGGGAGTTCAATTTTTAGTTTTTTGAGAAACCTGCATACTGTTTTCCGTAACAGCTATACTGATATATATTCCCATAAACAGCAAATAAGAGTTTTTTCTTTTCTCTGCATCCTCAACCAGCATTTATTTATTTATTTATTTTTTGTCTTTTTGATGATAACCGTTCTAACTAGGGTAAGATGCTATCTTATTTAACTCTGATTTGCATTTTCCTGATGATTATTGTTGAGCATTAATCCCATTGGCCATTTGTATGTCTTCTTTTAACAAATATCTATTACATCCTTTGCCTATTTTTTAATTGATTTTGTTGTTGTTTTTGTTGAGTAGTTTCAGTTCCTTGTAAATCCTAGATACTAGTCCTTTGTTGGATGAATACTTTGAAAATATTTTCTCTCTGTAGGTTGTCTCTTCACTCTGTTGATTGTTTCCTATGCTGTGCAGAAGCTTTGTAGTTTGATGTAGTCCCATTTATCTATTTTTGTTTTGTTGCCTGTGCTTTTGAAGTGTTACCTCTAAAATCTTTGCCCAAACCAACGTCCTGAAGTGTTGTGCCTATGTTTTATTCCAGTAGTTTTATAGTTTCAGGTCTTATGTTTAAGTATTTTATTCATTTTGAATTGTTTGTATGTGGTGAGAGATATGGGTCTAGTTCTATTGTTTTGCATATGAATATCAAGTTTGCTCAGCACCATTTATTGAAGACGGTTTCCATTCCCCAATGTATGTTCTTGTTATCTTTGTCAAAAATCAGTTGGTTTTAAATACCTGAATTTCTTTCTGGGTTCTCTTTTATGTTCTATTGGTCTATATGTCTGTTTTTATGTCAATATCATATTGTTCTTGTTACTATAACTTTGTTGTATTTTTTAATGTCAGGTTGTGTGATGCCTCCAGCTTTGTTCTTTTTGCTCAGGATTCCTTTTGCTATTTGAGCTTTTGTGGTTCCATACAAATTTTAGAATTGTTTTTTCTATTTCTGTAAAGAATGTTATTTAGTATTTTGATAGGAATTGTATTAAATCTGTAGATTGTTTTGGGTAGTAGGGTAATTTTTACTATTGTTACAATATTAATTCTTCCAATCCATGAACATAGAATGTCTTTCCATTTTTTGATGTCCTCTTTAATTTCTTTTATCAATGTTTTGTAATTTTTATTGTAAAGATTTTTTACCTCCTTGGTTTAATTTATTCCTAGTTATTTTATTTTATTTGTAGTTATTATAAATGGGATTACTTTCTTAATTTTTTTCTAGCTAGTTTGTTATTTGTGCATAGAAATGCTACTGGTTTTTGTTAGTTGATTTTGTATCCTGCAAATTTACTGAATTTGTTTATTCTAAGAATTTTTTAGTGGAGTCTTGAAGATGTTTTATTTATAAGATTATGCCATCTACAAAGAGAAACAATTTGACTTTCTATTTTACAATTTGGACACTCTTTATTTGTTTGTTGTGTCTTTTGTAAGTTATGAATTATAAATGTACATATTTTGGGGGGTACATATAATATTTTAATACATGTATACAATGTATAATGACCAAGTCAGGGTAATTGGGATTTCTATCACCTCAAACACTTATTTTTTCTTTGTATTAGGAACATTACAATTCTCTTCTCTTTTAAAATAATAAACTATTGTTAACTATTATTTCTCTACTATGCTATTGAATTCTTGAACTTATTTCTTCTATCTAACTGTATTTTTATACCCATTAACCAACATATCCCCCCTTCCTTTTTCTTGCCTGTTTGCTCTGGTTAGGACGTTTAGTACTATGCTGAATAAGAGAGGTGAAAATGAACATCTTTGTCTTGTTTATTTCTTAGAGAAAAGGCTTTCAGCTTTTCTTCATTCAGTATGATGTTAGCTGTGGGTTTCTCATATATAGCATTTACTGTGTTGAGGGATGCTCTCTCTATATCTAATTTGTTAAGAAGGGATTTTGATTTTGAACAAATGCCTTTTTTTGCATATATTGAGATGATCATATGTATGGTTTTTGTTCATTCTGTTGATGTGATGTATCACATTTATTGATTTCTGTATATTGAATCACTCTTGCATCCTGGGATAATTTCCATATGATCACTGTGTATTATCTTTTGGATGTGTTCTTAGATTTAGCTTTCTATTATTTTGTTGCGAAATTTTGCAACTATGTTCCTCAGGAATATCGACCATAGTTTTCTTTTTTGGCTGTGGTCTTGTTTTGTTATCAGGGTAATGGTGGCTTCATAGAATGAGTTAAAAATAACTCCTTCCTCCTTATATTTTAGAATAGTTTGAGAAGAATTGGTGTTAGTTTTTTAAAAGTGTGGTAGAATTCAGCGGTAAAACCATTCAATCTTGGGTTTTTCTTTCTTGGAAGATTTTTTTCTTACAGATTCAATAGTTTTACTCATTATTGGTCTGTTCAGATTTTCCATTTCTTCCTGGTTCAATCTTGGTAGGTTATGTGTGTCCAGGAATTTATTCATATCCTGTAAGCTTTTTAATTTGTTGGTGTATAGTTGTTCAAAATGGTCTCTAGCGGTTCGTTGTATTTCTGTGATATCAGTTATAACGTCTTTTTTTATTATGATTTCATTTATTTGGTTCTTCTCTTTTATTTTTAGAATAGCTAACGATTTGTTAATTTTGTTTACCTTTTCAAGAGAGATTACTTTTTTGTTTCAGTGATCTTTTGCCTTATTTTTCAGCCTTTGTTTTATTTAGTTCTGCTCTGATCTTTTTTTTTCCCCCCTTCTGCTAATTTGGGGTTTGGTTGGTTCTTGTTTTTCTAACTTCTTGAGATGCATTGTTAGGCTGTTTATTTGAAATCTTTCTACTTTTTTGACTTAGATATTTATTGCTGTAAAATTCCCTCTTAGTACTGCTTTTCCTGTATCCCATAGATTTTGGTATGCCGTATTTCCTTTTTTGTTTGTTTTAGAAAAATTTTAAACTTTTTTTCATTGACCTGTTGAACATTCAGGAACATGTGATTTAATTTCCAAGTATATGGGCAGTTTTCTGAGTTCCTATTGCTATTGATTTCTAGTTTTATTCCATTGTGGTTGGAGAAGATACTTGATATTCCACCTTCTTGCTGATGTCACTCATGGCTAATTTCTTTTCCAATTCATATCTCTCATGCTTAATACGGTATAAGATATAGAATAAAGAAGTAAGAAACGTGATAATGAATATATATTACATCAGTATAATTGATATAAAGAAAGACTGCTATTACACATCTGATGTAATGATATATACCAAGATGAGTGGTGGTGTGTACGAGGACAAGAGCCAAAGATTAAAACTCTTTCAAGAGCTAGGTATAATATAGGGCAAAGTTTTCCTAATTCTAATTCATTTCTCAAATGTAATTTGTTAACTGTGGGTATTAAAACCAATCACTCAAAACAATATTGCTCTACTCATTAAGAAATATTTTGGTAGAAATGTGTCTTTCTATGTAAATTTTCTGCAGATAAGAGTATAAAGAGTCAAATGAACATTATAGTTTCATCATTTAAAAATTTATATTTTAATATAAAATGATAAATTGATGGTCTAAGTTTACCTATCCCAATAATATAAATCTGACATCTGTGTTAACTGATAATCAAATTTCCAAAAGTGCAAAGTTAAAAAGTGTAACTTAGACTTGAGTTAACTTCACAAAATTATTGTTTTAGTATTTATAAAACAGGTTATAATATAATCAACTAGTAAAATTTGGAGTTCTATAGGCAACAACATATTTTCTAATGTTACATATGAAATAAAATAGGAATCATGACTTTTGCACAAATGGGGAGACTTTTTCCAGTTAGTATTTTAGCCATGTGGAATCTACTATGTTTTATTTAAAAAAAAAACCCTAAAATACCTGTAATATGTTTCCTACTGTTGTTGTGCTATTTAGAGATAGGGCTGAGACCTAGGGTGAATATGAGAGAGTATTCAAAACTGAGAGAGTTGCAACTGCTATTGTACAGAATGTTTACATAGGGAACAGAATACTAATAAAAGGACCTGTGGTTAAAAACAGAGATTACTAGACCCAGACAAATAATTGGCTCTCTGTTTGAAGCCTGACACTTGAGTGCTTGGTTACACACAGAGACCAAGACATCTTTGCAATTGGTATTAAAAATCATGACTGAAGGAAATATCAATTTCAGACCAAAATGGTATGGTTCACAACAGAGGTCAGTAGAAAGACAACACAGCATTAGAAGATGACAAAGGCATGTTCCTTAGCTATTACTAGCCAATGATTCAACATTTCCCAGTGAAGACAGTTGGAAATCAATGGCAAAGCCATATTAGCACTATAGTTTATTAAAAATACACACACACATAAACACACTTGCACACACATTCACATGTATTTGTACTGAAGCTATATGTTTAGAAAATCATAGACCTTATCATTAAAAAAACTTTTAAAAAATATATAGTTCTGAGTCAAAACACAACTTTTGGTATGGCTAAAATGAGTTGTCTGAAAAACAAAAGAACCTAAATGAAAATTTTAAGCTAGAATAAGATGCTTTTAATTGGCAGAATTGGTGAGCAGTGCACCTGGTGTTTAAATAGTTCTCTGTTGAACTCCAGCCCTATACATTCAGTACCACTTTATATCTAATACAGATAACAAATTTTCTCCCCCATCAAACCTGTTTTATCCACATTCTCATACCTATCAAATGTATGGAAACTCAATATTTCCAGTTGCTTAGGTCAAAACCTTAGAGTCATACTAAATATTTTTTACACCTCATATCTAAACTATCAGGAAATTCTGTTGGTTCTACATTCACAATATTGCTACTACCTTATGACTTATCTCCACTGCTACCACCCTGTCAAAGCCACCATCATCTTTCACTTAGATTATTACAATAGTCTTTAAACTACACTCCTTCATTCCATCCTGTCTTATTAACTATTTTAGAAGCACCAAGAACAATGACATAGCTGATCTGTAAATACCTGAAGAATGAATGAATATAAAATTTTTATTTACTGTGCTTTATATAATACAGGCACTCATGGTGTTACTGAGGGCATCTCAATCACTCAGCTGTGACATTGACAGTTACCTTAAAAAATTGAGACAAAAATTATGAAACATTTAATACACAAAATTTAAAGTAATATCTGTATAGTTTACAGAAAATATTGAAATAAACAACTAGAAAACACAACATTGACCAGTATCTTTGAAGCTTTCCATAACTGTCCCCATTTTCCCTAAAAAATTCACTGCCTTGTATTTTTATTACTCCCTAAATTTTCTTAATCAATTAACCACAGATACATGAAACTATAAAAATGTAATATTTAATTTTGTAATGTAAAGAATCATCCTCAATTATTTCTACAACTTACTTTTTTCACCCACTCTTTTACTTGTCCTATAATGTGCAACTTGGTATATGTAAAGTCTTTCCAAAGGGTACAAAACCACATGTTACAATTGATCTGTCTATAAGACAGTTATAGGTATTCCTTTCCCACCTATACTTTTACAATAGTCTTTTTTTCCTTTACAAAAGAAAGACATCCCTGTCCTTACAATGTTACGTAGTGTCAAAACCTTCAGGGATTCAAAGCAGGGACAGTTAGTAATATCGGACTTGAGAAAGTGAATTAATCTATGTTTGGCCTGAAACTGTGAAGTGTCTGAGATGTTACTCTTATTGCATGGTTTTATATACTCTATATTCACGTGCATGCATATACATACATGTGTGTGCACACGCACACTCACAAACACACTTAATCATGAGACCTCAGGACTAGAGACAGACTTATGCTTACTTACCAAATATCTTGCTTCAATTTCCGCTGGAGAGACATGGTAACTGCAGATAATACCTGAGTATATAGTGGACTTTGTACTATATGAGAGTAATATGGTTTGTCTGTGTTCCCACCCAAAACTCAGGCTTCAGAGGGTGGAAACCTCAAGCCTTGGCAGCTTCCACGTGGTGTTGAGCCTGTGAGTTCACAGAAGTCAAGAATTGAGGTTTGGGAACCTCTGCCTAAATTTCAGAGGATTTATGGAAATGCCTGGATGTCCAGGCAGATGTTTGCTGCAGGGGCGGGGTCCTTATGGAGAACCTCTGCTAGGGAAGTGCAGAAGGGAAATGTGGCGTTGGAGTTTCCACACAGAGTCCCCACTGGGGGCACTGCCTAGTGGAGTTGTGAGAAGAGGGCCATTGCCTTCCAGACTCCAGTATGGTAAATCCACCAACAGCTTGCACTGTGCACCTGGAAAAGCTATAAATATTCAACACTAGCTCGTGAAAGTAGCTGGGAGTGGGGTTGTACCCTTCAAAGCCACAGGGGTAGGGCTTCTCAAGACCATGGGGGCCCACCTCTTGCATCAGCATGACCTGGATGTGAGACATGAAGTCAAAGGAGATCATTTTGGAATTTTAAGGATCAGTGACTGCCCTGTTGGATTTTGGGCTTGCATGAGACCTCTAGCCCCTTTTTTTGGCCAATTTCTCCCATTTGGAATGGGCGTATTTACCCAATGCCTGTGCCCACATTGTATCTAGGAAGAAGCTGACTTGCTTTTGATTTTACAGGCTCATAGGTGGAAGGGACTTGCCTTGTCTCACATGAGACTTTGGACTTGGACTTTTAATTAATGCTGGGATGAGTTAAAACTTTGGGGGACTGTTGGAAGTGCATGATTGTGTTTTCAACTGTGAAGACAAGAGATTTGGGAGGAGCCAGGGGCAGAATGATGTGGTTTGGCTGTGTCCCTACCCAAATCTTATCTTGAATTATAGTTCCCATAATCCCCATGTGTTAGGGGAGGGACCAGGTAAAGATAATTAAATCATGCAGGTGGTTTCTCTCATCCTGTTCTTGTGATAGTGTTAGTTCTCATGAGTTCTGATGGTTTTTGTAAGGGATTTCTCCCTTTGCTGGGCACTCATTCTTTCTTGCCTGCCACCATGTAAGATGTGTCTTGCTTCCCCTTCATCTTTCACCATGATTTTAAAGCCTCCTCAGCCATCTAGAACTGTGAGTCAATTAAATCTCTTTCCTTTATAAATTACTCAGTCTCAGGTATGTCTTTATTAGCAGTGTGAGAACAGACTAATACAGAAAGAAACCTTGAAATTATACGTCTAGAAACATATAGAGCAGTTAGAACAGTTAATCCTCCTCCCCTATGGGGATAGAGATAGAGATAGAGAGCTTTGCTCTAGAAGATAAACAAATCCTCTCCAAGGAGAAGAGCTGAGATTCTCTAGGTTTACAATTCCTTGTATGTAAACAGATGTCTCCAAGGAAAATGTTACTAATCTCTCTGCAGGTCTGTATCTTTAACTCTCAAGGCTTATTTGTCATCCATTCTTTATCAAGGTTGCTGATAGTGGTAGTTTTTGTTAAAAAAGAAAAACTCTTTCTGTGCAGAAATATGAAAATATTCATGAAACATTGTTTCCTAACAATCTAGGGACAGGAAGTAAATTGTTTTAAATGCCTTTTTAAAATCAGGCGGTTCCCCATTCTTTGTTTTTAAAGAATTTCAGGGAATAATTGAGTTGCAGCTGATAGATCATTACGAATTATTTGTATGATAGATTAGTTGGTAATTTTGGCAGATGACGCAGAAGCTCAGAAGGAGTTCAAAGATTTGAGCAATATTACTATTAAGAAAATTTTCCATTTCCACCTACTTATTTATATGACCACATGTTGACTGAATTGTATAAAAATGAAAAATAGGAATAGAATTGATGCTGACAAATGTCTCATGCTAAAAAATTTATGTGTAGATACATGAACTTATTGAACACAAAGTCTCATTAAGAGATCTATTTCTACCAAAATATTGTTATAATTAATAATCATCAAAATCTGTAATACATTTATGTTGTTTAATCAGTTGTACACTATTAAAAAATGTAATGATAATCTATTCAGGCAAGTTTTTAACCCCTAACTCAGCTCATTTGTAACATCTCAGAGAACTTTTATAAGTAATTGTCCTCTTACCCTCACCCACACACACCCTTCACATGCAAACACAACAAACAAACATTTTTTTATGGTAATAACAGCAGTGTATTTATTTCTCAATTTTCTTATCTCTGTCCTTCTCTGATCTTAGTGAGCTTGTGATTGAGTCTTAATTTTGGTATATCCAGAGCCTATCACAGTACCTAACAGAGAATGTATGTATAATAAGTGTTTTGCTAAAGGGATATATACATAAAGAGGGGAAATCAAAGCAGACTGCAGGAATCTGGAAGTTATGAAGGAGTCCCAGAAGTGGCACCTATATTGGACTTATATTGGAACTTATAGTAGAATTGATATGATGTTCATAGCTGGCATACACATTCTACAGAGGAGCACAAACAGAATGAGCTTATTTCTTGAAAAATTGTTGTACATGTGTTTTTTCCCCTACCAATGTTTTGGTTGGAATATTATGGCAGAAAAAAAGCTGCAGTAATGTCAAGGAAGTCACAATTTGCTCCATTTTCACCCAGCTCCAAAACAGAAATTCAATTGGGGCTTGTTTTTTCATTCCTCTCATCTTCAAAAAAATGTATTATGAGTCACCTAAATTAATCTTTAAGAGAAGCACACATGGAGATGGATTGGATTGTCTTTTAAAAATAAATTGAACTTTATTAAAACCACAGGTTCAGTAGTTGGTATTAAGTAACGAACCAAAAAAGCTCAATCGGCTTAGTAATAGCCTGACAACCACTAGTGAACCAGCAAGTTATTAATGTCTCCAATTAGTAGTTTTCCTACATGTGTGATCAATTAAGCTAAATCTCCAAATTAAATCCCAATAGTGTTTGTTTATTTCTCTTTAAAGGGTGGTCTGGAAAGTCCAACTTGCAAGATAGACATACATTTTTCCTAGAGACTTCAACAACATTTAAATTAGAGCAAAGTTTGATTATTTAATAATAATAATTAAAATTGTCCCCATAAAAATATTTATTTTTGCTTTCTTTAAACTCTATTCCAGCCATCCAGGAGATAGCATATATGAACAAAGTGACCCAAACTTTTTAAATATGGCTTTTAATATCAGGACCTTACTATTTTAGTTTTCCAAGGGAATGGTCCCATAGAATATGCTACTGGGATATAATCATGGAGTAACCACATCAGACGAATCTGGTTCAAGTTTTTTTTAAATTAATTAAGTTTTTTTTTCAGATGTAGTCTAACTCTGTTACCAGGCTGGAGTGCAGTGGCATGATCTCGACTCACTGTAACCTCCGATTCCCGGGTTCAAACGATTCTCCTGCCTCAAGTAGCTGGGATTATAGGCATGTGCTGCCATGCCCAGCTAATTTTTGTATTTTTAGTAGAGACGGGGTTTCACTATGTTGGCCAGGATGGTGGTTCAAGTTTTATGAACAAAGTTGTAAGTTGTTTTTCAGTTGCCATGGATTTTCCAGTTAAAGGTCATGTAACCTGAATATGCCCAGATGAACCAAATGAGCAACCACAGGTGGAATGTAAGTGCTTGGACTGAGGAGCTGGGACTGAATTAAGAAGCAGATATCACATGGCAGGATTCAGGATTTAATCAGATTGAGACCTGGCATCACCCCATAGTAAGACCCAGTCAGATTATGCCTTTCAGCATCACCTCGTTGCAAAATCCAATCGGATCACACTTCATTACTGTATGTTTATAAAACTTGACCCAAACCCCAGCTTGGGGAGACAGATTTGAGCATTTCTTCCCATCTCCTTGCCAGTTGACTTGCAATAAAGCCTGTCTTTTCTCAAAGGCTGGTGCTACGTTATTCCCTTCTATGCACATTGGACAGTGAGTTTATTGACTGCTTGCTAATGATGGTACTAATAAAATATTGCCAGCAACATTGCCAAGAGATAGAAGTGTAAAAACTAATGGAAAAGTGAATACTCTATACCAGTATTAAAGATATGAATATTAAATACCAGCTGTATTCTCTCGTTTTGTGAGCCTTTTAGTTATGCTAAAATGAACTTAAGGGAAAAAAGGAAAAATGGCAGCTATTATTAACATAGATAGGCTATACTAACACATTAAAGTCAATTGTAATACCTCCTCTTTCATTACTATGATGTTCATAGCTGGCATATACATTCTACAGAGCTTATTTGTATCCTCTCTCTTCTTTTCTTGGTTAATTTTGCTAATGGTCTATCAATTTTATTTATATTTTCAAAGAACTGGCTTTTTGTTTCATTTATCTTTTGTATTTTTTTTGTTTCAATTTCATTTAGTTCTGCTCTAATCTTGGTTAATTCCTTTCTTCTGCTGGGTTTGGGTTTGGTTTGTCCTTGTTTCTCTAGTTCCTTGATGTGTGACCTTAGACTGTGTATTTGTGCTCTTTCAGACTTTTTGATAAAGGCATTTAAGGCTATGAACTTTTCTCTTAGTACTGCCTTTGCTGTATCCCAGAGGTTTTGATAGGTTGTGTCACTATTATTGTTCAGTTTGAAAAAGTTTTTAATTTCCATCTTGATTTTATTGTTGACCCAATGATCATTCAAGAGCAGGTTATTTAATTTCCATGTATTGGCATGGTTTTGAAGTTTCCTTTTGGAGTTGATTTCCAATTTTATTCTACTGTGGTCTGAGAGAGTACTTGATATAATTTCAATTTTCTAAATTTATTGAGACTTGTTTTATGGCCTACCATATAGTCTATCTTGGAGAAAGTTCCATGCACTGATGAATAGAATGTATATTCTGTGGTTGTTGGGTAGAATGTTCTGTAAATATCTGTTAAGTCCATTTGTTCCAGTGTATGGTTTAAATCCATTGTTTCTTTGTTGACTTTCTGTCTTGATGACCTGTCTAATGTTGCCAGTGGATTATTGAAGTCCCCCACTATTATTGTGTTGCTGTCTATCTCATTTCTTAAAACTACCGTTTGATCCAGCAATCCCACTACTAGGTATCTACTCAGAGGTAAAGAAGTCATTATATGAAAAAGATACTTGCACATGCATGTTATAGCAGCACAATTTGCAACTGCAAAAATATGGAACCAGCCCAAATGCTCATCAATCAACGAGTGGATAAAGAAACTGTGATATATATATCACACAGTTCTGGACATGTTATTCCCCTTTTTAAATTGCTCAATATTGTCTCCTAATCTGTAGGATAGAATCCCACTCCTTGATATTCTGTATATGTAAGTTTTTCCATAATCTTTTTCTTGTCTAACTCTCCAGGCCAACTCTTAATAATCTCTACACCAACATTTATGGTCAGCAACTCCGAACTGCTTGTAGGATGATTTTGCTCAAAATTCTCCTGCTTTTCTTAGTGGTTCTCAAACCCAGTAAGTCTTCCTGTGGCTACTACAAACCAACTAAGTAATATGGGTCTCCTGTTTCATTAGAGGATCCTGTGTTTCCCACTGTTTCTACATTGTTTTATAGTTGATTATCACATCTGCTTCACCCACCAGATTGTGATGCATTTTAGGTCAGGGATGCCTTGGTCATCTTTGTTTCCATAGCATTGGGTACAGTGCATGACACAGAATAAGCAGTTAATGGAATAGACCTTGAGAAATGGGAAGGATTTTAATGAAAGCAGCCTTTTGCCTTTCTGTATTTTAATGACAAGATAGAATATTATGCCCTGGAAGGGATTATAAGATAAACTTTTTTTTTGCATTTTTCCCATAAGATAAGGGAAATATTTTCTAAAAACAGTGTTAAACACAAAGGACTCAATGAGACTAATATAGTCTAGGCTACATAGCCATAAAAAAAATAAAAAAATAAAAAAACCATCCTTTTTTTGGTTGTTTTTGTTGTTGTTGTTTTGCAGCAACATGGATGGAGCTGGAGGCCATTAGCCTAAGTGAATTAATGCAGAAAAAGAAAACCAAATGCCACATGTTCTCACTTATAAGTGGGAGCTAAACATTGGGTACACATGGACACAAAGAAAAATAATAAACACCAAACACCAGGGCCTACTTGAGAGTAGAGGGTGGGAGGAAGGTGAGGATCAAAAACCTACCTATTGGGTACTATGCCTATTACCTGAGTGATGAAATAATCTGTACCCCACACCCCCATAACATGAAATACCCATGTAACAAACATGCACATGTGCCCTTTGAATCTGAAAGAAACTTTGGAAAGAAAAAAGAAATAATGTTGATAAAGAATCAAGAATTCTCTTACGTTATTATGACTCAATAGTACTCAAGTGTCATGTTTAATTACATATGAATATATAGTAGCTGATAATCAACTTCATAGAAGCCTATTTATGGCTCCCTTACATTTGATGATGTTACTGTTCTTTTGTTCCTTCCCTAGGAGAATGTATAGAGGAAACAGAATGTGGAAAAATTACTCAATTGTGCTAATTGTTTCAATTCTACTACAAGGGTCTACTTATTTTGATGTAAATGTTAAAATTATTGGATTAAACTAGGACTTTATTTATGGGTTTTAAATATCTATTTTATTCCTTCATTCAGTTATATGGCTAGCAGGTATGCTGCAGGGCGTCATATGTCCTGGAGCTCACACAATTTCAGAAGCCTTTTTTTTTTTTTTTTTTTTTTTAGAAAAAAAAGCATGAAATTAAAGACATAAAATTAAGCACAAAAACTTGAATAGGGTCATTGCTAGTGAGAGGTCCTACAATTTAAGATTTGTTAGCTTCATGGTAAATCTGTACATGCTAGAATTTAAGTATTATATATTAAAGTACTATTCATTTTGACTATTTCTTGTGTTAATTTCAGTAATACTACCCTTGAACTCAGAGGCAACCTGGTATGAACACAGCTTAGTTGAAACGACATTAAGTGATGTTAATATTTTGGGATTCTAGTTGATAACTAGAATTAAAGTGAATAACTAGAATTAAAAATAACTAGCAGGAAAATGATAAAAGGACTTATTCTCCTTTGAGTCAAGAAATTCTAGCTCTTAATTCCTAGACCACAGCACTGATCAGAAATGCTGCTTGTTATTCCCATACTCTACATGTATCACACCATTGTGGAGAGCAGCACATAAAGGCTCTATTACTTGCCTCCCTTTCCCACACATGTGCGAAGTAAGTAAAATGGTTGAGATATTTTAGAAATCATGTTAATGGATCAGTCACTGTCAAACTGGTGTAGTCCACTATTCTAGGATGTATTCTGCCACTTAATTAGTTCAAAAAAAAAACCCAGACATAAATGAACTCTGTATCTTAACATATTTGCTGATACCAGTGACCATATCCTTTAAAGTAGACTTTTAAAAATGGTTTTGATACTTAAAAATATTGGGAAGATAATATAGAGAATAACCATATACCCCAAACAAAATTTTTCCTATTATTAGCATTATTTAGATGAGTATGGTACATTTGTAACAATAAATACTGACACATTATTCACTAAAGTCCATACTTTATTCAGATTTGCTTAGTTTTTGCATACTGTCCTTTTTGTATTCCAGGATTCCACCCAGTATACCACATTACCTTTGTCCTGTCTCTTTAGACTCTTCTTGGCTGTGACAGTTTCTCAGACTTTCCTTGTTTTCAATGATCTTGACAGTTTTGAGGAGTTCTAGTCAGGTATTTCATAGAATGTTCCCATATTGGAATTCGTCTGATTTTTTTTTTCCCAGGATTATACAGTGGCTATGTGTTTTGGGGAGAAAGACAATAGAAGTAAAATGCTACCCTCAACACATAAGAGTATATGCTATCAACTTGACTTATCATCATTATTTTTAACATTCACCACCTGGCTGAGGTAGTGTAGGAATATCTCCTCCACTATAAAGTTACTCTTTTTTTCTTCCTCTTCTCATACTGTATTCTTTGGAAGGAAGTCTCTATGCACAGCCCACACTAAAAGAGAGTTATATTCCCCACTCCTTAAGGGTGGAGTATCCACATAAATTCTTTGGAATTTTTCTACATGGGTGAATTTCCATTATCTTTCATATACTTATTTATTCAGTCACTTATTTATATAAGCATGGAGTCAGGAATGTTTGTTTTATATTTGGGGCAATAATACAGCACTACTTCATGTTGCTCAAATTATTGCAGTTTTGGCCATTGGAATATCTTTCACTTGACTCCTATGCCTCCATCAATATAAGTTTTTTTTTTAATTTTATAAAGTCCTTCCTTACTTTCTGGCACCACAAGATGTTTCAGGCTTATCTTATGCACTTCCTCCCCCATTCCTAGAATCAACCATTTATCCAAAGAGTCCTGGTTCTTTTTATTGGAAAATAGTATTAGAAAGCAGGATCTGAATTCTAGGCATGCTCTTTGCTTCCAGGGCACCATTTCTTTTAGGCTCTCTTTTCTGAAAGGGCAAAAAAATATGTGTGCATTAACTGGTCTATATATACGTAGAAATAAACATTTCTATATGTAATTAGATCATCTATATTATGATAAACATAACTTCTTATTGACATCTGCAATTCTAACTCACATTATTCAAGCCTCTTCCCCTTGCTTATCTATAAGTTACCATTCCAACAGTGAGAAAACTGGCCATTACCACTTGCCATCCATTTATTAGTTGCTCAATTCCAGGTCACACATATAGTAGTATCAATATTATTAATCCATACCCAAATGGAAAACAACTAGAATACAGCATTCATGTGCAGTTTGTTTTGCTTTAAGTTTTACAGATTGTACACATTCCTCAGATTACCGAGGTATGTACCTTTTCCCAATCCCTTTCAATGAGTTATTTTTTTTCTTCGATACGTTTGTAATATAGTGAGGGTTTTTTTTCCCTACAGTTGGGATATTTTCCTGGAATCTCATTACTTCCTAAATAATTTTTTATTTGTATACATTAAGATTCACTTTTTGTGCTAGAAAATTCTGCTAGTTTTGATAAATACATAATGTCATGTATATGCCGTGACAGTATCATACAGAATCGTTTTGCTACCATCAATAAGCACATTTTAATAAAATTATCTTGCTTTTGTTCAATGAAAATCATTCCATGTCCATCTTTATGTACTTAATTTAAGGTTGTATAAGTCTGGAAGAGAGAAGAAATCACAAGATAAAAAATAAAGCATCAAGTAGAAAGAATTCCCAGACATCCAGAGTATAATTGCTTTAACATTATTGATCTGAGTTCACGAGATAAATAATTTTACTTCCAAAACTGTGTTCTCAATTCTTCATGTAAAACTCCTTTATTTTCTCCTGGGAGACTGTAAACTCCGGGGACTTTTTTTTTTTTAAAAAAACCTTTCTTAAATGCTACATGCCGAGAAGGCAAGTAAACCGAAATGGAAACAAACGTAGGTCCTGCACAAGTTCAAATTGCTTCTTAACCTTGTAAAATCACACCCACATTGGGGCAATACAAATATTCTACAGTGCTTAGCAACTTTTTTTTTCTGATTTTAGAAAACAATAAACTAAATATATCTACTGAAACATTTTTTATGACAATTTTTTTTAACAAATGAAGAAAAAAAGATCTTAGGCTGAGAGCCAGTTACTAGTCTATGCTTTGCATATTTTAACTGATTTTATAGTCATAATAACTAAATAATGTGGATACTATTTCTATCCTCACCGTTCTATACTTACCCTTTATAGATAGAGAAACTGAGGTGTATGGAGATTCAGTGACTTGCTTGAAGTCACACTGATATTTATTTTCTCAGTAAGCAGTGGGTATGACTATTGGAAACTAGTGTTTCTCTTCTCCTTCAATCAGAGAACTGTAGCCTGGAAACATTTTCTAGACTAAGAAATGTCTCAACTTTTATCTCAAGTAAGACTATGATGACATAAGAGAATATTCAAGACAAACAATGGCTCCACTAAAATACTGACAATGACTTTCTTTTGTGTTAGATGTGGTAATGGTATGGAGAAGATTATGCAACATCTGTCAGACAAAGACATTATTTGAGAGAGTGGAACCAGAACATGGATATATACTAATAACCAGATATCCGGCTTCCTTCCCAAATTATACTTCATTGCACAGGAAAGACAAGCAGCTGGGTTTTGGATTGTGCAATATACTTATACTGCACTAAAACAATGACAAAGACCACATATTAGATTGTGACATCTCTTGAAATTTTACTGTCTCTACTAATAATCATCAATTTTTAACAACCAATACAGACTCACTTTTTTTAAAAGTGCTAGTATCAAAGAAATGTGAAAATTAATTTATGTACTATAGATCAGTGTATGTATGATACAACAAGTAAGGAGTATTCCTGAGATTCATTCTACAAAATAAGTGAAGATTAAATGAGTATAAGGAGGGGTACTGAAGTAAGTATGAAAATTGCAATAAATTTGGTAAAGACAATAGAAACACATGTAAAAATGGAAGTTTCTTGTAGTGAGTACCAGATAATGTTTAGAGAAACTCAGAAATGAAAGATACTATAATTATAAGTAAACTTGGCCATTCAGATGGCAATTTGAATTTTAACAGGTATGAATTCACTCAACATCCCCCTCCTTGGCCCCAGTTTTATTTTTATCTTTATTTACCATTTTCTTCTGCTTTCCTATCTCAAGAGAAGAAATATATAGATTAATACCATCATCAGAGAAAGTTCCTTTATGTCCTTTTCTAGTGAATTTCCAAATGATGTACATTGAGTTCTTGTACCTCCAGATCTACTCCTATTGGCCTGTCTCATTCTTCTGCCATGTGAATGTTTAATCATCTTTCAGTGGTCCAGCTCAAATATCATCTCTTCTGTAAAGAGTATTTTCCCTTTCCTAATTTTGGAAAGATATTCTTCCTCTTCCATGTCCTCAGCATTTTGTTAAAACCATTTGCAATTCACCTGGGAAGTGGTTAGAAATTCAAATTCTCAGACCCCACCAAAGTCCTACAGAATTAGAAACTATGGGGATGGGGCCCAATAATGTGTGTTTTAAATAAGGTGATGTACTCTCAAATGTTAGGAGCCACTACTTAGGGCTCTGTGGCTTTGTGAAAGTAGTTTAATCTCTCTGAGCCTCAATTTCATCATCTGTAAAATGGGAATATCATCACTTCCTTCTGGTTATAGATGTGAGAGAGAGTTTACTAGGTAAGGAGTGAATGGTGGCCAGGCAGGTTTACTCATGCCTGTAATCTCAGCACTTTGGAAAGCCAAGTTGGGCGAACCGCTTTAGCCCAAGTGTTCGAGACCAGCCTGGGCAACATGGGAACATACATTCTATCTGTAATGAGGAGCCACCGATGGATTGACTACATGTTTCCTGAGAATCAAAGGAAAGAGCTTTTGTTTCTAACAGTTTTTCAACTTCAGTTCAGGCTAAACTTCTGTTCTTATGCCTCTGAGAAAGCCTGTTGTAGCCTGGAATAATTCTTTTTAGATGAGGTGGTTTGGGTGGGTTTCTGTTTTTTGCCCAAACAAACAAACAAACAAACAAATGGAAAATGCTTTGCTTAGGACCCCACACAGATGAGACAATCCATTTCTCCTGTAACTTGTATTTCTCAGAATTCCTGTTGTTAAAAGCATATTGACGAAGCATACTAACTCTGGAGTTATAACATCAGTGATTAAATTCTGACTCAAGCACTTACCTTGAGTAACTCAATTTCTCTGTGCCTCAATTTTCTCATTTGTAAGAAGGGATAATAATATTACTTGCTCCCTAGAGTTGTAAAATTTAAACCAATTATTATAAGTTAAAATATTTTTAAAAATGCATTATATATACAAGCTTTCAGTGAATGTTACCTATTAAAATGTAAGGCTACCCATACCAAAACCAAAACAAAAAAACCCCAAAGCTCTATATTTGCAGGAAATTGATTCTGGAAAAAATATTTGTAAAATAAGGGATTTTACCTTTTCCTTTTGACCTGCAATGATCCAAATGCCTATTATATTTTGGACTAAGGCATTTGGACAAAGGTATCCCCTTTCATGTGAGAGAATGAATGGTGTGCTGGGGGTATGAAAAAAGAAGGTGGTGATAAGTAAGCAGGAAAGAAAGTTTCAGAAATTTTTCTCCCCCAAGGGGGAAACAAACCAAATATTTAATATTTTTAAATGTGCAGATGTTAGATTATATTTTTATTATGTAATCAGATTGTTTTAAAAGTAGAATAAATTGCTTTGGTTGCTTCTCTGTTTGTAAAAGAACTGTAACAGTGATCACTTTTGAAATATCTTCAGGTGTGTCCAAAAACCTCATCCTATAAAGAGTCTAAGAATGGTTCTGTCATGTGGCATGCAAAAGGAGAAAGCATTCCTCACGATCCACCAACTAACCTGCCCAAAGTACCTCATGACAACTGTCTATTTTAAAAATGAAGATTTTCTTCTTTTGACATAATTCCAAGCCAAATACTAAAAGCATTTTATTCCCTTTCAATTGTCAGTGTTTCTTAATCAACTCTAGAAGAAAAACAATTAGTTTAATTGCATTGCATATAAAAATTACATGTTTGGCTTAGTTTTTATACAAAGTCTTCAGTTTTATCTTTTTAACCGTTTCCTATATTTGCCAAATTGCCTTGGAAATTCATCCCCACCCCCACTCCACCAATGCAATCACAATTTTTATTTTTTATTATAGCAACGAATTTTGACAGCCATAGGTCATGGAGTTCTGAGACATCCTGGATCAATTACTAATGTCTGAGTTTGATTTTAGCCATTTTTACATATGAATAGAGACTAATGTTTCTGTCTTCAGTACAGATGTTTTCCTTGGCTGCTAAAATAGATTGTTGCTTTTTTATTGCTGCTGTGTTTTATTAAATTGTTACTTTATTTGTTTAAAAGATAGGTTACTTATAGGTGGTTAAGACAAAACTGTGAAGTAATGAGCAAATAAGAAAGCAGATATCTAATTCATGTCATGTATTCCTAGTCATAGTGGGTAGAAAAGGACATAATATAACACTCTATGAAATGGCTTATAAACTACGTGTTATACCAAACCTATAAAGCAATGTCTCCATACTCATGGATGAGTTGCATCAGAAGATAATTTGAGAATGAAACAAATCTTTCTGCTTCTCGTTTATGATGATGATGTAATTCATACCATTTCCGTGGATAATTTTTGTTCTCTTCAAATGGATGAATGTTTATTGAATTTGAATGAAATCACCGAGAAAAGAGTATACATTTGAGTTGCTGCAAACTTTTCAAGTAGTTTTGTATCAGTATTAAAATAATTGGAGATATTCCAGAGTAAGGTCAGAATTTGTTTTCTTTAAATATTTGTCTCCTATGAGCTCTATGATATTGCACATCCTGCCTTATCTTTATATTACAAACAGTATGCTCAGTGCCTGCCATATTCTATACTCTCAGTAAATGAAAAGTAAAAGAATTAATGAATATGAATATATCTGGAAGAAAAGTACTAAAAAAGTCTCTTTTCAAGCTTCCACACTTAGCTAATTGTGCCTTTAAACTATAGATCTGGATTAAAGATAAAGAATTAATTCATTTGTTGGAAAACCATCTCTTTATGATGTTTCTTTGCATTTTATTTGCTAGAGTAAATACACAGCATAAGTACTTACTAAGCAAAAGACTAAAAGATAGAAGATAAAGCCAATGAGATATCTAAAATTTACATAAATAAGATGTGGTCTACATAGAGGAAATGCTGGAGTTTTTTACATTATTTAGATATAAAATTGGTGTAAGTTTCTTCCTTTAAAAATTCTTGGGTATGTCAGGCAAATATAGCATATTATTTGGTGTAAGAACTGGGTGACTTAAAATAATATCAGCTCATAATTCATCTTTTGAAATATTATTTAGCCATATTCTTTTATTGCAGGGTCAGTAAATTTCAATTAATTTGAAAACAATCTTTGAGAGCACACACATTCTATTTATATATATGTACTTATAGAAGTATATTTGATTACATAACTACATTATAGCTTTATTTCAGTTTACATTTACACTCCAAATGAGTGTAACTCAGTTATTTATGCCTTCCATTTCTATAACACAATATTTATAAACCCTCATGATATAAGTAGCCGCAAAACAAGGCAATATTATAAAATAGTTTTTGGATTACTGGAAAACTTTCAATTAGTACAACTACAGTGTAAAATTTAATGTATTGTATTTTAATTTATTGAATATAAAGGAATAAGGATGGTACAGTTAGAAGCATCTGGTTACTTCACGTAACCACCTCCTATTCCTCAGATGTTTTAGTTAAGCATTCATTCAGTATACACATATGGTTCCTTAAAGTGTATTTTAAGTCAGTTTTACTGTGGCATACAATGAAATGCACCTATTTTAAATGTACAGTTTGATTAGTTTTGCTGTATGCATACACTTATGTACCTACCATCACAATCATGATATAGAAAATTTCTATCACTCTCAGAAGTTCCATTGGGCCTCTCACTAGTTAATGCCCCAGCCAACTCCTGATGCAACCAAAACTATATGCTTGCTTTCTATCATTATAGATTAGATCTGCCTGTTCTAGAATTTTATATCAATGGAGTGATAAAGTATATACTTTTTTGAATTTCACAGCTTTTACTTAGCACAATGATTTTGAGAGTAATCCATGTGTTGTACATGTCAACAGATTGTTCTTATTGTTCAGTAGTATTCCATGCAGTGGTACTCCTTGTACCACAATTGTGAATTGTACCGTACTTTATGAATCCTTTCACCTGGTGATGGACACTTGTATTATTTCTAGTTTTGGCTGTTATGAACTAAGCTTCTCTGAATATATTCATGTACAGGATTCTGTGTGGCTTACCCATTTCTCTTGGGTAAATATTTAAGGATGGAATTGTGGGGCTGTATGGTAAGTATATGGTTTACTTTATAAAGTAGTACAAAACTGTTTTCCCAAGAATTTATGCCATTTTACAATCCCATCAGCAAGTTAAGAAAGTTCCAATTGCTCTACATCCTCATCAATACTTGCTTTTGTCATTCTTTTAAGTTTTAGTCTTACTGTGTTTTTGTCATTTTCCTGATGAATAATGATGATGGCATCTTTTCATGTGCCTATTTGTCATTGTGCATCTTCCTTTGTGAAGTATCCGTTCAAATACTTTGCCCATTTAAAATTTTTTTGCTTGAATTATTATTATCGAGTTTTACAAGTTCTTTATATATTCTGGATCGCACTTGTTTGTCAGATATATGCATCTATATATATATATATATATGTATATTTACTCCGTGGCTTAATTGTCATGATCTTAATGGTTTCTTTGGAAGACTTCAATATATAATTTTTAATTTTGTATTGATACTTTATGTTGCACTACTTATGTAAATTTTGCCTCTTCTGAAGATTTTCTTCTATATATTATTTTAAAAGCTTTGTATTTTTAGATTTCGTGCTTAAATCAATGATATGTTTCAAGTTCCTTTTTTGTCTGTGACGTGAGACAAATCTGAAGTTTATTTTTTACACATTGATGTCAAGTTGTTCCAGGACTATTTGTTGTAAAATCTGTTCATTATCCCATTGAATTATCTTGCCACATTTGTAAAAAATTAGTTGACCTAGTAAAGAAGTGTCCATTTCTGGATTACATTCTGTTCCATTGATGTCTAGCAATACCTCATTGTCACATTACTGTGATTTCATAGCAAGTCTTAAAATCTAGTAGAAGTTGTGAAATTTTAGAATTATCATTTGGCTTTCCCTATACATTTTAGAATAAGCTTATCAATTTCTCTAACAAGTCTGATAGGGTTTTGATTAAGAGTACATTGAATCTATAGATCAGTTAGTGAAGAACTTCCATCTTAACAATATTGAGTCTTCTAATCCATGAAAACATGTCTTTAGATCTTTAAATTCTATCATCAATACCATCTAGTTTTCAGTTTACAAGTCATGCACTTTTTTCCTAAATTTATCATAAATATTTAATTATTTTATGAAGTATGAAATTTATACATTTTTATTTTCTGTTTATTGATAATTAACATATTTGCAATTGATCTATATATTTTTTCAGAAGAATCCTAGTTTTTCAATCTTGAAGTATCTGTAATCTAATTACATGTTCACATGCTGCCATCAACTAAATGAATCAAAAAGGATATTCAGTTGCAAGGGGAAATTGAAAATAATATGTGCAGAATAATAAAATTCAAAAATTGACCTTTTTTTAGTTAATTGGTGAAGTGATTTGCACTAAGAGGTTGCCAATAGATATTTTTCCAGCATTTTAGTACATATTTTGAAGATATGGCTGTTTGCTAGTATAAACAACTTTACAAAAACCTTTTTATGAAATTAAAATACTAATATAAAATTATTTCATATTACATATATTTATTCATTTTTAAAATTAATTTTTTTATTTTAATGGAATTAGGGGTACAAGTGTAGTTGTGTTACATGGATATACTTCACAGTGGTGAAATCTGGGCTTTTAATGTACCCAACACCCAAATAATGTATATTGTACCCAATAGGTGGTATTTTACCCCTTATCCCCCCTTACCATTTGGAGTCTTCAATGTCTATTATTCCATTTTGTATGTCTGTGTGCACCCACTGTTTAACTCCCATTTATAAGTAAGAACATGTATTCTTTACTTTTTGTTTCTCAGTCATTTTAGGATAATGACTTTCAGTTCCATCTATGTTGCTGCAAAAGACATGATTTCATTTGTTTTTTATGGATGAGTAGTATTCCTTGGTAGACATATATCACATTTTTAATTCAATCACGCACTGATGGGCACTTAGGTTGGTTTCCATGACTTTGCTATTGTGAATAGTGCTGTGATAAACATCCGAGCGCATGTGTCTTTGTAATATAATGATTTATTTTCCTTGGGTAGATACCTGGTAGTGGGATTGCTGGATCAAAGGTTAGCTCTATTTTTAGTTCTTTGAGAAATCTCCATACTATTTTCCATAGAGGTACTGATTTACATTCCCACCAACAGCATATAAGTGCTCCAATTTCTCGGCAGGCTTGTCAGCATCTGTTGTTTCTTGACTTTTTAATAATAGCCGTACTGATTGGTGTAAAATGGTATCTCATTGTGGGTTTAATGTGCATTTCTCTGATGGTAAGTGATGATGAGCATTTTTTTCATACATTTGTTGGCCACTTGAATGTTCTCTTTCGAAAAATGTCTGTTCATATCATTTGTCCACTTTTTAATGAGGTTATTTGTTTTTTTCTTGTTGAGTTGTTTGCATTCCTTCTGGATTCTGGATCTTAGCTCTTTGTGAGATGCATTGTTTGCAAATATTTTCTCCCATTCTGTAGGTTGTCTCTTTACTGTCTTTAGTATCTCTTTTTCTGTGCAGAAGCTTTTCAGTTTAATTAAGTCTCATTTACCTATTTTTGTTTTTCTTGAGCCCCAGAGTTTGAGGCTGCAGTGAGCTATGATTTTTACATATTGCAACCTTTCTAAACTCACTTATTAGTCCTAATAATGTTTTGTAGATTCCTTAGGACTTTCTATGTACTTAATCATGTTGTCTGAGAATAAAGATGGGCTTTATTTCATCCTTTCCAATTCTCATGTCTTTGATTTTTTTTTCTTTTCTTATTCACTCTGGTTCTGATCTTAGGAAGAAAGCATTCAGCCTTTTATCATTAAGTATTTTGCCAGTGATTGATAGGCTTTTCTTCAATGCTCCCTTTTTCAAAGTTAGGAAGTTCCCTTTTATGACTAGTTTGTTAAGAGGTTTTATTTTATTTTAGTTTGTTTTGTTTTTAAATTATGAATGACTGTCAAATTTTATCAAATGTTTTTTCCCCATTTATGAAAATAATTCTATATATTTTAAATATTTTTTTCTGTTATAGTAAATTATAAAATTCATTTAAAATTTTAAACAAGTCTCAAAATCCTGTGATAATTTCCTGTCAGCCATGATATTTTATCTTTTAAATATAAAACTGGATTCTATTTGCCAATGTCTTCTAAATTTTTTTTCTGTGTTCATGAGACATATTGGCCTGGTGTTTTCTTATAATTATTTTTGTCCAGCTTTAGTCTTAGACTATTGATGGCCTCTTTCAATAATTTCTGAAAGTATTTGAATATGGTTGGTTTGTTCTTCTTACATATTTAATGGAATTCACCAGTGAGAGTATATGGTCTTGGAGTTCCTTTCTGGGGAAAGTTGCAATTACAAATTCAATTTCTTTAGTAAATGTAGGCCTATGTAGAATTTCTACATCTTCTTATGTTAACTTCGGTAATTTATGTCTTTTGAGAAGTTTGTCCATTTCTTAAAGATTGTGGAATTTATTGGCATAAACTGATCATACTAATACTCTATTGTACTTTTAATATCATAGAATATGTATTGATATTCCTGCTAATTTCTAATATTAGTAATTTATATTGCTTTTTTGCTTTTTCAGCTTATCTAGAGGTTATCAGTTTTACTAATATTTGTAAAAACTAATACAAATAGTTTCTGGTTTTATTGATTTTTCTCTGTTTTTCTCCGTTATTTAAAAGCAATTTCTCCTCTTGTCTTTATTATTTCTTTCTGTCTGCATATTTTAACATGCTCATCTTTTACTTGAAGTAGAAGCTTAGATTGTTTGTTTTAATTATTTCTTCATTGTTAATATAAGCATTAAAAACGTAAATTTCCTTCTAAGAACCAACTTTGCTGAAACCCACAAATTTTATGTTGTATTTTAATTTTCATTCAGTTAAAAGTATCTTTTATTTTCTTTCCTCTTGGATTCATGGTTTTTTAAAAAGTTTGTTGTTTAACATCCAAGAATTTGAGTATTTTCCAAATATCTTTATGTTATTGATTTCTATTTTTTTCTTGTTGTGGTCAGAGACATATGCTATATAATTTTAATACTTTTAAATTTGAGCCTTATCTTATAATCCGTATGCTTTATTTTGGTAAGCATTCCATGTGCACTTGACAGTGATATGTATTATGTTGTTGCTGGGTAGAGTGTTCTATCAATGTCAATTAGGTCTAGTTGCTTGGTAACATTGTTAAAGTTTTTGCTATTCTTTATAATTTTTTCCTGTTTCTATAATCTGCATCTATATTTGTGAGTATATATTATTTTCATTTCTGCCAGTTTTTGCTGCATATCTTTTGAAGCTCTTTGATCAAGGGCCTGCATGTTCCAGGTTCTCATATCTTTTAGATACATTGACTCTTTAAACATGAAATATCCTTCTTTATCCTTGGCAATATTCCTTGTATTAAGGTCTATTTTATCTGTTTTTTTTTTTTTTTTTTTTTTTTTTTTTTTTTGAGACAGAGTCTTGCTCTGTTGCCCAGGCTGCAGTGCAGTGGTGCGATCTCGGCTCACTGCAAGCTTCGCCTCCTGGGTTCACGCCATTCTTCTGCCTCAGCCTCCTGAGTAGCTGGGACTACAGGCACCTGCCACCACACCAGACTAATTTTTTGTATTTTTAGTAGAGACGGGTTTTCACCATGTTAGCCAGGATGGTCTCGATCTCCTGACCTCGTGATCTGCCTGCCTTGGCCTCCCAAAGTGCTGGGGTTACAGGCATGAGCCACTGCGCCCAGCCTTTATCTGATATTTTATAAGTGGGTCACTGCAATGTTAGGAATAGTGTTTGCATGATATAAATTTGATCCTCTTACTTTTAATCTCTATATTTATATTCCAAATGGGCTTCTTCTATATAGCATGCAATTTAATCTTGCTTCTTTTATGCAGTCTGACAATTTCTTCCTATTAATTGGAATATAGACCATTTTTATGTAATGTACTTATTGATATTGATGGGTTTAAATTCACCATCTTGCTGTATATGTCCTTTTGGTATAATCTATTTTCCTTTGAGTATATACCTAGTAATGGGATTGCTGGGTTGAAAGGTCCCTCTGTTTTAAATTCTTTGAACTGTGAAGAAAGATAGTTTGACTTTTTCTTTTCCTATTTGGATGCCTTTCATTTCTTTCTCTTGGCTGATTGCTCTGGCTAAGACTTCCAGTACTATATTAAATAGTGGAAATTAGGAAGGAGTCCCTCCTCCTTGATTTTTTTGGAATAGTTTCAATAGAATTGGTATCAGTTCTTCTTTTCACATCTGGTAGAATTCAGCTGTGGATTCATCTGGTCCAGAGCTTTTTGTAATTGGTAGGGTTTTGTTTTTTTTAATTACTGACTCAATTTCATGGCTTGATATTGGTCTATTCAGGGTTTCAGTGTCTTCCTGATTCAATCTCTGGAGGCTTTGAGTTTGTGGGAATTTATTCATTTCCTTTAGATTTTCTAATTTGTGTACATAGAGTTATTCATAGCATTCTGTGAGGATCTTTTGTTTTTCTGTGGGATCGGTTGTAGTGTCATCTTTGTCTCTTCTGCTGATACTTATTTGGATTTTCTCTCTTTTTTCTTTGTTAATCTTGCTAATGGCCTAACAATCTTGTTTACTTTTTTGAAGAACCAATCCTTGGTTTCATTGATCTTTTATATGGATTTTTGTGTCTCAATTTCATTAAGTTCTTCTCTAATTTTAGTTACTTATTTTCTTAGCTTTGGGGCTGGTTTTTTCTTTTCTTTTTCTAGTTCCTTTAGATGAAAAGTTAGATTGTTAATTTCAGAGTTTTCTAACTTCCAGATGAAGGCATTTAGTGTCATAAATTTTCCTCTTAACACTGTTTTAGCTGCATCTTCAACTTTTAGTTGATTTTGCCTCCCTCTCTGAACTGCAGTCTCTGACTCATCAATTCAGTGAATCTGCTGTGGTCTGCTTTATTTCCCATTTTTTGCACTGTGATCTATAATGTGTTACCTGATAAAAAGTTGAGATGATTTTGGGATCATCTTGTTTGTTTCCCTTAGGAATCTTAGTCTTGCCATACTCTCTATTGTCTGATAATACTTTGTTTCATGTATTTTGTCCGGTTTTATGGTTTGTTTACAGCTGGACTGTAAGTGTGACACCTATTTACTCATCATGGACTGATGCACATTTCCTGCTTATTATATTTTACTGAAAAAACAATCAACATATTTGGTAGTTTTTTATTTTAAATAGACTCCATGCTGGTTATCTTTCTATTATAAAATATTTTTTTCATAATGAAGGTTAAACTATAGGCTTATTCTTTAAGATAGGAATAATAGTTTAGACTTTGCCTTTTTCAGTTATAATTACATTCCAATTTTACATCTCCATATCATTTGAATTGGAATTTTAAGTATTCTAGATCCATCAGTAACTCATTTGCAGTCATCTTGGTTACTTCTTTAGGTAGCCAGTTTTGTCATTTTGAAGAAAAGAGGTTATCAGTTTAGCTCTCTAAGGATATTATTTCCTTACCTCCTCTTACCCCCTAGTTCTCCTGTAAACGAGGGAAGTAGTGACTCCTCAGCTACTTTCAAATACATTTTGTCTAAGCATCTTTACTGCAAATCTTCTTAAACCATGGTAAAGCCCTCCTGTCTGAGAAATGTTTTGAAATGTTTATGAATGCTGTCCTAGAAACTATTTTCAACACTTGAGAAGAAGTAATTTTGCGTAAGTGTCTATGGTTTTGGATTTTTATTATCAGCATTCGGGAAGCAGGAAATTTTAAGTTTGAACTGTCAGCAAGTTTTTACTGATACCCCACTGTGGGTAGCATATATGTCATTTTAGAATATGTTGCATTTTTCTGTTTTGTCTTCCACAAAAGCATCTGGCACTCCTTGATGAGTGATTTAGACTGAGGTCCCTGATTTCTCTGCCAGGAATGCATTTTAAGTCTGGTGGGTCTCAGAAGATCAGGAAGAAGGACCATATGTGTTACTATATCTTATCTACAAAGAGGTAAATCTTGGAGAACAGTGACCTCCTTGCTGACTGAGATGTCCTAGTTGACTATAACAAACCATTTGGAATTTGAGGGCAAGCTAATGTTGACTTTCAGTGGAAAGGCTCACCCTTACGGGGCACCTAATACTTGATGGTACTGGAAATGAAGATGGTACTGGAAATGAAGATAAAGATAATCAATTAACATACTTGATTATTTTTAGAAAATATTTTCTAAAATTATATCAATTTCTAATTAGTTTGCATTCAACCCTGCAGACTTTTCCAAACTCTGTTATATGTCTTTTTCAGACTCTATTATGTTTCTTAGATTGCTGTGCAACTGCAATATAATAACCTAGATTTATGATAGAACCTAATATAAATCTAAATAAATCACTTTTAGTGATTTGTATGTCCTACCTTTGCACATCCTTAAAGAATTCCAGAACATTTGTCACATACTTGCAGATTAGTCAGCAATAGCGTCTGCAGAATGCTGATTGCCTTTTCCCTGCCAGATTTTGCTAGTTTAAGTGTTCTATTGGCATGTGCTTTCATTTCTATACTACTGTGTTCCTTGGCATGGCTTTCTAAGGGTCACATTCTGAGTCATTTTTGTAAGTGACACTTCACAAAGGGTATCCACTAGTACATATCAGTTCTATAGTTTTATACTTGAGTTTCAAAATTTGATATCTTTATAATTTTGGTGTGAGTCTATACCTGATTCCATTAGTTAGGTCTTCTATAGATCATATATTTACTACTGTTAAATTTAGGATCCTCTGTCTTTACTCCTTTGATGTAAAGGTCAAACTTCTGTAGAAAGGATAGTTGCATCCGATCAAAATTTGAGCCAGATGAGATACCTTTACCATTTTTGATTTAACATATGGTGAGAAATATGTTTTACATTATATCTGAGTACACGAACATACATGTACACATACAACTGAAACATAGTATTATTAAACTATACTTACTATATATGATACACTTGGACATTTCCTTTTCTATTTTATTAAAATTCTGGTCTTCTGTAGATGGATTTCATGACCCACAAAGTTATTGCTGCCAGGAGTTTAAACAACACTTGCCTAGACTACATTTAAGGTTCTTTATAATCCTGAGATGCTATATGTCTGTGGTAAAGGACATTTTCCCCTTTTACTTGGGCTAATTTTTTAATTGTGGTAAAATACACATAACATAAAAAGCACTCCTCAACAAATGTAAAAGAACAGAAATTCTAACAACTGTCTCTGAGACCACAGTGCAATCAAACTAGAACTCAGGATTAAGAAACTCACTCAAAACTGCTCAACTACATGGAAACTGAACAACCTGCTCCTGAATGACGACTGGGTACACAACAAAATGAAGGCAGAAATAAAGATGTTCTTTGAAACCAATGACAACAAAGACACAACATACCAGAATCTCTGGGACATGTTTCAAGTAGTGTGTAGAGGGAAATTTATAGCACTAAATGCCCACAAGAGAAAGCAGGAAAGATCTAAAATTGACACCCTAACATCACAATTAAAAGAACTAGAGAAGCAAGAGCAAACACATTCAAAAGCTAGCAGAAGGCAAGAAATAACTAAGATCAGAGCAGAACTGAAGGAGATGGAAACACAAATAACCCTTCAAAAAATCAATGAATCCAGGAGTTGGTTTTTTGAAAAGATCAACAAAATTGATAGACTGCTAGCAAGACTAATAAAGAAGAAAAGAGAGAAGAATCAAATAGAGGTAATAAAAAAAGATAAAGGGGATATCACCACTGATCGCACAGAAATACAAACTACCATCAGAGAATACTATAAACACCTCTACACAAATAAACTAGAAACTCTAGAAGAAATGGATAAATTCCTGGACACATACACCCTCCCAAGACTAAACCAGGAAGAAGTTGAATCCCTGAATAGACCAATAACAAGCTCTGAAATTGAGGCAATAATTAAGAGCCTACGAACCAAAAAAAGTCCAGGAGCAGACAGATTCACAGCTCAATTCTACCAGAGGTACAAGGAGGAGCTGGTACCATTCCTTCTGAAACTATTCCAATCAATAGAAAAAGAGGGAATCCTCCCTAACTCATTTTATGAGGCCAGCATCATCCTGATAACAAAGTCTGGCAGAGACACAACAAGAAAAGAGAATTTTAGACCAATATCCCTGATGAACATCGATACAAAAATCCTCAATAAAATACTGGCAAACCAAATCCAGCAGCACATCAAAAAGCTTATCCACCATGATCAAGTGGGCTTCATCCCTGGAATGCAAGGCTGGTTCAACATATGCAAATCAATAAACGTAATCCAGCATATAAACAGAACCAAAGACAAAAACCACATGATTATCTCAATAGATGCAGAAAAAGCCTTTGACAAAATTCAACAGCCCTTCATGCTAAAAACTCTCAGTAAATTAGGTATTGATGGGACGTATCTCTAAATAAGAGCTATTTATGACAAACCCACAGTCAATATCATACTGAATGGGCAAAAACTGGAAGCATTCCCTTTGAGAACTGGCACAAGAGAGGGATGCCCTCTCTCACCACTCCTATTCAACATAGTGTTGGATTTTCTGGCCAGGGCAATCAGGCAGGAGAAAGAAATAAAGGGTGTTGAATTAGAAAAAGAGGAAGTCAAATTATCCCTGTTTGCAGATGACATGATTGTATATTTAGAAAATCCCATCGTTTCAGCCCAAAGTCTCCTTAAGCTGATAAGCAACTTCAGCAGTCTCAGGATACAAAATCAATGTGCAAAAATCACAAGCATTCTTATACACCAATAACAGAGAACCAAATCATGAGTGAACTCCGATTCACAATTGCTTCAAAGAGAATAAAATACCTAGGAATCCAACTTACAAGGGATGTGAAGGAACTCTTCAAGGAGAACTACAAACCACTGCTCAATGAAATAAAAGAAGACACAAACGAATGGAAGAACATTCCATGCTTATGGATAGGAAGAATCAATATCGTGAAAATGGCCATACTGCCCAAGGTAATTCATAGATTCAATGCCATCCCCATCAAGCTACCAATGACTTTCTTCACAGAATTGGAAAAAACTACTTTAAAGTTCATATGGAACCAAAAAAGAGCCCCCATTACCAAGTCAATCCTAAGCCAAATGAACAAAGCTGGAAGTATCATGCTGCCTGACTTCAAACTATACTACAAGGCTATGGTAACCAAAACAGCATGGTACTGGTACCAAAACAGAGATATAGACCAATGGAACAGAACAGAGCCCTCAGAAATAACACCACACATCTACAAGCCTCTGATCTTTGACAAACCTGACAAAAACAAGAAACGGGGAAAGGATTCCCTATTTAATAAATGGTGCTGGGAAAACTGGCTAGCCATATGTAGAAAGCTGAAACTGGATCCCTTTCTTACACCTTATACAAAAATTAATTCCAGATGGATTAAAGGCTTAAATATTAGACCTAAAACCATAAAAACCCTAGAAGAAACCTAGGCAATACCATTCAGGACATAGGCATGGGCAAGGACTTCATGTCTATAACACCAAAAGCAATTGCAACAAAAGCCAAAATTGAGAAATGGGATCTAATTAAACTAAAGAGCTTCTGCACAGCAAAACAAACTACCATCAGAGTGAACAGGCAATCTACAGAATGGGAGAAAATTTTTACAATCTATCCATCTGACATAGGGCTAATATCCAGAATCTATAAAGAACTCATACAAATGTACAAGAAAAAAAGCAAACAATCCATTAAAAAGTGGGCAAAGGATATGAACAGACACTTCTCAAAAGAAGACACTTATGCAGCCAACAGACACATGAAAAAATGCTCATGATCACTGGCCATCAGAGAAATGCAAATCAAAACCACAATGAGATACCATCTCACACCAGTTAGAATGGCGACCATTAAAAAGTCAGGAAACAACAGGTGCTAGAGAGGATGTGGAGAAATAGGAACACTTTTACACTGTTGGTGGGACTGTAAACTAGTTCAACCATTATGGAAGACATTGTGGCCATTCCTCAAGGATCTAGAACTAGAAATGCCAGTTGACCCAGCCATCCCATTACTGGGTATATACCCAAAGGATTATAAATCGTGCTGCTATAAAGACACATGCACACATATGTTTATTGCAGCATTATTCACAATAGCAAAGATTGGAACCAAGCCAAATGTTCATCAATGATAAACTGGATTAAGAAAATGTGGGAAATATACACCATGGAATACTATGCAGCCATAAAAAAGGATGAGTTCATGTCCTTTGTAGGGACATGGAGGAAGCTGTAAACCATGATTCTCAGCAAACTATTGCAAGGACAGAAAACCAAACACCACATGTTCTTACTTATAGGTGGGAAGTGAACAGTGAGAACACTTGGACACAGGATGGGGAACATCACACACTGGGGCCTGTGGTTAGGTGGGGGTCTGGGGGAGGGATAGCATTAGGAGATATACCTAATGTAAATGACGAGTTAATGGGTGCAGCACACCAACATGGCACATGTATACATATGCAACAAACGTGCATGTTGTGCATGTATACCCTAGAACTTAAAGTATAATAATAAAATAAAACCTCAACATTTTAGCCATTAAAATGTAAAACTCAGTGGCATTTAATACACTCACAGTGTTGTGAAAACATCACCACTGGCAGGGTATCTCTGTTCAACTCTTTTCCCCTTAAATTGAATGGAATGAAGTAATCTGTGTTCAATCTTTTAAAGCAACCTCTTCCTAAAATTATCTTCTAATTTTCTTTTTTATTTCTTCTTTCAGCTTTCTCCCAACATTTTCACTTAAATTTAACTGTCCTTATCAGAGTCTAAAAGAGTTCCAAATATGCTTGTAAGTACATTGTGGAAAGAGAACAGATATAGGCATCTGCACAACTCTGTGGTGAAACAAAACAAGCAGGGCATAAAGCGTTAAGACTAGACATGGTGTGCCTGTAGAGAATTCTGCAGGGAGAGCCTCATGCATTCATAATGCAGCTTAGGAAGCATAAAGAAATGTGTCTGAGGAAAGGAATCCTTTCTTAATTTTAATTCATTCACCATACATGAAGAGAATCAAGACATATTCTAGTACTTACAATGAGTCTCCTCTTAGAGAAAAGCTAAACCCACTTTTCTTTATAATAGCTAGTCTTCAGTAACTACGTCTGAGACTTCAACAAATCTTCCTAGAAACTAAACACCCTTGTTAAGAAATTGTTGGTGTCAAAACATAACCACATCCTGGTTTACATGATGAGAAATGCTGGTGGATTAGGCCATCTGATGAGTTTGGAAATGCACTGTTTTACGTAATCCTCAACAGTACACCAAGTTATGTTTTTACTTATTCTATTGCTATGTGTGAATATTGCATTAAATGCTAGACATGGTATGTAAGTACTTGATGGTTCTGATTTCCTTTTTGGCAAATATAGGCAAAAATGCATATTATTTTATTTCCATCTGTAGACTGCTTACTCTATTACTTATGGTAATAAGTTAAGATTTGATTTCTATAGTTTTCTTTTTATTGGAGTGTCACACTTTATTTTAACTTGAAGACTGATGTTGTGCTGTCTCAAAAGAAAAAAAGCTTAGCAATAGACAATGATTTTTATTGTGGTAATTCTGAGAAAACCCATATAAATAGCGACTGTTTTTGCTTTTGCTTTGCACTATTGGTCATATATGACAGATCGGTTCAAATAATTATTATCAAATCATTCTATTTCAAAAAGTAATGTGACTACATGTACTTGAAAACAAAAATTAGAATTCTTTCCCATGGAAGGTTATTGAAGCTGCACTTTAGTGCCTTCTGGATGCAAAGTAGTTTTTCATTTGTTTCTTCTAGATAGACTCAAAGTTCTTGGCTTGTAAAACTGACCTAATGTCATAAATTTAACTTGCTTTTCAGAATATTACTTCTGCAGAAGATGGACTCATTTTTGTTGCCTGCAAAAATCATTAGATGAATGATTTCTGTTTGGAATGTGATGTTTGTTACAGACTCTTCTGGGAGGTCTAGGCCATTTTTTATAAGACAAAAACAAGAATTTGAGAGCACTTGCTAGCTGATGATGTTCTCTGCTTTAGTCTTCTTCATCCTTCTAGGAATTCTGAGCTGAGCATATCCCACCAGGATTTTCATAAAATTCCCTTTCAATTGGCCATGCCAGAGCCCTCATCTCCTCTGGAAGTTTTTGCCAAACTGACCTCATTAAAAATATTTGTCCTGATTATTAAGTCAATGAATATTTAGTATGAGTACTTAAAAATATATAGGAAAGAATAGAAAAACTTGGTGAAAATATTATTCATAATCCCTCTGCCCAGAAGAAAAGTACTAAATTTTTGACCTAGTTCCTTCTCAGTTTGACTTTCTTCTGCACTGGCCCACTGATCTACTACTGTTGGGAATTTTGGATGTGATAAAGAAGAATTTTCAGATATGTTGTAGGAAGATCTCCCCTTATCAGGAGCCCATCGATTTAACATATTTATTTGTCAAAGCAAAACAATAGGATATTTTGATACTTCTATTCATTAAACTACTTTATTCATTAAACTATTCATTTGATACTTCTATTCATTAAAGTATGTATTGATACTTCTATTCATTAAACAAATGCATATTGAAGCAAATAATAAGGTATGCAAAGAACAAGCAAACAAGGTCCATAGTTAATTATTTTAAAAAAGGAAAGAATAAGATGTAAAATCTGAGAGGCATCTGGAGACTTTTCAAAAAATATATGTAATATCAAGTTAATACAATATAATACACAGGATTAACTAAGCAATTTGTTTTGGCTTTTGTGAATCATTAAAATCAAGTAATTTTGGTGAACATTTCACAACATTTGGTGAATTATTAACAAATACAGTAGTCCATCATTATTTGAGACAGATAGGTTCTTAACTGAGCAATTTGTTTTGGCTTTTATGAATCATTAAAATAAAATCAAGTAATAAAAACATTTTAGTGAACCAGCAACAGATGCATTCATTCCCCTTATTTGAGAGGAATATGTTCCAAGACCCCCAGTTGATGCCTGAAGCCACAGATAGTACTGAACTGTACATATGCTACATTCTATATTTTTTTCCTCTCCATACATACTTATGATAAAGTTTAATTTGGATATTAGGCATAGTAAAAGACTAGCAACAGCAATAACTAATAATAAAATAGAACAATTATAAAGATATACTGTAATGAAATTTATGTGAATGTGGTCTCTCTCTCTCTCTCAAAATATCTTATTGTAGTATACTCACTATTGTTGGACCATGGTTGAGCATGGGTTATTGAAACTGCAGAAAGTGGGACTTTGGATATGGGGGGACTACTGGACTACTGTAATACTTTCCAGTTTGAAGAGCAGCTTATATGTTTAAAGTAAAAATATCCCTCTGTAGGCCAACCTTTGGCAAGAGTCAAGTAAGTGCCATGCAATGATGAAGATTGCTCCTGTGCAGAACTCCATGCTTCCATTGCCACAGTTCAGGTAAAGGCCCAGAGTTTTGAGTAATCCGGGAAGTTTTCCATCTCTCCCTCTTTCTCCTTAGCATCCACAGCTTTACCACTATTATCTGCCTCAGAATTAGGCCATCCCTCACGTAGTTCCACATATCCCTTTTTGTAAACTGCCTCCCACTGATTCTTCTCTTCTGAAGCCTTTTCAGTGTGCATTTATCCTCATTTCTTCTGTGAATATTCTTTTTATCTTCTAATAATTAAAGTCTAATGATACTTGGTGGTATTGCTTCCTCTGTAGCCCCCATGTGGTGGCTGGTTTCCTCTTTAACACTGAGCCTTGAGATAGAGGAAGTACCCTCCTTCCTTCTTATTGCTGCTTCCAGACAAACTTCCCAACCTCCTAGTAATATAAACAAGCAAACATCTTGAATCTCTTGTTATCACACTATACCTTCTCTACATTTCTGTTTCTAGTCATCTACACTCCTGGGGAGTGTATCTTACTTGCATCAACTTTACCCCTTAAAGATTTCAACTTTGAATTACTGCCACTCTCCTATTCCTGTTGAGAAAGCAGTTTTTAAACAAATAAATGATCAGTCCCTGTCATCTGGAAACTAGGCCATGTTACTTTTTTATTGGGTATAAACAGCCTCACAGAATATCAGCCTCAGACTATGAGACTAAGGGGAGACAAAGTAAGACTATTTTATAATTTCGTCTAAGCACAGACAAAAATAAGGTCAATGCGTTACCCCAGATATAAAAGATCCCTCTTATCTTGACTACTAAAATAAGTAATTTCTACTTCTTTAGCAAGGATAACTTTAGATTTGCTCTAGTGTCCCCTTCCTGGAGATAAGATTTGTTGAACAACAGATTTGTTCCTGCTTCCTGACAGCATTCAAGTCTGTAGTGGACTCAGCTTCTTTAGATACCCGCTCAAGTCCCTCAACCAAAGTTCAAACCCTATAATTGGTTCTTGCTAATACCCTCTTACTGAGATGCTCCATGATTTCCTGTGGTGTGTGTTCTTCCTCACTGCAACAAGATAAAAAGCCCACCTGGCTCAAATACAGATGTGTTCCTGTGATCCTAGTTTCGAGGGTATTGACACTGTCAGAACTCTTAGTGATGTCAGCATTACATTTTAACACCCTGACCCCCCAGTTCTTTATATTATCTTCCACCTTATGGCAGGCACCTTTCATTTTCATGTTCTTTTCCTTATAATTAGTAATAACTTTAATCTATTCATAACCTTGATACCATTCATCTGACTCACATTCTGCCTCCTGCTGTGTTTACAGCTCATTTGTCCTAGTTAATTCAAATGCAAAAACTCTATCTTATGAAAATTTTTATTCAGCTAATTTCACCTGTTCACTATCTTTCACCATCTTTCACCCTGTCTTATCTTCACTTACATCATTTCACGTCCTTATACAGCTAAAATTCCATGGGCAATCATTGTAATCAGTTCCTTGCACACACCAGCAATTCTGTGACCCCCCTCCTACTTTGTCAGACTTACTTGGTTAGACCACCAGCTTGGTTAAATGGCTCCTGCTCCATGCCTACAGCCGTCCTGCTGAATGATGCTAAAGAGAAGACAAAACCTGTACTGACTGTTCTCACTTTAAATTCATGACTCTGTGTAAGTGGGACATTGATATTGTGTCTGGACTCGGTGGGTTCTTGATCTGACTTCAAGAATGAAGCTGCGGACCCTCGCGGTGAGTGTTACAGTTCTTAAAGGCAGCGTGTCCAGAGTTTGTTCCTTCTGATGTTCGGATGTGTTCGGAGTTTCTTCCTTCTGGTGGGTTCGTGGTCTTGCTGGCTCAGGAGTGAAGCTGCAGACCTTCACGGTGAGTGTTACAGCTCTTAAGGCGGCACGTCTGGAGTTGTTCATTCCTTCTTGTGGGTTTGTGGTCTCACTGGCTTCAGGAGTGAAGCTGCAGACCTTCGCGGTGAGTGTTACAGCTCATAAAGGCATTGTGGACCCAAAGAGTGAGCAGCAGCAAGATTTATTGCAAAGAGTGAAAGAACAAAGCTTCCACAGTGTAGAAGCAGACCCCACCGACTTGCCACTGCTGGCTCGGGCAGCCTGCTTTTATTCTCTTATTTGGCCCCACCCACATCCTGCTGATTGGTCCATTTTACAGAGAGCCAATTGGTCTGTTTTACAGAGAGCTGATTGGTCCATTTTGACAGGGTGCTGATTGGTGCATTTACAATCCCTGAGCTAGACACAAAAGTTCTCCATGTCCCCACTAGATTAGCTAGATACAGAGTGTGGATTGGTGTATTTAAAAACCCTGAGCTAGACACAGAGTGCCAATTGGTGCATTCACAAACCCTGAGCTAGACACAGAGTGCCGATTGGTGCATTCACAATCCCTTAGCTAGACATAAAGATTCTCCAAGTCCCCACCAGATTCAGGAGCCCAGCTGGCCTCACCCAGTGGATCTCACACCAGGGCCGCAGGTGGAGCTGCCCACCAGTCCCACGCCATGCGCCCGCACTCCTTAGCTCTTGGGCGGTGGATGGGACCAGGTGCTGTGGAGTAGGGGGCGGTGCTCCTTGGGGAGGCTCAGGCCGTTTAGGAGCCCACAGCATGGGGGCGGGGGGGAGACTCAGGCATGGTGGGCTGCAGGTCTCCAGCCCTGCCCTGCGGGGAGGCAGCTAAGGCCCGGCGAGACATCAAGCGCAGCACTGGTGGGCTGGCACTGCTGGGGGACCCGGCACACCCTCCACAGCTGCTGGCCTGGGTGCTAAGCCTCCTCACTGCCCGGGGCCGGCGGGGCCAGCTGGCTGCTCTGAGTGCGGGGCCACCGAGCCCATGCCCACCCAGAACTTGCGCTGACCCACAAGCGCCACACGCAGCCCTGGTTCCCGCCCATGCCTCTCCCTCCACACCTCCCGGCAAGCTGAGGGAGCTGGCTCTGGCCTCGGCCAGCCCAGAAAAGGGATCCCACAGTGCAGGGGTGGGCTGAAGGGCTCCTCAAGCATGGCCAGAGTGGGCGCCGAGGCTGAGGAGGCACTGAGAGCGATCGAGGGCTGCGAGGGCTGCCAGCACACTGTCACCTCTCAATATTACCAGGTATTCCTACTACATTTTCTGCATCATCAATTCTCCCCTATTTCCTGAGTGTACTTCTTTCTTTTTCCTTAAAACTCCCAACTTCATTTTTGCTCTCAGCTGAGAGTACCAAGCTTCCTATTTCACTAAAATATTGGAACAATCTAAAGAGAATTTCCACAAGCTATCATCATCACTCACTTCCATACAACTGTGTCTGCAGGTTTCCTATTGTCCCTCCTATTACTAAATTAAAGAACTGTTCATACTCTTCATCAAGGTCAATCCCTCTCCCTGTGCTTCATATTTCATCCCTTCTGTCTACCCAAGGATATTTTTGCCTCCCCTCTCTCCCACATTATTAGTATTATTTTTACCTCTACTAGAGCTTTCCTTTAACTATGGAAATGTGCTTTGATTTCTCTCATCTTAAAAACTTTTTCTTGTCCTCACTTCCTGTTAAAATTAATGCTCATTTTACTCTTTCCTAGTTGTGATGTTTAATTTTATATGTCAGTGTGGCTGGGCCACAGTGCCCAGATATTTGGTCGAATATTATTCTAGATGTTTAGGGGTGAGATTTATATATTTACAGATTTTAAGTAAAACAAATTGCCCTCCATATTGTGGGTGGGCCTCCAATCAGTTGAAAGCCAGAATAGAACAAAAGGCTGAAATCTGCCATTAGACAGCCTTCAGGCTACAGCTGCAACATCAGCACTTCATGGTCTCTAGCCTGACTGCCTTTGGACTCTGACCGTAACTCTTTCCTGAATCTCCAGCTTACTGGCCTCCTCCATCAGATTTTGTTGTTGCCAGAGACTCCACAATCACAGTAGCCAATTCCTTAAAATAAATCTCTAACCTGTTGGTTCTGTTTCTCTGGTGAACCCTAACTAACATACCATTACAGCAAATTCCTTGCTGGTGGTTTATATACATTGTTTCCAGTGTCTCTACTTCCATTCTCTCTTTTCACCCACTCCAATCAATTTTTCACCCCGTAACTTGTCAAAATTTCTCATCAAGAACACTAATGACTTCTAATTAACAATAATGGCCAATTTTCATCCTCTGTAGACAGGATAATACCTCTTTTGCTCTCCCCGTATTCTAATTCCTGGCATTTGTTAATATGTTGCCTTAGATGTCAAAAGTTACTTTGCATATGTGATTAAACTATGGATGGAGAGAGTATCCTGGATTATCCATGATAGCCCAATGTAATCACAGGGGTCTTTATATGAGAGAGGCAAGAGGGTAAGTGTTGGAGAAGAAGATGTGACAACAGAATCTGAGAAGAGATTTTAGATACCGTACTGCTGGCTTTGAAGTCAGAGAAAGAGGCCACAAACTGAGAAATGAAGACAGCTTCTAAAAGGTAGAAAACACAAGGGAATGGATTGTCCTCAAGAGCTTCCAGAAGGAATGCTGCCCTGCCAACACTTTAATTTTAGTGTAGCAACACCCATTTTGGATTTCTGACTCCCAAAACTATGAGATAATAAATTTGTGTGGGTTTAAGTACTAGATCTCTGGCAATTTGTTACAACGGTAACAGGAAATTAATAGAAGAAGCATTTGACAAGACAAATTATTCTCGTCTCTTTAAAAAACAGTCTTTATACTAACCTTCTAGGATAGCAGCATGTCTTCATTATTCTAGGTAATGCTTCTTTGTATCTTTTTATTATAGAGTAGTTTTTAGCTTACAAAAAATTTGCAAAGACGGTATAGTTTCTACATAGCTATATCTAGTTTCTTCTATTTTAACATCTCACATTAATATTTATCACAATTAATGAACCAATGTTGGTATATTACCTTGAAGCAAACTAAATATGGCCTGAGAAGGACTCCGTACTTCTATATTTGGGTCCTTGTGGATGAACTGCAACCTAAGTTAATAGGTAGACAAGATTGAAAATCTAATTTAGGAGTATGCACCTGTAACAATAGCTGAGTCTTGGGCAATCCCAGCGACCATACTTCAACCACTCATATACTGCTGAGTGTTCAAACTGTATTCAAACAAGGCAAATGCTGAGCTGTAACCAATCCATTTGTTTCTGTACCTCACTTCTGATTTCTGTACATCACTTCCAATTTTTTGTCTGTAAATTTGTTCTGACAATGAGGCACCACTGGAGTCTCTCTGAATCTGCTGTGATTCTGGGGGCTGCTCTATTCACAAATCGTTCATTGCTCAATTAAACTCTTTTACATTTAATTTGGCTGAAGTTTTTCTTTTAACAATTATAATCCATATTTTCAGGTTTCTTAAGTTTTTATGCAATGCCACATTCTGTTCTAGGCTCCAATCTAGGATTCTATATTACAGTTAATCATCATATCTTCTTAGGCTTCTGTCGCTGTAACAGTTTCTTGGACTTTCTGTGTCTGATGACCTTGAACAATTTTGAAGAATATTGGTTAGTATTTGGTAAAATATTCCTTACTTGGAATTTGTCTGATGTTTACCTCATGGGGTCATGGGTTTGGGGGTTATGAGTTTTAGGGATTGGGGTTGTGGATTTGGAGGATGCAGACCACAGAGGTAAAGTGCCATTTTCATTACATCATATTAAGAGTATATACCATTGATATGACTCACCATTATTGATGTTAATCTCTATCATCTTATTGAGGCACTGTATTATTCAGGGTTCTCTAGAGGACACAGTTAATAGGATATATGTATATGAAAGGGAGTTTGCTAAAAAGAATTGGACTCACATGATCACAAGGTGAAGAAGTCCCATGATAGGCTGTCTGCAAGCTGAGGAGCAAAGAATCTAGTAGTGGCTCAATCCGAGTCCCAAAACCTCAAAGGTAGGGAAACTCACAGTGCAACCCTTTTTTTTTTTTTAATTTTATTATTATTATACTTTAAGTTTTAGGATACATGTGCACAAAGTGCAGGTTTGTTACATATGTATACATGTGCTATGTTGGTGTGTTGCACCCATTAACTCATCATTTAGCATTAGGTATATCTCCTAATGCTATCCCTCCCCCCTCCCCCCACCCCACAGCAGTCCCCGGTGTGGGTGTGTGATGTTCCCCTTCCTGTGTCCATGTGTTCTCATTGTTCAATTCCCACCTATAACCGAGAACATGCGGTGTTTGGTTTTTTGTCCTTGCGATAGTTTGCTGAGAATGATGGTTTCCAGCTTCATCCATGTCCCTACAAAGGACATGAACTCATCATTTTTTATGGCTGCATAGTATTCCATGGTCTATATGTGCCACATTTTCTTAATCCAGTCTATCCTTGTTGGACATTTAGGTTGGTTCCAAGTCTTTGCTATTGTGAATAGTGCCGCAATAAACATATGTGTGCATGTGTCTTTATGGCAGCATGATTTATAATCCTTTGGGTATATACCCAGTAATGAGATGGCAGGGTCAAATGGTATTTCTAGTTCTAGATCCCTGAGGAATTGCCACACTGACTTCCACAATGGTTGAACTAGTTTACAGTCCCACCAACAGTGTAAAAGTGTTCCTATTTCTCCACATCCTCTCCAGCACCTGTTGTTTCCTGACTTTTTAATGATCGCCATTCTAACTGGTGTGAGATGGTATCTCATTGTGGTTTTGATTTGCATTTCTCTGATGGCCAGTGATGATGAGCATTTTTTCATGTGTTTTTGGCTGTATAAATGTCTTCTTTTGAGAAGTGTCTGTTCATATCCTTTGCCCACTTTTTGATGGGGTTGTTTTTTTTTTTCTTGTAAATTTGTTTGAGTTCATTGTAGATTCTGGATATTAGCCCTTTTTCAGATGAGTAGGTTGCAAAAATTTTCTCCCATTCTGTAGGTTGCCTGTTGACTCTGATGGTAGTTTGTTTTGCTGTGCAGAAGCTCTTGCATTTAATTAGATCCCATTTCTCAATTTTGACTTTTGTTGCCATTGCTTTTGGTGTTATAGACATGAAATCCTTGCCCATCCCTATGTCCTGAATGGTATTGCCTGGGTTTTCTTCTAGGGTTTTTATCTGTGGCCGAATGCCCAAGAGCCCCTGGCAAACCACTGGTGTAAGTCCAAGAGTTCAAAAGCCAAAGAACTTGAAGTCTGATGTTCTAGGACAGGAAGCATCCAGCATGGGAGAAAGATGAAGGCTGGAAGACTCAGCAAGTCTGCTCATTCCACCTTCTTCTGCCTGCTTTTTCTAGCCAAGCTGGCAGCTGATTGGATGGTGCCCACTCACATTGAGGGAGGGTCTTCCTCTCCCAGTCCACTGACTCAAATGTTAATCTCCTGTGGCAACACCCTCACAGACACACTCAGGAACAAAACTTGGCATCCTTCAATCCAATTAGATTGACATTTACTATTAACCACCACAGGTAATACTTACCAGATTTCTCCACTATAAAGTTATTTTCCTCCTCATTTTCATACTTTATTCTTGGGAAGGAAGTCATTATGCACAACCCACACTTAAGGAGTGGGGACTTTTCCCAATAGAATGTCTTAGATTTGTATATCCAACACCTTTCCTGATGTCTCCACCAGGTATCTGAAATTGAACATGCCCCAAACCACTATACCCCTCCTCCATGCACACAACTTACCCCCATTGACACCAGGAAATCCTTTTCCTCCTGCAGAGTTTACCATCTCAATGAATGGAAACTCCATTGTTCCAGTTGCTTAGGCCCAAAGCTTTGAAGCCATCCTTAATTCTTTTCTTTCTCTCAGGCTCCATATCTTATGTGTAAGCATTAGCTCTACATTCAAGACACACACTATCACCACCCTAATCCAAGACACTGCTATCTCTCACCTGGATTATTGCAATAGCGGCCCGACTGGGCACTCTGCTTCTACCTTTTCCTTCCTTCAGTCTATTATGAAATCAGCAACCAAAGTGATTCTGGTGAAACATAAACGGACCATGTCACTCTTCTTTTAGAAACCTGTCAGTGTCTTGCACTTTCTGTGCCCTCTATCTGGAGTGATCTTTCCTTAGACATCTATTTAACTCACTCCCTTGCTGCTTTCAGGTTATTTACCCAAAAGATACCACCTTAGTGAGACTTCCCTGGCCACTGAATATGACATTTTAAACATAGCCTCCCCACTAAGAAACAAATTAAGTATTTTTTTACTGCTTTATTGTTTCTCCTTAACAGTTATCACAATCCAGCATATTATTTATGTTACTCATTTGTCCTACTTATTTCCTGTTTCATCATCTACCACATGAAGGCAGGGATTTTGTTCACTTTGTGTTCCCAGAACCTAAAGCAGTACATAGTACAGAGTAGGTGCTCTGTAAATGTTTGTTGAATGAATAAATGAATTAAGAGTTAGAGAAATTTTTTTGATTTTTGCCAAATCATCTCCATCTATTCTCTTATAAATATATGCTGAATTTCTCTTAAATGCTCACCTTAATAACTTTTTTAATTCACATGACACAAAAATCTAATAATTTTATATTTTAAGCTGAGTCAGTGATGCATGTACACGCACCATTTGACCAATACATATAGTACTGTGAGGTGTTACAAAGTTAATTATAACAATTAGTTTTTTCATTTTCTCACTGCTTTTGCTGAGGCCTGGTATTAGTTAATACTCTTATACATGAGTTAAGTAGCTTGACCAAAGGAAGAAAGGTCAAAACTTATTGCCACGTTTAACTGGAAATTTCAAGCAATGCATTAGATTCAGGTATGGCTGAATCCACGTGTTCATGATGTTACAGGAAACTGTTTCTATAACATCTCAGCTTTGCTTTTGTCTGTTGGCTTCTCAGTCAGGTGTTTTCCATGTTACAGTAAAGATGGCCTCCAGAAGCTCTAAGCTGACATAGTTTTTCATGCTCAGGATCTCTGAAGGTAAGAAAGGTATTTCTTTTCTATTTATGTCCATATAAAACTTTCAAATGGACTTTGATTGATTCTATTGGGTGTTATTCTCATTTCTGGATCAGTTACTATGTTGAATGAGATACAGTGTTTAGACTGGCTCATCAGGTGTCATTCTGATCCCACTGGCAGTGGAGGTACAGCCATTATTGGCATCTGTACCAGATGAAAAGGGCAGTTCTTGAAAGAAAAACTTAAAACAGAAAAAATACCTCTAAAAAAACTAAAATATTATTTTTAGCCATCAATCCTGACACAATGCAAACTGACAGTGAAGTCTAATTCTTATAGCATTCTTGCTAGTAGCTGAAATACCAAGGCATATTGGGAAGCAAAAATAGGCAGAATGGCTATAAGGTACATGAGAGGACAGAAAAAATGTATTGGCAGATTTTTTTTTCTGAAATATTTAGCTCATTTTCTGTGATTAGTTTTAAAATTCTTTCCAACATTTTAAAAGTTGAAAAGATAATAATAACAAAAGTAATAGTATTCTTGTTGATGCCAGTGTTGTGGACTAGAAAACGGTTTTCAGCATCAATAAGTTATAAAAGAAATAATGTGTTGGAGCTTTCGTTGCATCTTTAAAGTTTTTGCTGTGATTTGTACCTACAGTACATTTGGTAATATGCTCTCCTCTATTTCCTTGCATGACTCACATAGATTTGCTGATCATGAAGAGCACAATCTATTTTTCCCACTTGTGAATAAATATAAAACACAATGTTGAAAGTTGTATTCATCTACTTTACATAGGCCAGTATAGTGCTGGCACTATAGGCTGCATGAGTACCATGTTTCCCCACTTCTCTTTTTTACACAGTGTTACCTGAGGATAAAAAATTGTGGTCTAAAAAATACCACTCCATATGGCCCTACCCTCTGATAGGTTTTCTCAGCTGCAGCTTCACTGTGTGCATAACCTCACTGTGGGGCTCAAGGAAGCTGTTGGACTAGAAAAAATTTCATTGCTGCTGTCCATGGGAAATTATTTGACATAATGTAGCTGCTTTTCATTTCAGGTAACAACCTTTGAAATATAGTAGGTATCCTTAAAAATTTGCAAATAGCCTCCTCCTAGCTATCTCTGCTTATTTCTCTTGCTGGACTTCCCTGCATAATCATTGGTTTGCTAGAGTGAGACTCAGTCATAGTCATGCCTTGTTTGTTTATGATATTTTCCTTTTGTGTTAATATATAATGCTTTTCATTTTTCCACTTTTAAAGAGATCAGAGTAGTATTGCAATTGCCAAGCATCTACCATGTATAATTCAAATTGATCAAACTGAGTTATTGTAGCTAAGGAAAGACAACATATGTTTCGTATAACTGTCCTGCTATCTCCCCATGTCATCTCTGCCCTCCAAGATTGTAGCTGCTATTCTTCTGTCCTTACAGCCACAATGCTGCATGAGAAAACCCTCTTTTGTTTCTGTATCGTCAGATCAAAAACATGGTTAGGCTGAGCAGAGCTGGACTAGAGGCAGGGAGGGAAAAGCAGAGGATTGGAACCCAGGTGATATGGTTTGGTTCTGTGTCCCCACCCAAATCTCATCTCATATTGTAATCCCCAGATGTGGAGGAAGGGATATGGTGGGAGGTGATTGGATCATGGGGGTGGTTGCCCCATGATGTTCTTGTGATAGGGAGTTCTCACGAGATCTGATGGTTTAAAAGTGGGATTTCCCTTGCTCTCTCTTCCTCTGCTGACACCTTGTGAAGAAGGTGCTTGCTTCTCCTTTGCCTTCCTCCGTGATTGTAAGTTTCTTGAGGCCTCCCAAGACATGTAGAACTGTGAGCCAATTAAGCCTCTTTTGTTTATAAATTACCAAATCTCAGGTATTCTTCATAGCAATGTGAAAACGGACTATGACCGCAGGTGTACAAAATCCCTATTCTATCTCAAAATAAAGGCATATATTCTGCTATCAGTTACTTTAAGTGTGAATGGAGATTAAAGTACTGGACTGAGAGGCATGAGGATCTTGTGTTGGTTCTCTCATTAACTAGCTGTATTACCTCAGGCAAGAACTTTAACTGCTCTAAACTTCAGGTTTTTTTGGTAAAATGAGGCATTGTGTTTATAAATAATTTCTGACGTTCTTTCCAGCTTTAAAGTGCTACGCATTTAGGGCACTGCACTTCCTTCATTTATATTACTGATTTTAGGTTTTCCACATATTTTTCTACTTTACGTTAGATCCAATTTAGGGTATATACGAAAAGTGGTGTCAGAAATGTTATTTTGGCACTTCCTATATCCTTTTTATCTTTTCCACTGAAGTATAATTTTGAATGCCAAATTGAATAATTGTTTTCATAAATGTTATGTATATTTTTCTTGATATTCTGCTTTCCATATGTTTTATACATTTTCTGCATGAAGCAATTTATTTTAATGAGTTTGTTCATTTTGAAATCAAATAGAGCCATAATCTCCAGCACTTTTTTTTTTTTTGTCAGCTCAGTCTCTTTAGATGTCCTGAATCGTTTTTTTCCAAATTGTATTTTTCTTCATCAACTGAGCCCATATTCAGGACGAGGGCAGAGAATCATTTTCAGGATGATTCTGAGGTCAATATGAGGAAGTACAAAATTAGTAGCAGCTTTTACAAGAATAGACAATTGCACGAGCCTACTTCATTTGAAGGAAGAATCTGTGGCTATAAACCCAACACTTGGGAATTTTGTGATAACAACTTAGATGAAAAGAGAGACTGAGCTAAATGAATAGATTGGTTGCCTTATTTCACCAGAAAATATGGGCCTCTTTGACGAGGTTGTAGTTGCTAGGATGACCTCATTAGCCACTTCCTGCTGCACGTTATGATAAGATCATCATGGCATGTGTCATTCTGGTCAAGAGAAGAACTGCCAAGAATGATTTTATATGATTTCTGTGTTCATAAGTTTAAGTATGCAAAACGGGGCTCATGTTAATAGTAAGGGAGAATTTTCTATGTGCAAAGGTTACATACACAGAAGGATTTGTTCTGAGGAAGCTGAAGTATATCTTTTATTAAATAACTTTTATAGTAGATCAAGCAGCTCTGTTTGGGGGAATAATTCCTTTGACTTGGAAACGACTTGAACCTGATGATCTACTGAGAATGTTTTAGTTTGGTTCTATTATTTCAAATGGTTATTTTCTCACATAATGTTATCTTTTCATTCTGCATATAGTACTTTATGTTCAATTAATACTTCCATTTTTGCAACTTTGAAGCCTACACACCCACCCACTGTATGCTGGTTGAAACCAGCAAAACAGGCAAACTATTAGCTTTTCTTCAAATTACTGACATGATGAAATAGTATTAGGGGAAGATCTCCTTTGATGGGATATTATTGTTCATGCCAAATTTGAAAATACTCTTTAGAGCTTTTAAGACCATTCTTCATTTAAATGGAATAGCTATAGAAATATTGCTGGATTAAGAAGTAGGGTAGGTGGGTTACTTACGTGAATACTAAACTATAAAGAAGAGTACATCATTGAGGCCGGGCGCAGTGGCTCAAGCCTGTAATCCCAGCACTTTGGGAGGCAGAGGCAGGTGGATCACGAGGTCAGGAGATCGAGACCATCCTGGCTAACATGGTGAAACCCCATCTCTACTAATAATACAAAAAAATTAGCCGGGCGTGGTGGTGGGCACCTGTAGTCTCAGCTACTCAGGAGGCTGAGGCAGGAGAATGGTGTGAACCCGGGAGGCGGAGCTTGCAGTGAGCCGAGATTGCGCCACTGCACTCCAGCCTGGGCGACAGAGCAAGACTCCGTCTCAAAAATAATAATAATAATAATAAAAAAGAAGAGTACATCATTGATTACTAAAATATTGTGAAATATGTGCAAAGATATATAAAATATTACTATAACATTTCTAGCAAAAACATAGTTGAATAATACTTTCATAAGTCATTTGGAGCATGAAATATATTGTCCCTAATCTGCCATTAAAGCAGGGTGGCACCTACTGTAAAGCTACTATTTTCTTAGTAGAATGTGCAGTTGGGAATAGAGCTTTTGAGATGTTAGAGAATTTGGGAATAGCCACAAGGGGGCTACGTTTCTATTCTCTTCCCACACAGTAGTCTGCGTCTTCTATAAGTAAATGTTTGATTATTTAAAGTATACCAATGTGAAGGAACAGCAAAGTATTATCCTGACTCAGGTGCCCACTGTTTGTATTATCTTTCTGTTCTTCCAATTTGAATACAGGAAAGCCAAATCTTGGCAATGTATTTATACATTTTGGCAGTTGGTTTGTCTTTATTATAAAATACATGATTTTATATATTTATATATAATTTGGATATTTGTCCCCACCCAAATCTCATGTTGCATATAGTCATGAATGCTGGAGGTGGGGCCTGGTTGGAGGTTAATATGGTTTGGATTCGTGTCCCTACCCAAATCTCATGTTGAATTGGAGGAGGGGCCTGGTAGGAGGTAATTGGATCATAGGGACAGATTTCCCCTTTCCTGTTCTTGTGATAGATGGATCTGATGGTTTAAAAGTGTGTGGCACTTTATAAGTTACCCAGCCTCAGGTAGTTCTTTATAACCATGTGAGAATGGACTAATACAGAAAATTGGTACCAGAAAAATGGGGCACTGCTATAAAGATACCTGAAAATGGGGAAGTGACTTTGGAACTGGGAAATAGGCAAAGGTTAATTGACTCACAGTTCCATAGGCTGTACAGGAAGCATGGCTGGAAGGCCTCAGGGAACTTACAATCATGGTGGAAGGCAAAGAAGTGAGTCTTCACATGTTGGAGCAGGAGACAGACAGAGGGTGAAGGAGGAAGTGCCACACACTTTTTCTTTAGCATTTACTTGCCTATCCTTAGACTTAGCAAACACATTTTCCTTTTTCTTGAGGTGATTACCTTGTGTTCATTTTGGTTCACTTTGGAACATCATAAATTCCTCTTGGGAAGAGTCAAGATCCATGCTTGCTGCTTTGTTGTATTGCTAGTACTTAGCACATTGTCTAGAACATGCTTGGTGATATTTAGTGCTAGCTAGATGTACATACAAATTATGGGGCTGAACGCTATAGATAAACACAATATTAAATATTGCTCATGTATCGAGCCAAACCACAAAGCTTTTATTAAATACATAAATGATTTCATTCTTTTCTAACCCATTCTGCCTCAGAGTTTTACAGATAACTTTTCACTTTTATTTTACTATCCACCATCACTATTTTACCTTAGACTTCATTTGTGATGCCCCTAAGTCCTTTAAGTCATATTTACTTTTCTATGTTTGGAAATAGGGAAAGCAACCATGTTCCTAATGGGAAAAGGCCTGGACTTGGGATAAGAAGACATGGGTTTATTAATTGTGTTACATTATACAAGTGTATTTAACTTCTTTGTTACTGTGACAGTCTTTGTAATCCCCATATGCCTATAAAAAAGTGGGTAAAAAGCATAAGTTACATATGTATATATATAACTCTCTCTATATATAAAACTTAATATATATTTTATGTAAAACTGTATATATATTTGCAATTCATATTCAATTTTATGCATATAACAGATAAATGATATGACATTTAAAATAATAACCAGATCTAAAAAAGATATATATTAGATACATTTATTCTGGATTAGATAATAAAATAAGTGTGTTAGTTAATAATTACTTGTTGCCAAAATTGCACTTGAAGATCCCTTGGAATTCTTTGTTTATTAAACCTCTACTAGCGCAGCGTGGAGAGGAAATGTGGAGTTGGAGCCCCCACATGGAGTCCCCACTGGGGCACTGCCTAGTGGAGCTGTGAGAAGAGGGCCACCATCCTCTAAACCCCAGAATGGTAGCTCCACTGATGGCTTGCACCTTGCACATGGGAAAGTCGCAGGCACTCAATGCTAGCTTGTGAGGGTGGCCTGGAGAGGGGCTGTACCCCACAGGACCACAGTGGCAGAGCTGCGCAATGCCTTGAGAGCCCACCTCTTGCATCAGCATGCCCTGGATATGAGACATGGAGTCAAAGGAAATAATTTTGGAGCTTTAAGATTTAACGACTGATCTGGGCTTCAGACTTGCATGGGGACTGTAGCCCCTTTGTTTTGGCCATCTTCTCCCATTTGGAATGGGAGCATTTACCCAATGCCTGTACCCCCGTTGTATCTTGGAAGTAACAGACTTGTTTTTGGTTTCACAGGCTCATAAGCAGAAGGGACTTACTTTGTCTCAGATGAGACTTTGGACTGTGAACTTTTGAGTTAATGCTGAAATGAGTTAAGACTGGGGGACTGTTGAGAGTGGATAATTGTATTTTGCAATGTGAGAAGGACATGAGATTTAGGAGGGACCAGGGGCAGAATAATATGGTTTGGATTTGTGTCTGCCGCCCAAATCTCATGTCAAATTGTTGGAGGGGCCTGGCAGGAGGTGATTGGATCATGGGGCATACTTCCTCCTTGCTATTCTTAAGATAGTGAGTGAGTTCTCATGAGATCTGATGGTTTAAAAGTGTGTGGCACTTCCTCCTTCACTTGTTCTCTCTCTCCTGCTTTGACATGTGAAGACGTGTTCACTTCCCTTTCACCTTCTGCCAAGATTGTGTTTCTTGAGGCCTCCCAGTCATGCTTCCTGTACAACCTGCAGAACTATGCATCAATTAAACCTATTTTGTTCATAAATTACCCAGTCTCAGGTAGTTCTTTATAGCAGTGTGAGAACAGACTAATACCAGAGGTGTTTGGATCATGGAAGTAAATTCCTCATGGTTTGGTGCTGTCTTTGTGATAGTGAGTTCTCATGAGATCTGGTCATTTAAAAGTGTATGACACCTTTTCCCCCCTCCCACCACCTCTCTCTCTCCCTCTGTCTCTCTCTCTCTCTCCCTCTCTCACTAGCTCCTGCTTTCACCTTGTGATGTAACTGTTTTCTCTTGGCCTTCTGCCATGATTGCAAGTTCCCTGAGGCTTCACCAGAAGCTGAGCAGATGCTTCCCATTCGGCCTGCATAACTGTGAGCAGTAAAACATGTTTCTTTATCAATTACCCAGTTTCAGGTATTTCTTTATAGCAATGCAAGAATGGCCCGAGACACACACACTCTCTCTCTTATTTATGAAGTTTAACATAGTCAGATTTAACTTCGCCATTGGAACAGATGGCTTTTTCTCCATTTGAGCACCAGATGCGGTGGTTGCTTTGTGTCCTGGGATCTGTTTCAGCCTATTGTGGCAAAGTCTGCACTACAAGAAACAAAATGGTATCACACGTAGTGCAGAGCACCCATTCACTGAATTATTGAATAAATGGAGGATAGAATAGCCTCTACTGCTTAATTTTTTTCTTACCAAACATGCAAGATTAATTAACATAATTAGGTAGTTGTTTATGTGCTATATGTTGATACACTTGCATTTATCTTTCCACATTAATATTTCTAAAACCACTTAAAACCGAGGAGCAGTTTAAATGTAGATTTCAGTATGTCTATTTGCTGTTCTGAGAACCCACATTTTTCAAAGAAAACAATGAAACCACATTGCTCTTCCTGTGGAGCATATGCTCCATTTTGTTCCTTAGCTCAACTACTTGATCTCCAATTTTAATATAAATAAATCATTATTTAACAGAGTGACCTTTATCAATTAAAACATACTGCATTTCAGGCCACTATGTTATGTGTGTGTGTTTTACTTTCTGTCTGGGCATTTTTAAATGGTTTTCTCTAGTATTCAGGAAATGGGAGATAGTTTTATCTACTACATTGAAAACTACCCTAGAAAGCAGACTTCCGATTTACTTCCTTGTCTGTGGGCTTCATGGGGATGGGAACTGAAAGTCGAACAGCTATTCCCTAGGCAGCTGACAAAGCTGACAGGAGGTTAACTGTGTTCTCATAGTCAATCAACAATACCTACATGTGTTTTCCATATTGTTCTATGACTTGGTTTGGACTTTCATATGCAAGGTTCCCACATCAGAAAAAAAGTTTTTGATAGCTTTTGCTCTGAACTCTTGCTTCATAGAACTGCCAATTTGAGGCAGCTGGGGATTACATAGAGAGTTTAGTTGCATGTGGATTCTTTTTCTTTTTCTTTTTCTTTCTTTCCTTTCCCTCAACTTCACAGCATTGTTTCTTTTGGCTAATCTGGTGGATTCCTGGAAAGTTTATGGGACTTGTGGGAGTGCTTTGCCCTGAAGCAAACTTAGTTCAGCTTCCTCGTTAAGGCACATTGGTCCTGGCCTCTTGTGGAGTGGGTCTGTTTTGTCCCCTTAGGGAAGGGAGTATCCTGTCTTTCTTAATAATGAAGCAAAAAGATGACTCCAAAAGAGAATTGGCAACATCCAGAGAGGATGTCGTCCAGCTCTCCTCCAATATGTGCACCTCATCCTGAGCAAACTTGTGAAGTCCCTCATCAGTCTTTAATATAGTTAAGCAAATATTTTGCTTTATTCTATCTTATTTTATAACAATATGTGAGCAGTTAACCAAAGTCAAAAGAGTAATGAAACTTCTATGAATCCTGCAAAATTGGTGTATACATTACATGAAAATCCCTTGGAATTTTCAGTTTATTCAACATCCATGGTTCAACATGCATTTACCAACACCATATAATTGTTTTTCAAATCACTGTGTTCTACCTTATCAACAAACTCCACAAAACAAAAGATAGGCCAACCCTGGAATGTTTCAAGGATTAAATGTGAGACTGACTATGAGAAATATTTGTTTAAATGCTGAACCAGTGGACAAATTAATTTTCTTGTCATCATTTGAGATTATGTAATTTAAGATTGTCAGTCCTGGGGCTGGGTGCGGTGGCTCACGCCTGTAATCCCAGCACTTTGGGAGGCCAAGGCGGGCAGATCAGGAGGTCAGGAGATCGAGACCATCCTGGCTAACACGGTGAAACCCCGTCTCTACAAAAAATACAAAAAAATTAGCCGGGCGTGGTGGTGGGCCCCTGTAGTCCCAGTTACTCAGGAGGTTGAGCCAGGAGAATGGCGTGAACCCGGGAGGCGGAGCTGGCAGTGAGCCGAGATCACGCCACTGCACTCCAGCCTGGGCGACAGAGCGAGACTCATCCAAAAAAAAAAAGATTGTCAGTGCTTTGGGAATGAAATTGAGGGGCCTGGGATGGTATACTGAAAAGTAAGGGCAATAGGAATTCTTGACACAGAGCAGAGCATGGTGTTTAGGTACGTAGACTCTGGGGCCAGACATGTGTGTATCAATCTCACATCTTTATTCGACAAGTTATGCAACCTCACTATGCTTCAATTTTCTCATCAGTAATATGTAGATAATAGTACTTAGCATATTGGATTGTTACGGTGATCAAATTAGTTTATTTGGTATAGCACTTAGAACATTCCTGGGACATCATGAGAGTGATTTTTTTTAATTTGATAAATACTTATATTTGTTTCTTAGTGCTGCCACAACAAAGTATCACCAACTGGGTGGCTTAAAACAACAGAAATTCATTTCTCATTCTGCAGGCTAGATGTCTAAATGAAGGTGTCGGTAGAGTTAGTTCCTTCTGCATGCTCTGTGGAAGAATCTGTTCCATGCCCTTCTCTTTGCTTCTGATGTTACCAGCAATGATTGATATTCCTTGGCTTGTAGATGCATCCCTCCAGTCTCTGTCTCTGTTATCACATGGTATTCCCAGGTGTGTCTCTCTTCTTCTTATAAGAAAACCAGTTGCATTGGATTAAGGGCCTACCCTACTTTAATGTGATCTCATCTTAACTAATTATATCCGCAATAATTCTATTTTCAAATGAGATCACATTCTGAGGTATTCGGGGTTAGGACATCAACATATTGTTTCTGGGGGACACAATTCAAACCAGAACAGTACTAAAAATTAAAAAAAAAAACAGGCTTATCCAGTCTGTGTTAATTAAATAACTTAATGTACCATTGATATCTTTAACATCATAGGGTATGTCAGTTTCTGGATATCTGAATTTCAGAGGAGATATGGGTCCATCTCATCCCTACAACATCCTTTCTTCTCCTAGAGACCAGAAAATTCAGCAGCGGCTATACTTGGTTTTATAGCCCTCGACCCTCCATACTATTAGCCAAAGCCAATGTCCTCACTGAGATGTTCATGTAATAAAGCTGCTTCTCCCTTTATGCCTCACATACACACTTGATTCCCAATGTCCTGGTGCCTTTCTTATTCAGCCAATGCCAGTAGCCTCATGGCCCTCCAATCCTTTTTTTTTTTTTGTCCCACAACTGGACTTTCTTGGGGGTCAGTTGCATCTTTTGAATTAAATCCAAAGCTAAAATTCAGAGCAATTTAATACAGTAATTATGGTGACATTGGAACCCATTAAACCTGGGTTTGTGTTCCAGTTCTGCCATTTACTGGCTAGGTACCTTAGACATATTACTGTTCCTGTCTGAGCTTCAGTTTCCTCATGTATAAAATTGGAGATAATGATGTTTACATAGAACAACACCCAATCTATAATAGGCACTTGGTAAATGTTTGTCAATGAATAAATATATGGATAAAGTAATGAATCAACAGGGTTGTTGAGAACATTAAATAAGCTAATGAATGCACATGGCTTAGTACATTGGAAGTAGTCAATGAATGGTAGCTCTTTCATTCTCGTCTCCTCAATCCAAATTTTATTCTTAATTGTCTACGTCTGTCATAGTTCTAACATTCCAGGTTTGAAATAAATTGGTAATCTTTATCCCTCTACTGATCTAGCTAATCACCATGTTTTATCAGATTTTTACTTGAAATATCTACAGAGGCCAATCTTTCCATAAGAGTTATGATAACTTTGGAAACAACCCCCTCCTGCCCTCCTCCTGGCATCATATCTGGATGACAACAGCCTCCTGAGCATTTTCTTATCTCCAGTATCTTCTTTATTTAACCCATCCTGCCACCCTTAATTATCTTTTCCACCAAGTGAGCTACACCAATCCTACTTTTGATGGGCTCTACTTTGATAACTTAGTCTTATTGATAAGACCTGTGTGAGAATACTAGCCACTTTCCTCTCTCTTCCTTTTAAACTGGAAGACCAGTGACTGTGTGGATGCTTAATTATCTTCTGATTCATTTGGGCCCTTTACCACGTGCCATGATGTGGCTTTGTAGCAATGTTCAAAAGACTAATATATCCCTGGGATTTTGATAGTGTTTGTTTAACTCAGAATTTGTCCAGGCTTTCAGATTTTTTCCTGAGGATATTTTCAGTGATGCTAGCTTCTTTAGTGCTTTAAGTTTTAAAACTGTACATTGTTTTGGTATGATGAAAGATACCAAGATTTCCACCCCATGTGAATTTGCCCAAATTGAGTTTTGACCTATGAGTCTAGAACTCAGGCTACAGGAGGACAATCACTCTATGAAGAGAAGGATGTTGTCTTTCATGAAGGTGTAGCTCCTTGTAGTAGAAGTCAGCCAAATTGTGCCCCCAAAACACCTCATACTTTAGGTTAGTAAAGAAGAGTATACTTCTATAAATAAATTATATCTGCTTTAGGTGATTTAACTTTTGAAGAACCAAAAGGTTTTATTCAGGAACACGGCCATATGAATAACTTAAATGTGGTCATGGTCTATATGGTCAAAGCCTTGATCAAAAAGGTCACTAACTGAAACAGCTATGAAGGGTTCTTTGTTCAGCTGAAGCTTTTTCTGTTTAACCAAGGTGCTTTCTTTCAAACCTAGAGTCATCTGTACTTTATCTAGTCGATAAGTTAGTCTTTTCTACTCCATGGAAAAGATACTCCTCAGTTCCCAGTTTTGCAAAAAGTGATAAGAGTATCTGGAGTATGGAAAAGGCTAAATGACATCATTCTCACTGGGATTACTGGTAAAGAAAGAAGATGTAGGTTATGACCATATAAAATTAACAGATCTAGCCAAAACTTAAATTGTAATTCAATCTTGTGAGTTAGTCCTCTATAAATGAGCTCCTCCAAAATAAATCAGTGCATTTCCTGGTTTTGAGCAACAAAACTTACCACTTCTTCCTCTAGTTTATTCCATTAAAAAGTTTGGTCTTAACTACCAACTACTGGAATGGGAAAAGTCACTCACCATCACTGGGCTTTAATTTCTTCACTGTAAAGTAAGGAATTTGGAGTTATTGTTAGATCAACTCCAAAGATTTATAAAGTTGAAATTTTTGTTTGTTTGTTTGTTTGTTTTTGAGGTGCAGTCTCACTCTGTCACCCAGGCTGGAGTGCAGTTGGTGCGATCTGGGCTCACTGAAATCTCTGCCTTCTGGGTTCAAGCAATTCTCCTGCCTTAGCCTCACAAGTAGCTGGGATTACAAGTGGCTGCCACCACACCTGGCTAATTTTTGTATTTTTAGTAGAGACTGGGTTTTGCCTTGTTGGTCATGCTGGTCTCAAACTCCTGACCTCAAGTGATTTGCCCACCTTGGGCTCCCAAATTGCTGGGATTACAGGCATGAGCCACCATGCCCCACCATAAAGTTGAAATATTTTTGGAATAGAATATTGTAACTATTCATGGCATAGCTAAAAGTCTTCTTGAAATAGTCTGCTATAAAGAATGTGATATTATCTTACTATTTTGCTTAAAAATCTTTCAATGATTCCTCATCACAATCACAGTGAAAATAGAAGTCCTGTTTATATAAAGGCGCTCCTTAATTTGGTTCCCAGGGAGCTCTCTGATGTCCTTTCTATGCCCATAACTGTTTCTCACTTAGTCCAGCTACACTGCCCTCCTTGGTGTCACTGAACACACCACGTACTTCACCCTCAGGGCCTTTGCAGTAATCTTTCCTAGGACTCTATTTTCTTAGCCATGTACCTAGCTCACTCCCTTACCTATTTCAGATGTCGAATAAAATGCCACTTTCTTAACAAGCTATTCCTTGCTCTTCTGCCTAAATGTTTCCCCTCACATTTCTGAGCCTTAGTCCCTGCTTTATTATTCTTCTTATTAACTAATCTAACATACATGACACAGAACATACTATGTAATTTATTATCTATCTCTGTTAACCAGAATATAAGGTTTTTTCCTTTTCCTTATTTTTTTTGCTGCTCACTCAAAATTTGTGAAAGAATGATGAAAAGAATGAATGAAGGATAGAAATGTTTTCTGCTGAAAAGACAGATGAGAGTCTAATGAAATTCTTGATTCTGATTCAATATGGTGTCCATTTGTGAATATAGTCCCTGTCTTTTCTTGACCACTGAGTAATTATTCAGATGAGAACATATAACACTCCATGTGGATTTTGACTCTGGGGACTGAAAATACTCTTTAATCACTGTGCAAATAGATGTCAATCATCTGTTATGCAATGACAGCTAATTCACTATGTATAGATGCAAACCATTCCATTTTAATTTAACTAAATATAGCACTTTTCTTCCTCTTGAAATCCATCCCCTCTGCCTGCCCTCACTCTCCGTCTTTTAGAAATCATATTACAAATAGATTTCTGCTACAGTGTTTTGGAAAAATATTTAGTTACTTTAAATTCACTGCTGTAAAAAAAATTATCTGGGGCTCCAGTATGATCAAGTCGGCTTCATCACTGGGATGCAAAGCTGGTTCAATATATGCAAATCAATAAATGTAATCCATCACATAAACAGAAACAATGACAAAACCCACATTATTATCTCAATAGATGAAGAAAAGGCCTTTGAAAAAATTCAACACCCCTTCATGCTAAAAACTCTCAATAAATTAGGTATTGATGGAACGTATCTCAAAATAATAAGAGCTATTTATGACAGACCCACAGCCAATATCATACTGAATGGGCAAAAACTAGAAGTGTTCCCTTGGAAAACCGGCACAAGACAAGGATGCCCTCTCGCACCACTCCTATTCAACAAAGTATTGGAAGTTCTGGCCAGGGAAATCAGGCAAGAGAAAGAAATAAAGGGTATTCAAGTAGGAAGAGAGAACGTAAAACTGTCTCTGTTTGCAGATGACATGATTGTATATTTAGAAAACCCCATCATTTCAGCCCCAAATTTCCTTAAGCTGATAAGCAAATTCAGCAAAGTCTCAGGGCACAAAACAATGTGCAAAAATCACAAGCATTCCTATACACCATAATAGACAGAGTCAAACCATGAGTGAACTCCCATTCACAAGTGCTACAAAGAGAATAAAATAACTAGGAATACCACTTACAAGGGATGTAAAGGACCTCTTCAAGAAGAACCACAAGCCACTGCTCAAGGAAATAAGAGAGGACACAAACAAATGGAAGAACATTCCATGCTCATGGATAGGAAGAATCAATATTGTGAAAATGGCCATACTGCCCAAGGTAATTTATAGATTCAGTGCCATCCCCATCAAGCTACCAATGACTTTCTTCACAGAATTGGAAGAAACTACTTTAAAGTTCACGTGGAACCAAAAAAGAGCCCGCATTGCTAAGACAATCCTAAGCCAAATGAACAAAGCTGGAGGCATCATGCTACCTGACTTCAAACTCTACTACAAGGCTACGATAACCAAAACAGCATGGTACTGGTACCAAAACAGAGATATAGGCCAGTGGAACAGAACAGAGGCCTCAGAAATAACACCACACATCTACAACCATCTGATCTTTGACAAGCCTGACAAAAACAAGCAATTTTCAGGGAAAGGATTCCCTATTTAATAACTGGTGTTGGGAAAACTGGCTAGCCATATGCAGAAAACTTAAACTGGATCCCTTCCTTACACCTTATACAAAACTTAACTCAAGATGGATTAAAGACTTAAATGTAAGACCTAAAACCATAAAAACCCTAGAAGAAAACCTTGGCAATACCATTCAGGACATAGGCATGGGCAAAGACTTCATGACTAAAACACCAAAAGCAATGGCAACAAAACCCAAAACTGACAGATGGGATCTAATTAAACTAAAGAGCTTCTGCACAGCAAACGAAGCTACCATCAGCTTGAACAGGCAACCTACAGAATGGGAGAAAATTTTTGCAATCTACTCATCTGACAAAGGGCTAATATCCAGAATCTACACAGAACTTAAACAAATTTACAAGAAAAAAACAACCCCATCACAAAGTGGGTGAAAGATATGAACAGACACTTCTCAAAAGAAGACATTTATATGGCCAACAAACATATGAAAAAAAGCTCATCATCACTGGTCACTAGAGAAATGCAAATCGAAACCACAATGAGACACCATCTCACACCAGTTAGAATGGCGATCATTAAAAAGTCAGGAAACAACAGATGCTGGAGAGGATGTGGATAAATAGGAATGCTTTCACACTGTTTGTGGGAGTGTAAATTAGTTCAACCATTGTGGAAGATAGTGTGGCAATTCCTCAAAGATCTAGAACCAGAAATACAATTTGACCCAGCAATCCCATTACTGGATATATACCCAAAGGATTATAAATCATTCTACTATAAACACAAATGCACACATATGTTTATTGCAGCACTGTTCACAATACAAAGACTTGGAACCAACCCAAATGCCCATCAGTGATAGACTGGATAAAGAAAATGTGGCACCATGTACACCATGGAATACTATGCAGCCATAAAAAAGGATGAGTTCATATCCTTTGCAGGGCCATGGATGAAGCTGGAAACCATCATTCTCAGCAAACTAACACAAGAACAGAAAACCAAACACTGCATGCTCTCGCTCATAAGTGGGAGTTGAACAATGAGAACACATGGACACAGGGAGGGGAACATCACACTGGGACCTGTCGGGGGATGGGGGCCTAGGGGAGGGGTAGCATTAGGAGAAATACCTAATGTAAATGACAGGTTGATGGGTACAGCAAACCACCATGGCATGTGTATACCTATGTAACCAAACTGCATGCTCTGCACATGTACCCCAGAACTTAAAGTACAATTAAAAAAATTATCTGGGACAAAAGTTCTCAAAAACTTAATCTATTTGGTGTAAACAAATTTTAATTAAGGTCCATAGGATATTGTAGCAAATTTTAGGAGAAAAATGATGAGATTATTTACCTCTGACCTCACGTGCCTCACAGAAACTGTCACTCACTCACTCACTATGTGTAACTATATCTAACATAACCTGAAAAGCAAACAGTCCCTTTAGTTATGTTAAAGTCCCTAGAACAGAAAATACAGACCACTTATGAAAAGCTCATAAGGTAAGTGAGGGACCTGAGTTTTATTATTTATATTAGACCATGTCGATCTCATTGTATTCTTTCTAGAATATAAATCTGCTAGAAAGGATAATGAGTCTAGCTTGTTATTTACTGGACTTGCTTCTTCCAAAATTTTTCTTGAAGAACTGATGTCCAGTCTTCACAGTTCCAACCAGCAAACTACGTCAGTTATGCTGCTTCAGCAGGGACAATTTGTGGCCTTCTTAAAGAGGCTGCAGATGAATTACTGGTTTTAGTCACTAGTTGATTAGCTTGATGATGTGAACTTCAAAATGTTTATTCCTTCTGTTCATTTTCATTTTTTATAGTTTATGTATTCTTGGTAGTCTCTTTCTTCTTCTGTGATGTTTTGTTCAAAAATGCTTACAATCCCAAGGCATTTACTGGTGTACAGCCTGACTCAGCATGTTCTTAGACATGCATGGTATTTGACAAATAATTTGGGATTTTAAGGCAAACTTAGAGATGCCTAAGATTGGTTAGACGCTATTGACGGGTGGCAAGCACATTGCTGAAAAGTGTCCTTGCTGCACTTAATTAATCCCCATCAGAAGCTAGGTGATCCCTGACTACAGATTTAGTCATCAACTTGCTTGCGTTTGAGGCGAGGTATTCATCCATGTAAACTGCAACCCTCTTGTCATCCCTCTTACCACCTACGTCTTTCTTGTGAAACAGGAAGGGTTTGGGGATGATCTGGTGTTTTCAGCCTGCAAAATTAAGGGTCACAGTTGTGCTTCTTTCCACATGTGTTTCTATTATTTTCCGTGGACCATTTCTCAGTTGCCACCCAAAGAGATGAAGGCAAAGCCCCTGCTCCAAGGGCTTGGACACCAGCACAATGCTGACTGGTGTGTGGTGAGGCCTGTGTGGTTTAGGAAACTGTACTGCTGGTTTGAGCTTTCCCAACAGTGTAAAGTAAAAGAATAAAATAGACAAGGATTTCTATTTGTTTTCTGTAGCTAGGGTCATTTTATTTTGTGATTGATTCATCTGGAAAGTGTTTTTAAAAAGAATTTGCCACCTCATGTGGTCTGGTGTCAGCACCATTCAAGATGATGGGCTATATTTGAGGTTTATAGATTTAGAATTATTTATTTCTCTTAAAAGTCTAGCTAATTGACGTGAATCCAGATGCCAGGAGGAGCCAGTTATGAGGTAATGACCAACATTGCCTTCTTATCAAGTTAGATAGCTTTTGTCTCATTAGCAAGATATTTATATCAAATTTTCACACCTCTTCTCATTTCTCTACATTCCTGCCAAATAGCTACCCATTTCTTGAGACACAAACTAAGTGTTGACCTTGAAGCCTTTCCTTGCCAACCTTTCCTGTCCAGTAGAAATTACCTCTTTAAACTTTAAGCCCCAAAGTAGACCAAGACATCTCTCTTAGCACTTAGTCTAATTTGTTTACTCACTTGGCTTTCCTAATTAAACTGTGAACTCTCTGGAGACTTGGCTTTCCTAATTAGACTTGAGAACTCTCTGACCAGCACCATTTTTATCATGGGTGTATGAAACACTATTCTCCATGCTATATAGTAGGTTCTCAACAAATGCTGGTTGAATAAAAAATATTTGAATGAATACATCTAATGCACACAGTGTGCATGGAACATGCTATGGTGCTTCAGAACTCTAGTCTGTTTTGTGAGCTTTGGCCTTCAACTGTAATGACTTTCCCTTTTCTCTGCCTGGCAAAATTTTTCTTTTCCTTTATATATCTGTTTAATAGTCAATTATCCTGTAGAATGTTTCCTGCGGTTCCCAAGAACTCTTCATTAATCCTTTCTATTTGTCCAGAGGTCTACTAGCACTTACCTCACACTAGAGTTATTATTTATGCATCTGTTGGTCTTGTTCTCTTAACGGTGACCTCCTGGTGGGTGAGGACTCTGACTAGTTTAGATTTTACCCTATGTGCTCAGTGTAGGCCTGGCTCAGAGATGGTGCTCAATGAGAGTGTCTGTCAGACTCCTAGTCTAGACCCTGATGTTAATCATTTGTGGAAGTGTGAAGACAATACCGTACTTTTGTAGTCCTCAACATCCAATTTAAAAACTGAGAGACTGAATGAGAACTGTAATTCTCTTCTGGTTTTAGATTTTTTTTTAGCACAGTATTGCTACTTTTCACTGCTGTGTATTTTGTTCTTGTCTGGATTTGTGTCTTTCTCATTTACAGCTTTACTTTTCTTGTCTTTGTCTTATTTATTCATTCAGTTTTTTTTTCCTCCTAGTGTCACATGAATACATTTAAACCGTCAACTACAAAATTATGAGTTGAAAGAAGTAATTGTTCGATGTATGATCTTGTCAAGTTACTTAATCTTTCTATAGCTCTGTTTCTTCATCTGTAAAATGAGAATAATAACAGTATGCACCTCATAGATTTGTTGAAAGGATTCAATTATTGATTATTGGTAAAGCCTTTTGAACATTGCTTGTCACATAGTAAATGCAATCGAGTGCTTAACACATCTCTGTCCTCCATTGTCATGATCAGCCAGGAAAAAGACTGAATGTGCTGCTTTCCAGATTATAAAACCCCTGAATTTGACTAATATAGTTATCAGCAAAACTTTCAGGGAATTGTACTACATTTTTATCACACAATCTAAATAATAATCCAAATATTTATTCTAAATACTTACTCTTATACTTGCACACATGCCATTCAAAATTTATATATGGTGGAATATTATGTGGTTAATTCCCTAGTAATCTGAAAGGCAGAGTGTAGCTATTACAATGAATAGTTCTCTAATAAAAGACTTTCATCTTGCCAATTCCATGATACTTTAAAATTAGAATTACACAGTTTTAAGGGCCAGTGTAAAATGTATTAGAGTCCAGAATATGAAAGGAAGAAGAGGATTTTAGAACACAGGTTTGGCTGGATTTATACAGGCCCCCAAAATACTTTTTGCAAATAAGATACAGATTTGCTATGTAACCCTATTATAACAGTATCCAAATGACATAAGATATATTAATGAAAAAGTAGTTTGTTTCAAAACATTTTAATATGTGCTACATTTGTCTATCCTATGCCTGACGTAGAAATATCTTTTTCAAGACCGCCTACCCTATTTGTGTATAATGTGCCTCATTTTATGGGAGCCATTACTATGTGTTCACTACCAAATGAGATGGTATGTGTATAAGTTGGGGTACAGGAGATACAACCATAGCAGTTAAAATCTTATACAAGGAAATACAAGCAGTATTTAATTTTTGGAAAAAAAAGTTTAGGAAAAAATTATGTTTTCCATTTTCAGGGATTAAACAGCATTCTAGAAAACAAGACAGACCATGAAGAGTATGGGAAGAAACAGGAAGGCCTATTTCCCGGTACCATACCCAGAAGCTGTATAATAGGGTAAGTTATTTGACCTCTTTGTTCTGTGTTCTCCTCATTTGTCAAACAACATTTGTGAACAGTATTGCTGGTGGAGAAGAAAATTGTAAGAGAAGAGCTCAGGAATCTCAGATGAGAGGCTATTGTGATAGTCTAGGTGAGATTTCATACAGCAAACACAATTCACAACTTTTACAATGTCCTGGCACTCACTTGTTGAGTAGGGATACATTGTTTTATTAGATAATAGAGGAGGAGCTATTATTAGATAATAGAGGAAAGACCTTTTAGCTCCAGAATTGCCTTTATCTTCTTATCAATAAGCTGCTTAAAATTCTTCTTTTAAAGATGACTTCTATGGTCTTATGTGTATTTTGTAGTAAAGGTGAAAATGTGACATTAGTAATCTTCTTAGTAAATATCACTTCCTCGTAACCTTCCTAATAAATACCATTCCCTTTCTAGCAGAAACAAGTATAAGTGAATTAAGATGATGAGGAAGGATGTGGTGGGACTTGTGGTGAACAACAGCATGTGGACCTTCTGAATTCTCCTACAGCCAGTCCCTTACACAAACCAAGAGCTCTCTGGACTTTTATAACAAAAGGGGAAACTCCAGAGTTTTATGTTTAATTTCCTTAATTTTAAAACCCTGTGCAGATTGAGCAAAACATTTGCAGAGCATGTCTGGCTAGTGGACCCCTCTTGGTCATATTGTCTGCAGCCCATGCCAGTGCTGCTGAGATATTGGGCAGAATCTTGACCTCTGCAAACCAGGAGTAGCACATGAGCAAGCAAGATATACTTTGAGAATGGAAATTTCTCTGAGGAAAGTATTTCCTTCTTGAGAGCCAGCCAGCCTGTGGTGTCAGATTAGTCATATAGAGGAACATGTCAGATAGACTAGGCCAAGTAGAACTTTAATTGAGCCAGGTGCCTGTGGTGGGTTGATTATATTAGTGTTCACTGTGGCCACTCTCCCCTGGGCCCTCGGGCACACTGAGAGACCCCTCTGCTTGTCTCTGTGCAGGTTCTTATTCCATTTCCCCTTAGTAACTATTTGACAACTTCACCACTCTTTCAAGCCCTTTTACTTTCACTGTCCTCATCTCTGTTAAAACATGAATGTATTCTTCCTCTTTGTGAAAACGAAGGCTAGCAATTATGAACTTCTTTATTCTGGACTCCCACTGTTCAAATAAAGTGACATTTGCCTTTACTATCACTTCTTTTCTCCAGTCTCAGAAAAACGGAAGCTTTTTTTTTTTTTGTCTGTTCATGGTCAGTCCCACAGCTTTTGAGCTGGTCCCTTTTCATCTCTTATACAATCGCTATCAGCCCTTCCCTTTTCTGTATTTTGAATCCACAACCCAAACGCCACCTCTACCGGCTGTTCCATATGTGTGTGTATGTACGCCTCTGTCTCTCTATTACTACAGCCTCCTTCCAGTGGTCCATAAACAAGTTCTTGTATTTTCTAGGTTAAAAATTAAAACAAAGAAAAGCAAATGCCTCCCTCTGATTGCTTTGACTCTGTGTCCTCCCCTTGTTTCTTTTTCTCTCTCCTGCTCTCTGCTGTTCCTCAAAGAAGAGTCTGCTCTCAGGGAGTTCAGTTCTTTGGTTCCCACTCATGCCGTAACCCTGGCCATCAGTATGCCTCACACACAGGCCCTCTGCAAATACTCTGGCAAAGTATGTGTCTGATTGGTAATGCATATTAAAAACATATCTGCTGTTGATGTGATATCTGGGATTTGCTTCTAAATAATGCCGGAAAGGGAGAACTGGGTGGAGGTTAGGGTGAAGTGAAATTGGCTATGCCTTGATGGTTTCTGAATCTGGGTGATGAGTCCCCCTGGCAAAACCCTGGATCCTTCAATTCTAAAACTAATAAGTCTTTTTAAAAAATCTCTCAACTTATTTGATTTCTTTGTGGCATCCAACCATTTACTGCCATCTTTGTGACAAACTCTTCTCCCTTAGCACTTGCATCTCGCTCTTAGGTTACCCCTTCTCTCTGTTTTAGTCTCTTTGTGGGTTTGTTTTCTAATGCCAATTCCTTAAACATGGGTTTTCTTAGGATTACGGCTTTAGGCCCTTTCCTCTTCTTACCTGCCCACAGAAGCTGAGAGAATAATTTCTCTTGAGTTCAACCACAATCTAAGGAATATTGACCATTTAATCTTTATCTCAGTATAGTTTAAGTCACTGTTCCTCAGTTTCATACTTTCAGAATATTTTTTTTTCAGTATTTTTAGTAGAGACGAGGTTTTGCCACGTTGTCCAGGCTGGTCTCAAACTCCTGACCTGAGTATATCTGCCTGCCTCTGCCTCCCAACGTGCTGGGATTACAGCACAGTTTCATATTTTCAATTGTGCTTATCTACAGCAACATTTCCAAAACAATACTATCATTATCTTCCTATTCCTCTCAACCTGATCTTTACTCTCAAATTACACTATCCCAAGAGTCATCTTTTTTAGGAAGATGCCCCCTCATTAATCATGCCTTCCTCAAAGCCAAGTAGGAGCTCCCTTCTTTCAGCTGGAACATTACAGTGCCCTGTTGCTCCCATTCTACATGTTGTTTTCTCTTCCTATACTTCCCCAAGGCTGGACCAAACATCAGATTCATATTGGTATTCCCACCCCCAGTATAATATAGTGAACATCAACAATACACATTTGTTGGAGTTATTAATAATGTAATCTTGGAATTTAGTGCTAAAGGGATCATGTAGTTCAGAGTATCTCAAAGAACAGCTCAGTGTTCAGGGCCTGAGTTTAAATCCTGACTCTGCCAATTATTAGCTTTGTGATATAGGGAAGTATGTAAAAACTCACTTAATGCTCTTTTTTTGAGCTGTAACAAATGAATGCCCAAATTACAAATAAAAAAAGGAAAATTTAGAAATGTAATTTCTTTTTTTTTACATTTACTTATATAGTTTATTTTGTTTTCTTAGTTCTTTTTTTTATTATACTTTAAGTTCTAGGGTACATGTGCACAACGTACAGGTTTCTAACATATGTATACATGTGCCATGTTGGTGTGCTGCACACATTAATTCGTTATTTACATTAGGTATATCTCCAAATGCTATTCCTCTGCCCTCCCCCCACCCCACGACAGGCCCCAGTGTGTAATGTTTCCCTTCCTGTGTCCAAGTGCTCTCATTGTTCAATTCCCACCTATGAGTGAGAACATGCGGTGTTTGGTTTTTTTGTCCTTGAGATAGTTTGCTGAGAATGATGGTTTGCAGCTTCATCTATGTCCCTGCAAAGGACATAAAGTCATCCTTTTATATGGCTGCATAGTATTCCATGGTGTATATGTGCCACATTTTCTTAATCCAGTCAATCATTGTTGGATATTTGGGTTGGTTCCAAGTCTTTGCTATTGTGAGTACTGCCGCAATAAACATACGTATGCATGGGTCTTTATAGCAGCATGATTTATATTCCTTTACGTATATACCCAGTAATGGGATGGGTGGGTCAAATGGTATTTCTAGTTCTGGATCCCTGAGGAATCACCACACTGTCTTCCACAATGGTTGAACTAGTTTACAATCCCACCAACAGTGTAAAAGTGTTCCTATTTCTGCATATCCTCTCCAGCACCTGTCGTTTCCTGACTTTTTAATGATCGCCATTCTAACTGGTGTAGATGATATCTCATTGTGGTTTTGATTTGCATTTCTCTGACGGCCAGTGATGATGAGCATTTTTCATGTGTTTTTTTTGGCTGCATAAATGTCTTTTTTTGAGAAGTGTCTGTTCGTATCCTTCGCCCACTTTTTGATGGGGTCATTTCTTTTTTTCTTGTAAATTTGTTTGAGTTCTTTGTAGATTCTGGATATTAGCCCTTTTTCAGATGAGTAGGTTGCAAAAATTTTCTCCCATTTTGTAGGTTGCCTGTTCACTCTGATGGTAGTTTCTTTTGCTATGCAGAAGCTCCTTAGTTTAATTAGATCACATTTGTCAATTTTGGCTTTTGTTGCCATTGCTTTTGGTGTTTTAGACATGAAGTCCTTGCCCATGCCTATGTCCTGAATGGTAATGCCTAGGTTTTCTTCTAGGGTTTTTATGGTTTTAGGTCTAATATTTAAGTCTTCAATCCATCTTGAATTAATTTTTGTATAAGGAGTAAGGAAGGGATCCAGTTTCAGCTTTCTACATATGGCTAGCCAGTTTTCCCAGCACCATTTATTAAATAGGGAATCCTTTCCCCGTTTCTTCTTTTTGTCAAGTTTGTCAAAGATCAGGTGGTTGTAGATGTGTGGTATTATTTCTGAGGGCTCTGTTCTGTTCCATTGATCTATATCTCTGTTTTGGTATCAGTACCATGCTGTTTTGGTTACCATAGCCTTGTAGTGTAGTTTGAAGTCAGGTAGCATGATGCCTCCAGCTTTGCTCTTTTGGCTTAGGATTGACTTGGCAATGGGGGCTCTTTTTTGGTTCCATATGAACTTTAAAGTAGTTTTTTCCAATTCTGTGAAGAAAGTCATTGGTAGCTTGATGGGGATGGCATTGAATCTATAAATTACCTTGGGCAGTATGGCCATTTTCATGATATTGATTCTTCCTATCCATGAGCATGGAATGTTCTTCCATTTGTTTGTGTCTTCTTTTATTTCATTGAGCAGTGGTTTGTAGTTCTCCTTGAAGAGTTCCTTCACATCCCTTGTAAGTTGGATTCCTAGGTATTTTATTCTCTTTGAAGCAATTGTGAATGGGAGTTCACTCATGATTTGGTTCTCTGTTTGTCTGTTATTGGTGTATAGGAATGCTTGTAATTTTTGCACATTGATTTTGTATCCTGAGACTTTGCTGAAGTTGCTTATCAGCTTAAGGAGATTTTGGGCTGAGGCAATGGGGTTTTCTAGATATACAATCATCACATCTGCACACAGGGACAATTTGACTTCCTATTTTTCTAATTGAATACCCTTTATTTCTTTCTCCTGCCTGATTGCCCTGGCCAGAACTTCCAACAGTATGTTGAATAGGAGTGGTGAGAGAGGGCATCCCTGTCTGTGCCAGTTTTCAAATAGAATGCTTCCAGTTTTTGCCCATTCAGTATGATATTGGCTGTGGGTTTCTCATAAATAGCTCTTATTATTTTGAGATATGTCCCATCAATACCTAATTTATTGAGAGTTTTTAGCATGAAGGGCTGTTGAATTTTGTCAAAGGCCTTTCTGCATCTTTTGAGATAATCATGTGGTTTTTGTCTTTGGTTCTGTTTATATGCTGGATTACGTTTATTGATTTGCATATGTTGAACCTTGCTTCCCAGGGATGAAGCCCACTTGGTCATGGTGGATAAGCTTTTTGATGTGCTGCTGAATTTGGTTTGCCAGTATTTTATTGAGGTTTTTTGCATCGATGTTCATCAGGGATATTGGTCTAAAATTCTCTTCTTTGTTGTGTCTCTACCAGGCTTTGGTATCAGGATGATGCTGGCCTCATAAAATGAGTTAGGGAGGATTCCCTCTTTTTCTATTGATTGGAATAGTTTCAGAAGGAATGGTACCAGCTCCTCCTTGTACCTCTGGTAGAACTGAGCTGTGAATCCGTCTGCTCCTGGACTTTTTTTGGTTGGTAGGCTCTTAATTATTGCCTCAATTTCAGAGCCTGTTATTGGTCTATTCAGGGATTCCACTTCTTCCTGGTTCAGTCTTGGGAGGGTGTAAGTGACCAGGAATTTATCCATTTCTTCTAGATTTTCTAGTTTATTTGCATAGAGGTGTTTATAGTATTCTCTGATGGTAGTTTGTATTTCTGTGAGATCCGTGGTGATATCCCCTTTATCATTTTTTATTGCGTCTATTTGATGCTTCTCTCTTTTCTTCTTTATTAGTCTTGCTAGCAGTCTATGAATTTTGTTGATGTTTTCAAAAACCACCTCCTGGATTCATTGAATTTTTGAAGGGTTTTTTGTGTCTCTATCTCCTTCACTTCTGCTCTGATCTTAGTTTTTTCTTGCCTTCTGCTAGCTTTTGAATGTGTTTGCTCTTGCTTCTCTAGTTCTTTTAATTGTGATGTTAGGGTGTCAATTTTAGATCTTTCCTGCTTTCTCTTATGGGCATTTAGTTTTATAAATTTCCCTCTACACACTGCTTTAAATGTGTCCCAGAGATTCTGGTATGTTGTGTCTTTGCTGTCATTGGTTTCAAAGAACATCTTTATTTCTGCCTTCATTTTGTTATGTACCCAGTAGTCATTCAGGAACAGGTTGTTCAGTTTCCATGTAGTTGTGCAGTTTTGAGTGAGTTTCTTAATGCTGAGTTCTAGTTTGATTGCACTATGGTCTGAGAGACAGTTTGTTATAATTTCTGTTCTTTTACATTTGCTGAGGACTGCTTTACTTCCAACTCTGTGGTCAGTTTTGGAATAAATGCAATGTGGTGCTGAGAAGAATTAAGGGCAGCCAGAGAGAAAGGTCAGGTTACCCACAAAGGGATGCCCATCTGACTAACAGGTGATCTCTTGGCAGAAATTCTACAAGCCAGAAGAGAATGGGGGCCAATATTCAACATTCTTAAAGAAAAGAATTTTCAACCCAGAATTTCATATCCAGCCAAACTAGGCTTCATAAGTGAAGGAGAAATAAAATCCTTTATAGACAAGGAAATGCTGAGAGATTGTGTCACCACCAGGCTGCCCTACAAGAGCTCCTGAAGGAGGCACTAAACATGGAAAGGAACAACCAGTACCAGCCACTGCAAAAACATATGCCAAATTGTAAAGACTATCATTGCTAGGAAGAAACTGCATCAACTAATGAGCAAAATAACCAGCTAACATCGTAATGACAGGATCAAATTCACACATAACAATAATAACCTTAAATGTAAATGGGCTAAATGCTCCAATTAAAAGACACAGACTGGCAAATTGGATAAAGAGTAAAGACCCATCAATGTGCTGTATTCAGGAGACCTATCTCAGGTGCAGAGACACACATAGGCTCAAAATAAAGGAATGGGGGAAGATCTACCAAGCAAATGGAAAACAAAAAAAAGCAGGGGTTGCAATCCTAGTCTCTGATAAAACAGATATAAACCAACAAAGATCTAAAGAGACAAAGAAGGCCATTACATAATGGTAAAGGGATCAATTCAACAAGAAGAGCTAACTATTGTAAACATATATGCACCCAATACAGGAGCACTCAGATTCATAAAGCAAGTCCTTAGAGACCTACAAAGAGTCTTCGACTCCCACAGAATAATAATGGGAGACTTTAATACCCCACTGTCAACATTAGACAGATCAATGAGACAGAAATTTAACAAGGATATCCAGGAATTGAACTCAGCTCTGCACCAAGTGGACCTAACAGACATCTACAGAACTCTCCACCCCAAATCCACAGAAATGTAATTTCTTAATTATTCTCAAAAAAATGGTTTTATTAAGATGTCAAGACCTGTATTTATATTAAAAATTCACGTTTTTGTAGAAACAAAATTGTTCTAAGTTTACATAATGGAAATAAATATAATATATAGTGTACTATATATAGTGTGTAATGTAAATACATTTTCTAAGAGCATTGCTAGTCAAACAAGTTTGAGGATCATTTAATGTAAATGGAAATTGAGGCTCAGAAATTTTAAATGACTTGTCCAAGTCTTCACAATTCATGTCTGACCTGGAATTTGAATGTATTTGCCTGACTCCCAGTGTACATTCCTTACCATCATGACATTTATCATAAATCCATAAAACACTATGACTTCGTCAGTCTGCTTGGACTTGGAATACTTTTCTTTGTAATGATAAAATTTTGCATAGTAAAAGGACTGTACATATTGAGATGCAAGTAAAAACTTGTAACATTTAACTAAATCAAAGTAATACATGTTAATGGAAATAAGGGAATTTATGAAAACCATTATTTGAAAAATATTTCTGGACTTGACAGAAAAAAATTAAAACAATATTCCAACCTAAAAATTGCATGACCACCTCTCTTGATTTGTCATATAATTTTTTTTTTTTGAGGCGGAGTCTCACTCTGTCGCCCAGCCTGGAGTGCAGTGGCGCGATCTCGGCTCACTGCAGGCTCTGCCTTCTGGGTTCACGTCATTCTCTTGCCTCAGCCTCCGGAGTAGCTGGGACTACAGGCGCCTGCCACCATGCCTGGCTAATTTTTTGTAATTTTAGTAGAGACAGGGTTTCACCGTGTTAGCCACGATGGTCTTGATCTCCTGACCTCGTGTTCCGCCCACCTCAGCCTCCCAAAGTGCTGGGATTACAGGTGTGAGCCACCGCACCCAGCCAATTTGTCATATAATTTAACTTGTTCTTTCCACCTCAGTTCAGTCATCTTTTCCACCACATCTCAAAGCTCACTGTCTTGCTGTAAAATTCTTTTTTAAAATCATCTTCTCAAATATTAAATCTATACATTCTGATTTGGGTCTTGAATGTATACTTAAGAAAGTACAGTTCTCAGTACAGATATCCCAAAGCAGCCCAAAGAATGCAATTATATCAATAAATAGTTTCAGATGATGCCTGCAGTTGTAATGGCAATCTGTGGATTTCATTACTGTGAGACTATGTGGAGCTTTCTTTATTGTAGATATAATACTTCAGCAAATCTGAGGCCTGAAATTCTCAAGCTAATTGCATTTGACCAGCTTCTGAGCCTGAGTTCCTGCCTACAAGAATGACAAATATAAATTATTGCTATTAAGAGAGACTCTATAATGCATTTTGCAGAACAAAGAAATGAGAATGAAGTAAGATGAATGGCTTTTAAAAAAATGATCTTCTTAAATAATGTTATTTTAACTTCTGGGATAAAGGCACATTTAAGTAAATGAGCTGTAATGCAAGAGTAAGTTAGTTGTTCATCTATTCATGGAAGTGGCCATACAGATAGTTATCCTAGAGAGATGATAACTAGAATGGCTATTTTGAGGAATAAGAAGCATCTTATTCTTAATCTTTACCTAGCTGAGACTTTTAAAAATCCTCAGATTATACAGCCTGTGATTGCTCTATGTTACTTAAGGGAAACGTCATTTTAATCTAGAAGTTTTGTGAAGTAAATGGATTTAATCTTTTTCTTAAAAATTGGATCTCAGCTAGGAAAAGAAGAAAAAGAAAACCTTTTTAAGTTAATAAAGTGAAAAGAGAAAAAAATTGAGGGGAAAACTGGGTACTGAAAGACTAGTTTTTTAAGTGAGTTAAGTTATTGGAAGTAATAAAACTTTAGAGAAATATTTTATTATGGAGGGTATCAGAGAGCCATTAGAAGTTTCCCTCTCAATTGTTATCAAATAAATACATAGTAAAATGACTATAATAAAAGGATTTGTTGAGGTAGAGACTGATTGGAGAAAGGATAAAAATAATAAACAGAATTACTTTAATATCCTGTGAAAGAGCTAATAAAGATCGTTCTTAGGATGATAGCACAGCAAATGGAAACAAAGATTCAATGTAGAGAGCACACTTGTCAGGCCTTTAAGATAGATCAGTTTTAAGGGTCTAGGAAAATGGCCTCCTCCGCAATCACCACTATTTCTTTTGTATCTTACTTAATAAAATGGACATGCTTTCTAAAGTTTTCAACAGGCAAAAATTTAGCAACTTCCAAATAAGTAGAGGAAAGTGGGAATAACTATCAGGAATGCCAAGTGCCAAAACTAGTTGGTAGATATTGCTTTCAGTTCTTTTGTTAATCATAACATTATTAATAACATTTGCAAATGTGGAGAAAAGTTTGATGTTGTGCATAGTCATGGCACCTCTACTTGTTTAAACCATTTAAATTCCACAGAGGTTATTTTATCTGGTTCCATGGGAACAGTGTATTTGGTATAATAATAGGAATTTGAACAACCACAAACCAAATTTATGTGCTTATTCTGAGATACTGATTCCAGGGAAAGGCCTGCTGGGCTAATACGTACTTTGTAGATATTTCCGCAGGTCTTAATGAGCCAACATCAATTCTGGCACTGAAATCTCTACAGTATTCAAAATGTGTTATGGGAAACAATTATTCTAAGTCTGCCAGATTGATGGGCAAAACGTATTACGCATCTGTTGGGCCTAAAGTTTTCCAAGTTTTCAGTGGAATGTCAGCTTGCAGTCTAGATGAATATAGACGAATATATTGCTTAATAATAAATTACACTGGAACAGGTGTCAGGGTTTGTATTTTGACAAACGGCAAATGGATGCAAAGATAACTTGTTGTCAACTCAAGGAATCTAAGAACTTAAACCTCATTTTCTTTAGAATCATTCAGACTTTTTTTTCAGTATTACGGAAGTCATAAACTTGAAGAGAAGAGAAACAGTTGTCCCTACATGATTATCAAGATTTTCAAAGTGCTCAATAAATATATGTTGGCCAATACATGTAAAGCTCCTGATAAGTAAAGAGTATCATCAGTTTGAAGGACTGCACAGAGCGAGATTGCCAAATAGAACTCCTCCAGTGATTGTCATCCACCGTGCCCCCAGGAACACCAAATTGAACAACTATCCACACAAGAAAGCATATTTATAAGAACCAAAAATCAGGTGAGCAATTACAGTACCTGGTTTTAAACATCATATTAAAGAAAGGGGCACTGATGAGGGTAGGAAAGACAATCTTGAATGGCCTACACAGCCTCTCCTCCCATCCTCTGGCCTCCACAGCCCCTCCCCCATCCCCTGGCAGCACCATGTGGTGGGGAGAAAGAATCTATGTGCTTGGGGGATGGAGAACACAGTGATTGTGAGACTTCGCATTGGAACTTAGTGCTGTCCTGTCACAGCAGAAAGCAACATGTGGCAGAATTCAGCTGGCACCCATGGAAGGAACATTAAGACTAGTCCTAAGCAGAGGGAAATAATCTATCCCAGTCATTGGAACCTGAGTTCTGGCTTGCCCCAGCCCTGTGGGCTAAAGTATTCTGGGCTACTAAATAAACTTGAAAGATAGTCTGGGCCAAAAGGACTACAACTCCTGGTCTAGTCCTTGCTGTGTTGAATTTAGAGCCAGTGGACTTGGGGTGCACATGACCTAGTGAGATACCAGCTAGAGTGGCCAAGAGAGTGCTTGCATCATCGCTCTCCCCACCCCAGGCAGCATAGCTCCCAGGTCCAGAGAAGACTCCTTCCTTCCTCTTGAGAAGAGGAAAGAGTAAAAAGGACTTTTTCTTGCAACTTGGATACCAGCTCAGCTACAGTAGAATAGGGCACCAGGCAGAGTCCTGAGACTCCCATTTCAGGCCCTAGTTGCTGGAAGACATTTCAAGACACACCCTCGGCCAGAAGGGAACCTGCTGCCTTGAAGGGAAGGACCCATTCCTGGCAGGATTCACCACCTGCTGACTAAAGAGCCCTGGGGCCTTGAATAAATATCAGGCAGTACTCACCATGGGCCTTGCAGGAGACCCAGTGCCATGCTGGCTTTAAGTGTGACCCAGCACATTTCAAGCTGTGGTGGCCATGGGAAGAGACTCCTACTTGAGGAAACTAGAGTGAAGAGTAGAGGGTTCTAGCAGCTGGGGTCTTGTCTTGCAGCTTGGGTACTAGCTTTGTCACAGCGAGGTACAACACCAAGCAGGCTCCTGGGCTCCTTGTCCAGGCCTTGGCTCCTGGACAGCATTTCTGGACTTGCAATGGGCTAGAGGGGAGCCTACTGCCCTGAAGGGAGAGACCCAGGCTTGGCAGCATTCACCACAAGCTGACTGAAGAGCTTTTGGGCCTTGAGTATACTCCTTGGTAGCCAGGTAGTACTCGCCACAGGCCTGGGGCAGTGGTGGCCATGGGGAGAGACTCCTTCTGCTTCAGGAAAGGAGAGGGAAAGTGGAAAAATCTTTGTCTTGTGGCTTTGATGCCTGCTCAGCCACAGTAGAATAGAGCACCAAGTAGATTCCTAAGATTCCTGACAGAGCGAGACTCCATCTCAAAAAAAAAAAAAAAAAAAAAAAAAAGGACACATTTCATAGGGATGGCTACAGAAGAGTAAACTGCAAAGAAGCATGAAAAAGTGCTCTGAGACGAGGAAGGAAACTCAGTAAAGAACAGAGGCACTATAGTAAAAGGAAAGTGGTCAACAGCATTAATTTTATAGATCAGTCAATGATTGCAGAGTATGATAAAAATCTACTTGTTTGGACTTGTGAGAAGTTTAAGATCTTGGGATAAGTGGGACAGAATATATATTGCAGATGGTTAAGGAGTAAGTATATGACAAGGGAGTGGAGGTAGAAAAGGAATTCTGTGAAGAAAGGAAGAAGAATTGGTAACAGCTCGATATAGAAGTAAAGGAATAAATCAATCAAAAGGACTTATTGAAGTTGTAGGAAATTGAGGTGAAAACAAAGTGTTGGGAAAAATTCTAAAGGAAACAAAAAGAGTTGGGATTGAAAGGCCAGCTGGACAATTAATATTGGAAAGGCACTTAGTATTGAAGGGGAGAAGTTCAGAGCATTTACAGTACATGAACTCTGTGTTCTAAGTGATGTAAGAGGCAAAATCAAATGCTGAGAATAATGGACACAGATCTTGTATTTCTGAAATAAAATTGGCTATGTATTATTTCATGAAAGATTGTGAGATTTAATTTGCTGAAATATTATTTAGAATTTTAGTACTTATATTCATCAATAATATTGGCTTGCTTCATTTTATATATCTTGTTAGGTGTAATCATAATAACAACTATTTTCCCAAATATTTTGTATATGGGAAATTATCTATTCCTTGAGAGTTTGAGAAAACTCACATGTAAAACAACTGAGGCTAGCACATTTTGTGAACAAAGTTTGTTGAATAAACTTTAGCTTCTGTCTTGATGATAATTCCACTCAAGGCTTCTATTTCTTTGTGTTATATATTTTGAAATTATTGTATGTTAAAAATATTGTCATTGGTGCAAAAGATATGTAACAGACTGAAAACTGCCTTATGGTTTGTTGGTTTTTTAAGAATATAATTTCTTATTAATTTAAAAATGTAAAGTATTTGTAATCACAAATGAAGCCTGTACGATTTCCACTTTTAGGAAGTATTAATATATGGCTCAATAAATGATCAATTTGTTAGTATTCTGTGAGTGGCAAAGTGCATATTACATATTGCATATTTTTGAATATTTTAGAAGATATGAGTTTGAGGGTCTAAAATTATAAGAAACATGGCCTTATCAAATTCTTGATAAAACACATTTCTGAACTAAAATAACACACTGTTATTAACAGATTAACAGACTCGGGAAGTTTTAGGAGAAAAAAGTCTTTAAGGAATCTTTAAGCATATTAAATAAGGATAAAACCCTATAATTATTCTGGCTGGTGAAACAGGGATAAACATGCCATGTATAAAGAAAAAGTCCAACTAGCCTCATTCTTCTTTATGACACTTAATTCCTAGAAAAAAGGAAAAAGTCAACAGAAATTTGAAGAAAAATGTGAAGGCAACAAAAAATATTTTTTAAATGTGTCAGAAAATACACCAGCCATACATACCATTTCCATCTTTTATTTTTTATTTTTTTATTTTTATTGTTATACTTTAAGTTTTAGGGTACATGTGCACAATGTGCAGGTTAGTTACATATGTATACATGTGCCATGCTGGTGTGCTGCACCCATTAACTCATCATTTAGCATTAGGTATATCTCCTAATGCTATCCCTCCCCAGAGTGTGATGTTCCCCTTCCTGTGTCCATGTCTTCTCATTGTTCAATTCCCACCTATGAATGAGAACATGTGGTGTTTGGTTTTTTGTCCTTGCGATAGTTTACTGAGAATGATGATTTCCAATTTCATCCATGTCCCTACAAAGGACATGAACTCATCATTTTTTATGGCTGCATAGTATTCCATGGTGTATATGTGCCACATTTTCTTAATCCAGTCTATCATTGTTGGACATTTGGGTTGGTTCCAAGTCTTTGCTATTGTGAATAGTGCCACAATAAACATACGTGTGCATGTGTCTTTATAGCAGCATGATTTATAGTCCTTTGGGTATATACCCAGTAATGGGATGGCTGGATCAAATGGTATTTCTAGTTCTAGATCCCTGAGGAATCGCCACACTGACTTCCACAATGGTTGAACTAGTTTACAGTCCCACCAACAGTGTAAAAGTGTTCCTATTTCTCCACATCCTCTTCAGCACCTGTTGTTTCCTGACTTTTTAATGATTGCCATTCTAACTGGTGTGAGATGGTATCTCATTGTGGTTTTGATTTGCATTTCTCTGATGGCCAGTGATGGTGAGCATTTTTTCATGTGTTTTTTGGCTGCATAAATGTCTTTTGAGAAGTGTCTGTTCATGTCCTTTGCCCTCTTTTTGATGGGGTTGTTTGTTTTTTCTTGTAAATTTGTTTGAGTTCATTGTAGATTCTGGATATTAGCCCTTTGTCAGATGAGTAGGTTGCAAAAATTTTCTCCCATTTTGTAGGTTGCCTGTTCACTCTGATGGTAGTTTCTTTTGCTATGCAGAAGCTCCTTAGTTTAATTAGATCACATTTGTCAATTTTGTCTTTTGTTGCCATTGCTTTTGGTGTTATAGACATGAAGTCCTTGCCCATGCCTATGTCCTGAATGGTAATGCCTAGGTTTTCTTCTATGGATTTATGGTTTTAGGTCTAACGTTTAAGTCTTTAATCCATCTTGAATTAATTTTTGTGTAAGATGTAAGGAAGGGATCCAGTTTCAGCTTTCTACATATGGCTAGCCAGTTTTCCCAGCACCATTTATTAAATAGGGAATCCTTTCCCCATTGCTTGTTTTTCTCAGGTTTGTCAAAGATCAGATAGTTGTGGATATATGGCGTTATTTCTGAGGGCTCTGTTCTGTTCCATTGATCTATATCTCTGTTTTGGTACCAGTACCATGCTGTTTTGGTTACCATAGCCTTGTAGTATAATTTGAAGTCAGGTAGCATGATGCCTCCAGCTTTGTTCTTTTGGCTTAGGATTGACTTGGCGATGCAGGCTCTTTTTTGGTTCCATATGAACTTTAAAGTAGTTTTTTCCAATTCTGTGAAGAAAGTCATTGGTAGCTTGATGGGGATGGTACTGAATCTATAAATTACCTTGGGAAGTATGGCCATTTTCACGATATTGATTCTTCCTACCCATGAGCATGGAATGTTCTTCCATTTGTTTGTATCCTCTTTTATTTCATTGAGCAGTGGTTTGTAGTTCTCCTTGAAGAGGTCCTTCACATCCCTTGTAAGTTGGATTCCTAGGTATTTTATTCTCTTTGAAGCAATTGTGAATGGGAGTTCACTCCTGATTTGGCTCTCTGTTTGTCTGTTATTGGTGTATAAGAATGCTTGTGATTTTTGTACATCGATTTTGTATCCTGAGACTTTGCTGAAGTTGCTTATCAGCTTAAGGAGATTTGGGGCTGAGACAATGGGGTTTTCTAGATATACAATCATGTCATCTGCAAACAGGGACAATTTGACTTCCTCTTTTCTATTTCCAACTTAATATATGACTTTTAATACATAAGCCAATAGATTAGAGGTTTAGTAAAATTAAGGTGTTAACTTGATCTAGTATGACTATGAGCAATGACTCTAATTAAACATGAATATGTCTCAATGCTACAAGTTTGTAAAAAAATCAACTGTAACAGTTTTTCCTTTAAAAAATTAAACTATAAGGCAAAAATTTGATAAAATAATTTATATCTGTGGATTACATGAACAAATATAGAAAAAATGTGTAAGATTAAAATAACATTCAAAATATACATTACCATGATGTATAAAGGGGATGTTCAGGCCCATGGATTGCTGGAGGGCAAGAGACTATAGGCAGAGGAATACAATGAAACATCTAGGGCCTTGAGAAGAAGTTGAAGTCAGACTGTGGAAATTTAAGACGTTTAAAAGCAGCATGGGAAAATAGTTTTTTTTAAAAAGCACATACAGGCTTTGACAGGCCTGAGAAGACCTAAGAAGAACTTAAATCTTCACTATGGGGTAATCTCAAGGCTCAGCGGCCTGATAATTAGCGAAGGTCTTCCATGCAAAAATGAGAGAGGTTTCTTTTTTTTTTTTTTCGTGTTCAATTTTCAAGAAAAGATCACAAAGCATATAAAGAAACAGGGGAACAAATCATTCAAATAACCAAAATAAATCACCAGAAACCTTTTGTTCAAAGAAACAAAATAAATCACCAGAAACCATCTGCCATAACAAAATACCACAGATAGGGTGGCATAAATAACAAAAATTAGTTTTCTCACAATTTTGTAGGCTAAAAATAAATCAAGGTGGTGTCAGGATTGGTTTCTGATGAGGCCTCTTTCTGGCTTGTAGATATCTGTTTTTTCACTGTGTCCTCTCATGGCATTTCCTCTGTGTGTTTGCACAAAGAAAGAAGAATCTCTGGTTTGACTTCTTTTGTTACAAAAGTGCCAGTCCTATTAGATTAGGGACCTATCATTATGGCCTAATTTAACCTTGATTACCTCCTTAGAGGCATTATTGTCAATATAGTCACATTGAAGTTTAGGGTTTTTAACATTTAAATGTTTTTGTGGGGAGTAGACACAATTCAGTCTATAACAATGTTCCTAAAACAACAACAACAACAAAAAACAAAAACATACATCTGACTTACTGGACAAATGTTTGACAAGACAACTGTGTCGAATATGTTCAAAGAGCTAAAGGAAGATGTGGGCAAAGAATAAAACATAAGAAAGTAATATATGAACAAAATTAGAATCTCAACAGACAGAGTTTATTTAAAAGAACTGGATGAAAATTCTGTAGCTGAAAAATATAACTGAAATGAAAAATTAACCAGAGGGGTTCAACAGAATACTCAAACAGAAGAAGAAAGAATCAATGAATTTAAAGGCAGATCACTTAAAATCATCAAATGTAAATAGCATAAAGAAAAATAAATGATAAAGAAAAGTGAACAGAGGCTACCGAATTTACTGGCCACTATCAAGTGAACCAACTGGCGGATGAGAGGCCAAACAGGAGATGAGAGAGAGAAATGAGCAGTGGGATTATTTGAGCAAATAATGCCTGAAAATTTCCCAAATTTGAGAAAATATGTGGATATACAAATCCAAGAAATTCAACAGATTCACAGTAGTTTAAACCCAATTAGACACACCAAGACACATAATCAAACTGTCAGAAGCCAAAGACTTAAGAGAAAAATCTTAAAAGCACCAAGCAAACTTTCTTATTCTTATCATGAACAAGGATGCTCAGTAAGACTATCAATGAGTTTCTCAGCAGAGATCTTGCAGACAAGAAGCAGTTGTGTGGTATATTTAAAGTGCAGAAAGAAAAGCCTTTCAACTAAGAATTACATATTTGGCAATTCTGTCCTTCAGAAATGTGAAAGGAATTAAGACATTTCCAGACAAACAAAAAAAGCTGAGGGATTTCATTACCATTAAACCTGTCTTACATGAAATGCTAAAGGGATTTCTTCAAGTTGAAATGAAAGAATGCTAGATAGCAACTTAAGTCATACAAACATATAAAATTCATCAATAAAGATAACTACATAAAAATATAAAAAATAGTATTTCAGTTTTATTTGTAACTACATTTATGTTCAAGATTTAAAATAAAAAATGCACAAAACAATTATAAAGCTGTTAATGAATACACAATACATAAAGATGTAATCTGTGACATACATAACATAAAGCAAGAGGATAAATTTAACCAAAGAAGTAAAATATTTGTACAATTAAAAACTATAAAACATTGACAAAAGCAATTGAATAAGATATAAATAAGTACAAAGATATTTTCTATTCATAGATTGGAAGAATTAATATTGTGAAAATATCCATACTACTCAAAGTAATATACACAGTTACTGTAATCCCTATCAAAATTATAATGGAATTCTTAAAAATATAAAAAATGCAAAATTTATATGAAACCACAAAACCTGAATATCCCAAGCAATATTGAGCAGAAAGGACAAAGTTGGAGGCATCACACTACCTGACTTCAAAATATATTACAAAGCTATAGTAATAAAAACAGCATGCCACTGGCTGAAAATAGATACAATGACCAATGGTACAAACTAGAGAGCCCAGAAATGAACCCATACATTTACAGTTAATTGATTTTCAACAAAGGTGTCAAGAACACACAATAGGAAAATGGCAGTCTCTTCAATAAAACAAATGTAAGGAAAGCTGGATATCTACATGCAGAAGAATAGAACTGGACTTTTGTCTCACACCATATACAAAAATTGATTAATAATTTAAACATTAAAACTGTAAAAATACTAGAAGAAGACATAGGGCAAAAGCTACACAAAATTAGTCTGAGTAATTAGATGTGACCTTAAAAGCTCAGGCAACGAAAGAAAAAATGGACAAAACCAATTACATCAGACTAAAAAGCTTCCACAAAGCAAAGGACACAATAAACAGAGTGAAGAGACAACCTATAGATTGGGAGAAAATATTTGCAAACCATACATCTGATAATGGGTTAATATAAAAAAAATAAGAAACTCCTACAACTCAATAAAACAAATAATATAATTTTTAAAAGTGCAAAGAACCTGAATAGATATTTTTCAAAAGCAGTCATGCAAATGGCTAACAGATATGTAAAAAATTACTCGACATTACTAATAATCAGGGAAATGTAAATTAAAATCACAACAAAATGTCAACTTGCCCTTGTCTGAATGACTGTTATCAAAAGGATGAAAGATGAGTGATGACAGGGAGGCAGAGAAAAGGGATCATTTGTACATTGCTGGTGGGAATGTAAATTGGTACAGCCATTATGGAAAGCTATATGGAGGTTTCTCAAAAATAGAATTACCACATAATCTAGCTATCCCACTTCTGGGTGCTGATCTAAAGGATTTGAAATCAGAATATTGAAGAAATATCTGCTCTTCTATGTTTATTATAGCATTATTCACAATAGCCAAAATATAGAAAAATCTATCATCAAATGAAGAATAAATGATGTACGTATATACACATAGTGGAATACTATTTGGCCTTTAAAAAGGAAATTCTGTCATTTCTGACAATTTGGATGAACTAGAGGACATTATTGTAAGTAAAATGAGTCAGGCACAGAAAGACATACTGCATGATCTCACTTGTATGTGGAATCTAAAATAATAGAATTTATAGAAACAGAAAATACAGTAATAGTTACCAGGGACTGGAGGTGGGAGGCATGAGGAGATTCTGGTGAAAGGGCACAAAGTTTCAATTAGACAGGATGAATAATTTTTAGTGATCTGTTGTATGACATGGTGACTATAGTTAATATATATTTCAAAATTGCTGAGAGAGTAAATTTTAAATATTCTCATCACAGAAGTATTTGTGGGGATGGATTATTAATTAGATTAATTTTCTCATTCCACATTATATACATATAACATAACATCACATTGTACCCCTTAAATATATACAATTATAACTTGTCAATTTACAATAAAATTCTGAAAATAAAGTGAGGGTGCCGATATATAAAGGGTTAGAGTTTTTGTATGTGACTGAAGTTAAACTGGTATCAGTTTTAGATAGATTGTTATAATTTTAAGATGTTATATGTAATTCCCATGATAATCATTAAATAATTATAGAATACACACAAATGGAAATGAGAGGGGAGTAAAGATATGTAATTCCAAAACTCAGCTAAACACAAAGAAAGGCACTAATAAAAGAAATGAGACAAAAAAGTTATAAGACATACAGAAAACAAATATAAAGTGGCAAAAGCAAGTGTTTTCCTATTAGTAATAATTTTAAAAGCAAATAAATAAACTCCCCAGTCGAAATACATAAGTTGGTAAAATGGATTAACAAACACAACATCTAACTCTATGCTGTGTATGAGAGAGAGACTCTCTCTGTATCTAAAGACACACATGAGTCTTAAAGTGAAAGGATGGACAAAAGATATTCAATGCAGATGGTAACAAAAGAGAGTAGGAGTGGCTATACCAATATTATAAAAATAGACTTTTTTGTTTTAAGAGACAAAGAAGAATATGATATTATATTAAAGGGTCCATTTAATGAGAGAGTGTAACGATTATAAACATATATGCACCAAACACCAGCTTGAAAATGTGCAAAGTAAGCACTGACAGAATTGAAGTGAACTATAGGAAGCTCTAAAATAATATAGTAGGACACTTTACCGCACCACCTGAAATAATGGATAGGACAACCAGACAGAAGATTAGTAAGGAAGTAGAGGTCTTGAAGAACACTATAGACTAACTGGAGCTAATAAACATATGCAGAACACTCCACCCTCAACCAGCTGAATACATATTCTTCTCAAGTGCACACAGAATACTCACCATAAGAGACCATGTATTAGCGCAAAAAGCAAATCTCAAGTTTTTTAAAATGGAAATTTTACAAAGTACCTTTTCTGATCACAATCAAATAAAACTAAAAATCAACAGAAGGAAAACTTGCAAATTCACAAATATATGGAACTTAAACAACATACACTAAAAAAATCAACGTGTCAAAAGGAAATTAGAAAATACCTTGAGACAAATGAAAAGAAAAACAGAATATAACAAAACAGATGGGATGTGGCAAAAGCAATGCTAACTGGGAAATTTATAGTTGTAAACACATGATCAAGGGAAAAACTTCATCATCTCATGCAGAAAAAGCATTTGACAAAATTCAACACCCTTTCATGATTAAAAATAACTAAAAAAACTAGGAATCGAAAAACAATTACATCAATATAATAGAGGCCACCTAAGAAAATCTCACAACTGACATCATACTCAATGGTGAAAGACTGAAAACTTTTCCCCTAAGACGAAAAACAGGCAAGATGCTCACTTTCACCATTACTATTGAACATAGTCTTGGATGTCTTAGCCAGAGCAACTAGAGAAGAGAAAGAAATGAAAAGCATCCAAATTGAAAAGCAAGAACTGAAATTCTCTGCAGATGAGTGGATCTTATATATTTTAGAAAATCTTAAAGATTTCACAAAAATCCCATTTACCTAATAATATTAACTCAGCAAAGTTGAAGGACACAAAATCAGCACACAAAAATCAGTTGGATTTTTATATAATAAAATGAATATTATAAAGAAGGAAATTAAGAAAACAATTCCATTTACAATAGAATCAAAAGAATAAAAATTTAGGAATGAACTTAAGCAAGGAGGCAAGACTTGTACACTGAAAACTATAAAACATTGCTAAGAGAAATTAAAGAAGACACAAATAAAAAAGACATCTATGTTTATGGATTGCATGACTTCCTATTTTTTAAGATGCAGAATTTTTTTTTAGATTACAGAAATAGAAAAATCCATCTGAAAATTTATATGGAATATCTAGATACTCTGGGTAGCCAAAAAAGAGAGAAAACAACAAATCAAAGGTCTTGTGCTTCCTGATTTCAAAGCTTACTGCAAAGATACAGTCTGTTATAAAGACAGACACAGAGACAAATGGAATGAAATAGAAAGCACAGAAATAAACACATATACAGTAAATGTATTTTTGACAAGAGTGCCAAGACCATTCAATGGGGGAAAGGACAGTCTTTTGAATAAATGGTGTTGGGAGAACTAAAGTTGGATCTTTAACTTACACCGTATAGAAAAATTAACTCAAGGCAGGTCAAAGACCTAAACATAAAAAGTAAAACTATAAAACTCTTAGAAGAAAACAGGAAAAAGCATCGTGGCATTTTAATGTTAATGAAATTTTTAGCTTTTTTTTCCCTAGTAATAGGATTTCTGAATGTAGTTAGGCATCTGTTTAACAATAATACAGTACTTTCATTGTTGTAGTATAAAGAAAGATCTATCTGGATTCTTGATCCTAAGTTTCTTTCCTTTGAAGCTGGAGAATTTATCTCTGTTGGTTGATTCATTTTTGCCTGGGCTACATGAATAATCACATACTGAACGCAGACTTTCAACTTTTCAGCATTAGGACTGCTTTGTTGAAGATGGTATGTTGAACCACTCATTATGTTTTCATTTGGTTCTGCTTCCTCCTGAAACTGTAAAATGATATTAAATAATGAAAAAAATGAAAACATCTTTGGAAGCTAGAAAGCAGATGGATAAGTGGTAAATGATGCAGACTTGAGAAAATTAAATCGTAAGATTGCTATGGAGAAAGCCCAGAGCATTCCAACTTACACTACAGAAAATGGCAGTGTTAGTTACCTTGGAGGTAGTAGTAAATATGGTTAATTGTTTGAAGATCAGATTAAAAATCAGTTGGACCTTTTGATTTTCTCTTCCATTCTGCTCAGGAAGAAGACTTTCTCTCTCCAGAGATGACCAGAGGTTTATTCTTTTTACTGTAGAACCTAGTCCCAGCTGGGAGGTGATACTATGGTTAAAAGGGGGTTAAGTGAAAGTTTATGTTTTTAATATTGCAGTTCCCCAGACTTCTTTCCATTCCCCTTTCACAGAATTGCTTACTCTTTCTAGGAAGCAGATTTATAGTGTGTTCTCTGAGAATCTAAACAATACAATAGAAAGACCTAAAGATTAAGATGTGAGGGTTTTCTTATTGAAATGACCTGGTAAATTATCCTGTAGCCAACAGCTGATTACTTGTTTCATGCGTATAGCTTTTTTTGCTTCCCACATATAAATAGGAGCAAATAACAAAATAATATTAGTTCTGTAAGGAAACAGAGCCCAAAGCAAAAGTAACTTGGCAGAAATAGATTAAAGGTAGAAAGTGAGTATATTACATCTGTTAAATAATAACAGGATGCTAAAAACAAAAGTTAGAAAATAAAAGAGTTTTGGAAATTATACATATGATAGCAGAATTGAAAATTCATTAGAAGAAATAGAATATAAAATTGAGGAACTTCCCAAGAAAATAGAGCAAAAAGATAAATAGATGAAAAATAAGGGAAAAAAATTAGAGGACTAGTACAAATAATCCAATATTAAAATCATAGGAATTTACAAAGGAGGGACAGAAGAAATAGGAGAAAGGAACATAATTAAAGACATAATTCAAGAAAAATGTCCAGAACTGAAGGACATGATTTCCTTAAGCGTTACAGCTTGCCAGATACCTTTACTAAGAACTCTGTATAATGCAAGACAGTGACAACTACACATCATCATGCATTTTCACAACTGGTGGCTAACAGCACCACCCCAGTTTGTTGTTTTCCTTTAATTTTTTGAAGAAGGTTTTTATGTGATCAAATTTATCCATTTTTTGGTACTTCCTGCTTTTGGTGCTGTACAAGGATGTACCTGTTCCACTCAAATTTTATTAAACAAATGTATCTATGCTTTCTTCCTTCTGGAATTACTTTGATTTTAGATATGAGGTAGAATATAACTTTATTTTAGTTTCATTCAAGTTTTGTGAAGTAAATAGAAATATCCACATTATTTACTGAATTACTTATTTCTTATTGAATTTACAGTCTAACTTTACTATGAACAAAAATCATATATATATTATATATAATATGTATGTATATATAATACCTGTGGTTTCAAGGGTATTTTTCCTCTATTTATTGTTCTGTCAATTATATTAGGTTTAATATTTATCTAGGCAAGTATTCCTTTCTAACTTTCTTTATCAGAAATTCACTGGCTCTTCTTATCAAAAGTTGTTTTTACAAAAGAATTCTAGAAACATCTTTTTAATATTAAAATAAATGCATGAAATGCTCATTGGATTTTGGTTACTATACATTAAAGTTGAATTTGAAAGAGTTGGTATCTTTATAACACTGAGATTTTCCTCTCATATACATGGAATCTCCATCGGTCTTTCAAGATCTCATAGATATCCTCAATAGAGCTCATCATTTTCTTTATAGTCATTTATATTTATATTATAATCCTACATATTTTGTGTACTTTTTGTAATTATGCATGGAATCTTCTACCTACTACATTAATTATTTGAGAAATACAGGGAAACTCTCTCTGTGTTTGTGTGTGTTCATATGCATGCATACATGTGTATGCATGAATTTTTAATGTATTTATCTCATTTTACACTCTTATTATTGAAGGATTCTTTATTTATTTTGGGGATAGTCCACGTATATGTTGTTACTAATAATAATTTTTCCACTCCTCTTTATGACTGCTAGGCTTCAACAATACTAAATTTAAAGACTTAGAAATAAATCTCTTGTTCATTCACTTGTTGCCACATGCCATTCTATCTCCTGAAAGTTTTTCCTCTTTTTTAATTCCTACTAATTCTTCAGCTTTTAGCTTACTCATCAATCTCCAAGATTTTTAAAGACTTGGTTAGATGTCCTGCCTGTGTATTCCCATGTGTCCATGCCTACTGGGGCACTTGCAACATGTATTAAAATTGCCTAATTACTTGTCTATCTTGCCAGATGCCTGAAACATAGTAGTCTCTCAAGTTGTATTTTTTGATATATCAATAAAAAGCTATCGCAAATACAGCTTTAATGAATGCTTACTGTAAATTAGGCATTGCCCACGTGATTAGCCTATATTAACACAATTTATAGTCAAAAAAAACAAACAAACCAGTATGCAGAATTTAATATATTTTATTTAACAGGTAAGAAAACTTAGGTTCAGATAGGTTAAAGTTATTCAAAGTCACAACTAGTAAGGTTGCAGATAGGTTTTGAATTCATGTCCAGAAGAGAAGAGGAATAATGAGGACTCAAACTATGGTAATATCACTAGCAGTAGAGGTAAAGCATAGGGAGAGATTAAAGCAGTAGAGGCAAAGTATAGGGAAAGCTTAAGGAAGTAGCATTGGCAGAATTTGATGACTTACGGGCTATGGTCATTGACGAAAAGGTAAATTCAAGGATTATCATCAAGTTTCTTGTTATGAGACACTGGGTCTCCAGTAGGCGAAGACAGGTAGATCAGAATTAATGGGGAATCAAGGAATTCTGCTTTGTACATCTTGAGTTTCAAACATTTTGGGGATGTCTAAGTACATGTCTCCAGAAAGTAGTTAATATATGGATCTGCAGTTCAGTGGAGAAGTTAGGTCAGAGGTTTGGGGTGTATAGTAAGAGCAGTTTAAAGCCATAATTTAAAGCACTGTAACAAAGTTATGTAAAGTAATACTTAGGGACTAATAACATACACATAAAGGTTAAAAAATCTAAATTTTAAATACTGTTGAAAGAATAATAAATAAAAGATAAAATTATAATGCAATGAAGCAATTCCCTGAAGACTGACTGGTCAGGGGTTAAAAATCAAGACAGCATAATTCTATTACAGTAAAATAATTAGTAGGATATAGTTGAAACAACTATAAAGTCAGTGAGCAGAGAAAATACTTCCTGTAACATGAAAATTTATCTCCTATAAAATGATAAAAGGTCCACTGACAAGCATGTCAAAGCTCAGCCCAGAAAGTCAGGTAAATGAGACAAGATGCTATAAAGTTAACTCCCAACTAGGGACAAGCCTAGTCAGCCATACCGGTTCTGAGGAACTCGGGAAAAGCCGAATTTTTCTACTGCCAAGTTTCCAGACGGATTTTCTCATGGCTTGTATGTGTCCAGTTGAGAAGAGTAGGGAGAAATTGTTTTTATCATTTGATAGGTTTCACTAGTTTTCTTGTTTTACATCTGCTTCTAGTGACATAAATGTAAATCAGTATAGTCCACTGCTAATAACCTTCCTCTTCCACATTCCTAGAAATTTTAGCAAATTGAATCATATTTTCCCACTAATTCACATTATAATTCTAAATATATCTCAATCTCTTTACCTAGCTTCAATTTACAATGGAGTCCAAGGCCATGCCGTTTAAATTCTCCTCTTTTAATTTGTCCATGCCTTAAAAATACATTCCCATGTACTAGGATAAGTATGGTAGAAGAATGTTTTCTTAAGGTGATAAAGATTTTTGCCACACAAATTATCACGGTCTAAATAATTGTAGGATTACATTTTAATACAGTGGTTTTGCTTTTTTTTCCATACTTGTGTACAATGATAAGGAAAATTTAATATGGGTAGGGATGAGAGATGAAAAAAATCAAAACTTCACAAACTAATTTCTTTGAGACTTATGGTACTTTTGGTTCCCAAAAAAAGAACAGAATGACCTGTAATCAAATCTTGTCACATCAAGCTTTCAAATGTGCAGTGATGAAAAGGCAGAAAAATGTGGTCTTTCAAAGATTCTAGTGTGCTATTTCAAAATAGAAACAGTAGCAATACTTTAAAAATTCCAGTAAAGGAGAGAAGTGTCATTAGAACAATGAGAGGAAATAGTTTTAACCAAGTATTACATTTTCCTGACTTTCAGAATAAATTTTAGTTTAGTAGTTCAGATTCACACTCTCTCTACCTCATTGATTATTCTTGGCTGAAATACAATAAAACACAAATATTGTTAATATACTTGCCTCCAGTTACCATCTCCCTGTCCAAGAACTTATTATTATTAATATAATTATTCTGTTAATACCAGATCCACTGTATCTGGAAAGTAATAAATTTCATGTATGTTATTTCTCAAGGTTAGTATCAACTATATTTTTGAGAAAGCAAAATATGACAAAATATTATACTATATATGTCATATGTTATTCACCTAATATATATGTAAAATAATGTTGTAATAATATTTTGATAAGACACAAGAATCAAAGCTCTGGTTCAAATCACCATTCCAATTCTTACTATGGAATTGTAAGCAGTTAACTTATCTAAGCCTCAATTTCCTCAACTATATTTAGAATTTACACCATCTTTTGTAACTTTGTTGGTGTATGATGTACATGAGGCATTTTTTACTTTATATATGGTAGCTATTGTTATGAGTTATGCATTTAAGCAAAACACATGAAAGAAAAAATACATATCACAGAACTAAAACAGTACTTCGGGGAGTATTTGTGTAGCTCTGAAGATCATAACATTAACTTTGACAAAAAAAAAAAAAAAACTGTTGCAAATGCACAAATTGCCAAATTTTAACTTTTCCGCTGAGCAAATCTGAGTAATTTATTAGTAGAGAAGAAAAAAAAACACTAAACAATATTCTGCTGCGGTAATGCTCTTCTCACCTAACATTTATGTGACATGAAAAGATCCTCTGAACTTATAAACCATTAGTATGTTTTGGAGACTTATTAGAAGATTTTCTTCAGATTAAAGTTCTATGAAAAATTCCTTCTAGAATATGCCCAGTGAATACTGGTGCCCTCTCCTGCAAAATATGTGGATTGAGTCATTTTGAAGATCCCCTGAGATCTTTCATGACTTTCCCCCCATGTTGAGGGCACCTCTCTAAATAGAACACTGAAATTAGTAGAAGGAAGATGAAAAAGAGAGACTAAACCTAGTGGTTTCCTTTGTCTGAGGCCTGTCTAAAGGGCTCTAAGGATAGCTGTGAAAGATTCTCTATTACTGTGGCAAAGACTGCCCCCTGAATAATTCGCTAGGCTCATTACAGTGGAATACTTCAGCATTCACCAAAATCAACGAAAATGAAACTTATTGTAAGAAAGTTTTTAAAGACAGATTCAGTTATCTTTCAAGGTATTAACAAAATCACCTGCCCAATGAATCATGGTTATATGCTGTTTTTCAGAATGTGATGTTGAATAATTTTAAAATGCTGTAATGCTAAAAAGGAGAGCAAGGACCCAGGTGGTCAGAGTGAGTGGCTATCTCTTAAAATTAACAGATGCCACATTTGAATAATCAAGATATTAAAAATAGTCATTTTGTTGATGCATTTATGTATTTTATTTACTGTTTTCTATCTCAATTCTGCAAGTCTTAGAATTTTTGAATTCCTTTCGTAGCTGTTACACATGTATTAAGTAAAAATAAAATGTGATATTGTTGTTTATATTCTCAATGAATGTATATATTATACTGAAAATAGCTTTAAAACATTTTGAAATATCTAAGTATTTACATATTTGTATAAATAAGCTTACAGGCAAATATTTCTATTTCTAGACTCCAATACTTTAAAAATTGGCTTATAATTATGGCTGTTCATATTAAATATCTTTCAGTACTCTGGTTTAGAAACAGAGCTAAATTCACATAAGAGGTGTATACATCATATTAAAGTGAAATTTCTTTGAAGTCCACTTCCTTTTTGCTCACATGGCCTTACCAACCTACAAATGGATCAGGAAGTCCAGTCCTTCCACACACACAGAATAGAATTAGAGATGTTTAGGTAAATAGCAGCAGTAGCTGCCATTGATGGGCTGCATCTCCATTCAAATATTCCATATGTATGCACCTAGTAAACAAGGAAAGAAATGGCAGCTCCAGATATGTCAATCAGATACCTGTATCATAGGGCTGACTGCCCCTACCTTTCTTGCCTATCATAAAAAAACAGATTCACAATCCCAGCACTTTGGGAGACCGAGGCAGGCAGATGAGGTCAAGAGATTGAGACCATCCTGGCCAATATGGTGAAACCCCATCTCTACTAAAAATACAAAAATTAGCTAGGTGTGGTGGTGAGGGCCTGTAGTCCCAGCTACTCAGGAGGCTGAGGCAGGAGAATCGCTTGAACCCGGGAGGCAGAGGTTGCTGTGAGCCAAGATCGCGCCGCTGCACTCTGCACTCCAGCATGGAGACAGAGCGAGACTCCGTCTAAAAAAAAAAAAAAAAAAAGAAACAGATTCACACTCAATAGTAGAATACTAGATAGACTCAAAAAGGACAGTTTGAGTGTCCTTTTTGAGGGATGTCATTGAAAAGGAAAAGAAAATAATGAAGTTCATGATTGGTGGTAGATTTTATTCACTTTTAACTTTTCTAACAACAGGGCATTTTCATTAGTGAGTTTCCCCCAAATATTTTGATTTAATCTACATAAAATGCATAGTTTTTGCAGAAACACCATGACTATATAAATGCATTACTTTACCAAAGTTCCATTAGCCGCAAGATACTAACATCCTAGCTTCTTTCATAGGCCATGCTGATTGAATCCAGGTTTTCTTTCTTGACAATGCTTACTATGAACATTTTGTGATTAAATATCATGTTTGATATAAGGGTACTTTTCATTTGCCAATATAAAAATGAACTTGGATAGCATTTTTAAGGTACTAAATGATGTCAGTCATAAGCCTTCTCATTAAAAAACAAACAAAAATCCTTATGTAAGCTTTTCATAAGTTCCTTTGATTTTTTTAAAGGAAGATAGTATGAGTTGATAAATACTTAACAGTTGGTAAATCCTTAATATTTATACCTAAGGATTTCAGAATTATAGATGGGAAGAATGAAAGAATATGGTGGCAGAGGTCAAATGTCTTATTTTCATCTTGGAATTTTTAGTTCAGAAATCTAACTTTCTTCAAGAGAATAAAAAAGAATAAAGAATTACCTATCTTCAGAAATTTAAAAGGTGATTAGCTTGAGGGTTTCTGTCCCCTTGCTCTCCCATCAGATTTTCATGCAGGTCAGCAGAAGGACAATTTGATTAGTGTTGATTAGCTCTTTGAATCCCATGCTTTTGGTTAATTTGCTTCGTTACTTATGGCTTTGCTACTTATCTTACAAAAAAAACCTTAAAGTTAAGTGGATTTAATGGGATAGAATACAAGCAATAAAGTAAAGCAGTTTGGTCTTTCTCTACTACTTTATCCTGCTTCTTTTTTTACAAAACAAAGAATGTCTGACATTTTGCCACATATATTTGCTTTTTTACATTTTTGTTGTCTCTCTCCCCCAAGCAAATAAGCTCTGCATGAGCATGGCCTATCTTTTACACCATTGTTATCTGCAGTGTCTAGAACAGTGTCTGGCACATTGCACGTACTCAATAAATACGCAAAGAATGGCATAAAGAGGTGATGAACTGATTAACCCATACTCTTTACCTGACCAGTAATTTAGAATCCATAGTGAATGTATATTTTATATTATCAGAATGGAGATGACAAAAATAGACATGTGGAATTATGTTAAATTAAAAAGCTTCTGTACAGTAAAGAAAGCAATCAATAGAGTGAAAAAGCGATCTATAGAATGGAAGAAGATATTTCTAAACTGTATATTTGATAAGAGATTAATTTCCAAAATATATAAAGAACTCCCACAACTCAGTAGTAAAAGACATGAACAATCCAATTAAAAATGGGCTAAGGACTTGAATGAATATTTCTCCAAAGAAAACATACAAACAGCTGACATGTATATGAAACAAATGCCCAACATCATTAATCATTAGAGTAATGCAAATCAAAACCACAATATCACCTCACATCTTGCAGGATGGCTGTTATATATAAAAAGAAAAGACAAATGATGAGGATATGGAAAAATTCGAGCCCTTGCACACTGTTGGTGGGAATGCAAAATGGTGCAACTGCTGTGGAAAACAGTATGGAGGTTCCTCAAAATTAAAATATGTGTATGATCCAGAAATTCCATTTCTGAGTACCTATTCAAAAGAATTGAAATTAGGATCTTGAACAGATACTAGAATAGATACATAGGAGTCTATGTTCGTTGTAGCATTATTCATGATAATCAAGATGTGAAAACAACTTAAATGTATACTAACAAATAAATGGATTAAAAGTGTGTTATATAACACAGTGGAATATGATTTAACCCTAAAAAAGAAGAAATCCTGTAGTATATGATAACGTAGATACACCTGAAAGACATTATGCTAAATGAAATAAGACAGTCACAGAAAGACAAATACTTCCACTTATATGAGGTATCTGAAATAGTCAGATTCATGGAAACAAAGAATAGAATTGTGGTCACCAGGAGCTGTCAGGAGAGGGAAAGAGGGAGTTCCTTATCAACGGGCATACAATTTCAGTTACACAAGATAAATGAATTCCAGAGATTTACTGTGCAACATTATGCCTACAGATAACAATACTCACACGCACTTAAACATCTGTTAAACGGGTAGATCTCATTTTAAACGTTCTTACCACAATTTAAAAAAAAAAAAAGAATGAAGGAGACAAGAGGAAGTAGCATACAGAATAAAAGCCTAATGGAAATCTTTGAGGTTTAAAGAGACACAGGTTTGCATAGCACCATGTGTTTGAGTCTACCATTTAGCAGCAAAACGATCATAGGATAATTCCAGTGCTGATACAGGTTGAATTTTTTAGCTGAATTTCAAACTATGCTTTATTAAAGTCTTTCTGAATGTCAGAAAAGTTCTATTCTGTTCCTGCTGCTTAATATAAGTGGACTCCCATGAGCTTCAGAAAGAATGGAAAGGGAAAAAAAATCAATTAATTATCTGGGGACTGTTTCTTAAGCTATCAGATGATTGAGGATGCATAAGACATCTGGTCATTAGAACCTGTATAATAGTTGCATGATTGATTTAGAGGAGAGTTAATACTCTAGTGACTGTGGAAGAGATGATACTTATTTTCAACTTTTACTAACATTTTAGTAGCGATGATTAACCAAAATTATACTAGCAGGTGTTAGTAAGTGCATTTCTGGAAGTGAAGTATTTTGAGGGTGTGGGTTGGGGGAGAACTTTAGTAAAATATGCTGCTTTATGTTTTGGAATTTTGAAATCTTAATTCTATACAGTTTCGTGATTATTATCAATAAATATATGGTAAAGATACTTAAAACAATAAGTACGTAGTGTTCCCATAATTAAAAATAACATTTCAGTAACAATAATAAACTTACTGCTGTGTTCATTATCAAGGTTGCCTCCTGTTCACTACCATTTCAAATTGAGTTCTGACTGAATAGTTGAGTTAAAAGCATTAGATGTTTGAGTTCCTTGTTATGGTAGAAACATTGTTATTTTCAGAATTAGCTATTTTTTGTTAATTATGCATTATTATCATTGTTACATAAAATTTTATAATTTTATAGCTCTTGGAATTAATGATGTTTTTTCTTTTGCTTAAACAGTTATATCTGTAGAGACAAGAAATGGATTCATCCCTTTTAAAATGTTCTTTTAGAAAAATATATCCATTATGATTAATCTTTGAAGATTTATAAACAAGAGGAAAATTGAATATCTATTTAGGAAAAATATCCAGGGTTTTTAGTTAGTGTGTCTTTTTCTAAGTTATTAGAATATTGGAATCCATTTTAAGAGACTTCTCATTTGTATTTACTTTTCTTGATTGCTTCCAAAAATTAGGTGTTAGTTGAGTCACCTATGCTGTTTAATAACTTCCTTCCTATGAAATGTACTTCCTGAGTGTCATGATATGTCATGTGAAGCAATTTCCCTTGTTTCCTAATTTGTGGATTATACTTTCCAGTTTGAATATTTTTCCCCACATGAACAGTTTGTCTCTGCACTTTACCAACCACCTTTGTTACTAATAAATGAAAGTGATGGTAATAGTGAGACCTGCATCAAGATATAGTCAATGAGAAAAACTAAACTACTAAGACCTTTTTCTTCTTCATTGGTGAGCTATCTGATTCTAACTTTGAGGTAGGTTTGGGTCCAGGGTACCTCATGTGTGATTGCCATAGGTGAGCAACTTTTGACTGGAACAGACTGAAAGAGTAAAAAATACTGTACTTTTCCTCAAAGAGTTTCAGGCATCTATGAAGTCAATTGCATTCAATAAGTTGCTGAATACAAAACTGATCTTTTCTCCCAGAGGCTATAGTCTGGTTGAGGAAACAAATATAAAATGCATATGGCAAAGGTGACAATTTTATAGGAGTAAAACGAAGTCTTAAGAGGGTTGAGAAAGAGAGACAAATTGTGATGAAATGAACTTGTGAAGGCCTTATTGAGAAGGGTACATTTGAATTTTGACTTGAAATCTGACTAGGACTTTTCAGGTAGATGTAAATGTTAGGATGCCTTCAAAGGTATTTGGGGAAGGATTCTAATGTCCAGAGTCCTGTTGTGCCAGAGTTAGGAAATACGTGGCTCTCAAGACTGAATTTTATCTGGTTAAGGGAGCCACCCTCTGAGAAGCTTCTGACATTTCACTTCTTACCAAGATAATTTGTGGTCTATATAATCCTGAATATTTGTTGACATCCAATAATGTGATAATGCTGGACCTAGGAAGAAACTGAAGTTCCAAGATTTCTAGTAACACTTGGATTCCTTCCTGCATGCTCAAAAATTTAAGGTGACATAAGCTCAAAGAAGAAAGCCAGAGGAGAAATTCTAGGGCAAAAGCAAAGTTATTTTTTCAGATAAGAACCTCTTTGCTGCCTTCTGTATCACCCTCATCTATGTTTGGGTATGATATGAGTGAGTAAATTAATTAGGTTTTTCTGGAAGATGGAGGAATTGAGAGGAACTTGGGAAATTACATATTTGTCGGAGCTATTAAACTCTGTCTTTTGAATAAGGATTTGAATGGATCAGGGCTTTACTTTGTGCCATGAGCTGTATAAGGTATTAATAAATTCCTCTAAGGTTTTGCCTTTGACCATGAGTAACATCTGCTATAGTTTCATTTTCTCCACTCAGCAACTAGGAGCTTGCTGGAGAAAAGTTACTAAACTCAGAGCCATCCAATTGCTTTTATATCAAACTACTATTCTTTTTTTTTCTTTGAAATAAATTAACTGTATTACTTGCGCTTAATAGAACACTTATGGCCTCAGAAAGAACTAGAGTTTGAATTAACAGACACTTGCTTTTTTTTTATTATATACTTAAATTCTGGGATACATGTGCAGAACGTGCAGGTTTGTTACATAGGTGTACATGTGCCATGGTGGTTTGCTGCACCCATCCACCCATCACCTACATTAGGTATTTCACCTAATGCTGTCCCTCCCCTAGCCCTGCAGTCCCCCAACAGGTCGTGGTGTGTGATGTTCCCCTCCCTGTGTCCATGTGTTCTCATTGTTCAGCTCCCACTTATGAGTGAGAACATGCAGTGTTTGGTTTTCTGTTCTGGTGTTAGTTTGCTGAGAATGATGGTTTCCAGCTTCATCCATGGCCCTGAAAAGGACATGAACTCATCCTTTTTTATGGCTGCATAGTATTCCATAGTGTATATGTGCCACATTTTCTTTATCCAGTCTATCATTGATGGACATTTGGGTTGGTTCCAAGTCTTTGCTATTGTGAATAGTGCCACAGTAAACATACGTGTGCATATGTCTTTATAGTAGAATGATTTATGATCCTTTGGGGATATGCCAGTAATGGGATTGTTGAGTCAAATGGTATTTCTAGTTCTAGATCCTTGAGGAATCGCCACACTGTCTTCCACAATGGTTGAACTAATTTACACTCCTACCAACTGTATGAAAGCGTTCCTATTTCTCCACATCCTCTCCAGCATCTGTTGTTTCCTGACTTTTTAATGATTTCCATTCTAGCTGGTGTGAAATGGTATCTCATTGTGGTTTTGATTTGCATTTCTCTAATGACCAGTGATGATGAGCTTTCTTTCATATGTTTGTTGGTTGCATAAATGTCTTCTTTTGAGTAGCATCTGTTCATGTCCTTCATCGACTTTTTGATGGGGTTGTTTGTTTTTTTCTTATAAATTTGTTTAAGTTCCTTGTAGATTCTGGATATTAGCCCTTTGTCTGATGGACAGATTAGATTACAAAATTTTTCTCCCATTCTGTAGGTTGCCTGTTCACTCTGATGATAGTTTCTTTTGCTTTGCAGAAGCTCTTTAGTTAAATTAGATCCCATTTGCCAATTTTGACTTTTGTTCCCCTTGCTTTTGGTGTTTTAGACATGAAGTCTTTGCCCATGCCTGTGCCCTGAATGGTATTGCCTAGGCTTTCTTCTAGGGTTTTTATGGTTTTAGGTCTTACATTTAAGTCTTTAATCCATCTTGAGCTAATTTTTTATGAGGTGTAAGGAAGGGGTCCTGTTTCAGTTTTCTGCATATGGCTAGCCAGTTTTTTCTGCATATGGCTAGCTTTTGTTCTTAAGCTAGTTTGGTGGGTACTTATTTCACCTTCCTTTAGGAATATTTTTTTCTACCCAAGATGGAAATTTTATCACAACCAATACAAGTTGCCTTTGGAACCCCTCCCCACCCTTATATTTAGTAAGTTAAACTATCCTTTAAAAAAAAAACTAATTATTCCACTCTCTGCAGCAAATAGGTTCTCTGCATCTAATGCATTGGGGAATACTACCTATAGTCACTCACTTGCAGAAAGCTGGAAGATCATTACCGTGTGAGTAGAAAGAAGTAGCAATTACTTTTACTTATTATGGCATTGGTCACCAGCCAGGTGACAAAAAACCTTGAAGTTGGCAAGTAAAATGCAATAGGTGGTGAGGAGAGTGTATTATGAATTTCTGTCATATTGTTCATCTTAATGCACTCAAAATTTTAACATTGTATTTTGTAAATCCTCAAAATATGTCTGTGGACCAAAATCTGAGGTACTTAACCATTCTAATGATAAATGTGAGCTCTTTGGGTGTCTGAGTGTTAAATGAGATAATCTACTAGAAAGTGCTTAAAACAGTGCCTGGAAAGTAGCAAACACTCTATAATGTTATCTATTATTATTAAATTGAAATCCTTTCTTTGATCATTGGAAATATAATTTTTATAATGCATTTTATTTTCTTATGAACTGGAATATTTTATTGATATCTGTCAATTCTTGAGCAGACACTCATTCAATAGTATTTACTAAGCAGCTACTACATGCCAGACATTGTCCTAGGAATTTAAAGTTTAGTGGCAAACATGGTAAGTAAAGTTCTTTTCTTCATACCACTTAGTCAAATAGTAACAATAGACACTTAAAATATTTATAATAAATATTGGTAAAAACTATGGTACTAGTTGCTATGTGAAGACATTTTAGGGCACTTACCTAATTGAGAGACAAGTCAGGTATTATGGAAGAGTTCATTTTTTTGGTGATTCTTGATGGTATTGTGTCTTGGGGTCAGGTGTCAGTTCCCTGTTTCCCTGTTTTCAGGCTAATTATTCTATACTTTTATCCTGAAAGAATCAAATATCTGTCCTCACTGGAGATTTTCTAGACTTACATTTGTTTTTCCTAATTAGTATATCTCTGCAAGCATTACCTTATATGAACTTACTAAATACTGATGCATGTAGTAATACAACACATACATTTCTGACTTCACTAAATAACTCCTATATCTAAAAGCACCTGGCTGTATAGTATTTAAAAATGATATATCAAAGGCTCAGATGCATAATTGGGTCACAAAATGCAGTATCTGTGTAGATCTGGTGACCAATATAAACAGTGCTAATTTTCTCACAGCCATAGATTTGGAAACTGAAGATATAAACACGAGGCAAGTTCTTCTCACTATTAAACCTTTTGCCAGATTCAGAAAAAGTTTTGACTTGTAGGAGAAGAATAATCTCCGTCGGTTTTTAGTTGGAATGGACCCCTGTTACAAAAGGCAGATAGAAAAACAAACAGAAGTTTATAAATGTACATTTCATACACACATGGGGGACACCCAGGGAATGAGTAGTTCTCAAAGAGGTGGCTTTGAATTCCAGTTTATACAGCACCTTCAACAAAGAACAGTAAATTTTTAGAAAAGTGACACAGCAAAGAAGATGGACTCTGAGTCTCCAGGGTTGTCAACTTGTGGAAAAGCAAATACATGACAGATAATGTCTAGTTAGTAAAGCTTACTAAAGTAGATTCCTGTGGTACCATCTTCAGGTTGATAAGAGTTCAAAGCTGTCTTCAGTGGTTAACCTTTGTTCTCCATGGTAGAAGCGGGGACAGGATACCTTTTGTCTTTGTAAATCTGTGTCCTGCTTTGTGGCAAATACAGGGAGGTCAGACAGCTTTCTTGTATCTGCTCCTCCACAATTCTTCATATTTTGGGGTGGCATATTCTGGTCTCCCACAGTACCCATTTGTGAGACTCTTGATCTAATAGACTAGAAGTTTTAGTATTGTCTTAGTCAATTTTCTGTTACTTATAATAGAATACCTAAAACTGGCTGATTTATAAAGAAAAGAAATTTATTTCTTGCAGTTATAGAGGCTGAGAAGTCCAAGGGCAAAAAGCCATATCTGCTGAAAATCTTCTTGCTATTGGGGACTCTCTGAAGATCTGATTATCTAGGAGAAATAAGGGTCAGGGAAAATGGATGGAATGCCAGGAATTCTTTGGGATGACTTCTTTTAGGAATCAATTTTAATCATTTGACTTGTAATGATAAAGGTTCCTGGAAGACACTTCAAAGGTGTCAGGTCTTCTATATTTTTAAGAAATAAACACCTGTAGACATACCCAAATTATTGAACTTGTGGTTTACGATTTCTAGTTATATTTTTCATAATTTTTCTATAAATATAGCATTAATACTCACTAGATAGATTTTTTATGTTTTTAAACCTCATCTAAAATAGATAATATCTTGTACATCTTTAGGTAATATGTTTATTTTGTTCAACATTATAATTTTGGTATTTATATGGGTAAAGTTATCTCTATTTCATTCATTTTAACTACTGCATATTGTTCCATTGTATGAATATGTCATAATTTGTCCTTCCTCTTTTGATGAACAATTTAGATTATTTACAGTTTTTATTTCTATATTATTATAGTCAACATTATAGTGAACATTCTGTGCATGTCTTTTGTACACATAATTTTTTATATACCTAAAAGCAGAATTTCTAGGTTTTAGGGAAAATATGTCTTTAGTTTTATTAGATAGTAGTTCTCTAATAAGGTTGTATAAAATATATAATTACAAAACAGTGTGTAAGCCTTAATATTGTAAGACTTTTCTGATGTGTACAAAGCTTGTTCTCAGTTTTGTTTTACTTTGCATTTTCCCAATTAATGTGAGATTATTTAGGAGATTTATTGGATTTTTGTGTGTGTGTGTGAATTGTCCTTTAAAATCCTTAAAGCTTAATTTTTTTGGTTACCAATACTCACAAATGTTCCCATGGCAAAAGATGGGTCAGTGCCAATGTATCACTTTGTTTGTTTTTAGCCTCCTCTTTGTGATTTTCAGTCTACATTCCCAGATTGAAATTTTCTTATTTTCTTTTTTTAATCAAAATTTAAAATTTATATTTTTGTCACATAAAACAGTAAAACCCTAATATTTTACAAGTTTAATTTATTTTTAGGGACTTCATGATTAATTAACCACCACCAGAGATTTATACAGTTCAGACTATTCTGATCACCACTAGCTATTATAGTTATCTCAGCCACTTTCCTTCTGGTATTGTCCTCTGGACTCTACCTATACAGGGTATTTTCATTCCCACTAAGATTATGGAGCCTGTTTTAACTCTATTATCTTTCACACTCTTCCTAAGCTTCAGAACAGTCAACAAAGTAACTTTTATGGATACTGACACTTCTTGTACCAATGCATGCAAAAGATAGGTTTTTAACCCTCTTTAGGGACAAAATTAAAGAGAAAAGAGGGAATATACATGATTGGTGATAACAGTTTGGCTCTGTGTCCCCACCCAAATCTCATCTCGAATTGTAACCCCCAGGTGTAGAGGGATGGGGGTGATTGGATCATTGGGGCCATCTCCCACATGCTAGTCTCATGATAGTGAGTGAGTTCTCAGGAGATCTGATTGTTCTATAAGCCTCTAACATTTGCCTGGCTTGAAATTTTATCTCCTGCCACCGTGTGAAGAAGATCTTGCTTCCCATTTGTTTTCCACCATGATTATAAGTTTCCTGAGGTCTCAACAGCCACACTGAGCTGTGTGTCAATTAAACCTCTCTTTCCTTTATTAATTACCCTGTCTCAGATATTTCTTTATAGCAGTATAAAACAGACTAATACAATTGGTAAAAGCAAAACTCCATTTTTATTATTTTTAAATTCCTCTGAATTCTGGCCTCTATGCCATAGGATTTCTGGCATGTCACATTTCTTTAGAGAATTTCAATGTTCAGTCTAGGTTCATTAAAAAATACTAATAAAGTTTAGGAACATACTTGGTGTTTCAGAAGACATATGGTAGGTATATTTTTTTGAAAGTACATGGATTTTGAGAAATTCAGACCAATCTAAATTTTACTTTGCCTTCCTTGGTGATGTACTCTTAAAGGCCAAAATAACAGATTTATAACAGTATAAACCAGCAAATTCTTGCCATTCTTTTGGTTTGTTGGTCTTCTCTATACAAGTTTGGTTTTACATATACACCCAGGCATTCTTGAGTCTGGTTCTAGTTACTGGTTTAATGACAATGATTTAAGGCAGAAAAGGAATAATTACCACATATAAGGGAGACTCCTCAGGCAAGGAAACAGCAGCTTTTTTTTTTCTTTTTTTTTTTAAAGCCAGGGAAGAAGAGCAACTTCCAAATAATAAAAATAATTTCTTTCTTAGGCAATGACAGTGTAGAGTGCTTCATAGGAGATGATGCAGTGAGTCATTCCTTCCTGTTTCTTTTCCCCTTTTAAGAGTACTGTTTTTGTGATCATTGCCTTATGGCCACAAATAAAAAGCAAAGAGTTAGGCTATATGTGCTAAACTACAGAATCAGTTGAATTCTTACTTTTTCATGAGCATCAGTTCATATTTTAATTTGATAGTTTGGGGTTTTAAGCCTGTCATTCTTTCGCAATGTCATAGAAATCAGCCACCCTACCAGAGGGATACTCACATTTCTTGTGCTCTTCAAAATATTTTATGGTGCCCACAACTTTTTCCTTCTGAAACTTGCTCTCAGTAAGACTTTGTTCTAGATCATAATAAGTAAATATTTAATTGGCTATTTTGTTATAAGACTCCAAATTTTCTATCCTGGAATCATATATGCACATATTAATGGAAAGTATTTCTCTTCTACCCCATGTCAACAGCACAGTCCCAAACAGTCTACAATTCCCTAGATATTATCAGTTCTCATTTTTGTACCAATATCTGTATCAATTCAGATCTTTGCAAGCAAGTGAAACTGATTTTGGCTAACTTAATAAGTGAATTTGAATTTGCTGAAAACCTAAGGGAGTTATAGAATTATTGAAAAGGTTAGAGAGCAAGGTTTGAAAATTAATTGTAATCAAGGCATTTTGGGGACCCAAGAATCACAAATTCCAGGAAGAGATCTATAACAACATGGACTGGGTGTTGCCACTTTGTATGAGCAATGGTATTTCTTCTATCCTTGCATAACCATTTCAATATTTAAATCTCCAGAAGATAGAATCCAATTATGGAAGTATAGATCATTTACTAGGGAGTAAGAAAGAAATTTGTGGTTCTATTTGAAATGGGAAATGGAGTTTGGATGATCAAAACTAACAAGTTACCTTCTACACATGGGAAGTTATAAGCCAATGTAGCTTTTGAAAATATACATAATATTTTGTTTGTGTGTTTTGTTCTAAAGTATTTTAATAGATGAGTGTTAACCAACTTAAAATTGTGATAATATATGTATATTTTTACATTGGTTGTCTTATTTTATGCTCTCTGATTTTTTTGTACTTCATTGAAAGTTTATAATTTTGAAAGTTTATATATAAAAATATAAAAAAGTTTCTATATGTAAAGTATAAAAATATAATTCCAAACAACTGAATCATTTGCAATAAGAAAATATGCTCAAATTTTAGCAATTATAATAATATACTATACTATATTTTAAATGATTTATTAAGACATATAAGGACTTATTTTAGAAATTACTATAGAAATTATTATGTTTGGCTTTTATAAGAAATACTGTATTTCTGATCATTTTTCCTTTATATTGTTGATAGTCTTAGAGGAGGCTAATATGAAATGAGTTTTTGCTTGGGCTCATTTTGGGAAACATGTAAAATGTTAATAAACGTTTATCTCAATTTTGACTTAATAGTGATATACATTTGAGACCCAGGAGACTCAGCATATGGTGAAGGTTCACAGAGACACGTGCAGATGGAGAATACCACTGCTAAACTGGCAACACTTGGTTAAACACCAGAATGGATTACATACAATCAATGCGAGGAACCTGGAAATCAAGGCTGGAAAGAAGCCTTAAGTAAGGCAATTTGTCTAGAGATGAAACATGAGAAGAAGGCCAGAGTAAGGAGGGGTGTCAAAACCTAGCAGAGGAGTTAATAGGCAATATTGTTATCAGAAAGGAAAGTATTACAGGGAATTATGATCCAGTCAATTAGTAGGGTCAGTACAAAGCAGCAGCAAGAAATGTTTGTTTAGGAGAAATAAGCCACTTGCGTAGAAGAGGTATCGGTTGCTAAGGAAGATCATGATATGACAAATAAGAAAGTAAGATTGAAGACAAAGATCGAAGAACAAGGAACAGAAGCTAGCAATGGTTTAGAGAAGTCTTTAGACAAAAGCCTGTGGAAAGAAACGGGTGTGAGGGTGAAAGGTGCTCCTTTCATGCAATAAAATGTTGCAGAGAAAACTAGTTAAATTATTTTACATTTCTTTCATTTTTTCCCATATAGATTTCAGAGCTTAAAGAATTCTTAAAGACTTATTATGATTTGATCTAACGATGAACCAAATTATAAAAAATTAAGCAAGTTTAAGTTGTTTAGGAAAAAATTATAAAACAAATTCTTCAGTTGTATTGAGGGCTTATAGTATCTCATATGCTGACTTTTAAAAATGAAACTAACATTTTTTTCATCATGAGAAGGGAAAAGGTTTTTAAAGTTTTTGTTATGAAGCATGTATAATACACACAAAAGTGAAGAGCGTAAAGAAAAACTACCATTTCTTAGCTTGAATAATCATCAACTTCCTACATATTTTTATTCTACTTATTGCCCCCATTTTGTGGTATTTATATTCCCAATTATTTGAAATAAAATCCTAAAATCATATTATTTAAGCATAAATAATTCATTATGTATGTCAAGTAAATTATGACTCTTTTTTAAACATAATAATATCACATCCAACAAAATTTACGTAACTCCTTAAGACCAGCATTCCTTTGTCAACAAACAGAGCTTTTACTATATTTATTTTAGATTTTCATATGACATAAACTAATTCATCTTCCTAGTCGATAAAGATGCAAAAGGCACTTTGAGATTTATTTGCAAACAAGCCACCCTAATACTATTTTCCTGAGAGTGTGTTTCTGAGGATACTGAAAACTTTGTGTCGTAGATACACTATGGGGTCAGGTAGTACAACCATTTTGTATCCTAATAACTGTGTTCGTGGCTTTGACATTTCCAGTGAAAAGAGGATTGGAGAAATATCAGGTACTATCATGGATGAAAGAAAAAATATTTCATTTCAGCATTGGAAGAACTAAGCATTTGTCCAACTTTAGATGTTATCCTTGGCTAGGGACCTATAATTGCTCTCACAGCCCAAACAGAACCAGGTATGAGGGATGCATGTTAACTCTCTGTTAACCGGGAACTCTGTTAAAGGTGCTAATGTGAGAGATATTAGAACATAGATTCCTGAGGAAGTCTAAAAAGAGTCTGGAGAAATAATTTTATCTACCTGTTTCCTTCTAGAAAAGAACACACAAGCCAAAGATACCAGAAATAAATTGTTGGGGAGAATTGTTTACTTAAACTCTGTGCACACATACAAATTACATTGTTCTTGATTACATGGCAAAACAATAAAAAAATAATTTTTCCACTGATGAAGACAAATATTATTTGATGAGATTATATTACTGATTAATTTTTGAGGACTTATTTAACCCAGGCTTCATGCTTCATATAATGTGAGTTCAATCTCCACTCTCAAGGCATTTATAGCTCAAAGAGCCTGTAAAACAGGAAAATATTTTTATGGTTATTAATACTGCAACATGTATATTTAAAAATTACAGAGGAAAATTAAAGGCCATTTGACTACAGACTAGATAAAATGGTAGATAGCCAAACAGAAATTAGATAGAAAAATCTAACAAATATTAAGTACATACAGGCACACTTCAGAGATATTGTGGGTTTGGTTCCAGACGAGTAAAATCAAGTGAATATCACAATAAAGTGAGTCACAAATTTTTTGGTTGCTTGGTGCATATAAAGTTATGTTTATTATTAATTGTGCAGTAGCATTATACAGACCTTAATTTAAAAGTTCTTTACTGCTAAAAATGCTGACAATCATCTGAGCCTTCAGGGAGTTGTAATGTTATTGCTGGTGGAGGGTCTTGCCTTGATGTTGATGGATGCTGACTGATCAGGGTGGTGGTTCCTGAAGGTTAGGGTAGCTGTGGCAATTTCTTAAAATAAGGCAACAATGAAGTTTGCCACATCAATTGACTTTTCCTTTCAGGAAAGATTTCGCTCGCTGTACTATGTGATGCTATTTGATTGCATTTTGCCCACAGTAGTATTTCTTTTAAAATTGAAGTTCATCCTCTCAAACTCTGTCATTGCTCTATCAATTAAGTTTAGGTAATATTCTAAAGCCTTTGTTGTCATTTCAACATCATTCATAGCGCTTCACCAGGAGTAGATGCCATCTCAAGAAGCCACTTTCTTTGCTCATCCATAATCACAATCATCATGAGATTACAGCAATTCAGTCCTGTATTCAGGGTCCACTTTGAATTCTAGTTCTCTTGTTATTTTCATCACTTACACAGTTACTTTCTCCACTGAAATCTTGAGCCACTCAAAGTCATCTATGAGGGTTGGAATCAACTTCTTTCAAACTCCTGTTCATGTGGATATTTTGACCTCCTCCCATGAATCACTAATGTTCTTAATGGCATCCAGAATGGTGAATCCTTTCCAGAAGGCTTTCAATTTACTTTGCTCTGATTCATCAGAGGAATCACTATCTGTGGCAGCCATAGCCTCACAAAATGTATTTCTTAAATAATAAGACTTGAAAGTCAAAATTGCTTCTTGATCCAGAGGCTGCCGAAAAAAAGTTTACTTGTTAGTAGGCAGAAAATCAATGTTAATTTCATTGTATGTCTCCATCACAGCATTTGGGTGACCAAGAGCACTGTCAATGAGCAGTAATATTTTGAAAGGAGTCTTTTTTCTGAGAAGTAGGTTTTAACATTGGCTTAAATATTGAGTAAACCATGCTGTGAACAGATATGCTGTCATCCAGGCTTTCTTGTTCCATTTATAGAGCACATGCAGAGTACATTTAGCATCATTATTAGGAGCTGAATTTTAGGATGGTAAATGAGTATTGGCTTCAATCTAAAGTCATCAGCTGTATTATTCCCTGACAAGAGAGTCAGCCTGTCCTTTGAAGTTTTGAAGCCAAGTATTGACTTTTCCTCTCTAGCTATGAAAGTCCAAGATGGCATCTTCTTCCAATAAAAGGCTATTTTGTCTATATAGAAAATCTGTTGTTTAGTGTAGCTACCTTCATCAATTATCTTAGCAAAATTTTCTGGATAATTTGCTGCAGTTTCTGTATCAGCATTTGCTGCTTTGCCTTTCATTTCTATGTTGTGAAGACAGCTTTCCCTAAGCCTCATGAACCAAGCTTTGCTTGCTTTCAGCTCTTCTGCAGCTTTCTCACCTCACTTAGCCTTCATAAAGTTGAAGAGAGTTAAGGTCTTTCTCTGGATTAGGCTTTGGCTTAAGGGTGTGTTATGGCTGGTTTGATCTTTCATCCAGACCTCTAAAACGTTCTCCATGTCAGCAATAAAGCTGTTTTGCTTTCTTATCATTCATGTGTTCATTGGAATGGCACTTTTAATTTCCTTTAAGAGCTTTTCTTTTGTATTAATAACTTGGCTCACTGTTTGATGCAAGAAGCCTAACTTTCCTCCTGTCCTGGCTTTTGACATGCCTTCTTCACTAAGCTTAATTATTTCTACCTTCTGATTTAAAGTAATACATGTGACTCATTCTTTTTAAGTAAACACTCAGGGGCCATTGTAAGGTTGTTAATTGGTCTAAGTTTAATATTGTTGTGTCACAGAGAGCAGGGAGGCATCAGAAAAATGGTGTAGGAAGCCTACATATTGCAGAGTCTAGAGTTGCATTTTGGGGAGCCCAATATTTTATGTGAGTTTTTTTCTTAGATCATTTCTCAACTCAAGGAATAGGAGAGAGGCCAAAATTCTGGGCAGAAGATGGCTGCTCAGAGGCAGAAAACCCAGAAGAACTTTCAGCAATTTCATAGTTTTGGGGGAGACCGAAATTGGAATGAGACTGCCAAGGCAGCCAAGGCTGGAGGGACTAGAGATCTGGAGTAAACCCAACATTCAACACTAGTTTTTCCCTCAAGATATTTGCTGATTTTTAAGTTCCATGGAAAGGGAGTCTAAAATGTCAAGCAGAAAATAGGTGAAAAGAAGAGCTGAGTTTCTTTTTTAATCATATTGTAATGCTGGAAAGGTAAAAGTTCCAATTTAAGGCCATTAAAGGGGAAGCAGCACTCAAGAATTTCATTTGTAAACCACCATGAGCAATATCCTAGGAGGTACATCAAAGGTAGACTGTATCTTCCTAGGAGTATAGCTCAACCCCAATCATTTCAGCATTTGGCTGGACTGAGCTAATGTGTCCCTTTTCTAGCTGCCTTCCAACAAAAAGGGTGAATTCACTATTGAGGGAGATAACTTCTACCAATACCTCAGTTATTTCTCATATAAAATATTTGATTTTCAATAAAAATTACCAACAAACCTCAAAACAACCAAAGGGAAAAGAAACACTAGGAAGAGACCCACAGTTGACCCAGATATTGGAGTTATCAAATGCAAACTTGAAAAAAAATGGATTATTATTTTGAAGAAAATAGATGAAAAATGAAGAATTTCACCAAAGAAATAGAATATAAGAAAAAAAATAGGCACTGTAGAACTGAAAAATACCCACACTGACCGTAAGAAGTCAGTGGATCAGTTTAATGGCACAAGGTACACAGTGAAGACAGAGTTGGTAGACTGGAAGCCTATCTTGTATGCTCTCAGTGCTCAATGCAGATCCCTTTCCAATGCTAGAGGCCCTGTCCCTTGGGCCCTCTGAGTCCTGGCTGCTACCAGTTCACAACTGTACTTGCTCTGGAGAAATGCCAAAACTATGTCACCCAGAGATGCTGGGGGTTATATCCCCTCCTGAGGGTGACTCCTAGCCAATAAATATTTTTAAAAAACATGTAACATGAAATTTACTCTCTTAAAAAATGCAGCCAATAATTGACAGATATAAGTATATTAAAACCAAAATTCCTTAAGTAAGGTCAGGTTTGAGCACCCTTCGTTATCGAAAGTGCCTATGGGATCTGGCTGAGCTTAGACTCTAGCTGAACCCAAACCTATGCTTGGCTCCTCCTTTTCTGCTTTCCTGCTTCTCTTTTCCTTGCAGTTTTCTCTAAAGAGCACTCAATAAATCACTTACACAAGAATCTTTAGCTCGTGCTCTTCCCCAAAGGAATCTGACCTAGGAAAGAATGACATGTATTAATGACAAAAGGCTAATCCACTGGAAAGTGTCATAATTTTGAATCTTTTCCCTGATGGCATAGCTTCAAAAAATATAAAACTAAGAAAAGATAAAACAAAAAAAATGAGTAAGATCTCAAAATCCTACATAACATTAGTGAGAGAAATTAAAATAAGACCTGTATAAATTGAGAGGATACTTCAAGTTCTCACCAAAAGTTGTCATGAGGCTTCTGGGATAAATTGCATATTCTATTTATTGATCTGGAAGGTAATCAGATGCATGCATTTTATTTTGTAAAAGTAAGTGTTTAGAAAGATAGAGTTAGTTCAGAGATGTTTAAATCAATTATCAAATGGATAAGGGATATACTTTGGGTTCATTTGTTATTTCTTAATATTTTATGCCAGTGTTATTTTTTACCTCAGATCTTAAGTGTTTTATTAGTTCTTTTTAACTATGTCATCTAATCTCCTCAAAATGATTGCTTTTTTTATGAATCTAAGAATATTAATTACAAGCTGTGTTGTTATGTTATTAATTTCATGAATGTGTTTACCAAACTGTAAACTATGTAATGAAGTGCTTAAATATTTATTTGCCTATTTGTTTCTGACAATTATGTTTATTTATGGAGTACAATAGGGTGTTTTGATCTATGTATATATTATAGAAAGATTCAATTAAATGAGTTAACATATCCAACACCTCACCAATTTGTCATTTTTTTTTGTAGTGAGAACGTTAAAAATCCATTTTTTAAACAATTTTGAAATATACAATTATTTTTCAAATATAATACATTATTATTAACTGTGGGTCACTATGCAGTACAATAGATCACTAAAACATATTCCTCCAGTCTAACCAAAACCTCATACCCTTTGATCAACATAACCCCTTTCCCTATCTTGTCCCTTCTACCCTCAGCCTCTGATACCAACTTTCTACTCTGTTTCTATGAGTTGAACTTTTCTAGATTCCACATGTAAGTGAGCTCATATGGTATTTGTCTTTCTTTGTCTGACTTATTTCACTTAGCATAATGTCCTCCAGTTCCATCTATGTTATTACATATGACAGAATTTCTTACCTTCTTAAGGCAGTATTGTATTTCATTGTGTATATATATAACATTTTCTTTATCCATTCATCTGTTGATGGACACAGGTTGATTCTATATCTTGGCTATTGTGAATGATGCTGAAATGAATGTGGGAGTATAGATATCTATTTGCAATATTGATTTCAGTTCCTTTGGATATATACACAGAAGTGGGATAGCTGGATCATATGGTAGTTCTATTTTTAGTTCGTTGAGAACACTCAATACAGTTTTCCATAGTGGGTGTACTGATTTACATTCCCACCAGCAATGCACAAGGGTTCCCTTTCCTCCATATCCTCATCAACACGTGTTGTCATTTTCTTTTTGATAATGGCCATGATGAAAGGAATCAGGTTAATATCTTCTCATTGTAGTTTTAATTTGCATTTCCCTGATAATTAGAGATGTTGAAGATTTTAATATATCTGCTGTCCATTTATAATTTTATTTTTAGAAATGTTTGTCCATATTCTTTGTTCATTTTTTAATTGAGTTGTTTTCTTCCTGAGTTGTTTTAGTTATATATATATTTTGTATATTAACACCTTATCAAATGTATAGTTTGTAAATATTTTCTCCCAGTTCATGAACTGTCTCTTCATGCTTGTAATTGTTTCTTTGGTATGCAGAAGTCTTTTCAGTTTGATGCAGTATTATTTGTCTATTTATACTTTTGTTATCTGTGCTTTTGGTGTCTTATCCCAGAAATAATTGCCCAGACCAATGTTGTGGAAAATTTTCTGTTTTCTTCTATTAGATTTACAGTTTGAGATCTTACATATGAATCTTTTATCCACTTTGAGTTGATTTTTGTAACATGTCAGATGAGGGCCCGATTGCATTCTTCTTCATCTGGATATCTAATTTTCCCAACACCATTTATTAAAAAGACTGTCCTTTCCCCACTGTATATTCTGGCACATTTGTCAAAAATCAATCGATCATAAATACTTGGGTTTATTTCTGAGCTTTCTATTATGCTTCTTTGGTTGATGTATTTATTTTTATGTCAGTACCATGCAATTTTTATAGCAATAGCTTTATAATACATTTTGAAATCAGGGAATGTGATGTCTCCAGCTGTTCTTTTTGCTCAAGATGGCTTTGGCTATTCATAGTCTTTTATGGTTCTCTACAAATTTTAAAATTAATTTGCTATTTCTGTGAAAAGTGACACTGGAATTTTGATGGATATTGCATTGACTCTATAGAGCACTTGGGATAGTATACACATTTTGACAATATTAATTATTCTAATCCATGAACATGGAATATCTTTTCATCTGTTTGTGTCTTCTTCAATTTTTTTTCATTGATGTTCTATAGTTTTTAGTGTACAGATCTTTCACTTCTTTGGTTTAATTTACTAGTAAGTATTTTTAATGCTATTGTAAATAGAATTGTTTTCTTAATTTTTTGGGTGGGTAGTTTGCTGTTAGTGTATAAAAACTAATTTTGTATGCTTATTTTGTAAACTGTGTCTTTAGTAAATTTGTTTATCAGTTCAAACAGTTTTGGGTGAAGTCTTTATGGTTTTCTATATATAGAGAGAGTCATATGTCCAGTAGATGGAGACAATTTTATTTCCTCCTTTCTTCATACAGGTGGCTATTATTTCTTTGTCTTGCAAAATTGTTCTGACTAGGACATCCATACTATGTTAAATAGAATTAGTGAGAGTGATATTAGTTCTTCCTTAGCGGTTTGATAGAATTCAGCAGCAAAGCCATCAGGTCCTGGGCTTTTGTTTGATAAGATTTTTTTTATTACTTATTTAATTTTTTACTTATTAGTTTGTTTTGATGTTCTATTTTTCAGGATTCAGCCTTGGTAGGGTACATGTTTCTAAAATGCATCATTTTATTCTATGTTATCCATTTTTTGGTATATAGTTGTTTATAGTAGTATCTTAAAAACCTTCGTGTTTCTGTTGTATCTGTTGTGAGGCCATCTCTTTCATTTCTGATTTTGTTTGAGTATTCTCTCATTTTTCTGTTAAAGTTTTGTAGATTTTGTTTATCTTTCAAAAAACAAGCCAACTTTCATTTTGTTGATTTTTTCTATTTTTCTAGTCTCTATTTTATTTCTTCTGATCTTTGTTATTTCCTTCCAAGAATGATATATTCAGCAATTCTGTCCTTCAAAAATGAAAAGTAAGGTAAATAACTTTCTCAGGCAAACAAAACCTGACCTACCTTATAAAAACTAGACCTACCTTACTAGACCTACCTTACAAAAACTGCTAAAGGGAGTTATTCAAGCTGAACAAAAAGGTTGCTAAGTAGCAACATAAAAACAGAAAAATTTAAAACTCACTTGTACATGTGAGTATATAATCAAACTCAGAACACTCAGGTTTTAATGATGGTATGAAAATCAGCTATATTGGCTGGGCACGGTGGCTCATGGCTGTAATCCCAGCACTTTGGGAGGCCGAGGCGGGCAGATCACGAGGTCAGGAGATCGAGGCCATCCTGGCTAACACGGTGAAACCCCGTCTCTACTAAAATACACAAAAAATTAGCCGGGCTTGGTGGTGGGCACCTGTAGTCCCAGCTACTCAGGAGGCTGAGGCAGGATACTGGCGTGAACCTGGGAGGCAGAACTTGCAGTGAGCCCAGATCGAGCCACTGGGCGACAGAGTGAGATTCCATCTCAAAAAAAAAAAAAAAAAAAAAAAGAAAGAAAGAAAGAAAATCAATTATATCTGTAGTATGAAAGTTAAAAGGAAAAACTATTAGAAATATCTATAGCTACAATAAGTTGTTAGGGACACAAACTATAAAAGATATAAAACGTCATCAAAAACCAATTGTGAGGGGGAAGTAAAAGTGTAGAGTTTGTGCAAGTGATAAAAGTTGTTATTGGCCTAAAATAGCCTGTTTTAAATATAAGATATTTTATGTAAACCTCATAGTAACCACAAAGCAAAAATAGTTAGTAGATACACAACAGATAAAAACAAAGGATTTAAATACTACCATAGAAAATTATCAAACCTCAAAGGAAGGCAGCAAGAGAAGAGAGAAGCAAAGCATCTACAAATTAACCAGAAAACCTTGAAGAAAATGGCAATAATAAGCCCTTATTTATGAATAATATTTTAATGCAAATGAATGAAATTATCCAATCCAAAGACATTAAGAGGCTGAATTAATTTTTAAAACCCAACTAAATGCTGCAGGAAAGACTGACTTTACCTCTAAGGACACATATAAACTGAAAGTAAAGGGATAGAAAAAGACATTTTATGCAAAGGAAAACCAAATGACAGTGGAGGGAGCTATATTTATATCCGACAAAATAGAGTTTGCTTCAAAAACTGAAAAAAGAGAACAGGAAGTATATTATATAATGGTAACAGGGTCAATTCATCAAGAAGTTTTAACAATTATAAATATACATGCACTCAATATTGGAGTAGCTAAAAATATAAAATATTAGGAGATCTGATGGAAGAGATAGACTGCAATAAGTAACAATAGGAGACTTCAATACCACACTTTAAACATTGGACAAATTACTTAGACAAATACAACAAGGAAATTTTGGACTTGAAGTATGCTTTAGACAAAATGGACCTAACATATATTTATAGAACATTTCATCTAACAGCAACAGAATACACATTGCTCTCAAGTACACACAAAACATTCTCCAAGGTAGATCATATGTTAGGCTCCAAAACAAGTCTTAACAAACTTCAGAATATTGTAATCACATCAAATATCTTTTCTGACCAGAGTGGCATGAAACTAGAAATCAACAACAGGAAGAATTTTGGAAAACTCACAAATATGTGTAAATTAAGCAACAGGATCCTGAACAAGCAATAGATCTAAGAAGTCATTAAAAGAGAAAGAAGTTAAAAGAGAAATTAGAAAGCATCTTGAGACAAAATTTGAAATACAACATACCGATGCTTGTAAGATACAGCAAAAGCAGTCCTGAGAGGGAAGCTTATAGCAATAAATGCTTATATCAAGAAAGAATAAATATCTCAAATAAACAGCCTAACAGAAAATTTCAAGAAACTAGAAAAAGAAGAGCAAAATAAGCCTAAACTTAGAAGAAGATTTAAAATATATATATATATATATATATATATATATATATATATATATATATATATATAAAGTGTAAGACAAATTGGTTCTTATTTCTCATTGCACATAGCTGATATAATGCTAAGTATATAGGAAATTCAATAACATCTGGTCAATTGTTGGGAGAGGCCATCTGCCATGGTCACTGAGCATTCCTGCTCATTCTTGGTGAGTATCTTAAGAATGAAAGGCTCTAACTGTTCTTTGCCCAAATTATTTGCTCAGCGTTGTCTTTAGAGCAAACCTCAGATGATGAAATAGCATCTCTCTCTGGACAAAGAGAGGTTTACTTCTGCTCATTAAAAAAGCAGTAAATCCTCCAAGATCAGGGTTCCTCTCCTGTAATGCAATCTACTGAACGTGAAGGTATCATTTAGGATCACCAGCACCATTCTTCCCTGTGGGACTCGAAGAACCTGGAGAACCAATGGAAATGAAAATGAAGGCCTGAGTAACAAAGTCCTTTTTAATTGATGCAGGAATCTAGTATATTTTGGCAGTATTCAGGAAACATTAACAAATAGGCTAAAATCTCATACGCTGAACACTTTTTTATACCAATCAGGTAGCTAAAAGTGCAGGGAAGCATATAGGGAGAAAGCAGAAGAAATAATGGCAAAGATAGATTATAGCTAAAATAAGTATCACGTGATAAATAATATAATTAAAATTAAATAGTGTTCATGTAAAATATACAATAGAACCCAGAATTCCATCTCTTGAATGCAAAATAACCATTAGAAAACCGTAAAGAGAGTTATAGACTGGTCAAAAAGGTTGGCTTGTAAATTCACCTTGTGATAATATGTTGAAGATTAGAAAGAATAATCTGGATGTGTAAATCATTAAGAAGACAATGCAAAAAAAAATCCTGATTTGATCAGGAAAAGAAAAAAGAAATGAAAAAAAAATTTCCTTAAATAAAAGACCCCCAACATGAACACCAACAAAACACTTCATCAATTTGGATCAGTTCAAGTCAATTAAAAAACATGTGGTGAACACCCTCCTCTCTATACAATGGAATATGCAAGAAGCTGTCCAATCTGCTGGGTTCCAGGAACTCAAGACTGGACTCTAGTGAAATGAGGGAAAATAAATTAGAAAAATAACACACAGGTCATGGCCCTGGAAAACAGCAAGTGCTGACTTGACTTGTTAGGAAAGTTAACACATTCAGAATTATGTACTTGAAAGTTTGGTTTTCATACAAAATTTACTAATGGAGATTGCCTAAGGAAATTTTTGGAAATGAGGTTATCATTTGAGACCTAAACTGAAATTACAGCAGAAATTTGAGAGCTATCTTTACCAGCAAACAGCTAAGGAATTAAAAAAAAAGGCAAAATAAACAAACCCAACCTCTTTAAGGAAGCAGATATAGAAATAGTGCAAAAGATCCAAGGCAGTTGATCTTGACAGATGTTGAGAGAATGGTCAGGGGTTGACAAAGAAGTAGAGTAAGAAGAAAAGAAGCAGGGGAAGAAGTAAAGGATTCTAGAGCATCCATAACCAAGATCAGTAAGGATGGAAAGAAGATGGTTAATCCTGTTTAATGTGGTTAGAAAGTGAAGGAGGGAAATAAATATCTAGAGTACTGTCCCATTAAACATAATGCGAACAATATTTTTAATTTTAAATATTTGAGTAGCCATGTAAAAATGTAAAAAGAGGCCGGGCACGGTGGCTCACGCCTGTAATCCCAGCACTTTGGGAGACTGAGGCAGGTAGATCACGAGGTCAAGAAATCGAGTTCATCCTGGCCAACATGGCGAAACCCCATCTCTACTAAAGATACAAAAATTAGCTGTGTATGGTGGTGCATGCCTGTAGTCCCAGCTACTCGGGAGGCTGAGGCAGGAGAATCACTTGAACCCGGGAGGCAGAGGTTGCAGTGAGCCGAGATCGTGTCACTGCACTCCAGCCTGGTGACAGAGCGAGACTCTATCTCAAAAAAAAAAAAAAAAAATGTAAAAAGAAATAGGTAAAAGTAAGTTTAATTCAATAGTTTAGCTCAATATATCCACATTATCATTTCAAAATGTAATCAATATAACAGATTATTAATGGTATATTTTATATTGTTTTTCATACTAAGTCTCTGAAATCTGGTATATATTTTACACTTATAGCACTTCTGTATTTGGCCTGGCCCCACTTCAATTGCTCAGTAGCTGTATGGAGCTAATGCTTACTTTTATCAGACTCTATAGATCTAGACAGGAAAATATATAAATAATCATTAAATTTGATGACGAGATTAGGAAGAAAGTTCTAAGAAATATATAATTCTACACAAATAGTTTCAGGTTAGTAAAAACACTTGCTGTTGCAAAACTTGATTAGTAAAGGAGGAGATAACAGGGTATAAATCTCAGAACAGGAGAATAAGATTTCTAAGTAATTGGAATGAGATAAAGATTTTCTTGCAATGGAAGATAGAAGTTGGATTGGAAAAAAATAATTTTCATTCCTAATGTTTTTAACTCCTATACTTTCTGTTGGGGCAGTAAATCCTATGAGGAAAAAAATGTAAACAATGTTCGAAGGGAGACATATTTAAAGATTAGTATGAATTATGAGAAAAATTAAGCAAAGGGAATACACTTCCTGAGCCAAAATTAACATGGCAGTGATAAAATATTAAGGAAATTGATAGAAAAAAAGTATATAGAATTTGGCAAAATATATTAAATTTGTGTTAAATGGCAATATCTGGTACTTTTTTAAACTTTGTATTTTGAAATAATATTGCACTTGATGAAGAGCTACAAAGACAGTACAAAGTATTCTTATATGCCCTTCACCCACTTGGCCCTAATGTTACGTTTTACAGAACCTTATACAAAATTAAGAAATTAATGTAGTATAATAAGTTAACTGATTTTGATTTCATCTGGTACATTTTCACGTTTCTGTGTTTTTTTCCTCTTACAAATTTATATGCAGACATGAAGGAAGAAGTGTCCATGGGAATGATCTAGAACTCAGCTGAGGGTTTGGTAACTTCTATGGAGGGCCTCATCTATCATCCAGGCAGGCAAAGCTGACTATACGTTTACATCTGTAGACTTAAATTGATAGCCGATAAGAGGTCATTGAAAATTGGGAGAGAAGTCAAGATAATTAGAGAAAGATGTGGTCAGAAAGGAGGTGTTGAGAAGTGGAAATTTAGAAGAATGCCTAGAACCACACAGCAAGGCAAAATAAAGCATTTGAAATACTTAATATCTATATGTGACTTTTACATCTCTGTGGTCCAATTTAACTGTTTCTTTAAACAAATAAGGTGAAATTACCCATGATAACATCAAGAAAACTATTTTTGTCTATTTTACTGATAGTTGACATAAAAAGCAATCTAATCATTTTAATGCTATAGACATTCTGTGGTTATAATCTCTTTTTACACATTTGCTTGACAGGCTTGACAGTGTTTTGAAATCAGGATATCTATTATGAAGAATCTCCATAATGTGTTCTTTTATTGCCAAGGTTAACATTCTTCAGTGGGTACCACACAAAAAACAGGTGTTCTGAAACTTCTGGAACTCTGTCACATTTGCATATTTTATAATAAATCAATGGTTTTCAAATTAATGATCTCAGTCATCAAGCTCTGTAGGTAAATGCCTTGTAGATTTCAACCTTCTTCCTAAATTTCTTATAAAGCCCCACTTGTGGACCAATCTTTCAAAAAGATAAAGTATGAAAAATGGGAAGTTAAAAAAACCTTCAGCTTTCAATATGCATTTATGTCAGTACATTTTATAAAGAAGCTCTTAGGAATTAACTCTGAGAGGCTGTACTAGAGTCCTTCACGTGGCATATCTGATTATTGTGGATGTCAGGTTTTATTTCCATTATTTTTGGAAGCCAGCGTCCTGTGCTGCTTTGTAAATGATTCTTTTCAAGTATGACTTATATTGTTGGAGAAAAATATAAACAACAGTGAAATATGGGCCAAAGTGAATATTAATTTAAAAACTATAACCCTGGTTCTGAAATGAAGTAACTTTTTTGGCTAACATCTGCAGTTTTGCTAAGCTGTCTGCACTTAGAGTAAATGAGAAAAAAGAAGGAAAAAAAAAAAAAAACAAGGGAAAACATTAGTGCTAGTAGGCACAACAATTTATGAGAGAAAGCAGAGAAAGAGGTGAGGTGTGTATGTTTCTCAATAGCTCAGTACTAATCTGGTCGATGAGCATTTCTTCCCCAATTGTGGTTTATTGGAGCATGTGGAGTCTTGATTGTTCTTTGGATCATGGCTTTGCTTTCCCCAGGACACCAATGCAGGCTTTCCTCTAAAAGCCTGCTGTGCCACGAAGACTCTCACTGCCCTTGGAACAGGCCAAATTTGGTTCTGCATTTTCCCATAGAGTTCTGCTCAGTGTCCTGGAATTGAGCCACTAGGGAGAGTCCTAGGGGAGAAATTTTGTTGCCAAGGAAGATGTCACACAAGCTGTTTATTTACTTATGGGCTGAAGCCTTGCTCATGTAATTGAACAGATGCCTTCGAATCTCAGGTTTAATGCACTCTACAGTTTATCAAGTGCTTTTGTATTGTATGGACACATTAGCCTTCACAGTAAGTACCTTGTGAGGAGGCTATCACAGATATTTATATTCCTAATTTTATAAATTAGGAAACTGGGGCTTGAAAGTGTTATTGATTTGTCAGGTCTTATGTATTTTACCCCTCTCCCCCATACTCTTTCTATTATACATTGTCCATTATAGATTTTTCCTTTATTTTCAATTAAGATATGAATATGTCTGTGACAGCTTCTGAACAACTTCATAATACATGTATTAAAATGCCCAGAAACACATTCTTTTTACACTATGCCCATGCAAATCAAATGTAGAAAGTGAAAATATCTGCTTATCTTAAAACTTTGATATATAAATCCTATAAATTCTTTACCATTTCAATCATTAGCTTGTCTTCTAGAACTTTCCATGAATCTTTGAAATAATTTTGAGTCTGTTATAGATGTTTTCAATAAAAGAAACCTTTTCATTTGGTATTTTCCTCAGTGGTTTAAAATCTATTATGAAACGTAAATAGCAACAACACTTTTGTCAATGTTAAATAAGTATGGGTCACATTTTCAAATTTGAATACCTGTTATATTTCAAAAATATATATATTTATAAATATGAAAGTTGGGAAACACTGCACTCTGTGAAAACCCACATCCTGACACTAATGCATCTGTCTGCATATGCTCACAAGGGTACATTATAATAAATATCCCCAAACCACAAAGTTACTGATTTAAGAAATCACTTTCAAATGCCCGCCATTTGCAAATATGTTTCTTGAAATATAATTTGGAATAATAAAATGATGGAGTTTTTAAAAATCAAAGAAGAAAGCAGGACTCCTTGAAATTTCTAAGGCTGTGTATGCACAGCATATGACTAAAATTTAGGCATGAGCCCTTTACCAGTTCATAAGATAAGCATTCAATTGATGAAATACCACTGAGAATTGTTCTCTCTGCAGTTGAAAACAGCCATGATGTCTGTTTCAATACCTTTAATATTGGGTCACCTGAGATACAGTGGGATTTTATGGATCTAATATGTTGCCTATAGTGAGTTTAACTGCAATATTTATTCCATGTACTTTGAGTTCAATAATTTCACTTCAGGCATGGAAAATCTCAGCAGAATACATTCAAGAGCCAGAACTTATTGCTATTGGAAAAGAAATATGTTTAAAATGCTTTAAAGAAATTAACTTCACATTTTAATATTTCTGCAGGATTAGAAAGAACAGAATACAAATGAATATGGCTTCAACAATACTTCAAGAAAATACTTAACATAGATCATAAATTCAAAATTTTCACAAGGCCCATGTAAGCTGAATAATAGAATAAAAAATGTACAGTAGTCCCTCCTTATCCACTGTTTCACTTTCCATGGCTTTAGTTATCCACAGTCAACTGCAGTTCAAAATATTAAATGGAAAATTCCAGAAATAAACCATCAGTTTCACATTGCATGTCATTGCGAGTAGTGCCATACACTTTGTCCTGCCCAGGACGCAAATCATCCCTTTGTCCGGGATATCCACACCAGTCACTCCGTAGTTGTCTGTTATCAGACTGTCAGGGTATTGCAGTGCTTGTGATAAGTAACCCTTATTTTCCTGAATGAAATAATCCTAAAGTACAAGAGTAGTGGTGCTAGCAATTTGGATATTCCAAGGAGAAGCTGTAAAATGCTTCCTTTAAGTGAAAAGGTGAAAGTTCTCAACTTAATAAGGAAAAAAATTATATGGTTAAGTTGCTAAGATCTGCAGTAAAAACAAATCTAACTGCAAAATTGTGAAGGAAAAGCAAAATCTATGCTAGTTTTGCTGTCACACCTCATACTGCAAAAATTATAGCCACAGTGTATGATAAATTCTTAGTTAAGATGGAAAAGGCATTATATTTGTGGTGGAAGATGTGAACAGAAACATGATCCAATTGATGGAAATTAGGTTTGGTACTATCTGCAGTTTTAGGCAACCACTGAGGGTCTTGAAATATATCTCCAGGGATAAGGGGGACTCCTGTATAGAAAAAAAAAAATCACATTCCAATGTGAATACCTGACATTGCCTCAGTTGCAGTAGTCATTTGATATGAACATTTATTTAAATTAAATTTAAAGTTATTTGATAGGACAAGGGTGTTTCCACAACACTGGTGTCTATCTGGAGCAGTGGTATGAAAAGATAGATGATTCAAAATTTTTGAAAACCTCATCATTTACATGCCATAATTTTTGGAGTCTTGTTGAAAGACAATGTGTACCATGAGCTTAAGGAATTGTGAACTCCTAAAAAAGCAGCTGAGATATCTTTTGGAAGAGTTAATTAATGCTCCTTTAAAAAAATGGCACACTGATTTGTATATCATAGTTACCCATTAATATTTATTGAATAAAGGAACTGAAAAAAAGAGATAGGTAGTTGTGAGCCACCTGTATGACATAAAGTCATTAGTAACCCTTATGATACGTGATAAGGGTTGAAGTTGCATCTGACACTACAATAAAATTTGTATTTTTGGCCGGGCATGGTGGCTCACGCCTGTAATCCCAGTATTTTGGGAGCCCGAGGCCGGTGGATCGCCTGAGGTCAGGAGTTCGAGACCAGTCTGGCCAACATAGTAAATCCCCGTCTCTACTAAAAATAAAAAAAATTAGCTGGGCATGGTGGCGAGCGCCTGTAATCCCAGCTACTCGGGAGGCTAAGGACAGAGAACTGCTTGAACCCAGGAAAGGGAGGTTGCAGTGAGCCAAGATCGTGCCATTGCACTCCAGCCTGGGCAACAAGAGCGAAATTCTGTCTCCAAAATAAATAAATAAATAATATAATAAAATTATTTTTTGCCATAGAGAGAAATAATTAAAACCAAAGAAGCAATGATTTATTTTTGAAAAACTGTAGCAGATTACTAGTAATCACTGATAATTGCAATATATTTCATCATTTAATCTTTTTAAAACAAAATTTTAAAGAGATAACCATTACTCCTGGTTTTTCCTTTTTAAGAAGCTTGGCTTTAGTAATTCAGTGGGTGTCCTCATGGCAGTTGTGTTTCGGGGCATTAATTTCCAATTACCATGAAAAGATGTGTTTAAAATTATACTTTAGTATGAGTTGTTGCTTTATTAAAAATGTATTTTTTTTTAACAGACTCATAGTCAATATGGCAATTCATCATATAGAGAAACATAATATTGGATTAGGCTGAGAGTACCACAGCCATTTGAAGAATTTTGGGAGGCAGGGGAATGGAATTGAAACTATGTGAACTTAAATAGAGGCTCATTGGAATTTAGGTCTAAAATTTGTATTCTAACCACAGACACATTACAATACATGCATGTTGAGAGGCTCATTGATGAATAGGAAAAAAACAGTGCTCTACATGTCAGGGGTATCAGAATCCCTAACTTTGCATTAACAAGCTGGTTATTAATTTATATTATCTAGATCTGTTGCTTTATTTGTGTAATGAAAGGATTGAACTGAGTGAGATCAAGTTCTGTGATTCTCCTTATTTTTATATTTTTCAAATTTTCTAGGTTTATCAATTTAACTTATATCTTTTGTTTCCTTAAAGTGTTACATTCCATATTAATTTTATTGAAGAGAGTTATTGATAATCAAATTTAATCTTATCACAAAGTGTTCTCCTGAAAAATTTCACTAGTAGTATTATATTCTATGTTTTTCTAACAACTGTTGCTAGAAAACAACATCCATTCCTCCCCCTCTGTCATGCGCATATGCACATCCAAATACAGGAATTTAAAAATTGGAATTATTGGAACCTGGGAGTGGAGAAAAATGGCATAGAAATGGAATAGAAAGCTCCACTGATTGTCACCTTCCCCACCAAGGACACCAATTTAACATTCTACATACAAAAAGTGCACCTTTGTAAGAATCAAAAATTAGTTGAGCACTCATAGTACCAAGTTTTAACTTCATATTGCTGAAAGAGGCACCAAAAAGGTAGGAAAAACACTCTTGACTCACTGACAACACCCCTCCCTCAATTCCCCACAGCAGCTATGTGGTGTGGAGAGCATTTCTGTGCCTGGAGAGAAGGAGAGACAGCAATTGTGAGGCATTGAACTCAGTGCTACCTTTGTTATAGCAGAAATTTTGCAAAACTGGACTAAACTCAGCTGATACCCACCCACAGAGGGTGCATTTAAACCAGAGGGGAATGGCCAATTCCAGTCATAAAGTGTGAGTTCTTGTAAGCCTTGCCACTGCGAGCTAAAGTTCTCTGAGGCCCCAAATAAACCTGAAAGGCAGTGCAGGCCATAAAGACTGCAACATCTAGTCAAATCCTAGGGCTGAACTGGGCCTAGAGATTGTGGACTTGGAAGGTAGGGGGGATACAACCTACTAAGACACAACCTGGGGCAGCCCCTTACCCCAGGCTGCACAGCTCACAGCTCCAAAAGAAATCCCTTCCTTCTGCTTGAGAAGAAGAGACAAAAGAGTGGAGAGGACTTTGTCTTGCATCTTGGATACCAGCTCAGCCACAGCAAGATAAGCCACCAGTCAGAGTCCTGAGGCTCCCTTTCCAGGCCTTAGCTCTTGGACATTTCTAGACATATCCTGAGCCAGAAGGGATCCCACTGCCTTGAAGGGAAGGACCCAGTCCTGGAAGGATTCATTACCAGCTAACTGAAAAGCCTGTGGACGCTGAGTAACTAGCAGTGATACCCAGATAGTATGTCAATGACCTTGGGTGAGGCTCTGAGACCTGATGGCCTCGGGTGAGGCTCAGCACATTCCCAGCTGTTGTGACCATGAGGCAATACTCCTCCTGCTTGAGAAAAGTGAAGGGAAAAGTAAAGGAGACTTTGTCTTGCACCATAGGTACCAGCTCAGCTACAGAGGATAGAACACCAATGGGCTCTTAGGGTCCCCAATTCCAGGACTTGGCTCATGAACAGCATTTCTGGGCATGTTCTGGTCCAAAGGGGAGTCCATTCCTTTGAAGGGTGAGTCCCAGGTCAGGCAGCATTCACCACACACTAACTGAAGAGCCCTTGAGCCTTATGGGAATATTGGTGGTAGTCTGGTAGTATTAAGCCCAAGGTGATGGTGGCTACACAGTAAGGCTCTTCTGCCTTTGGAAAGGAGAGGTAAGAGTGGGAAGAACTGTATCTTATGGTTTGAGTGCTAACACAGCTGAAGTACAGTAGAATACCAGGTGGACATGTAAGGTTTTTGACTTTAGTCCCTGGGTCCCAGATAGCACCTCTGGACCTGCCAGGGGGACTGAGGGAACTCACTGCACTGAAGGGAAGGACACAGAACTATCTGGCTTTGCACCTGGTGATTTTAGAGCTCCAGGGCTTTGAGTGAACATAGATGGTAGCCAGGGAGGGGTTACAGCAGGCCTTGGGTGAGATCCAGTGCTATACTGGCTTCAGGTCTGACGCAGCAGAGTCATAGTGGTGGTGGCCACTGGGGTGTTTCTTTCATTTCACCCCCAGCTTCTGGTTACTCAGAGCAGAGAGAGATTCCTTTTGTTTGGGAAAAAAGTAAAGGAATAGGACAAAAGTCTCTGCCTCATAATCCAAAAATTCTTCTGAATGTTGTCCAAGACCATCAGGGTGGTACCTGTATGAGTCTGCAAGAACTACAACACTACTGGGTTTGGGGTTCCCCCTAAAACAGATAAAGCTGAGATCACAACAGCCAAGTCTTTTGGAATATTTAGAAAGCCTTCCCAAGAAGGAAAAACAAGGTAAAAACAAGCCCAGACTGCGAAGACTATAATAAATATCTAAGTTTTCAATGCCCAGACACAGATGAACATCTACAAGTATCAAGATGATCCAAGTTAACATGACATTACAAAATGAACTACATAAACCTCCAGGGACCAATCCTGGAGAAACAGAAATATGTGATCTTTCACACGGATAATTCAAAATAGTTTTTGGGGAAACTCCAGGAAATTCAAGATAATACAGAGATGGAATTAAGAATTCTACCAGATAAAAAAGAGATTGAAATCATTAAAAAGAATTAAGCAGAAGTTCTGGAGTTTAAAATTCAATGGACGTATTGAAGAATGCATCAGAGTCTTTTAATAGCAGAATTGGTCAAGTAGAAGAAGTAATTAGTGAGAAAGAAAGTCACCTTCACTCAAAGGAAGAGAGGAAGGAAAGAGAGAAGGATGAGAAGACCACACACACACACGTGCGTGCACGCACACACACACACACAAACACAGAAAACAAATAAAATGGAAGGAGTAAGTCCTTGTTTATCAACAATAACTTTATAAATGAACTAAACTCTGCAGTCAAAAGACATAGAGTAGATAAATGGATTAAAAAGCAAGACCCATTAATCTGTTGCCTACAAGAAACACACTTCACCTATAAAGACACACATAGACTGAAAACAAAGGGAAGGAAAAATATATTCCATGCCAATGGAAACCAGAAAAGAGTAGGAGCCACTTTACTTGTATCAGAAAAATAGATTTCAATGCCAAAAGTCTAAGAGGGATACAGAAAGGTCTAAATAATAACAAAGGGGTCAATTCAGCAAGAGGCCATACAAATTCTAAACAAATATGCACCCAACATTGAAGCATACACATATATAAAGTGAACATTTTTAGAGCTAAAGAGAGAGACAGACTTCAACACAGTAACAGCTGGATATTTCAACACCCCACTTTCAACACTGAGCAGATCTTTCACACAAAATCAACCAAGAAACATAAGACTTTATCTGCACTATAGACCAAATGATTCTAACAGGTATTTACAGAACATTTCATCCAATGGCTGTATAATACACATTTTTTCCTCAGTACATGGATTGTTCTCAAGGATGGACCATATGTTGGTTCTCAAAATAAATTCTAAAAGATCCAAAAAAATTATGTATAGCATCTCCTCTGATCCCAGTGGAATAAAACTAGAAATAAATAGCAAAAGGAATTTTGCAAACTCTACAAATACATGGAAACTAAACAATATGCTCTTAAATGACTGGCAGGCCAATGAAGAAATTAAGAAAGAAATTGAAATTGTTCTTAAAAGTTGAAACACAATATAACAAAATATATGGGACACAGTGAAAGCAATAGTAGACCTCAAACTCAGGAAACTACTATGAGAAAACATTGGGGAAACGCTCCAGGACATCAGTCTGAGCAAAGATTTCTTGACTAATACCCCACAATCACAGGCAACCAAAGCAAAAAATGGAAAAATGGGATCATACCAAGTTAAAAATATTTTGTACAGCAACAACAACAACAAAAAATCAACAAAGTGAAGAGACAACCCACAGAATAGGAGAAGATATTTGCAAACTACTCATCTAAATAGGGATTATATATAAGGAGCTCAAACAACTCTCTAGGAAAAAGATAGAATAATGCTATTTTTAAAATGGGCAAAATATTTGAAGACATGTCTCGAAGACATACAAATGGCAAACAGACATATGAAAAGGTACTCAACATCATTGATCATCAGAGAAATGCAACTCAAAACTACAATGAGATATCATCTCACCCCAGTTAAAATGGCTTGTATTCAAAAGAGAGGCAATAGCAAATGCTGGTGAGGATGTGGAGAAAAGGCAACTCTCGTACAGTGTTGGTGGGTTATAAATTAGTATAACCCCTGTGGAGAACAGTTTGAAGGTTCCTCAGAAAACTATAAATAGAGCTACCATATGATCCAGCAATCCCACGGCTGGGTATATGCCCAAAAGAAAGGAAATCAATATATTGAAGAGATACCTGCACTCCCATGTTTGTTGCAGCTCTGTTCACAATGGCCAAAATTCAGAAACAACCTGTTTCCATCAACAGATGAATGGATAAAGAAAATGTGGTACTTATACACAATGGAGTACTATTCAGCTATAGAAAGGAGATTCAGACATTTGCAACAATATGCATAGAACTGGAGATCATTATGATAAGTGAAATAAGCCAGGCACAGAAGGACAAACATTGCATGTTTTTACTTATTCGTGGAATCTAAAAATCAAAACAATTGAACCAATGGAGATAGTAGAACGATGGTTCCCAGAGGGTGTGAAGGGTGGTGGAGGGGTGAGGGATATGTGGAGATGGTTAATGCGTACAAAAAATAGTTGGAATGAATAAATAAGACATAATATTTGATAGCACAACAGGGTGACTAGTCAATAATAATTTAATCGTATATTTAAAAATAACTAAATGAGTATAATTGGATTGTTTGTAAAACAAAAGATAAATGCTTGAGGGATGAACACCCTGCTATCCATTATGTGATTATTACATAGTACATGTCTGTATCAAAATATCTCATATGCTCCATAAATATATATACCTACTCTGTACCCACAAAAACTAAAAAAAAACTTAAGAAAATATGACTTATACACATGCACACAAATTTGAATTGTTTTATTTTTAACATATTTACTAACCACCTGATAAATAAATTGTAAAATAACTCTGACTCTCAATTTAGCATATGTGTGTGTGTATATATATATAAATGCACACTTGCATTAAATATACATATTATGGAAAATAAATATCTATATCAATGCTATGATTATGACATTACAACTTCATTTTTAATTTAAAATGTGTATTGAAGTATAACATACAAAGTGCAATTTCATAAGTGTACAGCTCAAAAATTATCACAAAATAAAAATTGACATGTAATTACCACTTAATATTTTTAAAAAAGAAACTTTATTAGGAAGCCATAAGTCCTCTTCTTGTTTATCTCCATAATTACAACTTTTCTCCATCCCAAACTCCTAACGTTCAATTATCATGGATTAGTTTTGTCTGAGTTTAAACTCTGCAAAAATGGAATTAGCATAGATTGTATATACTCTTTTGTATCTAGTTTCTTTCACTTATGAGACTTCTATGATAATCCACATAGCATTTGTATGTGGCATGAATTTGTTTGTTTTTATGGTTGTATATGATTCCGTTATATGAATATGCCATAATTTATATATTCTATCAATAGACGTTTGTGTTTGTTATGGTTTGGCTCTATCTCCACCCAAATCTCCTCTTGAATCGTAGTTCCCATAATCCCACCTGTCATGAGAGGGACCCAGCAGGAGGTGATAGAATCACTGAGGCAGTTTGCTTCATGCTATTCTCTTGATAGTAAGTTCTCACAAGATCTGATGATTTTATGAGGGTCTTCTCCTTTTGCTCAGCTCTCATTCTTCTTCTTGCTGCTCCCATGTGATGAAGGACGTGTTTGCTTCCCCTTCCACCATGGTTGTAAGCTTCCTAAGACTTCCCCAGCCATGCTGAATTGTGAGTCAATTAAACCTCTTTCCTTTGTAAATTACCCAGTCTTGGGTGTGCCTTTATTTGCAGCATGTGGATGAACTAATACAGTAAATTGATACTGCAGGGAGTGGGGTGCTGCTCTAAAGATACCCAAAAATGTGGAAGTGACTTTGGAACTGGGTAACATGCAGAAGCTGAAACAGTGTGGAGGGCTCAGAAGAAGACAGGAAATTGTGGGAAAGTTTGGAACTTTCTAGATACTTTGAGGGTTCAGAAAACAGGAACATGTGGGAAAGCTTGGAACTTCCTAGAGACTTGTTGAATGGATTTGACCAAAATACTGATAGTGAGATGAACAATGAAGTCCAGGCTGAGGTGGTCTCAGACAGAGATGAGGAGCTTGTTGGGGACTAGAGTAAAGGTCACTCTTGCTATGCAAAGAGACTGGCCACATTTTGTCTCTGCCCTAGAGATCTGTGGAACTTTGAACTTGAGAGAGATGATTCACAGTATCTGTTGGAAGAAATTTCTAAGCAGCAAAGCATTCAACAGGAAGCAGAGCACAAAAGTTTGGAAAATTTGCAGTCTAAAAATGTGACATAAAAGAAAAGCCCATTTTCTAGGGAGAAATTCAAGCCAGCTGCAGAAATTTGCATAAGTAACAAGGGGCCCAATGTTAATCACCAAGGCAATGGGGAAAATGTCTCCAGGGCCTGTCAGAGACTTTCATGGCAGCCCCTCCCATCACATGCCCAAAGGCCTAGGAGGAAAAAAAGGTTGTGTGGGGAGAGATGTGGCCCCCGCTGCTGTGTACAGCCTAGGGACTTGGTGCCATGTGTCCCAGCCACTCCAGCTCTGGCTAAAAGGGGTCAAGGTCTACCTCAGGCTGTTGTTTCAGGGAGTGGCAAGCCCCAAGCCTTGGCAGCTTCCACATGGTGTTGAGTCTGTGGGTGCACAGTAGTCAAGAATTGAGGTTTGGGAACCTCTGCCAAGATTTCAGAGGGTGTATGGAAATGCTTGAATGTCCAGTCAGATGTTTGCTGCAGGAGCAGAGCCCTGATGAAGAAATTCTGCTAGGGAAGTGCAGAAGGAAAATGTGGGGTTGGAGCCCTCACACAAAGTCCCCACTGGGGCACTGCCTAGTGGAGCTATGAGAAGAGGGCCACTGTCTTCCAGACCCTAGAATGGTAGATCCACTGACAGCTTGCAACATGCACCTAGAAAAGCCGCAGACAATGCCAGTTCATGAAAGCAGCCAGGAGGAGGGCTGTACCCTGCAAAGCTACAAGGGTGGAGCTGCCCAATGCCATGGGAGCCCACTTCTTGCATCAGCATGACCTGGATGTGAGACATGGGGTCAAAGGAGATCATTTTGAAACTTTAAGTGTTTACTGACTGACATATTGGATTTCAGACTTGCTTGGGGCCTGTTCTCCTTTGTCTTGGCCAATTTCTTCCGGTTGGAATGAGAATATTTACCCAATGCCTGTACTCCCATTGTATCTAGGAAGTAACTAACATGGCTTTTGATTTTACAGGCTCATAGGTGGAAGGGAGTTGGCTTATCTCAGATGAGACTTTGGACTTGGACTTTTGAGTTAATTCTGAGATTAGTTAATACTTGGGGGACTGTTGGAAGAGCATGATTGTGTTTTGAAATGTGAGGACATGAGATTTGGGAGGGGCCAGGGGTGAAATTATATGATTTGGCTGTGTCCCAACCCAAGTCTGATCTTGAATTGTAGTTTCCATAATCTCCACATGTCATGGGAGGGACCTGGTGCGAGGTAGTTGAATCATAGGGTCGGTTTCCCCCATGCTATTCTCATGATAGTAAGTTCTCACAAGATCTAATGGTTTTATAAGGGGTTTCTCCCTTTGCTTCACTCTCATTCTTCTCCTTAATGCTGCCATGTCAAGAAGGATGTGTTTGCTTCCCCATCCACCATGACTGTAAGTTTCCTGAGGTCTCCCCAGCCATGCTGAACTGTGAGTCAATTAAACCTCTTTCCTTTCTAAATTACCTAGTCTTGGATATGTCTTTATTAGCGGTGTGAGAACAGACTAATACAGTGTTGTTTTCTGTTTTAGGCTATTATAAATAATGCTGCTATGTATATTCTTGTATATGTTTTTCTCTAAGCATATATATAAAATTTCCATTTTTTTTCTATTTTTTAAAGATTCAGTCATGATTGTTTTAAAGTTTTGCTGTAGGTGTTGTTGTTAGATACAAAATAAGGATATAGAACTATAGTTTTGTCATAGGTACAGGAGTATGTATGAGTTCTAAGCTATAAAAACCATTTTAAAATACAAATTTTTTCTTAGGAATATTTGCTGTCAAAGGTCATCCACATTAATACCCAGGAGGATAATTGTTGGTGATAGGATATATTTTAGTTCAATTTTAGTGTATAGTGCCAACAGTGTTTTCAAAGTGATTATGTTGAGTTACACTAATAAAAAACACATATAATTAAATTCCTGTTGCTCTATATCCTTGCCAGCATTTAGCCTTTTCTCTCTTTTTAATTGTAAACATTACCGTGTGTGTGTGTGTTTAATGGTATTTCACAGTGGTTTATCAGATAAAGAAACTGAACTTCCTCTCAGAATGTTTATTCATTGTTTGATAGTCTTTTTATTTGTATGAAATGACTTCTCAATATTATTTTCAATTTTTTTATCTATTGTGTTGTTTGCATTTTTCTGTATTTTTTTTCTATTTTTCTATTCTTTATACAAGACTTTGGCGTGTGATATGTGTTGTATATGAATTTCGGTCAATCTGCAGGTGATGTTTGCTCTCTTAGTGGTATTTCTTGATAAATGTAAATTATTAAATTTAATGATTAATCCTTTTGTATGTCCTGCTAACAAATTTTAACCAATTTTAAGGTCTCATTAAGATGTTCTAAATTGCATCAAAAAAAGAATTTTTTTGAGGTAAAAAATAAAAGAAAAATAAACAATAAAACACTTCCTCTGCCCCAGTGTGTGCTTTTTTTGTGTTGAAATATCTCTTTGTGTTGAATTGAAGGGTATAGTTTAAAGACTCGTTTGTTCTAAATATTAACTTCCTTTGTGGTTTAGCAAGCAAAGGGCATCAGAGAAATTGCATAAGTGCTATATGTTTACAATTCTGCAGATTGTCATTGGCAACTGAAATTCATCAAAGAAGCTGTCAAATACCTAATTTCTATTATGTTACAATGAAATAATTACTGCACTTGGTAGTTTCAAAACTGTTCTTTTTGCAGGAGTTTAATTTTCCCCCTTGTGTCAGGAAAAGATTTTCAGAGATATATAAAGGATTTCATAGATTTATTTCAATGATTATAAATGTCATAAGTAATTTATTGTAATATTTAGTATGAACATGCTAAAATAAACCAAAGAAAAATAAATCTGAACAAAGAAAAAAATGGAACAAACAAAAAGAAAAAGGAGTGATAGCCCTACATGAAAATGTTTACTAAATTCGATTGTCATTTTCAGAGCAATGGACACTTTCAATTTTTGTGTGAGTGTGTATTCAAACACAACCCACACAAACAAATGCATATACACAATAACAATTTTCTTTAATTGTCTGTATTTTTTAACTCTTTTATAATGAATATAATAATTTTAGATTGAGATATATGTTACTATCATACAGTTGTAAGTAGGCTATAAACATTCCCATGGTTGTAACATTAGTATATAGGTATTATTTTAATTTTAATGAAAGTGTGTCACTTTGCTTTACTTAACCACTATACATTAATTTCTAAATTGAATTTGATATTCTAGAGTCATAAAACTTAATTCAGGTTATCATATTGAATTATAAAATTGCAATTATTATAAACTTTCTAAATTCTTGATTAAGACCTTCCCTATGGAACTGGGCCATTTCTCATGATAACTGTTAAGTTCTCATAATTAAAAATATCTGTGGCTATGATATCTTTCTTATTGTGCCAATTTTGAGCATATGCATCTGAAGTTAATTAGATCATAGCATGCATACAAATGTCTAACATTTATTTAGGAGAGTTACAATTTTATGGGTGGGCCCTTTCTCAAGCTGAGCATAGTTAAATTAATATGGTAGTCCTGCTGTAGTCTGGAGTCTTAGCTGAGCATTATTAGTACATATAAAATACATCTATTACCTGTTTGTAGTGGATAACATGTTGAAGCATCCATAATATTTATTTTCTCACATGACTACATCTGCAGCTTTTAAGGTATTCAAAACTAGACTCTTACTTAGAGAAAATAAATTTTATTACATAACTTAGACACTTTGAACATAATCAAATAAAAGAATTGCATGGCTAAAATGTTAAAGATAACAGAGATAACTAGGAGATGGTACAGTGGAAGTAAATCAGTTAGAATTTTTTGTATTTTTGGCTGCAAGTCCTTATGACCTAATGATAGTGGCTTAAACGTGAAAAATTTATTTTCTTCTTATAAAGCTAAGTCTTGACTGGTAAGACAGCTTTATAAAATTAAGATTTTTTTCATGGTCAAAATATGCCTGGTATCAAAGAAGAACTAAACAAACAAATAGATATTTCATGTTCATAAATAGGAAGACTCAGTATTGTCAAGATGTCAGTTCTTCCCAAATTTATCTATAAATACAGTGGAATTCCAACCAAAATCCCAGTTATTTTGTGGAAATTGACAAACTAATTTTAAAGTTCATATGAAGAGACAAGTACCAGAATATCCAACATGACATTAAAGGAGAAGATTAAAGTTGGAGGACTGACAGTACCTGACTTCAAGATTTACTATAAAGCTTTAATAATCAAGTCAGCATGATACTGGTGAGAGTATAGACACCCAGGTCAATGAAGCAGAATAGACAGCTGAGAAATAAACTCACAAAAATATAGTCAACTGATCCTTGACAAAGAGGCTAAAGTATTACAGTGGAGAAAAGATGTGTTTTTTTTTTTTCAACAAATGGTACTGGAATAACTGGACATCTACACACAAAAAATAAATCCAAACATGGACCTTATGCCCTTCACAAATATTAATTCAAAATGGATCATAAACCTAAATGTAAAATATACAACTATAAATCATCTAGAAGATAACATAAAAGAAAAACTAAGTGGTTTAGGGATTGGCAATAACTTTTTAGATATAGCACCAAAGGCATGATCAATGGTAGAATAAGCTGAACTGTATTAAAATTTAAAAAATTCTATTTTGTCTACAAAAGACACTGGGAAGAGAATGAAAAGACAAGCCACAGACTGGGAGAAAATGTTTCCAAAAGATGCACTTCATAAAGAACTGTTATTCAGGCTGTGCGTAGTGGCTCACACCTGTAATCCCAGTACTTTGGGATGCCGAGGCAGGCAGATCACCTGAAGTCAAGAGTTCCATACCAGCCTGGCCAACATGGCAAAACCTCGTCTCTACTAAAAAATACAGAAATTAACAGGGTGTGGTGGTACAAGCCTGTAATCCCAGCTACTGAAGAGGCTGAGGCAGGAGAATCATTTGAACCCAGGAGGTGGAGGTTGCATTCAGCTGAGATTGTGCCACTGCACTCCAGCCCGAGTGACAAAGCAAGACTTAGTCTCAAAAACAAACAAACAAAAAACTGTTCTTCAAAATATATAAAGCTGTTATTCTGTTATTCAAAATACATAAAGAACCCTTAAAACTCAATAAGAAAACAACACACTTTTTAAAAATGGGTCAAAGACCTTGAAAGATAGCTCACTGAAGAAGATACGGAGATGGCAAATAAACTTATAAAAAGATGCTTCATATCATATGTCATTAGAGAAATGCAAATTAAAGCAACAAGATTCCACTACACACTTATTAAAATGTCCAAAATCAAAAAACATTGACAATGCCAAATGCTGATAAGAATGTGGAGCTACTGGAATTCTCATTCATTAGTGGTGCAAATGCAAAATGGCACAGAAAATTTGTAAGACAGTTTTGCAGTTTCTTACAAAACTAAATAGTATATGCATTCTATATGATCCAACAATCATGCTCCATGGCATTTACCCAAAGGAGGTGAAAACATGTTCCCCACAAAAACCTGCACGCAGATGTTTGAAGCAGCTTTATACATAATTGCCAAAACTTGGAGGCAACTGAGATGTTTTTCAGTAGGTGAATGGATAAATAAACTGTAGTTAATCCTGACAATTAGATATAATTCAGCACTAAAAAGAAATGAGTTATCAAGCCATGAAAAGGTGTGAAGGAAACTTAAACACACATTAAGTGGACAAAACCAATCTGAAAAGGCTGCATACTGTAGGATTTGAACTATATGACATTCTGCAAAGTTAAAACTTTGGAGATGATAAAGATATCAGTGGTTGCCAGGGGTTGGGAAGGAGAGAGGGATAAATAGGAAGAGCACAGAAATTTTTTTCAGGCAGGAAACCTTGTCTGTATGATACTATAAAGGTGGATACATAGTATTATACAAATGTTTTCTGTATCTGTGGTGTGTATTTTCATTCTCTTGGCAATGTCTTTTGCAGACAGGGCAGAAATTTTTAATTTTAATGATGTCTAGCTTATCAATTATTTCTTTCTTTTATGGATCATGCCAAAAACATCAGTTGCTCAAATGTTGTTTCACAATCCCATTGAGTTCTTCAAATTTCAGCAATTTGATTACCAATCTTGGCTCAATAGTGACATTTGATTATTTAGAGTAGAAAATGAATGGTCTACATTTGCTGCTGTGATTAGCCACGTCATAACGTATATAAAAGCTCTAAAATGTAAGAATCATTATATTGAAGAATATGTTAAATAACTGTAATCAAAAGAGAGAAAGTTGATAAAATAATAGATGACATTGAGCTTTTTGAATTTCTAGTTAAATTTCTAAAAATTGCACCAAGTCAATTACATTTTTGAATGTGGATCACTTTTCACTTAATGGTTAATTTTTTAAAGACAATATTTTGTAAAAAATTAATTGAGATATAACTCACATACCATAAAATTCACCCTTCTAAAGTGTACAGTTGTTTCTCAACCATCACAATTATCAAATTCCAGAATGTTTTTCATCACCACAAAAAGAAACTTTATACTCATTAGCTGACATTCCCCAACTCCTCAGCTCCATGGCCTCTGACAGTCATTAATCTATCTTCTATCTCTATGGATTTTCCTGTTATGAGCATTTCCTAAAAATTGAATCATATAATATGTGGCTTTTGGGGTCTGGCCTCTTTCATTTAGCATAATCTTTTCAGGTTTATCTTGTTATAGCGTGTATGAATACTTCATTCTCTGATGCGGTTAAATGATTTTCAATTTAGGAATATACTGCATTTTTCTTATTCATCAGTTTGTGGGAATTTTGGTTGTTTTAACTTTTATGCTGTTATATTGCTTGTGTTAGTCTACGCTAATAGACTGCTAATAAAGACATACCTGATACTGAGTAATTTATAAAGGAAAGAGGTTTAGTGTACTCAGAATTCCACATGTCTGGGGAGGCCTCATAATCATGGTGGAAGGTGAATGAGGAGCAAAGTCATGTCTTACATGGTGGCAGGCAAGAGAGCACGTACAGGGGAACTCCCCTTTATAAACCATCAGATCTCATGAGACTTATTCACTACAACAAGAACAGTATAGGGGAAACTGCCCCCGTGATTCAATTATCTCCACCTGGCCCCACCCTTGACATGTGGGGATTATTACAATTCAAGGTGAGATTTCAGTGGGGGACACAGCCAAACCATATCACTGCTATAAACATACATGTACATATTTGTGTGGAGATATGTTTTCATTAGTCTTGGGTATAAACCTAAAAATGGAATTGCTGGGTAATATTATAACTCTATGTTTAACTTTTTGAGGACATGCCAAAATGTTTTCAAAAGTAGCTACAACATTTCACATTTTCACCAGCACTGTAAAGATTCCAATTTTTCCACATCCTAAAAAAAAAATTGTTATTGTTTATATCTTTGTTTCTAGCCATTATAGTAGGTATGACGTGGTATCTAAGGGTGACATTGATTTGCATCTAACTGATGGCCAGTGATGAGCATCTTTTTATGTGCTGATTGTCAACTTGAATATATTCATTGGGAGAAATGTCTATTCAAATGCTTGCCTATTTTTAAAATGGGTTATTTATCTTTGTATAAGTATTCTTTACATATTCTAGATACTTATTTTCTTATCAGATATGTGAATTGCAAATACTTGCTCCTATTCTAGGGTTACCTTTCCAGTTTCTTTATAGTGTCCTTTGAAGCACAATAGTGTTTAATTTTGATGAGATTCATTTTATATATATATTTTTTCTTTCTGCTTGTACTTTTTGTGTAAGTTCCAAAAGATAACTGCCAAATCCAAGTTCACTAAAATTTATACCTATGTTTTCTTTCAATAGTTTAATACTTTTAGCTCTTTCATTTAGGTCTTTAATTTGTGTTACTGTTTATATTCTGTGTGAGGAAGTTGTCCTACATCATCCTTTTGCTTGAGGAAATTCAGTTGTTTCTATACCATTTCTTAAAAAACTATTATTGACCCATTGCATTGTCTTGGCAGCCTTGCTGGAAATGAATTACATGTAAGGATTTATTTCTGGACTCTCAATTCTACTCAAATCATAAGTCTATTTTTATGCTAGTACAACACTGTCTAGATTGCTATAGCTATGAGTACTGTAAGTTTTGAAATTGAGAAGTATGAGTCCTTCAAATTTGTTCTTTTTCAATATTGTTTTTGAGTAAATTAGCACTCAAATTTTATATGAATTTTAGGAACACTTTGGAAATTCTGGCAAAGGAAAAAAAAGGCAGCTAATAGGGATTTCATTGACTCTTCAAACCAACTTGGAATATTACCCTCTTTACTGTATTAAGTTTTCAAACCCATAAACACATAATATCTTTCTATTTATTTAGGACTTCTGTAATTTCTTTCAATGAAGTTTGGTAATTTTCAGTGTACAAGTCTTATACTTCTTTTGTGAAATTCATGTTAGGTATGATATTGTTTTGATGCTGTTGTAAATGGAACTGTTTTTAAATTTCATTCTGGATTGTTCATTGCAAGTTTATACAAATATAATTGATTTTTGCTTTTTGATTTTCTATCTTGAAATTAGCTGAACTTGATAATTAGTTCTGATGCTTTTGGTGGATTCCCTAGGATTTTCCACTTAACAAATTTATATTATTTACAATTAAAGACAGTTTTACTATCTCCTTTTCAATCTGGATGTCTTTCCTCTTTCTTGCATATTTTTTGGAGTGGGTCTGGAGCAAAACAGTGTTGATTAGTAGTGGCAAGTTCAGTAAAGTTGCAGGATACAATATCAACATACAAAAATTAGTCACATTTCTATATGCCAACAGTGATCAAACTGAAAAAGAAATTTAAAAAAGTAGTTTCATCTACAATAACCACATATAAAATTAAATATCTATGAATTAACCAAAGTGAAAGATCTCTATAATAAAATCTATAAAACACTGATAAAAAATTGAAGAGGACACCAAAAATGAAAAAAGTATTCTATATTCATGGATTGAAAGAATCAATATTGTGAAAATGTCCATACTACCCAAAGCAATCTAAAGATTCAACGCAGTCACTATCAAGATACCAAAGACATTCTTCACAGAATATAAAACAATTCTAAAATGTATATGGAACAAGAAAAGACCCAGAATAGCCAAAGATATCTTAAGCAAAAAGAACAAAATTGGAGGAATCATATTACCTGACTTCAAATTATATTACAGAGTTATAGTAACCAAAACAGCATGGCATTGTCATAAAAACAGACACATAGATTAACAGAATAGAAAACTGAAAAACAGACCAGGAGCAGTGGCTCACACCTGTAATCCCAGAACTTTGGGAGGCCAAGGCGGGCGGATCACGAGGTCAGGAGATCAAGACCATCCAGGCTAACATGGTGAAACCCAGTCTCTACTAAAAATACAAAAAATTAGCCAGGTGTGGTGGTATGCACCTGTAATCCTAGCTACTCAGGAGGCTGAGGCAGGAGAATCACTTGAACCTCGGAGGCAGAGGCTGCGGTGAGCCAAGATCATGCCACTGCACTCTAGCCTGTGCAACAGAGTGAGACTCTGTCTCAAACAAAAAACAACAAAAAAACTCAGAAACAAATCCACACACCTACAGTGAACCCATTTTTGACAAAGGTGCCAAAAATATACACTAGGAAAAAGACAGTCTCTTCAATAAATGGTGCTGGGAAACTGGATATTCATATGCGGAAGACTAAAACTAGACCCCTATCTCTCATCATATACAAAAATCAAATCAAAGTGGTTTGAAGGCAAATCTAAGACCTCAAACTATAGAACTAATTCAAGAAAACATTTGGAGAAAATCTCCAGGATATCGGACTGGGCAAAAGTTGTCTGAGCAATACTTCACAAGCACAGGCAATCAAAGCAAAAAATGGATAAATTGGTTCACATCAAGTTAAAAAGATCCTGCAGAGAAAAGGAAACAATTAACAAAGTGAAGAGACAACCCACAGAATGGGAGAGAATATTTGCAAACTATTCATTTGAAAAGGAATTAATAACTAGAATATATAAGGAGCTCAAACACCTCTGTAAGAAAAACATCTAATAATTTGATCAAAAAAATGGACAAAAGATTTGAATAGACATTTCTCAAAAGAAGACATACAAATAGAAAATAGGTATATGAAAAAGGGTTCAACATCATTGATCATCAAAGAAATGAAAATCAAAACTACAATGAGATATCATCTGACCCCAGTTAAAATGGCTTATATTCAAAAGACAGTAAACAACAAATACTGGCAAGGATATGAAGAAAAGGGAATCCTTGTATGTTGTTGGTGGGAATGTTAATTAGTAGAACCACTTTAGAGAACAGTTTGGAGATTCCTCAAACAACTAAAACTTGACCTGTCATATGATCCAGCAATCCCACTGCTGGGTATGTACACCAAAGAAAGGAAATCAGTATATTGAAGAGACATCTGCGCTCCTGTTTGTTGCAACACTGTTTACAACAGCTAAGATTTGGAAGCAGCCTACGTGTCCATTGACAGATAAATGGATGAAGAAAATGTAGTACATATACACAATGGAGTACCAGTCATCCATAAAAAAGAATGAGATCCAGTGATTTGCAACAACGTGGATGGAACTGGAGGTCATTATGTTAAGTGAAATAAGCCAGGCACAGAAAGACAAACATTGAATATTCTCGTTTATTCATGGAATCTAATAATCAAAACAATTGAAGTCTTTGACATAGGAAGTAGAAGGATGGTTACCAGAAGCTGGGAAAGGGTAGTGGGAGGATGAGGGGAGCTGGGGTTGGTTGATGGGTACACAGAAAAATAGTTGGAAGAAATGAGTGGGACCTAATATTTGATGGCACAACAGGGTAACTGTAGTCAGCAATAACTTAGTTGTGATTTTAAGATAACTTAAGGACTGTAATTGGGTTATTTATAACTCAAAGGATACATGCTTGAAGGGATGGATAACCCATTCTTCATAATATGCTTATTTCACATTGCATGCCTGTATCAAAATATCCCATGTACCTCATAAATATACATACCTTCTATGTACTCACAAAAATTAAAAATGAAAAAAATGCAAAAAAGAAGTGGCAAGCACAGCCTTGTCCTGTTCCTGTTATTATAGTGAAATAAAAGATTTCACTATAATGAAGTCTTTATCTCTATGTATAATGATAGCTTTGTATTTTCCATAGATACACTTTGTCAGGTTGGAGAAGTTCCCTTCTATTCTAGTTTGAGTGTTTTCTTATATCATTAAATGATTTGGATTTTGTCAAATGCTTTTTTTATTTATCAAGATGATCATTTTTGTTTAGATGTATCACTTTGATTTTTCTATGTTGAACCACCCTACCTAGCATTTCTGGGATAATCTCCATTTGGTTATGTTGTATTATCCTTTTTATATGTTGCAGGATTCTGATTGCTGATATAATGTTAAGAATTTGCATGTCTCTATTCCTAAGTGATATCTGTCAGTAGTTTTCTTGTAATGTCTTTGTGTGATTTTGGTGGCAGTGTAATACTGTCTGGATAGAATGAATTGAGAAGCTTTTGCTCCTCTTTTATTTTGGAAGATTTTGGGAAAAATAAATGTTAACTCTTCTTTAAACATTATGTAGACAACACCAGTGAAGTTATCTTTTACTGGGCTTTTCATTACTGGGGCATTTTTGATTATGAATTCATTATCTTTATTTGTTGTGGTTATATTCAGACCTTTTCTTTGTGAGATAGTTTCAGTAGTTTCTGTCTTTCTATAATAAGAATCTTTCCATTTAATCTATATTATCTAATCTCTTGGCATACCTTCTTTATAGTGTTCAATTACAATCATTTTTATTTCTATTAGTTTGGTAATAATGTTACCTCTTTCCTTCCCAATTTTAGTAGTTGGGCTTTCATTTTTTAATTTAGTGTTCAGTCTAGCTAAAGGAATGTCAATTTGTTCATTGTTTTTGAAGAATGCACTGTTGGTCTTTTTCAATTAAATTTTTTTTCTATTCTCTATTGCACTCATTTTCTCTTTGATCTATATTATAGCCTTAAATCAGCTTGCTTCAGTTTTAGTTTGCCTTTTATTTTCTCATTTATTAAGGTTTAATTATTGATTTGTTATCTTTCTTCTTTTTTAATACAGACATTTATTGCTATAAATTTCCCTGTACCTACTGCTTTTGTACATCAAGTAAGTTTTGGCATGTTGTATTTGTCATGTTTTAATTTTCATTCATCTTAAAGTATTTTCTAATTTCTTTTGTGATTTCTTCTTTGCCCCATTGGTTATTTAGAAATGCTAATATCTACATATTGATGACTTTTCAAAATTTTCTTATTTTTATTTTTTAATATTTTTATTATACTTTAAGTTCTGGGGTACATGTGCAGAATGTGCAGTTTTGTTACATAGGTATACACGTGCCATGGTGGTTTGCTGCACCCATCAACCCGTCACCTACATTAGGTATTTCTCCTAATGCTATCCCTCCCGTTATTAATTTTTAAATTGTTTTATTTTATAATTTTTAAAGAGCATTGTTGAGGTATGACTGACATAGAAAAAGCAGCACATATTTAAGGTATACAACCTAATAAGTGTGGAGGTAAGTATATACCTAGGAAATCATCATAACTATCAATAACATAAACATATCCATTACGTCAAAACGTTTCCTCTCCCCCTCTTTATTTATAGGTTGTATGCTTCTAAAAATGTATCCATTTCTTTTGTTTATTCAATTTGTTGGCATATAATTATTCATGATAGTGCCTTATGATTTTTTATTTCTGCGGCATCAGTTTTAATGTCTCCTCTTTCATGTCTTATTTCATTTATTTTAGTCTTCTCTCTTTTTAAAATCATGCTAAGAGTTTTAAATTTTTGTTTACCTTTTTAAAAATCCAACTCTATTTTGTCGAATTTTTGTAATATTTTTCTGTTCTCGTATTTATTTCTGTTCTAATCTTTACTGTTATTTTCCTTCTGGTAACTTAGGGCTTAGTTTATTTTTCTTTTTTCTAGGTTTTTTTTTTTTTGAGGTGTTAAGTTGGATTTTTATTTGGGATGTTTTTTATGTAGGCATTCATCATTGTACACTTTCCTTTTCATAATGCTTTCATTGTATCCCATAAGTTTTGTTATGTTGTGTTTTTGTTTGTCTTGAAATGTTTTCCAATTTCCCTTTTGATTTCTTTTTCAACCTATATGTTGTACAAGAGTGTGTGTTTAATTTTTATGTAGTCATAAATTTTTACATTTTTCTTTTGCTATTGATTTCTAGTTTTATTTTATTGTTGTTTGGAAAATGCACTTAGAATAATTTGTCTTATTAAATTTTTTTAATGTTTTATGACTTCGCTTGTTATCTATTCTAGAGGATGTTCTGTGGTCACCTGAGAAAAATGTGTATTCTGTTATTGTTGTTTAAGATGTTTTGTATGTTTATGAGGTCCATTTGGTCTATAATGTTGCTCAAGTCTTCTCTTGTTCATTTTTTTGTCCAGATAATCTATTAATTACTGAAAATGGAGTTAGTAATGTCTTTTACTATTATTGTATTGCCGTCTATTTATCCTTTCAGATCTGTCAATATTTCCTTTGTATGCTTAGATACTCTAATGTTGGGCAGTATTTATAATTGTTATATCATTCTGTTGAATTGACACTTTTATCATTATAAATGACCTTCTATGTCCCTTGTGACAGTTTTTGACTTAAAATCCATTTTTTTTTTGACATACGTATAGACATCCTGTATTCTCTTGGTTAACAAATGTGTAGAATATCTTTTTCTACCCCATTTCCTTGCAACCTACATATGTCTTTAAATCTGAAATGAGTCTTGTAGGTAGCATTAATATTAAACGTTGTTGTTTTATTTATTCAGCCACTACATCATTTGATTGAGGGAGATCAGTCCATTTAAATTTAAAGTAATTATTGATAAGAAAGGAATTACTATTGCCTGTTTGTTCATTGCTTTTGATTTGTTTTTTTTCTTGTAGTTCTGTTGTTTCTTTCTTCCTCTCAGTCTTTCCTTGTGAATGGATTATTTCTGCAGTTGTGTGCTTTTATTTTCTTCTCTTCATTTTTTGTGTATCTACTATATATTTTCACTTTGTGGTTACCATGAGGCTTACATAAAACATTCTTGTCATAACTATCTATTTTAATCTGATAAATACTTAACATCAATTGCATACAGAAAATTTACAGTTTTATTCCCCTGATACATTTTATGTCATTGATGTCAGATTTTACTTCTTTTTATGTTGTGAATCCATTGACACATTTTTGTGGTTATAATTATTCTTATTACTTTTGTCTTTTAAATTTTATACCTGGGTTAAAAAAAGATATTTGCCACCATTACATTATTACATTATTCTGTTTTTGCCTATATAGGTATCTTCACCAGTGAGATTTATATTTCCATATGCTTTTGTGTTGCTGTTTATTGTCTTTTTATATCAACTTGAAAAACTGTTTGACACTTCTTGTAATTTAGGTGTTATGGTAACAAATTCCCTCAGTATTTCTTTGTCTGAGAAAGTCTTTATTCTTCATTTTTAAAGAACAGATTTGCTACGTATAGCATCTGTGGTTGGCAGTTTGAAAAATATTTCTTTTTAGAAATTTGAATATATAATCACTATCTTCTGGCCAGAAAGGTTTCTGCTGAGATTTCTGCTAATAGCCGTATGGAATTTCCCTTTTACTTAATGAATTGCTTTTCTCTTGCTAATTTCAAATTTTTTTTTTACCCTTGACTTTTGACAATATAATTACGTGTCTCCATGTAGACCTCTTTAGGCTTAATCTAAAATTTATTTAAACTTCAAGAATCTAAATGTCCATTTACATCCCAATATTTGAGAAGTTTTCAGCCAAAATTTCTTTACATAAGCTTTTTGCTCCTTTCTCTTTGTATGCTCCTTCTGCATTGCCATAGTGCATATATTGGTGTTATTGATTATATCCCATACATCCCACAGGCTTTCTTGACTCTTTTTCATTAATTTTGCAACTTTGACTAGATAATTCTATACAATCTATCTTCAAGTTCACTGATTCTTTCCTCTGATTGATTGAACTTCTGTTGAAGTTCTTTATTTAATTTTTTAGGTCAGTTATTGTATTTTCAGCACCGGAATTTCTATTTGGTTCTTTTAATTGTTTTTTTCTCTTTTCTTGTTTTTCTTTTTTTTTTTTTTTTTTTTAACCTCTATGGTTTGATTCTGGGTAGGCTTTTTTTTGAGCTTCTAATTTTGTTGATTTATTGCTTTCCTGATTTATTTAGCTATCTATCTCTGTTTCTTAGTAGCATAATGAGCTCCTTCAACACAATTATTTTGAATTCATTGTCAGGCATTGCACAGGTCTCATTTTCTGTAGGGTTGATATATTAGAGTTTTATTTTTATTTTTTATTTATTTGGTGATGTCATGTTTTCCTGATTCTTTATAATGCCTGTAGCCTGCATTAGTATCTGTTAATTTAAGGAAGAATTTAGCTCTTCTGGTCTATACAGACTGGCTAAAGTCCTTCACTAGTCAGTGTAGTCAGTGTGACCAAATAGTCTGGGTGCCTATTGAAGTGGTCAACAGACAGCTCTGGATTCACAGCTGGCCTCTGTGGGTGGGTATGCTCAGTTCTAAGGTCTGTGCATCAGCAGGCATGTTGTTAGGGTCCCAGGGAGGTGGGGAAGGGACTGTTATCACGGGTCACAAGATGGCTGTCAAGGTCCCCAAATTGATTATCAAGACTACTATCCCTTTTTGTCTTTAGCTGTCCCCAGGTTATCAAGCCATATTGATTCCCTCAATGTTCTGTGTGTTGTGTGATATAGGCAAGCTAGTCAGGTGTGCCCCAAAAGACTAGGGAGGTCAGATGCTCACTTCATTCTCTTTTTCTCCATAGGACAACTTGCAGGCTGAGGTGCTCTCTGTGTCCTGACATGTCAGATTTGGGAAATGAGTGAAGCAGGTAAAGTGAAACTGTTTTTGTTTTATTATTATTAATATTATTTTCAATGCATTTTTCTCCTTTCTGTGCTCTAACAGGATGCTGTACCTTCTCACCTGTATTCTGGAGCTCTCATAAAGGTATTTTCATCCATGGATGATTTTAAATAGGTGTTTTGATTGGGGGATGAGGGCCAGAAACTCCTATTTTGCCATCTTACTGTGTCAGTTGTGTTGATTTTAAATTTTATTGCATTGTCTTTGAAACATTCAAATAACATTAAGCTTTTTAAGTTTTTGCAACATATTTATGACCAAACATAGTTTATCCTGCAGAATGTTTCAGGTTGACTTGAGGAGAATGTGTATTTTCCCAATTGGGGATGGACTGTCCTATAGTTGTCTGTTAGCTCTATTTGATTTTTAGTGTTGTTCCGATATTTCATCTTATTGTTCTTCAGTCTGGTTCTTTGATCTATTATTAAAACTGGGCTATTAAAATCTTCAATTATTTTTGTGGAATCATCTATTTCTCCTTCAATTTTGTCAGATTTCTCTTCATGTATTTTTGGGCTCTGTAAGTACACATATGTTTATAATTATGTATTCTTCATGGATTGGCACTTTTATCAGCATAAAATATCCATTTTTATTTTTATTAATAATTTTATTCTCAAAGTCTTTTTATTTCTATTTGTATAGCTCTTCTAGCTTTCCAGGTGATTATAGTTTATATGTTGTCTTCTTCACATCAACTTACTTTCAATTTATTTTTATCTTACTTATCAACTTGTTTCTCCTAGAGGTATACATTTGGATATTTTTCAAAAAATTCATTCTGCTGATCTCTGCCTATTGATTGACACATAATGTGGTCTGAAGATTTGTGCCCCCAAAATTTGTGTGTCAAAACCTAGTGCCAGTGTAATAACAGCAGTGCAACCTTTGGTTGGTGACTAGGTCATAAGAAAAGGGTCCTCATTATGGAAATAATGACCTTAAAAAAGAGGTTCCAAGGCAGCTTGTTTGCCCCTTCGACTATGTGGAGACGCAATGAGAAGGTACTGTCTACAAGGAACAGGACACCATATCTTCTGGTGCCTTGATTATGCACTTCTTAGCCTCCATAATTGTGAAAAATAAATTTATGTTATTTATAAGCTGCCCAGATTATGGTACTGGGCAGGGTTAGAGTTAGGGTTAGGGTTCTGTTTTCAGTTCTTTTTCTTTGAGAAATTTTCAAACTCCTCTCCAAAGTGGCTGAACTAATTTATATTCCCATCAGCAGTGTATAAGCATACATTTTTCTATGCAGTCTCACTGGCATCTGTTATTTTTTTACTTTAATAATAACCATTCTGACTAGTGTGAGATGGTATCTCATTATGGTTCTTATTTGCATTTCTCTAATAATTTTTCTCTAATAATTAGTGATATTGAGCATTTTTTCACTTTTGTTGGTCACTTGTATGTATTCTTTTGAGAAGTATCTGTTCATGTCAATTGCCCACTTTTTATATGTGTGTGTGGTGTTTTTTTTTTTTCCTTGCTTTTTGATTTGTTTAAGTTCCTTATAGATCTGGCAAACATTTTCTTTCATTCTGGAGGTTGTATGTTTACTTTGCTGACAGTTTCTTTTGCAGTGCAGAAGCTCTTTAGTTTAATTAGGTCCCACTAGTCAAATTTTGTTTTTGCTGCAGTAGCTTTCGAAGACTTCGTCATAAATTATTTGCCTATATCCAGAAAGGTATTGCCTAAGTTTTCTTCCAGGATTTTTATAGTTCGGGGTCTTACATTTAAATCTTTAATCCATCCTGAGTTAATTTTTGTGAATGGTGAGAGAAAGAGTTCCAGTTTCATTCTACTGTATATGGCTAGCCAGTTGTCCTAGCACCATTTATTGAATAGGGAATCATGTCCCCCTTGCTTATTTTTGTTGACTTTGTCAAAATCAGGTGTTTGTATGTATGTGGTATTATTTCTCAGTTCTCTACTCTGTTCCTTTTGTCTTTGTGTCTGCTTTTGTACTAGTACCATGTTTTGGTACTGGTTTTGTTTACTGCAGCCTTATAGTATACAGTCAGGTAATGTGATGCCTCTGGCTTTGCTCTTTTTGCTTATGAATGCTTTGGTTTTTCAGGCTCTTTTTTGGTTTCATATAAATTTTAGAACAGTAATTCTGTTAAAAATGATGTTGGTGGTTTGATAGACATAGCATTGAATCTATAAATTTTGGGGGGCAATATAGCCATGTTAGTGATATTGATTTTCTAATCCTTGAGCATGGAATGTTTTTCCATTTATTTATGTCATGTATTATTTCTTTTAGAAGTGTTTTGTAGTTCTCCCTGTAGAGCACTTTTACCTTCTTTGTTAGATTTATTTCTAGATATTTGATTTTGTTTGTTCATATTATAAATGGGTTTGTGTTTTTGATTTGGTCCTCAGATTGAATGCTATTGTATAGAAATGCTGCTAATTTTTGTATATTTATTTTGTATCCTGAAACTTTACTAAAATCATTTATTGGTTCTAAAAGCCTTTTGCTGGACTCTGTAGGCGTTTGTAGGTATACAATCATATCATCTGCAAAAAGAGTTTTCTTCTTCTCTTCCTATTTGGATGCCTTTTATTTTTTCCCTTGCCTGATTGCCATGGCAAAGACTTCCAGTACATGTTGCATACGAGTCATGAGAGTGGGCATCCTTGTCTTGTTCCAGTTCTCAATGAGAATGCTTCCAGCTTTTACTCATTCAGTATGATGTTGGATATAGATTTGTAATAGCATAGATTATTCGTATTATTTTGAGTTATGTTCCCTTGATGCTTAGCTTGTTGAGGGTTTTTTTCATGAAGGAATGTTGGATTTTATTGAAAGCTTTTCTCATCTATTGATATGACCATATAGTTTTAAATTGTGTTTATGTGGTGAATCACATTTATTGATTCACATATGTTGAGCCAAATTTGTATCCAAGGAATAAAGCCTACTTAATCATAGTGAATTAACTTTATGGTGTGTTGCTGGATTCAATTTGCTAGAATTTTGCTGAGAATTTTTATGTCTATGTTAATTAGAGATATCAGCCTGAAATTTTCTTTTTTTGTGTCTCTGCCAGGTTTTGGTATCAGGGTAATTAGCTGGCTTCATAGAATGAGTTAGGGAGAAGTCTCTGCTCAATTTTTTGAAATGGTTTTAATAGAATTGGGACCAGCTCTTCTTTGTATATCTAGTAGAATTTGGTTGTGAATCCATCTGGTCCAGGGATCTTTTTGTTTGGTAGTTTTTTTTATTACTGATTCCATTTTGGAGCTTGATATTGGTCTATTCAGGGTTCCAATTTCTTCCTGATTCAATCTTTGGAGGCTTTGAGTTTCCAGAAACGTATTCATTTCCTTTAGATTTCCAGTTTGTGTGCATAGAAATGTTCATAATAGCCTCTGAGGATTGTCTGTATTTCTGTGGGAATGGTTGTAATGTTACTTTTTCTTTCTGGTTGTGCTTATTTGGATCTTCTCTGTTTTTTCTTTGTTAATCTAGCTAGTGAATTATCTATTTTATTTATCCTTACAAAGAAGTAACTTCTGGTTTCATTTCTCTTTGCATGGACTTTGGGTCTCAATTTCTTTCAACATTATTTATTTATTTTATTCTGCTAGCTTTGGGGTTAGTTTGTTCTTGATTTTCTAGTTTGTCTAAGTGTGATATAAGGTTGCTAATTTGAGACATTTCTCACTTTTTGAGGTAAGCATTTAGCACTATAAACTTTTCTCTTAGCACATTTTCACTACATCTCAGAGATTTTGGTATGTTGTATCTCTGCTTTCTTTAATTTCAAGAATCTTTTGATTTTTGCCTTAATTTCATTCCTTACCCAAAACTCAGTCAGGAATAAGTTGTTTAATTGTGTGATTTGGGGAGATCTTGGTATTGATTTCTATTTTTATTCCACAGTGATCTGAGAGTATGATTGGTATTAGCTGAACATTTTAGCCAGGAATGTGGTTGATCTTGAAGTATGTTTTGTGTGCAGATGAGAAGAATGTATATTCTGTGGTTGATGGGTGGAGTTTTCTGTAGATGTCTATCAGGTCCAATTTGTCTAGTGTCAAAGTTTAGTCCCGAATTTCTTTGTTAGTTTTCTACCTCAGTAATGTGTGATGCTTTCAGTGGAGTTTTGAATTCCCCTAGTATTATTGAAAACCACAGGATACTTAGTGGGAGAGGTGAAACGGCAGGACCCAGTCTTCTAGAGGAGGCAAATTAAAATATAATCAATCACCAGATGAACTATGCCATAATTATAGCATTTTTTTGTTTTTAATTTCCTATTTTGGTAGGAAAATAGTAATATTACAATTATAGAGAAAACAGACCTACTTTTTATGTAGTTGATTTTATATGTCATTGATGATCTGTCTCATTTACAACCCTTATTAAATGTTTCCCTTCTTGGGAATTTGGAGAATGGAGATGGAGCTTCAGTGCCTTCATACAGAACACTGATCTTCGCCCTGCAATTATGATGATAAACATTTCATGTGGGAAAGATGAAATGGAGCAGAAAAAATATCTGCTATAGTTTCTATGAAAACTGTTTTATAGACTTTTGTTTTTTTATAATCAGTAGTTTCCCAGCCTTGGGCCAACCATTCTTATATTGTGGAATTCCCCAATGTATAAGAGGTGGGAGGCATATTCCTACCCCTCCCCTCTCCACACACCCCCTCCCCAAACAGCAGAAGTGAAATCATTATGTCCTACCAAGGAAGCAGCCAGTCCACAATGATAGCTTCAGCAATGGTACTCTCTTCCTAAAGAGTTTGAAACTTGAATAAGCACTAGAAAGACTACTGAAAGTTGAGATTTGATTTGTGGCTGTTAGGTCTGTGGTCAGTGGTTAGGTTTCCAAAGAGTAAGGATACCTTAGTGTTTTTGACTAGATTATTTTTGCTGCAAAGCCTCATTTGAATTCATCTTGTTTGCTTAGCCTGATTTTCTGGTCTTCATATAGATCTAGGATCTACCTAATTTCCTTACAGTAAATTCCTTTTCCCCTCATATAGTAGGTTTCTATTGCTTGCAGCTAACAACCCTAACTTACACTGATATTATTGTTTAATCCTTGTTCTGTGGTGGGCAGGTCTATACAGACCTACCCCAAAGTGTGAGGAAGCTGAGATACCAAAGAAGGAGGCCGACATATCCAGTTTCTTAGAAAGAAACATTTAATAGGGACTTATGAATAGAAGCCACGTCTGTTTCTTAGGGGCCGGTGAAACAAGATGATGGATCCTTCTTCTATTACCTGTGCAAATCTAGGGCTTTTATATTATAGGAAAAGTATATATGTGATTCAGAAGGTACGCAGAGGCCAATTGAAGTAGGATAGCATCAAGCTTTTTTTGACCTAAGGGAGAGATTTATGGTAAGTACATATACTCTTACACAAAGAACAATAGATAATATAGAAATCTTAGAGATATTCCTGCAACTGGGGTTAACTGGAAATCAGCATGGCAGATTAGCATCCAAGATGGAATTGCTTTAGCCTCCATAATCTTTGTCATTATTTATTGACAGGATACAAATATTACACTTCTCTAAATAAATCCTTAAAGTTTTATACATATGAGAGGTGTGTATAGGGTGCTAAAAATTATTTAGGAAGAGGCTGTTTGGCCTCTTATCCTTAGGCCAATCAACCAAGTAGTGCAGCTGCATTATCATTGACCATTACTTTAGTAATTCAGAATCCTATCATTTTTTCAGAAATGTTATATGAAAATATGAAATGAAATTATCTTCACAAGGCAATGTTGAAACATTTATATGGCATTACAATATTGAATGTCATAATATTTAAAACATATTTTGTGCATGAATTTATAGGTATTTTCTCATTTCAATTTTCATTAATAATACAGTTCTCTCAGTTGTTAATGCAAGACTGTTGTTGCCAAACAATTTACTAGTTAATATAGATCCCAGGCCATTGGATTGACTACACTGGATTTTATCTTATTAATAGACTCCCTTAAGAGCAAAAGAAAGGAAATAATTGGTAACAACTTTGGGTATGTACCCAAAGATATAACTTTTCAGAAACATTTTCTTCAATTAAAATACAGCATTGACAAAATGAAGTAGAGAAAGTTAAAATTTAGTGGAAACAAATATTCTTTTGAAATTGAGTAGAAGTGCAGCTAAGGAATGTTTAGTCACAATCAACTTGGTTAAAATGTGCTGACAGGACATACTTTAAATTTCTTAATAACGTATCTTAGCCCTGAAAACTTCAAACCCTCAAAACCTATTTAAATATATATTCATAATATTTGGTCTCAGGGATTTTGATAAAAGTACATCTTAAGATGCAGTGTTTGGAGGTAGGGAGTGGTCTGGAGATCCAGTGGAGAGCAGCTGGTGTCTACCCACTGACCCCCTGACCTTTAATAACCTTAGATATGTTACTTGACCTCTCAGTGCTTCAGTTTCCACATCAACAACTGGGGATAATTTTAATACCTACTCATAGGATTGTTGTAAATGTAATCACATGAATACTGATAAAGCTTGGTATGTAATAAGTGCTTTTAAGTAGTAGTGTCCATGGACTTGAAAATATACTATGCCAGATTTAACTGTCTTTGTAGATTTTTAGATAATCTGTATTTATTTCAACAATCTATAAAGTCTTTTATCCCTATTCTTTCTCATCCTATTTCTTTTTTAAGCATTTCACTCCTTATATTCTCCAATATATTATGAACAAAGATTGTTATATTAACAACATTGTTTTTCAATTGCATAGAAAATTTTCTTTGTTAAAATAAACTATTAAACTCTTGGAGAGAAAAATTCAAATAATTTTCTTTATCAAAGTTTTCTGTATCATTCTTCATAGTTTCATCTGTGTCTGAGATTTAGGCAGGGATTAAAATGATTTTATTGAGTACATTATATAAAAGATGTTGAAAAATAATGCTTTTACTATTCATAAATAGAGTGTAATATGTTAAACATTAAAATGTTAATAAAGAATGAAATGAAAACTATTACAACATTTGCATGAGTTGAGAATGTTCATATTGTCCTAACAAATCATATTTTTCCCCATAAAGACTAGGAATGGGAATATGTGAACAGAAATGACAAATTTTACCCAATTGTTGGAAAGTTAATGTTCTGTTTCTCGTCTCTTTCTCACTCTTCAAGTGAAAGCCTTTGGGCAAACAGGGATGTGTTTGTACCTAAGAACTATTTATCATCGGTTATAATTTCTGGTATGTAATTTTCTCTGGGAATGTCACCAAAACAGAAATTTCTCCTATTGGCTCTATTTGAAGATTCATTTAGCATAGCAAAATTAATTGTAGTTTTTGCATTTATTAATCACAAGCTTTTCCCATACTGGATCACAGGATACAAGTGGGGGAAAGGGGAGCTCTATTAATCAACGGAGAACAATGTGAAATAAGGGAAGAGTTCAGGAGATAGAAAATTACTGGTTAAATCTTATCTGTTGACTTAGGTGACCAAGGTTAAACATATACACATATGTGTGGACACATACACACGAAGCAGCCTTGGATTGTTAATGGGTTATCCACATTGTATAAATTCACAAACACAGAAGATTCCTTCATTTCTGGCTTGGCTTTGTTTACACAATTGTGGCTGTGGACACTTCAAGGTTCTGTGAGCTCTCCTACTAGTTTACAACCTTACAAGGCTGTTTTTCTAACAGCAGAACATTGGCAATAAATGTCTATTAGTCAAAATCACTGCAGCAGTTTTATAAGGCCTATGAGTGCATATTTCCCAGTCTGCTTCTCTTTAAATTACCAAGAATGCAAAAATAACCAATAGTTTGACCTCTTAAATCACAAATTGGATAGGCTCACCATTAAAGTATATTGTAAATGTGTTTCCCATTATTTAGCTCATTTAGCATGTTCAACAGCAGGCATTCAAATGTGTTAAGGGGTTTTTTCATTTTTTTTTTTACTTCACAGAAGGCATTAAATTATTTTTCAAGCCATCAAGGGATAATTAAAAAACTAGAATACAAATGGAATATGCTAATAGATCATCATTAACCATCTGCATGAAAGAGAAAGAATATAAAAGTGCAATAGGCTCAGAAATTATTGGTTTCACGTTAATCATTTTGATAGTCTTCATTATAGAAATTTAACATAACTTTTTAAATTTAGGAAATTATATGAGGAGATCATATACAGAGTGAAAAAGAAGTAACTAGAATTAAAGTTTACAATCTAAAATTATTGCCATCCAGATTGAAGAAATGATCGGTAGTAAATGATGAAACAAAATATTTCAAATTCAACATAAACTTTAAGTATATCCACTTTTTATATTAATATTAGAATATGACATTCTGATTAGTCAAAGTGGGCATATCTGTCTAAATTTTTTTTCTTCCCTAAAGCGGGTTGATGCATTTTATCTTCAATTGTTTTCCTGAAACATTTTTAAGGCTTAAAGAAATGTTTACCTTTTAAAAAGCAGTAGTAATTTTTGTATATGCTTTGGATTCTCTCTGGCATAGCTCTACATACTAAAATGCCATAAAAAGTGTAGAATAAAGCATCTGGTGTTTGAGTTACAAGGTCTTATCACTAAACAGTGTGTTTCTGTTAAACCTTTGACAGGTATTTTACACAGATCACAAAGTTAGAGTGACCTGTCACAATTAATTACTATTTACTGGAGTTCATAGGTGTGTTGAGTAGCTGAAAAGATGTCCTGGCAGAATAACATCAATTCAAATATACTCATTTCACAAAATTTGGATCTGGTCTACATTCATACATTTCACTCAAATATTATGATGTGACTTTAGAGGAAGGGGAACTTAAGTACTGTGTCTATTTAGTCTCAGCGTGCAAAAAATATAAAGATTACTTATATCAATTCTTTCACCTATAATTCACTTGTTCTATAATACGTTTTTAATGTATTATAGATTATACTTGTTATTAAGACATACACTTGTTATTATATATTATACTTGTTATTAAGGTAATAACAAGTGAGGAGGATATACTTGTTTATTACAATTTGTGAAACAAACATTCTTTAATTTTAAAGACAGAAGAGCTTTATTTTTATGTAGCAATTTCTGAATCATTCAAGGATTTCTTCAAGTAGAAGCTAATGTATTTTCCTGGGTTTTTGAATATCCCATGACAATTTCCTCAGATTATGCTCTTCTGTGCAAGATCTTTCCAACATACACCATCCTTTTCAACATTTTTATATTGCCTTAAAAATAATGCTAGTGCAGGGAGAAGATCTATTTACTGTATGTATAGATTATATTTGGGAGACAAGTACTATGTTCATATAAAACATTATTATTAAAAGATTCAATTCTAAACTTAAAGTAAGGAAGCTTTTTCCCCTTACTTTTCATCTTGGGAAATGTGAAGTGGTTTGCAATAAGCCAAAGGAAATGAAAGCGTTGATGAGAGAGATAGGCATGTAGGTGATTGATAACAGCCAAGGTTGCCTGCAGGTTATTGATGAGCCACACATAGTGCAGCAAACCTGTATTTTATTTCACAAACCATGACATAAAGGTGTAAATGTGTTCCATTAAAATCATATTCCAAATGTGTTTCATTAAAACAAGATTTTGCAAGCTATCTAGATGATGTGTAAGTACTTGTAGATAGAATATTGGTATATGTAAACTTTCTCGATGAACAGGTAAAAGTTGTCGGTATTTTCTTAAATTGGGTATTTGTCATTTGCACAGAGCTTCTCCTTTTAAAGAGTAATAAAGGTGGCTACAGATCTCAAACAATAAAATTATGGTAGCCATCACTGACTAAATAACTTACTTCAGCCAAAAGAAGACTTAAAGAAAAGCAGTGAATTTAGCAGCTCTCAACTATGCAATCCCATTTGTGTTACATCAAAAACAAAAGCATGAATGTGAACAAGAGCAGGACAGTGTGGCAGTTAATAGAATGGTATTCTTATGACAAAGAGAAAGTACTGATTCTTTGTTTTAAAATAAAGTGTTCTGTTGCTTTGATAGGAAAAGAACCCTGCTATCATATTAAAGTAATTTTGATCTAAGATGTACATGTACATAATAACACTTTCCCACTTCTGTCTCCCCCTCCCTCACCCTATTTCTCTTTCCCTCCTTCTTGCTATCTCGTTCCTCCCCATATCGTAAATACATAGTGTGGTTGTAGTTATGTAAGAAGCACTTCTTTGGTTTTCTTAGTACACATAAAATGCATATTACTTTCACTCCCTTCCCAACACATATACGTACTTTCCCTTAATTAAGTGAATTTTAGTTATTAGGGCAAACAAATAACCTACTAGAGTTCTAAAGATTTCCCAATACTAATGTACAGTCTGGTTTAGGATAAATGAAAACAAGTTGGAAAAAAAAATCTATACAGCTTTTTTGGTATTATTAGCCGTATAGAAATTCTTGATGAATTACTACCTGATCTAGTTATTTTGTAGTGCCAATGTACTCTTTAATTAAATTAGAAGGTAACAACTAGTTTAATCTTTTTATGGAACATTGTAGCTTATTTCTTTCATATTTTTGTTTCCAAATCTTAAAATACCATGAGCATTACACTTCAAAGTCAATACTTTAATTAGAGATTATCCTAACCATAAGTATGTTTAATCCTAAAGTGATTACTGTATTTCCATTCCTGAAACTTTAAAAATCACATTTGAAGATATAAGGCCTGATGATAATGATTAGACACTAGGACTTTGAACTGTTATTTCACAATGAACAAGAAAGAAGACTATAAGAAATTAACCACTTAATGACTCAGTTTTTTTCCATTGTAAAATGGAAAACATAATACCTACCTTATTGTATTTTGATAAAACTCAAGTGGGCATATAACGGAGTAAGTAATATAAAGCACTTAAGGTAATTAACAATGCAGTTAGTGTTGTGGGAAGATGTGTGGAGAAGTGAGGGACAGGTTTGTGAGCAGAAAAAAAAGGCTGATGCAAGTCTATTCACTAGAATATATATCTTGGAACTACACCCAAGTTGCTTCACCTGCTGTCTCTGCTCAGATCAGTGTAATTCATAAATCATGTAATTGAGCACCCAGGTTACCTCTCTTGTACTAGTGACTAACATCCCTACATGGAGGACATCAAGAGGGGGGTAAATGTGGAGGCTCTACTGATGGTACATGTGTGAATTGGTTCATTGCTCAGATTGTTCTCCTGGTCCTAATTATCTATGAAAGGGATCAAGCTTCTGATGTGGAATACAAACATGATCATCAACAATTAAAACCGTCAGTGCATAATCAGTGGGTATTTCATTGTTGATATGGTACTTGTCCATTTTGCCTGCTTCGGGGTTATTCTTGTTGAGTAGAGGCATGGAGGATGTGATCCTGGCAGTTCCTGTAGGCATCTCACATTTCCACAGGGAGAAAATTAGTTAAAATTTCAAAAGCAATTGCTTTTGTGGGTCCATAAACAAATAAAAAACACAAAACATGTCCTAAATCAGGAAATAAGCATTCTATGTTCTAATTTGACACCCAGTTTCTTATGTACAGGTCAATATATCTGAGCCTCAGTTTTTCAAACATAAACTCAAAATTATGGATTTGCTTATCTTTAAGGTCTTGTGTAGGTCCCCAATTACAGCAAAATTTAGCTGTGGCACAAGCAAAAAACACCAGTGACTAATCCAAAGCTTATTAACCTATTTATGCCTAGTGTTCCATTATTGGAACGCTAAGCTTGTAGGAGTTATATGTATCCTACTGCTCAAGGTCATCACCAAGGCCTGACTTTTCACAAAAAAAAATTTGCAAACTTTTTGTGACTTTTCACCAAAAAAAAAAAAAAAATGGCATAAGTGAGTTAATGGCTGGCCTGCTCATCTTTGAATCCCTCTTATTAGGGAAAGAAAGTTAGCTTAAGGCAGATAGACTCAGGCCTCTCAATAATATAACATATTGGCAAATATTCTAGTAAAACCGTGTTCCCATTTACATTATGCATTGGAAACAATTTTACCTGCTGGCTGGCACTTTCTCTGAAATTGTTAGACCATATATAGTGAATAAAAATGACACTCAACAACTCAGAGTTTAGTAACAATGCCCATGTTTACGTATTTTACTGAATTTTTTATCGGAAAAAATCTGGAAATCTCATGAAAGAGGATTTTCTCTTTGTTGGTTTTTCAAGTACAAAAAACTGCAGTAAAATAAAGTCAATGGAAAACAGCCTTTGGCCAGAGACTTTTCTCAGCTTCCTAATTTTAGTCAGCCCAAAAGCTTGTCTTACACAATTGTGGAAATAGTGACTCTGGCGTTAGACTAATCAAGAACTGTAGAAATAATAGAATGAATAAAATCAGTTATGAAGTGTTTTTGAACTTTCATGTAGGTTTGGTTTTCAGTTCATCATGGTGATGAAAACTACAGTATGTTTAGATTTTTTTGTAATCTGATTCATCAATCATACTAGAATTCAAGTTATCTGTCCCCAAAATGTAACTGTCTTTGCCTTTATACCTTACTTCAAAATGTGAGAAGTGTAGAGAATAAATTTCCTATAGTTACATATTTCAACATTTAAAATGGAAATGACTTAAAATTTTATACTGCTTAAATGATTTCTGTTATTATAGTTACATACTGGTGTAATCAAATACATTTAGGGAAACAAAAAAGCAATGCTTTTCCCTAGGAATTTGGTAAAATATGGTGTAGTCACATTCCCTTTTCTAAAAGAAAAAAAATTAAGGAAATAATAACAGGTGCTAGGCTAGGTAAAAGTCTCTTGTGATTATAGAAATAACGAAGGGTTTAAGTGGGAAAACTCTTAAGTGCTGGAAGTGTTGGAAGAGCAGGCTGAAGATTAGAATTAGAATCCCCACGGGAAAGAAGGAGGTAAACTCTTTACCATAAATCATCTAGATGCTTAATTTGAAATCAAACATGAACCTGAACATGTGTCATATAATCTGGCTAAGTACACCTGGGTTTTATTAAGATGGTGTGAGCCAAAGACCACAGTGTTTTAGAAAAGCTTGAGCAGATCCTCTGCTAAAGAGAAAAAAGTACTGTGTCTTGCTGTTGGAAAACAAAACCCATAACCTCAGTGCACCAACTTCAAGTAATTAATGGACTGATCTTCCAAACATGTATACTATATTTGGAAATGAGTATAATGTAGTGTTTAACAGGATGTATTTTAGGGTGATATAGTCTCGAGATCAAATCCTGACATCTCCACCACTAGCTGTATGGCTTTATGCAGATTGCTTAACCTCTCATCATTTCAGTATCTTCATCTGTATGATGAGCACTGTTATAGTTCAATGTTATAGGACTGTTGTTTAAATTAAACACAATGTGTATAAAATTCTTAGTATAGTGCTGGGCACAAAATAGAGCCTTAATAAAGAATGATTGCTTTTGTTTTTATTATAAATTGAGTGTTAATTTTTATTGTAAATTGAGTCTGCCATTCAGAACCTTTTAATTCATGAACAGTTAAGTTCACAGAAACAGAAACATAGCTGTTCTTAATGACATTTGTCACATCCTACCAACTACAGCCCTATAACTCTTTAAGAAGTTTTCATGGTACCTTTTGTTAAATTACTTTGTTATCCTTTTGTCCTAATAAAAAATTACAAGTAACTCAAATATGACCTTTGTCCACATTTACCAATTGGTTATATGTTTACACCATCTGTTCCTCTCCTTTCTTCTCCTTTCCGTTCCCTTCCCTTCCTCTCCCCTCCCCTCCCTCTTCCCTCTTTCCTCATGTATGCACACACATTTCTATTTATTCCAAAACATTTGGAAGTTGGAGACATAGTGCTGTTTTACATTAAATTCTCCAGCGTATATGTCCCCCAAACAAGGGAATTCCTTTAAATAACTTCAGTATAGTCATCAAAATCAGGAAATGTAATACAGTGATACAGTATACAATCCAATCCACTGTCCACATTCCAATTTGATGAATTGTTTCAGTGACATTTTTATAGCTATTTATTCCCCAGTCCAGTACCCAATCCAGGATCTTGCATTATATTTTGTTTTCATGTCTCTTTAGTCTTTTTAACTTGGAACAGCCCCTCAGCCTTTTTTTTTCTCTTGACCTTGAATTCTTTGAAAGTACAGGCCTGTTATTTTATAAAATAAAAATATGTGTTATTTTCTTGTTTTCTCATGATTAGATTTTGCTCGTGGGTATTCTGGCAGGAATGGCACTGAAATAATGTTATATCCTTCTCAGTACATCTTATTAGGGGCCACATTATATTAGTTTTTCCAGTATTGTTAATAATTAAGATGAAGTTTTTCACAGTATTGACTTGGTTAAGATGAAGTTTTTTCAACGTCTTAGTTGTAATTGATGGAGGGATACGTCGATGCATAAAATATTAACAAAACTCTAGTCAGGCTCCTCTAAGCCCACTAGACCTCAACCTTGGCATTATCCTTATCAGTCCTGCATCATCCAATTATAGCAAGAATCCAGTTACATCAGTTTAGGAAGAATCCCCTTCATGCCCTTATCTGATCACCCTAGGAATCAGATCAAAGTCCTCAATTTCCACCATCCCCCAGGCAATATCTGATCACCCTGGCTTGACTTCAGCAAAAATCTCATTAGGTCCAGATAACTAGAATCCCTACCACTACCACCCCTGATGTTTCCTCTCAGTAATTTTCCATCCACTGACCGTCGCCCTGTTCCTCAGTTATAAATCCTCACTTGTCCATGTTTTGCTTAGAGTTGAGCCCAGTTCTTTACCTAGGTCTTTTATCCTATCCTAATAGTTCCTAAATACAATTTGTTTTTACCACTTTAACTACTGTCCAGCTCTGGTTTTCTTTAACAATATGTTAATAATATATTTTGCATCCTTAAAACTTGAGTTTATTTTTGAGTGTTTAATGAAGATTGTATTTCTTCAGAGGCCAAATCCTCAACCTAACTCTGGAACATGATGGTAAAAGACTAAGTAAGTCCAGGTAACAGGGAGTTACTGAATATATTAACTGCCTTGGCAAAGGTATCCTATTGTGATCTTAAAGTCATGTGTTCTTCATTCAAATTTCCCACCTGTGCTTTTTCATTCATTAATGGGGAAGAAATTTAACCAGATATAGCAATTAGAACTGGGAACCCTGAAAAAATGTGGGAAATTTCTTTCCCTGAGGCTGAATTGCCATTTGGAAGAAGTTCTATTATAATAACAACGTTATTCCTTTCTACCCTCCTTATTTACTCTTCCTATGGAAGTAAGTGAATTCCAGTTAGCAAGTTTGAAAAGAGAAATTTGGAATTCTCCTGCCTTTTACCTCTTTTTGAGAGCAAGCTGCTAACATGAGCCAGACATTCTCCTCTGCAACTTGGCGTGATAAGTTTTACAAGGGCAGACCCCAATCCAATATAGAAAGACCTGTGCTTGTTTAGAACTGTGACAGAAAAGATAAGTTCAATTCTGGGATACAGTTCTAAAAAGCCCTTTATTGCTATGTTGTAAAAAGCCCTTTATTGCTATGTTGTAAAAAGCCCTTTGTTGCTACACACCTATACCACATTCTCCAAATCATATTTATTAGCAATAACATATTCTTATAATTTATTTTGGGCTAGGGATAGAAAAAAATGACATATGGAACAGAATAGAACATACATACATAAATGGAAGTGACTTCCTATGGTTTGGATGTGTCCCCCTAAGGGAGGAGACCACCCCTCATATTGTCTTATGCCCAATTTCTGCCTCCAAAGAAAAAAACAAGTAAAAACTAAAAGGCAGAAATGAAATCCACAGGCAGATAGCCCAGCACTGCGCACTGGGCCTGGTAGTTAAAAATCAACCCCTGACCTATCTGCTTGTGTTATCTATAGATTTCAGACATTGTATGGAAAAGCATCACGAAAATCCCTCTCCTGTTCTGTTCCATTCTGATTACTGGTACATGCAGCCCCTGGTCATGGTCACATACCCCCTGCTTGCTCAATCGATCACAACTCTCTCACGTGGAACCCCTTAGAGTTGTAAGCCCTTAAAAGGGACAGGAATTGCTCACTCAGGGAGCTTGGTTTTTGGAGACTTGAGTCCGCCAATGCTCCTAGCTGAATAAAGCCCTTCCTTCTACAACTCAGTGTCGGAGGGGTTCTTGTCTGTGACTCGTCCTGCTACACCCCTAAGTATATGCGTTGGAAACTTAATCCCCAGTGCAACAAAATTGAGAGGTGGAACCTTTAGGAAGTGATTAGATTGTGAGGTCTCTGCTCTCATGGATGGATTAATGCCGCTATCAAGGGAATGCATTTATTATCCTGGAAGTGGATTTCCTGAGAAAAGGATGGGTTTGGTCCTCTCTCATTCTCTTGCTCTCTCTTGCTGTCTTGCCCTTTTGCTTTCTACCATGGGGTGACACAGCAATAGCAGGAAGAAACACACACACATATGAATACTTCCTTTGTGACACGGCTAGTGATGGAAAAATTGGTTGTAATATGGGAGATAATAAAATTAGATCCTTAGCTCACACCATATACAAAAATAAATTCCACATTCATCAAAGACTTAATGAAGCACAACTATTAAACTTTTAGAAGAAATATAGGAAGACATTCTTTAGGACCCTGGGGTACAGATGGGTTTCTTAAGTCACAGAAGAAGAACCTCTAGAAGACTAGCTGATGATTAACGTTTAAAAATACATTAAAATTAAACTATCTGTTCATGAAAAGATACCATATAATGAAAATATGGGCCACATATAGGTAGATGTAATTTCCAACACATATAATAAATAAATAGAACCTATAATATATAAAAACATAAATAGGAAAAAGATAAACAAGCCAATACAAAATGAGCCAAAGGCTTGGACAAAAAAATAGAAGAAACACAAATGGGCAATAAACAGTAAAAGATGAACAACCTCATTCATAGTTAGGAAATGCAAACTAAAACCACAATTTAATACCACTTCACCATTTTACACATTCCAATTGTAGAGTAATGGAAACTCAAGTACTATTAATGGGAGTGTAAATTTGTGTAACCACTTTGGCAAACAGTGAAGTGATGTCAAAGTATCCTTGAAAATTCATATACTGTTTATTGTAGCAGCTCTACTTCTAGATATATCCCAGAAAAAACTTTTGCACAAACTCAGCAAGAGATACATATAAAAAAAAATTTTCTGTTAGTATTGCTAGTAAGAATCCATGTACCATTCAACTTCAGTGAGATACTCTTCACATTGTATTCTATATGATAAGCATCTCCTGGATTTGTATGAGTAGTAGTTAGTCATTTACTTATAATAGAAAAATGACTAACAGCCAAAATGTCTATACACAGTAAAAAGGATATATATGTTTTGTCATATTAATACAGATAGGAAAATAAATACTCTATAACTACATAAATCAACATGAATGAATATCATTAGTGTAATTCATGAAAAATCTTGTTGCAGTATAATTTCATTCATATACATTTTAACTATGCAAAATGACATACCATAGTGTCTAAGGATACAGATGAAACTACAATATGTTATATGCGTAGACACTTAGCATTGTCATGTTCTTGTTTTCTCATATGATGAAACTATAAAGAAGCTATAAACCATAAAAGTTGATGCTTTTAAAATTTATATGGATATAGTTTTATACTTTTTCCAGTAATTGTGGGGTTAATAGTATGTTTAAAAGAGATAAATTTTATTGTTATTTTAAATTTCAAACATATGTAATTTTTCAAAATAAATTATAAACTTTTTAGCTCTTTTTTTTCTTAAGCAGCTCATTGAAATGATTTTAAAATCATTTACAGGTATTCTCCTAGTTAAATGTTACATTTTTAGGATAGATGCAATCAGATTTTTATTGTTATAGCTTAATCTTTAGCTATTTTATTTAGTGATTTTGCATTAGATAGCAGATGTAAATTCGATTCTATTGGTAATTAAATTAAATATAAATGGCAAACACCAATAAAAAGCCAGATGGTCAAACTGGATAAAAAAGCAAGGCCCAGCTATTTACACATATACACACACATACACACACAGACACACACACGTAAACACACACTGTCTATAGAAGATACATTTTAAATCTAAAAGATATATTAAAAAGATGAAAAATATATCCCATGGAAACAATTATAAGAAAACCAAAGGACCATATTACTATCATATTTCATAAAAAGAAATAGTACCAGAGATAGAAATATTTCCTAACAAGTGGATTGAGAAAACAAGAACATGACGATGCTAAGTGTCTATGCATATAACAGCAATTTCACAGTGCATGAAGCATAAATGATACACCAGGAAGGAGAAACAAAAAAATCTGCAATTATGTTCATATTTCTCTCCCAATAATTTGTAGAATGACTAAAGCAGAAAGTAAGAATAAAAAGTCTTAAAAAAATTATCTACCAATCTGATCTAACTGATATTAATAGAAACTTCACTCAACAACAGCGCATCACTCTTTTTCTCAAGTACATGTAGAACATTGATCAAATGTGCTCCAAGCTATGCCATTAACAAGTTTTAATAAATTGAAAAGAGTTGAATCATACAGAACATGTTCCCTGACCACAAGGGAATTGTGAGAAATTAATAACAGAAAGATATCTAAGAATCACCATGTATTAGAAAATTAAGCCAGATTTTGCTCCATAAACCATGGATTAGAGAAAAAAAATCTATGGAAAGTATAAAATATTTTGAACTGGCTGAAAATGAAACACAATATATCAAGTCTAGCAAAATGTGTGAAATATGGTTAAATCAATACTTAGAGGAAAATTTATAACTAACCGCATATATTAAAGATGATTAGTTACCAAAACTTCCAATTTAAGAAGCTAAAAAAGAATTAAAATCAATGTGAGCAGAAAAAAGAAAATAATGAATATAGAATCAGAAATAACTTACACAGAAAATGGATGAATATTACAGATAGACTATCAAGAAAATTGTTAACCCTGTAGCTAGACTGATGAAGAAAAAGGAAAAAAGATATAAATTGTCAATATTAGAAAGGAAAGAGGGGGCAGCACTAAGATCCTACATTAAGAGGGTAATAAAATAATGTTATAAAAAATTTTATGTCAATGAATTGATCACCTAGATAAAATGGACACATTTCTTGAAAGACTAACAAAATTGACCCCAGGGAAAAAAAAAATCTCGATACGTCTCTACTATAGAAGTTTGTAACTGAAATCCTTCCCACAAAGAAAATTCCAGGCCCAGATGACATTATTGCTGAATTCTTGTAAACATTTAAAGAAAAAAATACCACAAAACTTATTCGCAGGATAAAGAGAACACTTCTCAACTTATTTAATGTGACTGACATAATCCTGACACCAAAACCAAAGACAACATAAGAAAAGAAAACCACAAACCTATATTCTTCACAAATATAGGTGGCACAAATATTTTAAACATATTAACAAGTTGCATCATTACCAAGTGATGTTTATTCCTGGGATGCAAGGATGGTTTAACAATTGAAAACCAATCAATATATTTTACCATATTCACAGACTAAGAAAACACATACAATCACAATAGACGAAGAAAAAGCATTGGACAAAATTTAACACCCATTCATTATAAAAACTAAGAATAAAGGGACTTTCTGTGGATATAGGTCATCTATAAAACATCTACAGCTAATAATAAGTGGCTTCGATTTCCTCAGAGAATGTTACCATAGTAGAAGATCAACACTGGATTATTTTGCTGGCAGGTTGAACATTAAATAGTTGGATGACTAAATGCCTTGATGAGATATTGGACATTGAATAGTCCAGCTAAATGCAATAGGCCTAAAAGCTCATGCTTTTTGGCCTATAAAACTCATCCATCTCTGCCAGTATGGTTACTCTCAGGTCGTGATCTCATTGTAGGAGCAGTAGGGTGGCTAAGGATAGAGTCTGGCTGACATCTACTGGTCAAGTCATTCTGTTAACTTGATGGTTTCATTCACTTCTGTAGGGGATAATCTGTAATGCGCATTAAACTGCAAAACCAAAATCATCACACTTTGTTCTTTTTCCCATAACTACATGCCTCTGTCCTGAACATCTTCATTTCTCATTATTCAGTTTTTCTCCTTTTTCTTTTCAGAACCCTTAGACAATTATACAAGCCATTTGCCATTGCCTATTTACTCTTGTAAAGACAATCTTCACATTGCACATGATATATCAAATCATATATACATATATATTCCAGTATACCACAATTTCTGATTATCAGTACTCACATATCATAATAGCCATGTAAGTAGGAACATGCAAGATTGTCTTAATAATTAATAAGGGAGATTACAATTGCTCAATGACCTTTGAAAATATTTTTAAAAACCATAAAAACCCTTACTGATAGTTAGAAATATAGAAATAAATAAAATATCAGAGCACTAACATGTATAATAATACATTAAATATATATTGTATATTAAATATATATATTTAAGTAACAGTACACTATTATTTAAAATATTGGAAACATTTAGAACTAAAGTGTTCTATTTCTTTGTAAAAAGTTACCAAGAGTAGTTTGAACATAGCCAAAGGAAACTGAACTAGACCGGCCTATGACAGTTTTGGTTAGCCTTCCTCAAGTAAAAGATGAAGTTCACCTTTTGCTTCTCTTCTTCATCCATTTTTCTATTCTGTAGCCCATAGGTTGTCTGTGTTCATCTTAAACCATAAAAATAAGGGTCATACTCTGGGCATGACAGAGCGAAGAGCTGGGAGGACCTTGGGTTCTTGAAGGCTTTTTGAAGCAGAACCTTTCACCAGCCCCTTGCCCTGTTATCTTCAGACACATTTCCTCCCCTTCCTCCTCCTCCTCCTCCTCACTCTCTTCCTCCTCTTCTTCTCCTTCTTTCTTCTTTCTTCTCTCCTTCTCCTCCTCCTTCTTCCCTTCTTCCTCCTCTTCCTTCCCTTCTTCCTCCTCCTCCTTCTTTTCTCTTTCTTCTTCTTCTTCCTGCCCCTCCTCTTCCTCCTCCCCCTCTCCCTTTCCCTCCTCCTCTTCTTCCTCCTCCTCCTCCCCCTCCTTCTTCTTCCTTCTTCTTCCTTCTCTTTTTTAGAGACAGTGTCCAGTTTCAAATGACAGAATCAGCTGATTTAATAATGGTAATTATGTGTCTTTTTAGTTTTTTTGTTTTGTTTTGTTATTTTTTATTTGTTTGTTTTGAGGCAGAGTCTTACTCTGCCACCCAGGCTGGAGTGCAGTGACGCAAGCATAGCTTACTGCAACTTCCACCTCATGGGCTCAAGTGATCCTCCTGACAGCCTCATGAGTAGAGTAGCTAGAACTACAGGCATATGCCATCACGCTGGCCTAATTTTTTTTCTTTTTTTTGTAGAGATCAGGTCTCTCTATGTTGCCCCAGGCTGGTCTCGAACTCCTGGCCTCAAGTGATACTCCAGCCTCAGCCTCCCAAAGTGCTGGAATTACAGGCATGAGCCACTGTGCCCACCCCAGACATTTCCTTTTTCTTTCTTTTTTTTTTTTTTCTTTTTTTGAAATATGTTCTGGCCCTGTTACCCAGGCTGGAGGGCAGCGATGTGATTTCTCATCACTGCAACCTCCTCCTCCCAGGCTCAAGCCATCCTCCCCTTTCAGCTTCCCAAGTAGCTGGGACTACAGGCACGCACCACCACACCTGGCTAATTTTTGTATTTTTTGTAGAGACGGGGTGTCACCCTGTTGCCCAGGATAGTCTTCAACACTTGAGCTCAAGCTATCTGACTGCCTCAGCCTCCCAAAGTTCTGTGATTACAGGCATGAACCACTACACCGGGCCCACACGTTTCTTATATGTGAGAATGAATTGCCCTCTTGTTGAAGGCACTGCTATTTAGGCTTTCTCTCACTTGCAGCCAAATCTATTCCAAAATGATATGCATGCCTCATATATTAAGCGAATTGATGTATGTAAACTATATGCATAGCACTTAATGTATACAAAGGACTTAGAACTGTGGCTGGCAGTTTAATTTTATCTTTAATTATTAATCACATATCAAATAAATACAAATTTAATGATGATAAATCAATTTTTCATCTCTTATGTGAGCTCAATAACTAGTAAAGATGCTGTGGGGTACTTAATATTAAATGTGATTAATAAAAATAGAAATTATTGATATTTTCTGGTCGGAAATAATTTTTATGGATGAAACTTTACGAGGAGGAGATCTTGCAACTGAAATAAAATTATCTATGATAAGTCAAGTCATGTAATAGATAAATAGAAGCAAAATTAAAATGAGTACTTTATTATATTAAATTAATACATAGATATATGTTTAAAAAGACCAAACAGTACAAAAGTCTTGAAAGAAAACGGCAATTTGCCCACTCCTCTTTCTCCCAAGTTTACCATACCTTAAAATGTTTAACTTTTTGTTTTATTTGCCTCTACATTTCTAGATAATATGTTTATAATACTATTCCTTGAATTTTTTTATTATGTACTTTCTGCTTGGTAAAGTGGATTCAAATTTAGTACACACATACATATACCCTTTTCTCGTAATGTTCCATTATACCACAATTTCTTATTATATCGATATTCAATGTCTACATCATTGTGATTAAGTAAGCAAGTTTCATAGCTAGGCCACACTGTGTGGTATTATTTTGTTTCCTTTCCTTTACAACTTGTTTTTCTTGGAGTTAACAGTCACCTTCTGTTTTGTTTGCTTAACTTTCGGTGTAACTACTACTAATACTTCTCAAATTTTCTATTGAGCAGCCAAAGCCCTCTCAGTGTAGTCACATGCATCAGGTACTCTATCAATTCCATTTTTGGACAAAGGAGAATAAAACTTTAAAAAATAATTAATATATTCATGGCGAAGTAGGGAAGAAGACATCTGAAAAGATGCAAACAAAGAGTGCAGAGAAAAAGAAACAATTCTTAAAAATTATGCATAATACTATATACAAACACACACATATATATATATATATATATGCGTTTGTGTATATATATGTATATTTCCCCCCATCCCTCTTTCCTTCTGTATTCTTTTGAATTTTTCCTCTATTTTATTGTGTTTTTCTTTCATTTTTTATGTGGCGGATTTCTTAATCATCCTGGCGCTCTTGGCTAGCCTTTAATGTTTGAGAAGGAGACCTTAAAAAGCTCATTGGAAACTATGTGTGTGGAAGGGTTTTTCTCAACTGGTTGGCTTCACATAGGGCAATAAAACCAAGTCCATCTGTTTAATGAGCAGTTCTGCAAATGACAGTCCTCTCTCTTTAGCTAGTCATTCTCTCCTGGAAATAATTCTACTGGGGATGAGGCCTGCTGCCCAAACTTAGGACCAACTTTAGGGAAGTGAGTTGTGTGTTAACTTTCTCCCACTTGTCCACAGGATATTCCCAGGTACTTTCTCCATTTCTAGGGCTGGCCAGCCTGTCATTCACCTCTGCACAGAGAGACTTTCTCATGTAATTTCTCCAGGGAGTAAATCTTCAATTTTCTGCTGCAGTAAAGGAAGGTTATAGAAGTATAGTGTGAAAGGGTATCTGGGATCTAATTACTCCTAAATAGGCTCATTTCCTATTCTTCTGTTACTTCTATCTGTGATACCAGATCCCTCCAATCTTGAACTTGTTGATATTTCCCTCTGTAGGCATTTGGATTTCACCTACAAAGTCAGTTGTCACTTATCAATTCACCTTGTATCTTCCAAAGATATGGTGACATTTCTCATCTACTGGTATTTCCTCTCATCCACCATGCATTTTTAATATTTTTAAATTTTTATTTGCTATAATTTAAATCAGTTTTAAGAGGTGTTGAAATAAACATGTTTAATCTTCTGTGCTCTGTAAAAAGTCTTAAAAATTAGTTCAACTTTTTTGTATTAGAGCTACTATTAAGAGGAAAATTTAGTTGCATATAGTTTAGAATTATCAATAGGAGGAAAAGATATTTTGATTTTTCATTTTGAACATGTTTAGTGGAAACACTAGCATTAAGAGACAAAGAGGATGGATTATTTTGGATAATCATCTCCCAAATGCACTCATTATAATCACATAGAATTTAGCTTTTCGAAAAGCAGCCTATTATTTCCCACTTTTTCTTAGATAACATTCAAATCATTTGTATTGCAATACTGTACATACATATTTATCATATTTTTCTGGACACATTTTTAGGAAAAACAACACTGGTTTTTCTGGAAGTACAGAATGAAAATGAAATGGGCTATAATGGCAGTTACATTTTTCCCATTTGGAAGTCTTTTGTTCTTTTATCTCAAGATAGCACTTGCCAGTGTAGGAGTTTGCGATCAGTTGCTTGCTCTGCTCTTCTGTTCCTTTTTACCAACCCTATAACTCTTACTGTGCTATTTTTCTAGGAAGACTATTTCATGTCCTTCCCCAAAGAGGAGAATAATTAATTTCATGGCTTTTCAGCAAATAAATCTTACTCATCCCAACTCTGCCTGGGAAAGCTACTTAGGCATACATTTAAGCACTTCAAGGGTGATAAGAGGCAATAGATGCCAAGAAAAGGGGCTGTGTAGGAGAGTTCTTGGGAAAATAGTCCTTAGGACATAAAAGTAAATGGATAATAATGTGGGTGAGTAAATTGTCAGGAGATGACAGGAGACAATAGATGAAGAAGAGAGAGTTATGTATTTGGCCCACTGGCCAATTAAACTTCAAATTTTAACTGACAATGATTTTTGCTTGTGTTTTTTTTTTAATTTTCAGACTGATTATTTAAGCTGCAATTTAATAGAATGTAAACAGTTCCAAGTTCAGCTCAGTTATATCTAAAAACTCATTTTTCAATCCCATTTCATTTCAGATTTACAGATTTGCTTACTTTGGTTAAAGAACTTTACATGTACTTCTATCAAAACCTGAATATTGGCTGGGCATGGTGGCACTTGCCTGTAGTCCCAGCTACTTGGGAGGCTGAGGCACAAGAATTGCTTGAACCCAGGAGGCAGAGCGTGCAGTAAGCCGAGATCCCGCCACTGCACTCCAGCCTGGGCTACAGAGTGAGACTCCATCTCAAAAACAAACAAACAAAAAAACAAACAAACAAAAACAACACCCACATATCCATTCATTCTTTCTCTTTTAATAAAGCATCTGATTTTATTCAGCGTGGCAATGTGTTTGGCTAAAAGATTATATTTCTCATACTTACTCTACATGTAGGTCTGGCCATATGATTATGCTGGCCAGTGAGATTTAAATGGACATTTTGTTTTGCAAGACAGATGCTTGACAGCAAGGAAAGCAGATGTGGCGGCTGGAGCACCATGGAAGCAGGGTAACATCTAAGTGATGTGGGTCTCTGACACTCTTGGACCCCTCCCTTGCATCCGTGCTCTGACCTTTTTACTTCTGGACTTATTTTTCTTGTGTATGAGGAAGGTACTGTAAACTACTCTATTATGATGTAGTTACATTCAGCTAAGCCTAATCCTAATGGATACAAAAGAGAACTAATAGCATTCTTTGAAACCTCAACTAGGGATTCCAAAACCTTTGAATATTTGTTTCTACCCTGTAAGTTGTTGCCTAAACTAAAAGACCATTTCCTACTGAAAAACAGTTTAATAGAATTTTTCTTTTTTTAGCTTTCAGCTTGAAGCAGAATATTTGGTATATAATAGGCATCAAATAAATACTTATTAAATAAGTAATCATATAATTTAAAATTTAAGATTGAGACTCTACACACCCCTGTCAAGATAAGTACACAGGGATAAATAAATACTGATTTGACCTATTGAGGTTTATAATCTTATAAAAGTGATATATACAACTAGTAGCATACAAAAGGGAAGGATCTAAGTGTCATGGCAGAGGCAGGTGCAAAGCACTGAATGGCAGGAAGCGACAGATCAGCCAGTAGTGTTAAATCTAGACTGAAACACAGGCTGATGAGGCAAGGAAAGTGGATTGGGCAAGACTGTGAAACCATGCTTAAGAATTTTGATATTGTTGTCTAGCTAATTGAGAGCATCCAATTCATTTTTAGGAAAATAATGGTGGCCATGTGAAAAATATACCGGGGAGGCAGAGAGAGAAGGCGAGACGGCAGGGAGCTCAGTCAGAAGCAAGTCTGATTCCTCTGTTCTCAGCAGGAAGAGTGGCAAAATTATTTCTCACCTCTGTGAGGACCATGAGGCTGAAATCAAGGCAAAGAAGATAGAGGTTTTCAAAAGGTTTGAGGCAATTGGAAAAGGAAGAGTGGATGGACAGAAAGATAAAGGAACCACTGTTACAGACAGAATCATATCCTCCCAAAAGGTTTATGTCAAAGCTCTAACCCCCAATGTGACTATGTTTGAAGAGAGAGCTTTTAAGGAGATACTTGGGGTTACATGAGGTTATAAGGGCAGGTCTAATCCGATAGGATGAGGGTCCTCATAAGAAGAGACACCAGGGAGCTTTCTCTGGCTCCACATGCAGGGAAGAGGTCATTAGAGGACACAGTGAAAAGATGTCCATCTGTCCATCTACCAACCAAAACCTGCTGGACCTCAGTGTTAGGCTTCTAGTCTCTAGAATTCTGATAAATAGATCTTAAGCCACACAGTCTGCAGTATTCTGTGATAGTAGCCCCAGCAGACTAATACAACCATATGGGTTGACTAAACAGGAGATAGAATCTGAGGGAGACACCAGCATTACCTCTGAGGGAAGGGGTGACTGCTTCTTCCCACTCCTTGCACCAGCTTCCTCGCCCCTCTGCAGGAAGGAAGCACTGGCCAGACGGAGCACAATAATTGGGATGCAGATGTTAAGTTTTTCCACTTATAAAACAGCAATAATAAGGTTACTAATCTTATAAGGTGACTATGAAAAGTAAACAAGTTAATAGTGAAGATAAATAAACAATAACATTGGCTTTTTTAAAACAAATAATTTGTACCTGCCAAAATTTGTATTTCCCATTCTGCCAAACTAAAGACCTGAACTGGACTTATGACTCTTAGAAGGAAGCTTAGGAATTGTTGATACTGCAGGTATGTGTGTAAGTATAAGTAGGTGTTACATTGAATTCTGTATAAAAAATAGGTTAACTTAGGGCAAGGCTCTAGCTGCTCAAAGCCAAACACCCACCAGAGTGCTCTTCTTGAGTTACAAAAAAGGTAAGATTGTCAAAACAAACTCATACAAATCATAGGTCTTACCCAATACCAAATTACTAATGATTCAAAAGACACAAGCATGAAGCAGACACACATGCATATTTCTTTCTTAAGGGGCTTTAGCCTTCAAAACAGCATCCTAATCATCCCCTTTGCATACTGAGAGTAGCAAGCAAGCACTAACAATGCGTGGTATGTATGTCAACTCAGAGCAAGTCATTCAGATTTTAAGCTGCTTAGTTTTTATAATGTGGGTAGTCATTCCTGGGCAATGATAGCATAAGACTCATTCCATTCTCCAGCCAGCTATATTCCCATAATTATATAATTATATAAGTTTAAGATTTATTTACCATAATCAGTATAGACAGACCAAGCACACCTGCTTAAATCATCTTTTAGATAAGAACTCCAAAAAATCTAACATTAGCATGTTTACCAGGAAGCCTGGTAGATGGAGGCCAAGATTTTCTTTAGCCCGCAATTAACTCTGTCATATCTGACCTCCTGCTAGTTGATGAGGTAGGATAGAGTAGTATTCAAAAGATATACCCTGCCTAGATTCAGCTAATGGTTTTGTGATCATTGGCTGAGTATGCTTGGCAAGTTACTTAATCAATCATTGCCTCACTATTTAATCTGCACAATGGGCATAACAATAAACTTTTCCCCAATAAAATTATTGTGAAGTTTTAATAAATTAGTACATGTAAAATGCTTAGAGTAGTGCATGGCATATAGTGAATTCACAATAATATTAGCTAACAAATTTACCATAATCCTAGGATGAGGCTTAATGAATTAGCCTGATTTGTTAAATCTGTCACCATTATTTTATACCAGTTTCTTTTCTGCTTAGAAGTTCGTTCTCCATTCTAATGGGACATCGTCCTGCCCTTTTATAGGTCTCACCTCACCATATCACTTAACAGGATAAAGAAAGGAAATTTTCCCTGAACAAAGTAGAATATCATTTGATTAGTAGAGGTGAGAATAAAAAAGTATTGTTAGGGATTGGTCATTTCTCTGGTTTACCCCACAGAACTACAGACAGTTCTGGAATGAGTTGGATAACCTCTAGCAAGCTCAAGGTCATTGAGCAGATAAAGTTATATGCTTAGCTTAAAGCTTGGTAAAATGTTTCTTTAATGATGTTAATGTCTTTTCCTCAGTCTCTTTTTCATTATCCACACTGGTCCAGGTCTTCTAAAGTTTCTTAATTTTTTCAACAGTTGTAATTGCTTCTTAATCAGATTCTATGTCTCACATTTTATTGCTTCTGCTTTTTCATACCATTAATTTACTCTCCAGGTCCCTCAAACTTAGCTGTTTAATTAACGATCTGTTCAAGCCATTCTCCTGATTAAAGATGATTTCTGACTCTAAACTTCCTACTTTTAAGGTAAAGTCAAACTCTTTCGCATGCGTTCAGGGCTTTGGAAGGTGTGATCCCAAACTCTCCAGTGGCGGCATCTTTCACCATTTACATGGCCAAAGCATTTCCCCAGACACTTGAATCATGTGCTGATCTGTAAAAATATCAGATGTTTTTTCCTTTGCCTATTTTTTTTTCTTATCAATTTCTTAGCTCTGTGGCTTTGATTAATTTCTTCCCCTTACTTGGATTGCCCCTTCCACCCTTTATCTATCTAATACACTCTTTAATTTCAGGTTCAGGAAACTTCCCTGATAGCCTAGGTACGGTTAACTAACTATAACTAACTCCCTTCACAATCTTCACTTAGCACGTTGGTTCTCAACAGTGGAATGTGAGAGGGATGAGAATGCCTGGAGATACCTTTTCAAAATATACTACATTCCCAGTCTTCACTTCTCCCTGAGATTTAGTGATACAATGTTTTGATTGGACATACTTCTTATTGCCATTAAATGATATGATAATTTATCCATGGGCTTATTTCTTATTATAGTTTGAGCTTCTCAAGAAAAGTATCTGTATCTTAATTACTCATATATCCTGAAGACATAGTATCAGTGCATTAAAATTATTTTTTACACATAAATTCAGTTTATCAATTTTCAGATCCAGATTGGAATAGTTCTTTCCATCTCAATGGAGATTAATACTTAAACTTAACTATACATTGGAGGTTGATCTCTATGACTTTCCAAAGGCAGAATTTGTTTTATTTTCTGCTTGATAAATCATAACAGTTCACATTACAAATTCCTTTTCACAGAGAGTTTTATAAAGAAATGCAGAAAACACTGAGTGTGTACATCTAAAGTATGTTTTATTTGTACCTCAATTACGACAAGCTTATCTAAATGTACTTAATTACTTAATGTGTTCACTACACTTATTTAAATGTATTGAATTGTAATTAAATTACTGTTCAGGAAGCTGCTGCATATATATACTCACAAAATATATTTGATTTGCTCAATAATAGAAGCTATGATTATTAAAATATAACTTTCATTTTTCCAAAATGCACAATAGAAGAAAACTGAGAGCCCTCTGGTGGGCAATATTTTCAGTTCAAAAAATCATACAGCATTTTCCTCATAAGATTTTCTAAGGATTAAATAAATATTATATTTTTAGACAATTCAGTAACAAAAAGATGAACTTTTAAAAATAATTTTAACCCACTAAGTATAATTCAAGTAAATTACATTTCTACCAAAATGTGTTATTCTAAGTAAATCCTCTATTCAAATTAGATCAATCCAAATTCATAAGAAAATTTCTCACAAAGCAAGCAAACAAGAAAAAAATATTAAAATATGCTCATCTCTTTATCCTCTCACATTAGATTTAAATGAAATAGAAATATCAAATTAATGGCTGCAAAAGTGATCAAATTAGTTTTGAAATGCAAATTATTCTATAGACAGATTCATAATTTTTAAATTATTTTCTAATTGAGATATATCTTTATTAGCTCTGGCTACTGTAACAAAATATCATTGACTGGGTGGTTTAAACTACAGAAAATATATTTCTTACTATTTTGGAGGTTAGAAATCTGACACCAGATCATCAGCATCGTTGGATTCTGGTGTGGGCTCTCTTCCAGGCTTGCAAACAGCCACTGTACCTTGGTGTCCTCAGTTGGTGGAGGGAGGAGGCTTTGTGCCTCTTCTTCTTGTAAGGGAACTAATCCCATCAAGGGGCCTCCACCCTCGGACCTCATTTAAACCTACTTAACTCTAAAGGCCTCACCTCCTAATTCCATCACATTGGGGTTAGGGCTTCAACATATGAAATTTAGAGAGACAGAAATTCCAGTTCCTAACAGGGTGAAGGTGTTAAGTCATAAAATTAAGTATTTTAAAGTTAACAGTTCAGTGGTATTTAGTATATTCATAGTGTTGTATACCAGTACCTCCTCCACCTAGTTCCAAAACACTTGTATCACGCAAAAATAAAACCCCATACCCAGTAAAATGTTACTTGCCGTTCATCCTTCTCTCAGTTCCTGGCAAACACCAGTTTGCTCATTGCTTCCGTGGATGTATCTATTCCAGATGTTTCATATAGGTGGAATCATGAAACATGTGACATTTTGTGTCTGGTTTGGCATAGCATAATGTTTTTTAGATTCATCCACCTTGTAGCATGTATTATCACTTCATTCTTTTTTATGATATAAAATTGTTCTGTTTTAGGAATACACCACAATTTTTTTATCTGTCTGGTTGGTTGTTTTTACTTTTAGTATTGTGAATGGTGCTACTATGAACATTCATGTGAGTATTTGTTTGAGTACCTGTTTTCAATTCTTTTGGGATTTTCTCTAGGAGTAGAATTGCTGGGTCATATGGTCATTCTATGTTTAACTTTTTAAGAAACTACCAAACTTATTCACAGCATGTTTCATCATTTTACATTCCCACCAGCAAAATATGAGGCTTCTAGTTTTTCTGCATCCTGATTAACACTTGTATGTCTTTTTAATTATAGACATCCCAGTGGGTGTGAAATGGTATCTCACTGTGGTTTTAATTTGCATTTCTCTGATAGCAAATAATGTAAAGCATCTTTTTCTATGCCTACCTTTTTATCTTCCTTGAGAAAACGTCTATTCCAGTACTTGGGTTGCTTTCCTTTTATTGTTGAGTTGTAGGAGGTTTTATTTATTCATGGACTAGATCCTTATCATATACATAATTTGCAAACATTTTCTCTTGTTTTATATGTTGTCCTTTCACTTTCTTAATAATGTCTTTGACACTTAAAAGTTTTTGATTTTGCTAAAATCCAATTCGTCTAATTTTTTCTTGTGTTGTTCATGCTTTCGATATTGTATCTACAGACCCATTACCAAATTGCAGGTCTTGAAGATTTACCCCTGTGTTTTCTTGTTTTATTTTGTTGTTAGAGTTTTATTGTTTTCATTCTTATATTTAGGTATTTGATACATTTTGAATTAATTTTTGTTTACAGAGTGAGGGAGAGGTCCACCTTTATTCTTTTACAGGTAGCTATCCAGTTGTCCCAGTACTAATTGTTGAATAGGCCATTTTTCTCCCATTGAATGATCCTGCCATTCTTGTTAAAAAGCAGTTTGCCATAGATATCTGGGCTTATTTATGCTCTCTAAATTGTATTCCATGGGTGTATAAGTTTATCATTGTGCCAGTACAATACTGTTTTGATCAACATAGTTTTGTAGTAAGTTTTGAAATTGGGAAGTGTGAATCTTCTGCTTTGTTCTTTTTCAAAATTATTTTGCAAATTCATGAACACTGCATTTCAGAGGCTGTATGGAAATGCCTGGATGTCCAGGCAGAGGTGTGCTATAGGGACAAAGCCCTCATAGAGAATTTCTGCTAAGGCAGTGCATAAGGGCAATGTGGGGTTGACACTCCTACACAGAGTCCTCACTGAGGCACTGCCTAGCAGAGCTGTGAGAAGAGTGCCACCATCCTACAGACCCCAGAATGGTAGATCCACTGACAGTTTGCACCATGCACCTGGAAAAGCCACAGACACTCAACACCAGCCTGTGAAGGCAGCCAGGATGGAGGGGAGATGGGGGTGTGAGATGAACCCTACAAAGTCACAGGGCTGGAGCTGCCTAGGGCCGTGGGAGACTACTTCTTGCATCAGTGTGCCCTGGATGTTTTTCTGTAAATAATTTAATTTGTATGTAAATGTTTTGAAATTTTTGGAAAAGCAGCATATAATTCTGGAGTTTTAATATTAATTTTACTATACTTTAGGGAAATATATTTCAAATAATTGTACATTAATGTTATAATCAGAAAAGAACAAATGCTTGTTTTATTCAATTATATTTTATATAGTGTTATGATATTTAGTAATCAATAGAGTATCAACTATATAATAACTTTATAATTTATTTCTTAATCCAATCTGTATTTACCAATGGTTAATGACCCTTCATTTTAATCATTTAATGAAGTTAAACTTAAGAGTAGTTTGATTCTATCTCCTCTCAATCTAAATATATAAATACCTGTTTCTGTATATGCAAGGCTGGCATTATGTGGCAAATTTGGAAAAATTTGCACATAAAATTCAAGCAGAGAACAATTTAAATCTTGTATAGTATAATGAATTTCCAATAATAAAAATGGAAAATTGGTGCCTAGTAACTAAACAGAAAGAGTAATGCCTGTGAGTATCTGGTTGGGGAGACATAGAAGAATAAGAGTTGCTCTCTGGGGACTGTACCTGAGGATGGGGCAGGAAAGGGAAACTTTCAGAAGAGGAAATAGATACAAAGAGACAGTGCTGGATATGAGCATGAGAAGTAGCAAGGGCAAAAAAGACATATGCAGCTTTCCTGCCTGTCATATCATGCCATACAGTTTCAATATTGCAGATAATAGGCAGATATTGAGACATGAGACAACAGCAAAACACACTCAATTAAAATAATCTTTCAGGCAATTGCTACCAGATCAATTATTTGTACCTATTTTGCAGAAACCCCAACAATATATTTCATTGTGTTCATTATAGATGTGAGAGCTCTGAAAAGTCCTCTCACATTTTTCAGGAAACCCTAGTTGTGTCCTATTAATATAATATGCATGGTGATTGAAATCATTTTAAAGTGAAGTGTATTAGTCAGGGTTCTCTAAAGGGACAAAACTAATAGGATATATGTATATATGAAAGGGTGTTTATTAAGGATAATTGACTCACACAATCACAAGGTAAAGTCCAATGACAGGTTGTCTACAAGTTTAACAGCAAGGAAGCCAGTGGTGGATCAGTCAGAGTCCCAAAACCTCAGAAGTAGGGAAGCCGACAGTGCAGACTTAAGTCTGTGGCCAGAGGCCCAAAAGCCCCTGGCAAACTACTGGTGTAAGTCCAAGAGTCCAAAAGCCGAAGAACTTCGAATGTGATATACAATGGCAGGAAGCATCCAGCACAGGAGTAAATTGAAGGCCAGAAGACTCAGCAAGTCTGAAATCCAATAGGGCAGTCATTAAATCTTAAAGTTCCAAAATTATTTCCTTTGACTTCATGTCTCATATCCAGGGCACACTGATGCAAGAGGTTTCTCCCACAGCCTTGGGAAACTCCAGCCCTGTGGTTTCACAGGGTATGGCTTAGGTGTCCACCCCTCTCCAGCCTGGCTGCTTTCACAGGCAGGGAGCAAACTGTCAGTGGATCTACCATTCTGGGGTCTGGAGGATGGTGTCCCTCTTCTCACAGCTCTACTATGCAGTGCCCCAGTGGGGACTCTCTGTGGGAGTTCCAACCCCACATTACCTTTCTGCACTGCCCTAGTAGAAGTTCTCCATGAGGGCTCCAGCCCTACAGCACACCTCTGCCTGGACATCCAGGCATTTCCATACATCCTCTGGAATCCAGGTGGTGTTACCAAACCTCAGTTCTTATCCCCTGTGTACCCACAGGACCAACACCACATGGAAGCTGCCAAGCTTTTAAGCTTGCACCCTCTCAAGCTACGGCCAAGCTGTATGTTGGTCTTTTTTTGCCATGGCTGGAGTGGCTGCAAGGCAGGGTACCAAGTCCCAAGGCTATACACAGCAGGAAGGCCCTGGACCCAGCCCAGGAAACCATTTTTCCCTCCTAGGGCTCTGGGCCTGTAATGGGAGAGGCTGCTTTGAAGGTCTCTGACACGCCCTGGAGACATTTTCCTCATTGTCTTGTTGATTAACATTTGGCTCCTTGTTACTTATACAAATTTCTGCTGCTGGCAAGAATTTCTACCCAGAAAAATGGTTTTATTTTTTTTGCTACTGCATGGTCAAGCTGCAATTTTTTCAAACTTTTATGCTCTTTTTTCTCTTTAATGCTTTGTTGCTTAGAATTTTTTTTCTGCCAGACACCCTAAATCATCTCTCTGAAGTTCAAAGTTCCACAGATCTCTAGGGCAGGGGTGAAATGCCACCAGTGTTTTTGCATACCAAGGCTGACCTTTACTCCAGTTCCCAACAAGTTCCTTATCTCCATCCGAGACCACCTCAGCCTGAACTTTGTTGTCTGTATCACTATCAGCATTTTGGTCAAAGCCATTCAACAAGTCTCTAAGAAGTTCTAGACTTTCTCACATTTTCCTGTCTTCTTCTGAGCCCTCCAAACTATTCCAACTTCTGCATGTTACCCAGTCCAAAGTCTCTTCCACATTTTCAGGTATCTTTACAGCAGCACCCCACTCTACCAGTACCAATATATGAGGTAACAGAGAACAGAGACATCACTGGTACATATTGAGACACAGGCTCGTAACCTTTTAAAATTAGACATCCGCCCCACTATCTCTATTTTTTCTGATAGTAAATTAGTTACTGGAAGAAACCTGATTCTTGGGACATAAGTCCCTGTGTGGAAGAAAGGACTAGATTATTTTTAAGGCTTTCCTTTTATTTTCCTTTTCTCATTTCTATTTAGCAACTAAATAGTGTGTCCACAGGTTTTGGAGATTATGGTGTAGACATCTTGAGGGAGGCATTATTTGGCCTACCACAACTAGATTCAGATTAATGGAACGGAATCACCAAAAGCAAAGGGGACATTTTAAAAGAAAATAAGAAGGCAAAACATATTACCTACCAAAAAGGAGGCAATTATCCAAATATCTGTGTTGGAAGCACAAGACAATGGAATAGTCTTCAATGTGCTCAGGGAAAATAACTGTCAGCATAGAAATATAGAATAATTATATTTCAAATATGAGGACAAAATAAAAATATTTTCAGACAGAGAAAAACAGAGTGTTTATCACCAGTAACCATTCATTTATGGAAATTCTAAAGTGGCTACTTCATGCAAAGAAAAAAATCCCTAAATGGAAGTTCTGATATTCAAGAAAGATCAAAAGTAAAGATATTGGCAAATATGCAGATATGATAAAACAAATATTAACAGTAAAGAACCCCATAATTTCTAATTGATATGATTTATTAAAAATAAAGTTAAAATATTATTAAAATACAGCATTAAATAGAAGAGAAAAATATGCATTAATAAAGAAAGAGAAAAATTGGGATAAGTGGGAAGCATAAAGCAAGACTATATACATAAAATAAACTGTAATGGAAACACATAGACTAAACACTCAAGTTTATGGATAAGGATTGCCAGGTATATACAAATAAAAATTTACAAAATATGTATTTATAAAAAAATTAAAACATAAGGCACAAAAAGTATGATAATAATAGGATATAAGAACTTAAACTACTCAAAAAAACAGATAAATGTAGCCTAGAGTAGCAATATGAGTTACAGACAATGTAAATATTAAGGCGAAACAAAAGCATTAAAGATAAAAATGTGAGATCTCTGTACGTGAGTACTATTTCTATTGATAAATATCTATTGCAATTTTAAATGTGTATACACCATTTAACACGTAAAACAGGTACATATAAAGGAAAAAGTGACAAAAATACAAGTAGCAATTGTTAAATCTACTATTATGGTGGGAAACTGTAATATACATACTGTAGTATTGATAGACTGAGCAGACATAAGATATGCATGTGGAAGATGCGAACAACCTAGTTGTTAAGCTTTTTCTGAAGTACATATGTAGAATAATAAACTCAACAACTGGAGAAAGTACTTATTTTTAAGCATACATAGACTATTTCAAATAATAAAAACATACTATCCCATCAAGGCAGTTTCGCCAAATTTCAAAGAAATGGTATTCATTCCATGTTCTCTGACCACAATGTAATTACATCAGAATCAAGAACAAATAAATTAATTACATGGTTTGAAGATTTCAAACACTTCAAAGTAAAGCAAACGAGAAAAATATGAAATAGAAAATTTGTTGAACTAACGATTCAGAGATAATTGATTCTTTACAGAGAATAAATTAAAATATAATTTTTACCTTAAATTATCTATAAAAATTAATTTTGTTTCATTTTCACATAGCAAAGATGTGAGAAAAAATATTACTTCCACCCTAAAAATCAAAAAAAATTTCAGATAATCTGATTTTTTTTCTTAAAGCACTGAATTCATTAAACACACATACACATATGAGAACTGAATTTCAAACAGTGACAAAGCCCTACACACTTAGGTACATAAGGCACACAAACAGAGCTCAGGAAGAGGTAACTACCAAAAGAGTGGATAAAAAGAAAGCAGCTAAAATTTTAAAATTTCTTAAAGGCCTGCTGTGATGCAGCATGTCAGTTTAGAAAAACTTGGAGCCCTCAACACAAGAAACTTTTTTACAGACCTCTACTGGATTCTTCTGAGAAAGGCTGGAGAGGATAAGGAGTCTGGAGAGATATAGTCCCATAGTATCAAAGGTATGCAGGTAGTGATTGACTTCTACTAGAAGACAGACATCAAAAACTTTTCACTTTCCTGTAACCTTTCTCATATGAAACAAAGTTTTAAGTTCTCGGGGGAGTCTCAGCAAACCTTCCTGCTACTAGCACCTAGACAAAGATGCACTGCATTTGGGGAAGTGTAGTAAAACTTACTGAGCTCAGGATCTTGCATGGGCACAAAGCAACAGTTGGGGTAGAGAAGAAAAATTATCCTGACCAAGAGCCACCATAGACATAAAGCAAAGTATGTTTGCCCCAGGTTGAGAAAGAGGGTCAGGGAAATTAAGAGATCCACCAATGAGGCCTAAGCACAGAGGAATTGCCCAAAACCAATGTTGTACCAAGCAAACAGAAACACTACTCCTATGCTCCATCCTAAGCCAAACACAGGATAAAAAGTAATTGCATTACAACAGTATGGAAGGGATAAGAACATAGAGAAAGATCTTTTTTAAGGCTCAGGCATGCAGGGACTGCTTACCTTATGGGAGAGCAAGAACACTGAGAAAAATGCTTCCAAACCCTGACTCGACACTAAGCACATGGTATCAACAACCCCCCACTGAAAAATATAAAGCTTATTTTGCACCAAAAGCAAAGAGAGGAAAAAAAAAACCTAAACACTTCTCAACTATTGATAAATTGACTCATACTCCCACACTAAAACCCTGACAGAAGATTATCCGTTTTCATAAATAATGCTATTTACTTCAGTCTCTAATTTTTTAATACAATGCCAAGCATTCAATTAAAAATTATGAATCACATAAAAGAGAGGTTTAAAAAATACAAACATTTCAACTGATAAAGCAGTCAATATTTCCAGACTCAGAAGTGGTTCAGATGTTAGAACTAGCTAACAAAGATTCTAAAATAATTACATCTAATACATTAAAGGATCTAGTTAGAAAGGTGAACAGCATGCATGAACAGATAGATTTTCATGAGGAATTTCCATAGGGAGATGGATACTATAAAAATAGTTAAATAGAATTATAGGAATATATAACACAGTATCAGATATCAAAAATTTATTCAATAGAATTATCACAATACTAGAAATTTTTAAATTAAATATCAGTAAACTGAGAGATACATCGATGGAAATTATCTAATCTGAAAGGCAAAGAGTAAAAAAAAAAAAAAACCCAGAACCTCACAGAGTTGTAAAGAAATCAAAAGATTTGTGATACATTAAAATGGAAACCCAGAAGAAGACAAAGAGAGTGAACAGGATAGTAGAAATATGTGAAGAGAAATGGCCAAAAATTTCCAAAAAATAATGAGAAACAATAAACTACAGAAACCAAATGAGAATTAATAGCAACAATTAAAAATACTTTTTAAACAGGCATAAAGAGAGGCATTATATAATAACAAAGGTTTCAATTCACCAAGAAAACGAAACAATTCTAAATGTGTATTCAACCAAAAATTAAATCTCAAAATACATATAATAAAACCTAATAAAATGGAATTTGGTAATATAGAAAATCCAGATATAGAAAATCCAGTTATAACAATCTTCTTTCAGTGATTATTCAGTAAACAGAAACCCAGTAAGTCAATAATGCTATCAAAAACTTGGACAGAATTATCAAACAACTTGACCTAAACAATATTTATAAGACATTCCTCCCTCCTTCAACCAGTAGCAATGTTCTTTTCAAGTGCACACTAAGAATTTAACAACATAGAAGAGATTTGGGCTATAAAGGAGATTTCAACAAATTTTTAGAAATCATACAAAGTGTACTCTTAGATCCAAAGAGAAATAACCTAGAAATCAACAATAAAAAGTTACCTAGAAAATTACCAAATATTTGGATATTCAACAACAAACTTTAAAATTAGCCATTATCAAAAGAGGGAGCTCTTTAGAAAATGTCTAAAAATCTGCAAAAAACTATGAGAAATAATAAGCTTAGCAGTAATATAGGATATGAGGTCAGTTTACAAAAAAATAGAATTTCTACATACTAGACATAAACAACTGAAAATTAACAATAAAATACCCTTTACAATAGCATCAGAAAGTGTGAAAAAAGGGATATATCAAAAGGAACTAAGATTTGAACACGGAAAAATAAACAACATCGATGACAAAAATTTGAAAAGGCCTGAATGTGTTCAAAATTATACTATGTTAATGGACTGAATATTGTGTCAATTCTCCCTAAATTGATCTAAGAATTTAATCACAATAAAAATCCTACTAGACTTTTTCTTTCAAGTTGAATGGCTATATATTACTTGGGAAAGTGAAGGAATTAAAAGACACAAAACAATTTTGAATAAGAGAATACTGTAAGACTCATAGTACCTGATTTCAAGTCTTACTATAAAGTAACAGTGATAAATATATGGCATAGTATAAGGATAGTTACATGGATGAATGGAACAGAAGAGGGAGCATATAAATACATCCACACATGTATGCTCAATTTGTTTTCAGCAAAGTTGCCAAATAATTTCAATGGAAAGAAAAAAATATTTTCAACGAATGGTACTGGAACTATTGGGATTCCATATGCAAAAAATAATCTTAACTCTTATAATCTATATAATAACATAAAGTTGGTGATAGACTGTATGTAAAACTTAAAACTGTAGTACTTCTGGGGGATTAAAAAAAACTCTGTGGCATTGTATTAGGTAAATATTTCTTAGCACACAACAACTAAAGCCATGAATGAAAAATATTTATAAATTGACTTCATCACAGTTCAAAAGACATCAACAGAATATCCTACTCAACAACAACAGAATATGTATTCTTCTCATCTCCAGATGGCATATACTCCAAGATCAACCACATGCTCATTTATAAGGCAAGTCACAACAAATTCAAAATAATTGAAATCATACCACCCACACTCTTGGAACACAACACAATAAAAATAGAGATCAATATCAAGAAGATGTCTCAAAACCATATAATTACATGGAAATTAAACAACTTTCTCCTCCTGAAAGACTTTTGGATAAAGAAGAAAATTAAGGCAGAAATAAACAAATTCCTTGAAACTAGTGAAAACAGAGACACAATATGCCTGAATCTCTGGGACACAGCAAAAACGGTGTAAAGAGGAAAGTTTATATCACAGAATTTCTAACATCAAGAAGTTAGCAAGATCTCAAATTAACAACCTAGCATTGTATCTAAAGGAACTTGAAAAACAAGAGCAAACCAACTCCAGGCTAGTAGGAGAAAATAAATAACCAAAACCAGAGCTGAACTGAATGAAATTCAGATGCAAAAATCTATACAAAAGATCAGTGAAACTAGAGGTCAGTTCTTCAAAAGATTAAACAAGATCGGTAGACTATTAACTACATTAATAAAGAAAAAAATAGAATATCCAAATAAGCATAATCAAAAATGACAAAGGGGACATTACCACAAACCTTACAAAAAACACTTAGCAATTATTACAAACACCTCTATGCACACAAACTAGAAAATCTAGAGGAAATAGATCAATTCCTGGTAACACAGAACCTCCCAAGAGTGAGTCAGGAATAAACTGAAATCCTGAGCACACCAATAATGAATTCTGAAATTGAATCAGTAATAAAAAACCTAGCAACCAAAAAAAGAGCCCTGGACCAGGTGGATTCATAGCTGAGTGTTAACAGACATAAAGAAGAGCTCGTACCAATTCTGCTGAAACTATGCCAAAAAGTCAACAAGGAGGGACTCCTCCCTGATGCATTCTATGGAGTCAGCATAATTCTGATATGAAAACCTGGCAAAGATACACTGAAAAAAGAAATCTACAGGCCAATTTCCCTAATGAACATAGATGCAAAAATCCTCAACAAAATAATAACAAACTGAATCCAGTAGAACATCAAAAAGTTAATCAACCACAATCAAGTAGGCTTTATTCCTGGGGTGCAAGGTTGGTTCAACATATGCAAAAAAAATGTGATTCACTACATAAACACAATACAACAAAACCCCACATGATTATCTCAATAGATACAGAAAAAGCTTTCAATAAAATTCAACTTCCCTTCATTATAAAAACCATGAACAAATTAGGCTTTGAAGGAACATACCTCAAAATAATAAAAGCCGTTTATGACAAATCCACATCCAACATCATACTGAATTGGCAAAAGCTGGAAGCATTTCCGTTGAGAACTAGAAGACAAGAATTTCCTCTCTAACCACTCCTACTTAACCTAGTGCTGGAAGTTCTGGCCAGAGCAGTCAGGCAAGAGAAATAAAATGCATTCAAATAGGAAAAGAGGAAGTCAAACTATCTCTCTTCACAGATGATATAATTCTATACCTAGAAAACCCTATATACTCCATCAAAAACTTCTTAGAACTGACAAACAATTTTAGTAAACTTTCAGGGTACAAAATCAATGTACAAAAGTTAGTAGCATTTCTATACACCAATAGTGTTCAAGCTGAGAGCCAAATCAATAATGCAATCCCATTTACAATAGCAACAAAAAGAATGAAATTTCTAGGGATACAGCTGACCAAGGAAGTGAAAGATCTCTGCAAGAACTAAAAAACACTGCTGAAAGAAACCAAAGATGACACAAACAAATGGAAAAACATTCCATGCTCATGGATTGAAATAATCAATATCATTCAAATTGCAACACTGCCCAAAGCAATGTACAGATTCAATCTAAAATGGACAAAGGATATGAACAGACATTTCTCAAAAGAAGACATACACACAGCCAACAAATACATGAAAAAATACTCAGCTACTCATTAGAGAAATGGAAATCAAAACCATGATGAGATAACATCTCACACCAGTCAGAATGAAAAGTCAAAAAATAACAGATGTTTGTGAGGCTACAGAGAAAAAGGAACACTTATACACTGCTAGTGGGAATGTAAATTAGTTCAGTCACTGTAGAATGCAGCTTGGTGATTTCTCAAAAAATCTTAAAACAGAGCAACCATTCACTCAGCAGTTGCACTCCTAGACATATACCCAAAGGAAAATAAATCATTCTATCTAAAAGTCACATGCATATGTATCTTCATTTTGTTACTGAAACACCAGGGGTTTGGTGTGAGTCCTGCTGCTCACCACATAGAAAACCAATCACTGAGACAATGAGTATTGCTAGGGAAGAAGGCTTTATTTGAGTGCTATAGCCAAGAAGAAATGGGAGATGAGACTCAAATTTGTCTCCCTGGCTGACTACAATTAGGAGTTTATATAGCAAGGAAGAAATGGAACTATATGTGGAAAAGCAGAAATCAGGGAGAGGTAAGAAGAGGAGTTGGTAAACAAGAATCATGATGAATGAGGGCTCTGGCATCTCATTGTCTGGATGTAGTGATCTGGTGAGTCCAGTTCCTGAATACTATCTGGGAGGCCAAGGGTGGTGTTCCTGGGGAAGAAACTCAGATAAGACAAATGTAGGTTTGAGCTTTAAGACCAGGAGGGTCAATTTTTATCATTATCCACAAAACAGTAAACATCAATTCTATGGGAGTGTTGGGCTAGTTTCAACAGCAGCACTGTTCATAATAGCAAAGACATGGAATCAACCTAGATGTCCATCAACAGTGGACTGGATAAGGAAAATATGATACACATACACCATTGAATACTTGGAATAGTATGCAGCCATAAAAAAGAATGAAATCATGACCTTTGCAGCAACATGGACACAGCTGGTGGCCGTTATCCTAAGCAAATTAATGCAAGAACAGGAAATACCACATGTTCTCACCTATAAGCAGGAGCTAAACATTGAGTACACATAGGTACAAAAATGGGAATAATACAGGCCAGGGACTACTTGAAGTGTTAGGCCAGGGTGGGGGCTTGGGTTGAGAACTACTTATCTGGTGCTATGTTTACTACTTGGGTGATGGAATCATTTGTACACTAAACCTCAGTGACAAACAATTACCCATGTAACAAATCTATATATGTATTACATGTACCCTCTGAACCTAAAATAAAAGTTTAAAAAAAGTTCAATAAATGAAGAGAAAATATTTACAAATCTCATATTAGATAAAGGGTCTATATTCAGGATAGATGAATAGATAGATGATAGATAGATAGATAGATAGATAGATAGATAGATAGATAGATTAAAGACTGATATTTTACAATTCAATAATGTAAAATCAACCTATCCTTAAAATACTGGACAAATAGTTGTATACAAGAGATTTGGATACCTAGTAATCACAAGATAAGATGCTCAAGTTCATTATTCATTAGAGAAATTCAAATGCAAACCACAATAAGGTATTACTAGGCAGTACTACACTGTCTAAAATCACAAAAACTAAAAATACAAAAGGTAGGAGGGAATTTGAAGCAATTTAAATTTTTGTACATTTTACTGGTTGGAATGCAAATGGTACAGCCACTAGAAAAACTAGTTTGTATCCATTTCTTATAAGGTTAAGCATACCCTTACTGTATGAATGAATAATGTTATTCCTTTGCATTTATGCAGAAGTATTGAAAACATATCTACACAAATATCTGTATAATCATATTTATAGTTCCTTTATTTATAATAAAAAACTGGAAACAATCCAAAGGTTCACAAACTAGTTAGTGAATGAACAATTTTTGCTACATTCATATAATGGAATTTTGCTTAGCAATGAAATGGAATGAATTAAAACATGCAACAATATGGATGAACCTAAAAAACCTTTTGCCATGTGAAGGAAACCAGACAGCAAAGACTATATATTGTACTATTTCATTGTGCTGGGAAATTGCAAAACTATAGGTAAAAAATAGATGAGTGTTTCCCAGGCGCTGAGAGTGAGGAGGTGAAGGGAACGTTACCACAAATGGCATGTGGAAATCTTTTTGTGGTGATGGAAATCTGCTATACCTTGTCTTGAAGATGGTTACATGACTCATACTTTTGCCAAAACTCATAAAAGTGTGGAAATAAAAGAAAATAAAATTTACTATATGTGAATGAATTTAATTCTGCATGGACTTTAACATTTTTCATTAAAAATGTGAAATATATTTATGAGCAGGAGGTAAGACACAAAAATTATAAATGATAAGGGAAAAATAAGTTTAAATACATTTAATACATTAAAATTAGAAATGTCTATTCATCAAAGACACCAAAAGCCTGTGAGAATATAAGCAACCTTTTTTTTTTTTTTTTTTGAGTCAGTATCTCACTGTCTCTCCCAAGCTGGAGTGCAGTGATGTGATCTCTGCTCACTACTGCAACCTCCACCTTCCAGGTTCAAGCGCTTCTCCTGCCTCAGCCTCCTGAGTAGCTGGCATTACAGGCGTCCACAACCAACCCTGGCTATTTTATTTTATTTTATTTTATTGTAGTAGAGACGGGGTTTCACCATGTTGGCCAGGCTGGCTTTGAACTCCTGACCTCAAATGATCTGACTGACTCGGCCTCCCAAAGTGCTGGGATTACAGATGTGAGCCACGGCTCCCAGCCTAAACAACCTAATTGAAAAATACATTTGCAGCACAAGTAAGTGACAAAAGATTAAAATTGAGACAGTAGATACTAAAAAAATCGATGAGAAAGAGAGACTCCTAATAGTAAATGGATATATATATCACAGATTTTAAAATATGTACATAGGCAATAATCTTATTTTAAAATATTTAATCTCATTAATAATCTAGAAAATGCAAGTTTATACTGAAGTTCATTTAACATCTAAAACATTAACAAAAACAAAAACTGTGACAATATAAAATGTTAAATGATTTGTGAAGTAACAGGAACTTTTACACGTTGCCAATGAGAGAATAAATTCACGCAACAATACAGTATTATGTAGTGACATTGAATATGCAATTACCCTACAATCCTACAATTCTACCTCTAGGTATACACTCTAAAGAAGTTTTTGGCCAGGCACGGTGGCTCACGCCTATAATCCCAGCACTTTGGGAGGCCGAGGTGGGCAGATCACCTGAGGTCAGGAGTTCGAGACCAGCCTGGCCAACATGGCGAAACCCTGTCTCTACTAAAAATACAAAAAAAATTAGCCAGGCATGGTGGCATGCACCTGCAATCCCAGCTACTTGGGAGGCTGAGGCAGGAGAATCGCTTGAATCCAGGAGGCAGAGGCTGTAGTGAGCCGAGATTGCACCATTGTACGCTGCAACGAGAGCGAAACTCCATCTCAGAAAAAAACAAAAACAAACAAACCAAAGAAACTGATATAAATATGTCAAGAGATATAGACTGAACTACTTATACTGATATGTTTTAATATGAAATAATTTAATGTCAACAACAATAAGAACGTAGAAATAGAAATGGTATATTCATTTACAAGATACTATATTGCAGTAAAAATAAATATCTATAGCTACAAATGTCAACATCATGGATATCAGAAACTTAATATTGGGCAAAAAATGAAACCTACACAATGAATACAAAACTGTTCTTTTTAATTTTTCTCTTTTAATAACATTTTTATTTTAAAACATTTTTGGAACTAAAAAAATTGGAAAGATAGTATAGATTTTCCATATAACCCCACACACAATTTTTCTCCATTATTAACTTCTTACTTCAGTATGGGACATTTTTTACAAAAAAACAATGTTGATACATTATTATTAATTAAAGTCCATGCTTTAAAAACTAAGACTGTTTTAGTTTTTAACCTAATGTCCTTTTTCTGTTCCAGGATCCCATCCAAGATACCACATTACATTTAGTAATCATAGCTTCTTATGCTCCTTTTTGATGGGATAATTTCTAAGAGTTTCCTTGCTTTTGATTACCTTGACACTTTTGAGGAACACTTGTCAGTTACTTTGTAGCATGCCTCTCTACTGGAATTTTTCTGATGCTTTTCTCATAATTAGACTCGATTTATATGTTTTGAAAGGAACACTATAGAGGTAAAGTATTATTTTAATCATATATCAAGAACGATATTGTCTGTCAACAAAATTTGTCACTTTTTTGTTTCTTTTTTTTTTTTTTTTTTTTTTTTTTGAGACAGTCTCACTCCATCACCCTAGCTGGAGTGCAGTGGCATAATCTCTGCTCACTGTAACCTCCACCTCCTAGGCTTAAGTGGTTCTCCATTCTTGTGCCTCGGTCTCCTGAGTACCTGGAATTACAGGCGTGGCCCACACACCTGGCTAATTTTTTATATTTTTAGTAGAGATAGGGTTTCACCATGTTGGCCAGGCTAGACTCGAACTCCTGATCTCAAGTGATCTGCCCGCTTCAGCCTCCCAAAGTGCTGGGATTACAGTCATGAGCCACTGCATCCGGCCTGTCACTGTTGAAGCTAACCTTAATCACCTGGTTAAGGTAGCATTTGTCAGATTTCTCTACAAAAGTTTTTTTTTTTTTTTCCTTTTTTACGTGGTAGTTTTAACTATACCCTGAGAATGAGTAATATTCTTGATTAGATTCTGAGTTGGATTTCTAAGTGTAGCTCCTGAGTCAACTTATTTTAATGTTTTATTGCCACAGTCTCTACCCTCAGGAAGGTCCTTAGTTTCTTCGTTTTTTCCTTGGCTACATGTGAAGGTGCCATTGCAGAATATGCCCCACTAGGTACTGTACAGTTTCCTTAGCCTGAGCTGTGCCCATAGAAACTTGAGAGCCAAAAGGTCTCAAGCATTCACTATATTTTATAATCTATACTGCTGGCACTTTGGGCAATACAACTGCCCTTCAAATGTTAGATTTGTTATGTCTATATTTGGTATGTAAAATAGTTTAAATTTTAAAAATTCAATTTACTGAGCTCTGTTAAAAATCAGGGTGTGGCAGAGATCCAAACAGCCTGAAAATACAATTTCCACATTCCTAGTCAGTCACACATAAAATAGTAGAGCTCTTTTCTTAGGAAAATGTGACCAGTAAGATGGCTAAGTTTGTGCTTGCTAATATAAACAATAAAATATTAAGTGTATTTACTCTTTTATTTATAAAGGACTTACTCTCAGGAATAGTAAAGCATTGTTACATAGTCTAGCTCATAACAAACAATTTGAGGTGAGTGAATTTTATGGTTTTGGCTTATTGATTTATATTTTGTTTTAACATAAAGGATAGCTAACCCCTACAAATACCTACCATTAAAATAGTTTTTATATATGTTCAAGGAATTTTATTTGGATAAAGATAACACAGGTCTTCTTTTACTTCTTTACAAAAGAATATTAAAATCAAGCATTTCAATTATAATCAGTCAAGACGTTTATTCAGAGAGCTTTCTAAATATCAAATGTCTCTTCACAAAGGCTATGTCTGTTTTCTTTATTATCTTCCCTTAGTTGCAATATGTCTCTGGTATCGGTTTTCTGTCTTCTCAGACATAAGTAATTGAGTTTTCAAGCAGCATAAGAGAAACATCATATTCCGTCAGAGTGAGACTTCAAACTTCTGAGTGTATCTATTCAGGAATCCTGGGAAATGTAAATTATCTCATGACAAATTTAGGCCCTTAATAATGTGGCTGCATTTCTTCATATATGTTCTGCTTAGGATAGGTCATAGTTTTTGGAATTCCCATTTCTTGAATGTCTGTGTTATAGAGATTAAGGAGTATTTCTGACAAAGCACATCTCTCATTGGCCACATAAAGTATTTGTTTTTCAAATTTGTATTTTTTCTCTTAGGATCATATCTCCCCTTGTCAATGACTAAAAAATTAGAAACGTCTGACCTCTTTCCAGATGACTTTTATTATGTGCTGAATCGTGGCCTCCCAAAATTCATAAGTTGAAGCCTAGCCACCTATTTGATGACAGGATCTTTAGGGAGATGCTGTAATAAAGTTTAAATGCAGTCACAGGGGTGGTGCCCTATTCCAACAGGACTGGTGTCCTTAGCAGAAGGGGAGACACCAGAGCACTCTGTCTCTGTTTCTGTTGTTCCCTCTCTGCACATACACAGAGAAGAAGCCATGAGAGGACAGACACAGGGATAAAACAGCTGTCTGCAAGCCAGCTAAGTGGACTAAAAGCCTGAGCATTTAATTTCAATATTGTTTGGAAATGGTAACTCTTCAAATAGCATGTTATTCATTGTGATGTGATATAGAGTTAAAATATATTTCAGTGATAATACTATTAGTATCTAAGAATCACCCCGATACGTAACTTGATACATTTCTTCATGAAATAGATAATTCAAATTCACCAAGCAGCCCTTCTTACAAGGAAGAATTTAGGTCAAGACAGATGTTTTATTTCATCTGTCTGATTAGCCATAAAAATAGTAATTAATATGTGCTGATTAAAAAAAATAAATGATCAAACTGTTTAGTGTCCATAATGGATGTTAGCATAATGGGATTTGTTGTCCACCACTTAGGTCATTTGTAATTTTAGTTCTTTTTATCTATTTTATTCTTCTTATTTCTCCATTATAGATTATTCTTATATATTCAATAATTACAGGTTATTTTATGTTTATTATGTGTGCCAATAGCCATGCCCACGTGTTTTTTTTCTGAGAGAGATAATCTTCTCTCCCTTTACTTCATTATCAGTAATTTAAGATTATCAGTCTTTCCCAGAAGAACTGTATTTTATTTCTTTTCCTTGAGCCACTTTGTCCAATAGAGGACTTGCTCAGTGCCACATAATAATAAATATTTTAACAAAGAGTATTAATACTGTACCTTTGATGTTGCCACCAGTAGGAGTTTTAATTGGCCTTTATTGCTTAAGGCCTTCTTATTTTCATTGCCCTTGTCAAAGATGAGAAACACTCACATTATAAAAGTGTCCCTAAAAGTGTTGAACTATCTGGAATATATGGTTTTCTTTCATTCCTGAAAAGTAACCAATTCACTTCTGAGCTCATACCTTTCTTGTATCACCTTATTTGTGTGCAACGAAGGCACAGTATAACATTACTGACTAATCACTCCACCTAAAACCACAAATGGAATCAGTACATTACTAGCCTTCCAAGTTACGACAGGTGACACTTCTACTAAATGTTTTACCCCAGAATAATATGGATTGTCATCTTTTCAGACTCTCACAGAGAGTCTCAGTACACATTGGCTGTATTAGTCCATTCTCACACTGGTATAAAAGAAATACCAGACACTGGGTAATTTATTTAAAATCGAGATTTCATTGGCTTATGGTTCCACAGGCTATACAGGATGTATGATGCTGGCCATCTGCTTGGCTTCTGGGGAAGCCTCAGGAAACTTACAATGATGACATAAATTGAAGGGGAAGCAGGCATGTCTTACATGGCTAGAGAAAGAGCAAGAGAGAAAGGGAGAGGGTGCTAGAAACTTTTAAACAAGCAGATCTCATGAGAACTCTATTAGGAGAATGGCACTAGGGGGATGGTGCTAAACCATTAGAAATCACCCCCATGACCCAATCAGCTTCCTCCAGTCCCCACCTCCAGCACTGGGGTTACATCTTAACATGAGATTTGAATGGGGACACAGATCCAAACCATATTATTCTACCCCTGGCCCCTCCCAAATCTCATGCCCTTCTCACATTTCAAAATACAATCATCCTTCCCAACAGTCCCCCAAAGTCTTAGTTCATTTTAGCATTAACTGAAATGTCCGAAGTCCAAAGTGTCATCTGAGACAAGGCTAGTGCCTTCTGCCTATGAGCATGTAAAATCAAAAAACAAGTTAGCTACTTCCAAAATAAAATGGGGGTACAGATAAATACTCTTTGGTAAATACTCCCATTCCAGGGAAAATTAAGCCAAAAGAAGGGATATACAGTGCCATGCAAATCCAAAGCCCAGCAGTGAAGTCATTAAATCTTAAAGTTACTAAATAATCACCTTTGACTCCATATCTCACATTGAGGGCATACTGGTGCAAGGGGTGGGTTCCCAATGTATTCGGCAGCTCCACCCCTGTGGTTTTGCAGGGTTCACCCCACATGGTTGTTCTCAAGGGCTGGCGTTGAGTGTTGGTGGCTTTTCTAGGTGCAGGATGTAAGCTGTCAGTGGATCTACCTTTCTGGGGTTTGGAGGACGGTGGCCTTCTTACAGCTCCACTAGGAAGTTTTCCAGTGGGGACTCTGCTGGGGATCCAACCCCACATTTCCCCTCTGCACTGCTCTAGTAGAAGTTCTCCATGAGGGCTCCACCCCTGCAGAAGACTTCTTCCTGGACATCCAGGCTTTTCCACATGTCCTCTGACATTGAGGTGGAAGCTCCCAAGATTCAACACTTGCACCCTTTGCACCCACAAGCTTAACACCACGTGGATGGCTTCCACCCTGTGAAGCAGCAACGCAAGCTGTACCTGGGCCCCTTTGAGCCACAGCTGGAGCTGGAGTGGCTGGGATGTGGGGAGCAGTGTTGTGAGGTTGTGCAGGGTGGCAGGGACCTGGGCCTGGGCCAGGCCCATGAAACTTCCCTCGTAGGCCTCTGGGCCTGTGATGGGAGGGGCTGCCGCAAAGGTCTCTGATATGCCCTGAAGGCCCTTTCCTCTTTGCCTTGGCTATTAGCAATTGGCTCCTCTTTATTTATGCCAATTTCTGTAGCCTGTTTGAATTCCTCTCCTGAAAATGGGCTTTTCTTTTCTACCACATGACCAGGCTGCAAATTTTCCAAACTTTTACACTCTGCTTCCCCTTTAAATATAAGGTCCAGTTTCAGGTCATTTCTTTGCTAATGCATATGAGCATATGTTGTTAGAAGCAGCTAGGCTATATTTTGAATGCCTTGAGCAAACGAATAAGAAAATGTGATATATATGCACAATGGATATTATTCAGCCCTAAAAAAAAAAAAAACCAAAACAGGAAAGGCTGACATTTGCCACAACATGGATGGACCTGGAGAAAATCATACATTTTCAGGAGTCATACTGGAAATTCAAATCCACTTAAGGGGCACATAATTTTGGACAAGATAATTAAATTCTGGAGACTTTTACCTAACTGGGCAGGAAGGTAAGTGGGATAATAGAAGGAGTAAATGGAAGAGTAAATAGAAAGAGTAAATGGATCTGGTGCCTTGATCTTGGACTTATTAGCCTCCAGAAAGGTGAGGAATAAATTTATGTTGTTTATAAGCCACTCAGTTTATGGTATTTTGTTATAGCAGCCCAAACAAACTCATGTACTAAGTACTACTCTTCTGAGTACCTTATTCATATTAATTAATTTTTATAAGTATACCATTATGTAGGAGATAGTACTTTTTCCTCCAGGTCCATCCATGTTGTGGCAAATGTCAGGCTTTCCTGGTTTTTTAAGGCTGGATAATAACTATTGCATATATATAATACTTTTTTTATTCATTTGCTTATCAATGTATATTTAGGTTGTTTCCATATTTTGGCTATTGTGAATAAATGCTTCAACTAACATAAGAGTGCAGAAACTTATAAAAGGTGGTGATTTCATCCCCTTTGGATGTATAGCCAGAAAAATGATTACTGGATCATGTGGTAGTTCTATTTCTTTATTTCCTTAGGAACCTTCATACTGTTTTTCTTAATGGTTGTTCCAATCTACATTCCCATCAACAGTGTACTAGGGTTCCCTTTTCTGCACATCCTTACCAACATTTTTTATCTTGTGTCTTTTAGATAACAGCTATTCTTATGTGTGTGAGGTGATACCTCATAGTAGTTTTAACTTACATTTCCCTGATGATTAGTGATCTTGAACACTGTTTCATAGACCTGTATATTTTACAGATGAAAGAGCTGAGGCACAGAAAGTTGGCAGGTAGTTTGTGAAAAATCACATAAGTATTAATTTGCCATTCTTGTTTGAACTAGGATATCTAGTGCCAGAGTCTGAACTCAATTATTACAGGATTTTTTTGTTTATATTTTATTTATTTATGTTTGAAAATTAGATCTTACTTAGTTTAATGGAATATAGAAAGCATCACAAGTTTAAGGCTTAAAAGGAAAGAAATATTGAGAATAGACCATACCTCAAACCACCACGTGGAGGCTTTTTTAAACACTTATAAACACAGGAAAAAAAGTTTTCAGGAGTCATACTGGAAATTCAAATCCACTTAAGGGGCATATACTTTTGGACAAGATAGTTAACTTCTGGAGACCTTCACCTACCTGGGCAGGAAAGTAAGTAGGTTAGTAGAAAGAGTAAATGGAAAAATATATAACATGGTGTTCAGAGCGTGTTAGATTTATAATAAAAGTTAGTTTCCTTTCCTGGACCGGATCTTCTAATTCAATTTTCAAACTAAAAGAACTTTTTGAAAACAGCTAATTAAATATTATGTGAACTTTTCCATACAATAACTATGAGCACATGTGTTATGGTTGAAGTGACAGTGAAAGGGGGAACTCTATCAGCTTGCTGATCACTGCCCTTTCCTACTACTACCTCCCTGAATCAAATACACACTGGACTATCATGGAGTTAAATTAATAGATTTACAGAAGATCCAGGTAGATTTCAAAAGAGGAGTAGAATTTTGGAGGAACTGAGACAATACCTTATCCAACAGATTTGTTTTATGTCAGAGAATTCCACTAGCTTGGTGACCTTATTCAATCATGTGGCTTTAAAACTGTCTATTGAACCACTTACAAATTTATATCTTTGGTCCAAACTGAGGTAGGTAGATAGGGTGGTCATAGCCTCCCTTAAAGGGAAACAAAGTTGCCAAACAGGTAAAGAGAACATACTGCTCGATAGTGCCCAAACAGCATCCAGGGCTTGTGGTTAGAATATCCTGCAGCAAGGAAGAAGAAGAGCAGAAGTGAAAATCCCCAAATTTGAGCAAGCACACAAAATCCATGACTAGTGTCCTTGGGTTGATGTATGCTCATGATAATACTAAAAAACACAGCACTGAGTGGATAATTAAGATGTTAATGAGACGTGAGGTATATTCTAGCATGTACAGCAATTGTGCATGTGCACCCAGGAGACCACCAGCAACATGCTTAACAGCAATGTCTGTCCCCATCCTCTTATGAATAATCCTACAAACATCCTATAAAGAGAAATTCCCCAATGTCAGATGGGGCTGTCATTCCTGAGAAGCCTGTGCTGACCCAGCTATCAGAGTGTACCCTTTCATTGGAATAAACTTATTTGCCTACTTTTATTTTGGACTCACTCTCAAATTCTTCTTTGCAGCAAGGTCAAGATCCTGAACCAGCCATCAACAACATAACCACCCTCCTAAATTTGGTTCTCATACATCTAACTACCAAAATATATTTCAAAATTATCCCAAACTACTCTTAATGGCAAGTAGATTAGTTTAGATTGCCCCCAAAGCAGAACAAGGGACAAAGATTAGGGTACAAAAATTATATTTGAGATATTATCATAGAAAAAGGAGAGGGGGACTCAGAAAATTGAGTCAAAATAGTAAGAAAAGGCAATATAAGAGTACGTTTTCACGGTAATGATTGTCAAAAATGGGGGCTCATTTCTACAAGGATCTTCTAAAAAGCAATCTGAATGCTTCTGAAATTTTCTACCTGAATGATGGGATGCTGAAGCATTGATAAACAGGCTCCTCTATCTCACTCTTGAAGGTGTCCCCAGAGGTATTACCTCCTTCATGCTTCATGCATTTACAAGTCAGTGAAATGGGCTTCTGCAGCTTCAGAGAAGACCCTAAGACAGAAACAGAAAGGAATCCTGTGAACTCTTGAGGAAAAAAGGGTCATTTGTAATAGGGACCACATCTGTGACTGATTTGGAGGTTGGTTAAAGGGCTGTTATGTGGGATATATTGGTAGTATCTGCTACATTTTCTGTCTTGTTTCACTCCAGTCTATGTGTGCCCCATGTAATCCATACTGCCACTAAGTTTTCAAGGAGGTGGCTGTCCATAATCTCTATGAACCACTAGCATTGAAAACAGGCAAAAACTGACTAACATCCATCAAATGAGTTATTCTGCCTACCTTGTTTTTGAGAGCTAACAAAACCTGTTCTTTGTTGGGCATTCACATAAGACACAGATATATGCATTCTTTGTACCTATTCCTCTAAGTATATTTAATGCTTCTTTTATAGACTTCTATGTCTCTAATTTTCAAATGTTGCTTTTTCTAGGCACATGACCAAATAGCCAAGCCATTCACTACTGCCAACAGTTGACTGACAGCCTTTCTTCAGACACTTCTTCTTCTATACAAAGTGTTTGACTGAATTTGCTCATCACCCTGACCCCTTGGAGGATTTATTTTCATTCCTATTCTTCAGACCACCATGAATTGATTTGTCAAGTGGCAGCATTGGCTAACACTCGTATATGCAGCAAACCCATCTGTGACCTAGATCTCAGTTTCTTTACTTCTTCCCAAGCAAGTTATAGAACAAACTCATGTGTCCATAGAAGTGAGATGGGGAGGCATCGGTTCGACAACAATAGGAGAGATAGGGATTTGGGCAATCTAGTGCTGGAACTTACATGTGTCCTCAATATCTGCTTAGACCTGATTTCCAAAGTATCTTTTCAGTGTATGATGGCTTGCTATTTTACCCACCAAACTATGATTTGGCAGATTTGATAAGACTCAGTTCATCGTAGGCAGCTATATTCCCTTAATCTCCTATTATCAGTCACCCAGTCTCTGCTAAAAGCCAGCTTTTCAAATGATCCGTAGTTCTTGGATGTTAAAGGAATGGCTTTACTCCAAAATCACAGTGGCCTAAGCTGAAGCTTTCCAAACACAACTAAGGATCTTTAACTTTTAGTACAATTAACACATTTAACATTATGTATTAGTCCATTTTCACGCTGATGATAAAGACATACCCAAGACTGGGCAATTTACAAAAGAAAGGTGTTTAACTGGACTTAAAGTTCCACATAGCTGGGGAGGCCTCACAATCATGGTGGAAGGTGAGGGGGAGCATGTCACATGTTATGTGGATGGTGGCAGGCAAAGAGAGAGCTTGTGCAGAGAAATTCCCTTTTTAAAACCATCAGATCTCATGAGACCCATTTACTATCTCAAGAACAGCACTGGAATCCTTTTTTTCCCCTTATACTTCAATAGTACCTTCTGAGAAATATTTTAAATAGAACAAGGAGTATTCCCAAGTGCAATACATACTTCCAGGAAGCAAATAGGTGTACCAAATGTTTTGCTAATTTTATTTTGTTAAGAGAGAGACAGGATTTCACTCTGGTCACCCACGCTGGAGTGTAGTGGCAATCATAGGTCACTGCAGCCTTAAACTCCTGGGCTCAAGTGATCCTTCTGCTTCAGCCTCCTGAGTAGCTGGAACTATAGGCATGTGCCACCACACCCAGCTCTCTCTCTGTCTCTGCCTCTCTCTACACACACACACACACACACACACACACACACACACACACACACACACACACACGTGTGGGTGTAGAATTAACACAGTTAACATTATGTATTAGTCCATTTTCATGCTGATGATAAAGATACCTGAGACTGGGCAGTTCAGACTACTGCCATTACATATATATATATATATATATATGTAATGGGGTCTTGCTATGTTGCCTAGGCCAGTCTTGAACTCCTGGACTCAAGCAATCCTCCCATCTTGGCCTCCCAAAGTTCTGGGATTACAGGAGTGAGCCACCAAGCCCAAACTGTCTCATTTTTAATGATAGGAAGTGTAAATTCCAACTGGTCCTTTATTTAAGAGATAAGTCTTAGAGTGTCCCAGGCTATTGGACCCCTAAAAGACTATTGATGTGGCAGGCTTCTAAATCGTTATGGAGTTTCTCCCCTACCCTCTTGAATACACGTAATACTAAGGTATTTAGAGTACTTGACACTCCTGTATATCTGGTCTGATGAGCATGATATCATCAAATATTGAAACAGCATAATAGTTGATGGAATATCAAGAGAAATAAGACTGCTGAAAAACATATGGTGACAAATAGCAGGACAGTTAACATTTCTGTAATAAGAGTTTGAATAAATACTCTTTTCTCACATAAAAACAATCTTCTTTTGATTCTCTTGCATAAGGGAATAAAAATAACTGATTCACCATATCAATAAGTACATATCAAGTACCAGAGGGTGAGTTGATCTTTTCCAGTACAGATATTATAAGCTATGGCGTTGAATTGTGACCCTTAAGAAGATATGTTGAGGCCCTAAACCTCAGTACCTCTAAATGTGAGCATCCTTGAAAACAGTGTCTTTTTCAGATGTAATCAAGTAAAGATGAGGTTATGAAGATGGGCCTTAATCCAATATGGCTCATGTCCTTATAAGAAGACAGAGACACAAAGGGAAAATGCCATGTGATGGCAGAGATGGAGATTGAAGTGATGCTGCTGGAAGCCAAGAGACACCAAGAATTCACGGCTACCAACAGAAGCTAGGAAGAGGCAAGGAGGGATTCCACCTAAAATTGCAGTGGGATTACGGCCCTATCAACTCTTTGATTCTGGACATCTAGCTCCCAAACTGTCAAAGAATGCATTTCAGTTGTTTTTGAATCATCTAGTTTGCAGCATTTTATTACAGAAGCCCGAAGAAACTAAACTACCACATCAGGCCTAGTCATTGAGATTTGAACTTCCATTGGTTAAGATTATGATAATCCATTGTTATTTACCTCAGTCTATCTAGTTTGTGTAGTGGCCACTAGGTAAATTGAATGGGTGAATGATGGGGCCATCACTCCAGACTACATGAGTGACACAAATATCTGCAATTCAGTGAGAATGTGGTTTTGCTTCCAATAATGTTTTGGCTGGGATTGCAGGAAATTGGCAGTTTAAAGAGCCTCACTTTACCGTCCTACCATAATAATTCTACTCCATTGATCAAAGAAACAATGTGATAGTTATTTCAGTTGTGAAGTATATTATCACAATTATGTATTCAGGGATCAGACAGTGAGCACCAGGGACACATCAGATTCACTACATTATACACTTGGGTCCTTTATCACCTTGTCCCTAAATGCCACAACTCCAATTAGACACGGGACATGAGGTCATCTTAAGTCCACAGTATCAATGTCAGGTCAGATTCTGTATCAAATGCTCTTGAAGATCTGATTATTTCCTTTTCCCTAAGTTATAGTTATTCTAGTAAATGGCTACAGGTCTTTTTGAGGGAAAAATCTTGGGAAATAACTGCTGTATTGCTGTATATACTGTTGTGTTATTTCAAGGCCATTCCTCAAGATGACTTAATCTCTTCTTTAATTGAGCACTAGGCTTGAGAACTGGCTAGGAGCTGAAAGTGTTTGAAGAATTGCAATTGCACATTGTAGTGGAATATATATTTATTCCAATTATACAAGTCCAGCAGGTGCCCTAAGAGAAAATGTTATATTAGTTATTGTCACAAATTCTTGCTAGTCAAAGAACTCTGGTAATAGTACCACAGTGGCAAACAGGGTTCTTTGACCAGCAAAGCAGCGTTCTTTGACTAATAATTATAATCAGCAATTATGCTCCCATAATTGCCAGTTCTAGTAATTATGTCTACTGTGCTCCTAATAATTAAGTGCTACCACTTGAGCTCTGCTATTTCCGTATCTTATTTTCTCCATTGACATGAGAGCATACAGTTAGTTACACAGTACAGATGATAGCAATTTCTGAACTTCTCAGAGGTGCCAGTGCACCCTGACTACATAGAGTATCCCTATTGCCTTAATATAAATAATGTCCCCTGCGTCTTCTAGGGAGCATAGGCAAGTAGTAGTTTTTCTGTTTGCATGCAATAAATCCATTTTAACATTCTACCGCACCCTTTATTCTAGCAGTCTATCTTTTTCCATCTTCTGACCCTTCCCACAATACTTTGCCAAAGGATCTCCAACATTTCTACCTTATTTCCTTTAGGCCTTTTAAAAAAATAGAATTTGTACACACAAAGATAAATTATATTTTACTCTTTAATCATGCAAGTGTCACTACTTGTATCATTGCCCTTGGGCATATATCTCAATCTTTTGTGCTTTTCCTGTAAAATGTAGATAATAATTGCACCTACTATGATGTTTGTTAAGGTTCAAAACATGCAAAGAATTTAGAACAATGACTGAAACATAATATGTATTCAAATAATATGCTCTGCAATTATTATTATTAAAAATAATTATAACACTGACAGACTCTTGATCTAAATATTTCTTAGTAGCTTACAGCCTCACACCTCATTATTATTTCACTGCCCCTTATTTTTCAATAATAAAATATGTCAACATGAAGCATCTTTCTAACTCCATGTTTCCACACTCATGGCATTTTATTTATGTGGCCTGTTCAGTTCACCTGTTCAAACTCTACCACCACCTCTTCTCTTCAGTTACTACTTCAGGATAATGGCAATAGTGCAAAAGCAGTGGTGCTTACACTAAAATTAAACATTCTACTTTTAAGTGACCTGAAAATGAGCTGGTATCAATAAAGGTTTATCTTAAGCTACAAACACTTACCAATGACTAAATCAAATCTTTCTTTAATGGCATACATAGAACCAAAAATTTCTTGATTAATATATTTCTAAGTTTTATCCATGCCTCAAAATATTGATTCACTAATATTGATCATACAAGGTATCTATTGTATTATTTATTCTATAAGCTACAATGGTAGTTAAGATTCAAAACTTGCAAAGCACTTAAAACAGTGCCTGGAATAGAATATGTATTCAAGTAATGTGAACTGCTATTATTAACATTATTATTAAAAATAACTATAACACCGATGAACTCTTGATCTAAATATTTCTTATATAAATTGTTCATAGTTTATAGAGTAGGTCAATAATACAATAGATATTTTCCTTAACTCTTTCCAAGGTAATAGTCATGCTTCTGAGTTTAAGTTGCTCATGGCTAAAGATGAAAAATGCTTTAAAAATATTTTAAATATTAGTTTTATCCATACTACATTCATAGGCTCCAAAGATAAGTGCTTTGAAGAAGAAAATACCAACTTGACTGTGTAAATACTAATATAACTGTTTGAAGATAGTTTGTTAATTGCCTAATAGCCAAACACCTTGAAAAAAATCAATTTTACCTTTAAATCATTTGCCACTTTTAAAGCATGCACACAAACACACCTGTACAAAGACATTCACCAGTATAAACACCATACACAACAATAAAATTATAAACTTCTTGAGAGTATTTGTTCTTCTTGTATCACTCTTGCCTAGTGGTAGGCTTGTAGCTACTTGTAATTACCCAAGAAATGTGAAAGTTACTCAGTAAATATTCACCGAATAATGAATGGTCAGGAGATTGAAAGAAGAATGAGGGTACATTACTAAAAAGGATAATAAATTTGTGTTTTGGATCTCTGTTTTTATTCCACTGAAGTTATAGTACTGTTTTTCACTTGCTGATTCATTTCCTTCTTCTAAACGATGTCAAGACTTAGAATTTGCTAATGTTTTTAGGTAAAAAAGAGACTTTAAGACTATGTAGGAGATACCAGAGAGGTAAAATAACTTGCTCACATTCACACAACAAATAAGTATTCTTTAAGCAAGGAATAGAATCCTAGATTTCTTCTCCTTCATTTCTCCATTTTTAAAGGAGTTTCTTATATATTTGGGGACACGAGAACAAATATTTAAACATATTAGGGAACACTATAAAGCTATAGATAATAAAATATCAAGGAATAGATTACAATGTATATGCATAAAAAGATCTCAAAAAAGGGATACAAAATCAGAGTAAGGGGACTGGAAGAGGGCTCCATGGAAGAGGTGATAATTAGAAGGGACCTGTTAGGAAGGTTTAGAGGAATGATAACAAATGTTTAGGGAATGGATTGACCTTGGGAAAAAATGCAAGGTCTGAAATTGCAAGGACATATTAAAGACATAGTTAAGAGACTAACCTTGGATAAAGAAGGATGTCAACTTTTGATAATAGCCTAGTCCTAGGAAGACAAGCAAATACTAATTAGTTTATTCTTTTTTTATTTTAATTTTCTGCAGAATGGTATATTCAAATGTTTATATATATATATATATATATATATATATATATATATATATATATGTATAAATTTTCCTCCCACATATGTCTCAATCTGCCTGGTACTTCCTTCTTCACCAGGAACAAAATCTTTTTGTTTCTGATATATTCCTCCAGAATGTTCTCATGTAAATAAAGAAAGCACAAATAATTGTTCTTGTTTCTCCTTCCTTTTACACAAAAGATGAATATTATACATAATTCTGCACCTTCCTATTGATGGTGACAGGAAGCAGCCAAATGCTTAGGCAGATAGGGACTAGTCCCCAGTGAAACCCCACCTCCAAGCCAAAGATAGCTTCAAGCCTGAAAGCCAAGCTACAAATTAGATCCTCGGCCTGGATTGAGAACTTGTCTTCCTGTTTGGCGCACTTTCCTCTGAATAGTACCCACCCTTCATCTGTTTTACATATACCTACCCTTTCCTAATTGGTTTACTACACTGTCATGCCCGCCTTTTGAGTGGCGTCTTTGCTTTAACCTTTTTTTGCATACTCGCAAACCAATCAGCACACACTCCCCACTCTGAGTCCATAAAAGACTTCAGATCCAGCCACACGACGGAACTTTTCTGCCTTTGGGTAGGGGGACCACCCTGCATTCCCTCTCCACTGAAAGCTGTTTCATCGCTCAATAAAATTATTTTCCGCCTTCCTCACCTTTCGATGTCCAGCATATCCTTATTCTTTTTGGGCTCAGTACAAGAGCTCGGGAACTGCCAAATGTGGGTACAAGCTATAACACAGGCGAGCTGGGGCACGGTAGCATGGCCAAGTGGGATCCAGGTGGGGTGTTATTGGCTGGAAGTGCCCGACTTGGAAAGGGATGGAGAAAAAAAATCCCACATCACTGTCATTTACTTAATAGTACTTTGGAGAACTTTCCGTATCCTTTCCTTCTATTTCTTCTATATAGTCAACGGTGTTTTCATTCTTAGTGTTTACCTTTGTGGTATAAAATGTCTTTACATTTCTTTTACATGATTTATTAGCTTTAAATGAGATCATTTGGATCCTGGAAATTCAACAAATTTATGTTGCCTACCACCTTGATCTTCCCTCTCCCAATTCTTGCTACTTTTATTCTTTGGATAGTGTCTTTGTATAAAACATGTATATCATACTAATACCTTAGCTTTTAGTTGTATGGTCAAATATATTAAATGCTCATTCCAGTCCTTTGGTTTATTTCTGCAATTATTGTTGGTAAGCTGAAATTTACTCTCTAGAATTTTCCTCAGAAGAGATCAGGAAAAAAATCTTTTCTGCATTCTTGCATGTTCAAAATCTTTGAAATCTTTTTGCTTAAAAGCTACCTGACTAGATATAAATCCCTAGATCATAATTTCTTTACTTGTTTATTTTATATATGTTGCTCTAATATAATCTCCACATTTCTCCCTAACTTCTTAGATAATCTTACTGCTTGGCTGCTAAGTGTTTTTGATTATTATGCTCTTGGTCTATTTCCTTTGATACACAGTATGCCTTTTCAATTTGTAAATTCAAGCTGTTCTTTTATTTTAGTAGAGTTTCCAAATATGGGCCTTTAAATATGTCTTGTTCAGGAAATCAGATAGTATCTTCTTAATCTTCTTTGCTTATCATCTATATCTATTTCCCCTTTAGTCGTTTATTTTCAGTATTTTAAAATTCATTTACTCATTTCCATTCTCTACAGCCTATGCAGTATTTTCAACTGTGTCAGTGCTTCCTCACGCTCCTTTGAATATTATTATTTCTGCTACCATTGCATATTCTTCAACTTCTTTCATGAGTTCTGCCTGCCCACCTGCTCATATTTTGACTAATCCTGTTTTCACATCTCTTTCCTGAATTCTCCCTATTTTAAATTTCTTTTTAGAGGAAATTGCATCATTTTAATTTTGAAACAAATAATGCTTTTCATCTCCTCCCTAGCTATATTTTTCTGGTAAGTATTCATCTGTTGGTAAATTTGAGGTACATTAAACGTCTCTGAGATTCTTCTCTATAATTCCTCTTGCATTTTTTTTGCCTGAACTCAGTTGTTTTGGTAGCCCCCATATGTAATTTGCAGTTTGTAGGCTATATATATATGTTTAGTTTTCTTTAAAATGTAGTTTTCTGATTTTCTTTCTTTCTTCTAGTTGATTATTTTTATGAATTCCAGAAGGAGAAGAGGAAAGAAACTGTCTCATACAGTCATGTTCTTGCTTGTTGTCTCAAATTTTGATTTCTCTCTTATTATTTCTGAGTTCTGACATGAAAATGAAATGGCTGTCCAGTTGAGCTTATTAGAATGGAAAGTAAATTATAATAGAAGTATAAATTCAGTATTATGAAAAACTATGGGAATAATGTATTCATTATGCTATATAATCTTAGAGTAGGAGACTGTCTATGTAGAGGATATTTTAAGTGCTGTTTTTCATATTGTAAGCAGAACAGTTAGGCTAGAGAATAACGGAACAATGTAGATATCTCAGAAGTTCAAATTTTTAGTAAATTTTTCTTAATAAGAATGGTGAAAATGATTAATTGCTAGCTCTGATTCACAAAGCAGCCCAGAGGACCAAAATAGCCAATTTTATTATTTCAATGATTGTTTACACGGATGAAACCTCTGTGTGAATTCCAGTTGTTGACCATATGTGCAGTGATCTTTATAAACAAAATACTTTTCTTCATGGCTACTTAAAAATATGTAAAACATATGCAACCAAGATCTTTTTTGTCAGTGGGAAGGACTATCAACACCAGTTATCTTTCAGTGTTTTTCTTTTAAAAAGTGAGATTATGGCATTAAGTACAGGAGAGGCAAAAGCCATGAAATTTGCTGCTCCATGAAGCTCCTGACTTGTTTGTGCACAATAGACATCTGCTACATGGTTGGAATACCAGTCAACCACAGAGTCACTATTTTTTAATTAGCAAGAGATCCAACTACTGGAGTTGGAAAATATTTGGTAGATCCAAATATAAGAATGCTCAAAGTTCAACCAGAAAAAGAAAAGGACTCTGTAATTTCATACAGCATCACTTTCTTTCTTTTTCATTGTATTATACCTGCCTTGATGTTGAGATCCTTCTTACACATGGTTTTAATTTAAATTAAATAGATTAACCCAAATAGCCAAGTAGTTACATTCGTTTGTTTCCTTAGCCTGTCTCTATTTAGTGAGAAAATAAAGCTTAAAAAGGATGGTTAAAGAGAACTTTGGAGGAAAAAGGATACCAGATATCATAGTTTTTCAAAAGCCATACTGTTTGTTTCAATTGGCTTCAATTAATTAATGTAACTTTCCTAAGAGAAAATCTGCTAAATATCCTGAAATCAAGTGAAAACCACATGTGTGAAAGAGGTAAATCACACTAAATGACACTGGAATGTGGGAGAGTGGGAAGTTCTCATTTAGAAAGCCTGAAAGATCATGAAAAAACATGGAGAAATTATTACAAAATTGCGTGTTTATGAAGGGAGTTTTCCTGGAGAAAGAGGAAGAGTATTAAATAGTCTTATTTATAGGAGACATATGCCTATGACAGTTTGTGGTTATTTTTCTTAATGTAATTCATCTGATATGACAGTTGCAAACAGCACTTTTGTATTAAGCCAGGGTTATTTATTTCATTACTATTAAGTTTGGGGGAACAAGCATGAAAAGGAGACTTTTCTCCTTATCAACTTAACACATACATCATACATAAACATCTAATTATTACCTGTTTTAAAGAACTGATGCTGGGCAGTACATTGGAGGAAGAAAAATATTTCTTATTTTTATACGGAAGGCTGAAGCTGAAAATCCTGTATATAGTATTCTGTTACACTAAAAATATACAAAGTTTGCAATTATCTGCCTTATAGCCCCAGCATCCCGCAAGCTTCTCTTTAAATATGTATAATATCACCAAGAAAAAAGTATAAATTTTAAAAAATAATGAACACCAATTAAGATGATAAGTGCTTGGACCTAGCTGAGGTCTTCACTAACTACTGGGCAGATGGAACCAGGATAAGAATGTATATATGTATGCACGTATGTGTCTTGATCTCATGGCACCTCTGGATATTGTCACATGTAGTAGAGAATTAGAGAAGATAGAAAGACTCTGTATCTCTAGCACAGCCTACTCCCAATTGGATAAAAGGCCTAGGGTAACCTTTCCTTAGTAAGTAGGTGCTACTTACTGAGGAGGTCAGAATCCTGGTTTCTGCAGTCGACTATCCCTATCTCCAGCCTCTTCTGTAATGATTTTACATTCATACAGAAGTAGTAACCCCAAGCAAACAATTGGACAGAAAGGAAATGACATAGCAATGGGGTTGTGTAAACTTGACAGTCTTATAGTGAGAAGGTAAGAAGATTATTAGTTGTTAAATTGCTGGGAATATTATTTTTTTCATTTTTCCAAAAATCAGAATAGCAGAGAAACAGTTTGTGAGAAGACAGCATGTCTATATGGCAGACTTCTTTTCCCTAAACTAGAGATTACATTAGAATTATGAACATTGATCTGTTCTTTTGTTGTTGATCTGAGAAGGTTGCCTTTCAACTAAGTCAAAACAGGATTTAGTACATTCCAGGTATCATCCTAAGCTCTTTATATAAATTAACTCATTTAATTTTTCTAGAAAATGTATGAAGGAGGTACTGTTATAACCTAAACTTTACAAATGAGGAAAATGGAACATAGAAAAGTCAAGTTCACAGTGTTAGTATATGATAAAATTGGGATTTGAACCCAGGCAGTCTGGCTCCAGTGTCTGAACTCCCAATTATCATTCAGTAGAGAAAGACAGCAGAGCCCAGTGTGTCCTGCCCCAGACCCTACCTCAGATATTCACCACTTCAAACTTTGTACAGATAAAAATATCACCAGAATCAATTTTAAAATATGACAGAACACTAGAAAAAATGTTTTGATGAACGGGGGAAATAAGCTACCTCTAAAAACTGTCTCCAGTGAAATCCAGAAATAATGTCAAGAAATTATAGAATCTTTAATATTGTGTCAGAAGAGACCAGAAAACCTAAAACATAGTAGTAGAAGAGACAAAAAAGAGAAAAGATAGTAGACTTGGGTGAAAGGGTGGTAGGAGATTAAAAAGAAGTTCAAGAAAAACTAACAATGTCAGATTGAAAATTCACCATGTACTACTGTATATTGAAAGTATATACATTTTAACCAATAATTAGTAGGAAAAATTTGAGTGAGTTTGCAAAGAAGGGAGTTGAAAGTCAATACTTCTGGAGAAAATATTTAGACCAAATAAAAAAAAAAGCAATAGATCAAAGATACATATTAGAGATTGTTTTCTAGGATGTAAAAATATGAATACTAAAATGGCTCTATAGGTTCCCGACAAAATAAATTAAAAGAGATTTATGTTACCTTCTTAAAATAAAGGTAAAATGTATCTGTCTTTTCTGTGATCTGAAATAAGTACTCAGTGGAATTATCAGTTTCTCATAGGTTTGATAGAGCTCATCCATAAAACATCTGGGCCCTGAACCTATATGATGGTAGTTTTTTTGACAGTATTTTCCATTTATTTTAATGGTTTGGGAAGCCTACCCATATTCAATGTTGGTCATTTACATACTCTAGAGAAACATTAAAGTAGTCTAAATTTTCAAGTTTTATAGCTTAGTTATATATTTTAATATATTTTTGAAGTAGTTTCTCCATATACATGGTTATATAGCCTGTATTTGCATTTGCTAGCTATTCCAGAGTCTTGTTTATGTCATAGAACTTTTCAAAAAAACAGCTCAAATATAAGGAGCAATTCCACTGTATTTCTGTTTTCTTGTCAGTTAGCTTCTCCTCTTCTTTTTATTGTTTTCTTATGTGCTTCTTAAGCTTGGCTTTTGTTGGGTGTGGTGCATTTACTAATTTCTTTAGCTGAATATTCAATTTGTTTTCATTCTTTCTTTGTTAATAGGAAGAGCATTTAAGGCTACAGTGTTTTTTCCTTTTGGCTGCATTCCATAACTTGCAGGGCAGTTACAGTATCTAAATAGTCTATAATTGCACTTTACATTTTTCAGTGATACAAGAGTCACTTAAGAGAGTACTATTAAATTTCTGAATGAATAAGTATTACAGTTGCTTGTTTTTCTTTTTATTCTTGCTAGTATTACCTGATTTTATTTCATTTCAAAGGGGAATATAACTTGTACAATTGATATTTCCAGATTTTTGAAAGATATTCTTTCTGGCCGAATGTATCATCAATTCTAGGAGTACCGTAAGAATTGAAGAAAGTGTTTTCTTTGTGGGTGTCAGTGTATAATATATGAGGCAATTAAATAAATTTTATTTATTGTATTATTAATTTTCCATGTATCCTGTGTATCAAATATCCTTGGCTACAGCTGAACAAAATTAGTTTCATTTTCTGATTTCTCTAATCTTTTGCAACCTGGTTGAGAATGAACAAAGTGAGCATTCTGGACATGCAGCTTCATAAATTAAAAATCAATTTGTTGGGAGAATGTATACAAGAATATGTAATCTATAAATATTTATATTCAAACACATATATGCATGTGTGTATATGTCTATGAACATGTATATATATGTTCATGTTTTGAACAATTATATCATAGGCTTATTAAAATTTTCTTTAATCTAATTAGATAGAATCAAATATATATTGAAAAATGTATCAACATCCTGTCATATTAGGGCTTTCAATGCAAATTTTACTCTGATATTAATATTGCATCCTGTGATTTACTTTTTTCTGTTTTCTTAATATATTTATTACTATTAATATATTAATATATTTATTACTATTAATATATTAATATATTTATTTATTTTTAACTGTTTAGGTTACGTTATCTGTTTGAAATCATATTTGAATAAATTTTCTCATTTATTTTTCTCTCTTAATAAGGGATTTTGTTCCATTTATATTTCTTTCTAAGACTTTTTCCAAAAAACATTTTTAATAGATAATAATGTTAATAGTGATGACAAATTAAAATGTTTCCCATGGACAAATAACTAAATACATACTACATACTACAGTAAATTCTTAGAAATTCAAATTTTATGTTAAAATATTAAAAGATCTAATGAATTTTGAATAAAGAAATATGTTTAAATCTTACCAATTCAGCTGACAATCTGAGTTTTTATGATGAGGTACTTTGGGATAGAAAGTTACTTGTAATTAATTATGCTTTAAAATAATACTCAGTTTATACCAACTAATTTTTTTTAACTCTGAATTTTTGCATCAAGTTAAACTTACAAATCTTGCTACAATACTTATTGATCTTATTAAATAATAATAGTCACAATCATTTTTTAAAAACGATATTATACTAAATCAAATTGAACAGAATAAACTCTTAAATCATCAGATAGAGTTACAAACTTAAACTCCATATACATTTTAAACTGCATTTAAAAATTTTATTATATTCAAAATTATTTTAAATTTTCTAGATATTTCAAACAATGAATTTATAGTACCAACATAGTCATAATTTTAAAGGTAACCTAAACATAAAGATAAATTAACCAAGTTAATTTATCTTAATTATTCTAATATAGTTTGCAAATAGTCAACATTTTGTATATTTTTGCTCAAAAATCACAAGATAAATATGCCAGAATTTCAAATATTAAAATGATGGTAAATAAACAAAATTATTCTTAAACATATAGCAAAAGTAAGAACATTATGACTTTAACTTCATCAACCCTATGGTTACTTTTTAAAAAATAATTAATAGACTTCATTTCATAGAGCAGTTTTATGTTTACAGAATAATTGATAAGAAGCTAAGAGAGCTCCCCACACCCCCTCTCTTCCTGCCAGCCCACCAGCACATAGTTTTCCCTATTATTAATAATATATTGTATTGAAGTGACATAGTTGTTACACTTGATGAATGTATACTGATACATTAATAATAACTAAAGTCCATAGTTTACATTAGGATTCACTCTTTGTTTCGTACAGTTTTAATAAACGCAGACTCTCATGTATCCACCCTTATAGTATTGCACAGAATATTTTCACTCCCCTAAAAATCCTCCTTTCTCCATTTATCCCTCGCCCAACCTCTCACCAATTCCTGACAAACACTGATCTTTTCACTTTCTCAATAGTATCCTTTTGCCCATTTTTAAAATTTGTCTAAATTTAAGGGGTACAGATGCAATTTTGTTACATAGATACATTGTAGAGTGGTGAAGTCTGGGCTTTTAATGTAACCATCTTCCAAATAATGTACATTGTTCCCGGTAGGTAATATCTCATCCCTCACCCTCCTCTTACCTTCCCACCCTTCCTTGTCTTTGCCCATTTTTATTTGGTTTGTTCATTATCTTACTGTTGAGTTGTATGAGTTCTTTGTGTATTTTGTATACAAGTTTCTTAATTATATATGTGTTTTGTAAATATCTTCTCCCAGTCTGTGGCTCATCTTTTCCTTCTCTTAACACTTTTTAAAAATTTTGCTAAGATTGGCAGTCACTTAACTGCCAAGAGGTGCTGATTTATCATCTCAAGTTAGTTGGCATTACTAAATTGAAAAATCAAGACACTGTTTTTATATGGAAAGGTAATGGTTGTGGCGTTATGTTAGTATTCGTAATAGTGGTGAAAATAGTACCAATAATAAAAGTAATTAACAATTTTTGTGTTGTTCTAGGTCCTGTGTTAAGTGCTTCACATGTATCATCTCATTGACTTCTTACAGAAATTTTCTCTAGTGGTAACTACTATTATTCTTAGTTAACAAGTGGCAGCATTACAGCATGGGAAGATTCTGAACTTTTTCTAGGAACATAAAGCTTTTGGATTCTGTAATATTAATTATCTAGGGAAGAGCTGAGTACCTCCTACCCAAATGGGAGCCAAGCCAAAGGCCCTCAATAGAAAGAAAGGCAATTTTTTTTCCTTTGTATGAACTTTAAATAAAAAGTCAAGGTGTTTATTCCTGACTGGGGGGTGTTTAAGTGATGGCTATTAGAGAGAAGGAGAACAGAAAGTGAGGCAGTGAAGCTAGATGTACTAAAGAACATAGCTTGGAATTCTCAGAGATACAGCTATGGAAGATGCCAAACCTCTTTGTGTGTGGTGTGTGTTTATTCAGTTTTTTAAAATTGTCTTTGAAGTTTCTTTGAAAGTCTGCCTGTTTCAACTGTACCAAGAGAATCAAGGCACTTTTATTAAAGTACTTAAAGGAAAGAGCTATGATTTCTCAATTCAAAGCACATTTTGGAAATCAGTATGTATCTTGCAATGGGAATTAAGTTATAAAATAGTTGACATTTTATCTAACAGCTTAACCCTATAATAGATGGTATCTGTTCATATAATTTACGTGACAATCACCTCTGTGGATTTAGTTGTAATTGGCAGCATCCAACAGGATTGAGTGTTAATTTACTATATGTTCTCAATTCAAAATCACCACTGATGGTGAAGATAGCCATGAAGAGTGGTCAGGGCCTTGCATAAAAAGAAATAAATCCTTTTCCCTACTCCCACCAGCAAGGACAGAACCATGAGGAATACTCATACTAGATTTAAAAAGGTGCTCCAGCTGCCTTCCAGAACTTCAGTCAAAGTTATTTGGTTTACTGCTCCATTCCCCATAACTTTAATTTTGAAATGTACCACTGATTTAATAGCTCCCCAAAGAAGAAGAAGAAGAAGAAGAAGGGGAAGGGGAAGGGGAAGGGGAAGAAAGAAGAAGAAGAAGAAGAAGAAGAAGAAGAAGAAGAAGAAAAAGAAGAAGAAGAAGAAGAAGAAGAAGAAGAAGAAGAAGAAGAAGAAGAAGAAGAAAGAAGGAGGAAGAGGAGGAGGAAGGGGAAAGGTAAGGGGATGGGGGAGGGGAGGGGGAGGGTGAAGGGGGAGGAGGAGGGGGGAAGAGTTGGAGGAGGAGCAGAAAGGGAAGAAAGAGAAGAAAGAAGAGGACAGATGTTGTTCTAGGATCCTGGCTTGGACTTAAGATATACAAAGCTGAAAAGACCATTGGACCCACCCTTATAGCAAAAAATAAACAAAAAAGCCACACAGATAATCTGCAAATAACAACTTTTCTTAAAAGTTGAGGTTACAGCATAATCATATTGCTCAGCATCTATGGAAGGGCAGGTGCTTCCAAAGACAAATTGGACCCTATCACTTGCTTCATTTGGGCAAGTACTGAAAGCCACATAGATCAGAAGAATGAAGCAATTTTAAAAGATTGCAAAACACCAAGTGTAGTCTATATTGAGAATACACTCATTGCAAGCTAAACACAGTAAGGCAATTTGTATACACTTAGAGTCTTTTTCACAGAATTCAAATGATGTTTACAACAAGGACTTAATGCATGTCAAGGGAGGGAAAAAAGCCTCCCTAGTGATCTTGGGAGGAAAATAGCAGCCTTTCCAGAAAAACCACAAAGATATTTCTACGCCATATTTTCTTGGAACAAAAGCCTTAAACCTTAGGGAGAAGAGCAACCAAACTGTCTAACATTAGGTCACAAGTGAAGACCAATTGCAGTTGAAGAAGGGGAATGATAAGACTTGTGGTGGAGGAACATGGATAGGTCTTGGGCCGCCAAAACTAGAAATTTCCTACTGCTAGAAGAGAGGCAGTATCATTGACAAGGCCCTAATCCCAAGGATACAGTGCTTACCTAACATAGAAAATTATCTGGAATAACAGAGAGGGACCCCACCACTACTGCATACCATAAGGCTAGCAGTCTAGTAACAAGTAACAGTGTTCTGGATGAGAATAAGAGCATGGAGAGAGACCCTTGCTGAAGCACAGGGCCAGAGGGAAGATTTAAAGCTGGTGATTAAACAGACACTGAGGAAAACACTCTGGCAAGCCTGCTCCCATCTTATACACAAGTTAATTTGAAGTCTATTGTAAACTGAGAATAACCATAGCAACAACAGACCCCAAACATACCTCATGTTTTGACTAGATTGATTCAACTCTGACACTAAAGGTCTAATAAAAGCAGAAACATGCCATTTCCAGGCATAAATACTATTTTCCTTATTTTGTATTCTACAAAAGATAACCAGATTTTACCAAAAATTAATGTGATGCATAAAACACAAGAAAAATAAAACATTATCAAGAGATAAATCAACTACAGAACCAGACTTATATCACCCATATGTTGGAATTATCAAATAAGGAATCTAAAATAAATATGACTAATATGTTAAAATCACTAGTGGAAAAAGTAGACATACATGAATGAATGAAAAATTTTATCAGAGAGACAGAAACTCTGAGTAAGAATCAAAAGGAAATGCTAGAAATAGAAATCAAACTTAACAGTGAAAAAGAATGCATTACCCAGAGGAATACAAAGAAAAATATTTGCAGACTTTTAATCTGAAACTATGTTAGCCAAAAGACAATAGAGTAACATCTATAAAGAAATGGAAGGAAGAACAGCCCTACCAATGCAGAATTCTATACCCAGTGAAAATGTCTGTGAGACATTAGGAGATTAAAGACTTTTCCATGTAAACAAAAGTGAGAGAATTCATGAAGAACAGACCCAGACTATTAAAAAAAGTTTAAAAGTTCTTATGCAGAATGAATATTATTCCAGATTAAAACATGGAACAATAAAAAGAAATGTAAAACATTGGAAAAGGAATAAATAAATGTAAATGTGTTTTTAATTGTTCTAAAAATAACTGTCTAAAGCAAAAATAGTACCAATGTATTATTTGTTTATAGAATATGTAAATTTATAATAATAAAAACAAAAGATATGAAGGAAGAATTGGAAATATACTGTTGTTAGCTTCTTATACTACACATGAAAAGATATACTACTATTTGAAAGCAGACCATATTTTATTAAAGAAAGATGCTTATTGAAAACCTTAGAATTCCCTGAAAAACTAAAATACTGAAGATAAAATAGAATATAAATATTACTTCATTAACTTAATAAAAGGCAACAAAAATATCCCTAAATAACAGAAACACCAAATAGGAAATATCTATCAAGATGACAAATTCTAACTTAACCATATCAATAATTAAATGTAAATGATCACATCAATTAAAGTATATTACTACTGATCCTAAAGATATTAAAATAATAATATTGTTAAAAATAATAATATAACCGACTTTCAACAATTTAGCTGTTTTGATGAAATGGACAATTCCTTTAAGGACACAAATTGCCAAGCTCATTCAAGAATGGATTAAGGAATATCTACACAATGGAATACCACTTGATGATAAAAAGAAATAAATTATTTGATACATTTTTAACATCACTATTTATATTATCCTGAATGTAAACATCAGATTTCTAGATTAAGAAAAGATTACTATTAATTATAACAATAACTGCATTGGTTTCCAACATCCTAATTCTTCCTCTTCCTGGGGCATTGTGATGAGAGACATATGGACCCTGCATGTATACTAAAGAGGATTTCTTGCACCATGAGAGAAGAATTGGAGATTATGAATCTTGGAGGTTATATAAGTTGTGGCCACCACAATCCACCTTTCCTGGGAGAGATAGAGAAATACTTGCTCCCTGGTTATTTAAAATCTTTTGAAATTTAAGTCACCAGTTTTATTGTTCGAGGTTTTATTGCTCTTTGAAAAGTAAAGAAGGGCTATCTGGAAATAAAGAGAAAAGTTTCTACCCCAGAAAGCTAGCATTTTGCTCCAGAAGTTTTTAAATTTTATTACTCTTTAAATGTGAATAAGAGCTCTGGGTCTAATACCCTTTGACCTCTAAGACTGTCCTTTAATTTAGGTTTCTGTAAAATTTGCTCAGAAAGCTTTTATCATGAAGACACATGGAAATATTCATTTGTTGACACTATTTCTAGATACAATAACATGGATAAATATCAGATGCATTAGGTTAAATGAAAGAACCTGAACTCATTTTTGTGACATTGTGGAAATGGCAAAACTAGAGGAACAGAAAGTCAGGTTTCCAGCCACTGGGGTTTTAGGAGTAGTTGACTAACAGAGGTCACAAGGTTATTTGGGGGGGTGTTTTAACTTTTCTACATCTTGATTGTGGTGATGGTTTCAAAACTGTGTGTATGTGTCAAACTCATAGAGCTGTGCACTAAAGAGGAAAAGTTTTACCATATATAAATTTTATGTTAATAACAAAAAGAAGCTCTGGAGCAAATATTATACATTTTCTTGAAAATCATTTAATTTTGGAACTGTGAAAATACATTTTATTTAGTAAACAGAGAAAATATGTTTTTAGTTGTCTTTTAAAATGCTGTTACAAAGTTTACATTCTCATTAGGTTTCGAATAAAAAAGCTTTTGAGTAAATAGAAGACTATCCAATAAGATGTTGAAATTAAAGACAATACATAGTCCTAAGTCTAAATAGACTGAAGTATTATCAAAGGCAGAGGATTTGGGAGGAGCTAACTTCAAATAACTTATTTTCAAAAGACTTTCAAATGAGCCAACTCCAAATGACAGATCATCTGGCTCAAAATCTTTTTGGCTGATTTTTAAGAGAGGCTATTTTGCTTCCTTCACTTAATTTTATTAAGAAGAAAGTAGATAATTTGAATTGGCTCAAAATTACTCTATGATCAACAGCAAAATTGAAAAAGGGGTCCACAATTGCAACCACAGTTAGTTTTGATAGTGTGCATAACCGTTAGTGGCCAAAGTGATTTAGAGTGGGGTTAGCCTCTGAATTTGAATATTTAATCTCCAAAATTGATTATATAGAAGACAGCATTGTAAGATTGTATGAGTAAATGTAAAATATTGTCATTAAAAAATCTGAGTTTATTTAGTATACATTTTCCTTCCCATGAACAGCTATCAGGGTACAGATTAAGGGCACTACTACTCTGGAGGTAGACAGACTTTGGGTTTAAGCATTTGTTTTTTCATTTATAATCTGTTAGGTTGGTGCAAAAGTTGGCAAAAACTGCAATTACTTTTGCACGAACTTAGTATGTGTCTTGGACAAGTCATTTAATTATCCTAACCTCTTTCCTGACCACCAAAATGGAAGTAAAACCAATATATATTAATGTAGTTCTAAATACTAAATGGTGTAGGAACATAGAGAACACATTTAAAATGGTTCTACTCACAGGGTAAATACCTCAAACAATAGCTGTCATTATGAGGTTCATGTACTTCCTGTATCATTCCTTGGAGTTTCTGGATCTTGTCTTATAAAGGAGATGGTATGTCCTTACAAAGTAGCAAGTAGCTAAAATATAAGAAATACGTTTTGTGTATATATATATATGCAAATATATAACTGCAATATGTATTACAGTTCCAATATTAAAAATAAATCTATGTGTACTTTAGATAGTTTTAAGAATCTTCTTCAACTTTCTTGCTTTGTTAAATAATTGACTAGTTAAAAAAAGGGGTGGTTTCCATTATTCATACTGGAGTAACAAATGTAAATAAGATACTGTCCTTACGAACCTCTTAAATGTTTTCTGTAACATGTTCTGGAAACTAAGTTAAAATCCATTTAATTTTGAGAGTTTTATCATTCCTCTTGAGATAATAAATTTTTTGGCAGAGCCAGTGGGGGTTGGTGTTGACAGGGATGGGGCTTACAAAATTAAAGAAGAGATTTAGCTATTTTAGAAATATTATGTTTGTTTATATTACTTTATTTCTCAAAATGTTTCTAAAGTGTTTTTTAGGACTTTCCTATTGTTCTTGTTTAGAAAATGATAATCTAAGGTACCACTCTTTTTTGCAAATTGAAAAAAATGTCATTTACTGCCTTTAAACTTCCATTCCTTTTTCCAAGAGAGAACACTTACTTTCAGAGTATAATTTTGGAGAGATCATTAAAAGGTTCCCTGACAACTGGATTCTTAAGGCTTCTTCCTCCCTTTTCCTCTATTGTCTTTGTTCAAGAATGCAGAAGCTAAGACAAATGCCAAAGGAGTATGCCCTTTCTGGGAGAAATATGGCATAACATTACTTAAATGTTATAACTATAGGCATAGTTGGACAGTTGTATCTGTCCAACTCTGAACTTTGACTTCACTATTTTATTGTAATCTATTATCAGGAACCAGAGGCCTGGCTTTGAAAACTTAAGAGTATTTTATTTTAATTCTGGACCTTGATATTTTAAAAGCTGAAAATGCCAGAGTTTCAAGTTGTTTTCTCAGTGCTTAAGAGTCTTGGTATGAAGCATAACTTCCTCACAGAGAGTGTCAACATGCCAAATGACTCTCAGCTACCCTGGTATTTGTACAATTCTCAGTCCTTAAGATCTAGCCACAAAGCATATGTGAAAGGAATCTTTCAAAACTACCCAATGTTAAAAAGAAAAGTGACTTAATTCAGAGAATACATGCCAAAAGTAATTTGCATCTCTAAGGAAATTTGATCAACAAGTTAGAGGAGAATGAAAACCTTTTCAAAAACAGGATCACTATAATGATGTTCTCATAAAGTGACACTAAACATATGCCATAGTGTGTTTTGCTTCTAATAAATTATAATAGAAAAGGGTAACTTAGCAATAAAGACTCAAGAGGCAGCTAGGGAACAGACAATGTGAGTGCCACAAGTCTGAGTTTCTCAGTGACCCCAAAGCAGCAATGATCCATCTGGTGATGTTGGGAAGAAAGGATAGCCCCTCAGGTAGTTACGGTATGGAATTGCTCAAATCTTTCAAATATATATATATATATATATATATGTGTGTGTGTGTGTGTGTGTGTGTGTGTGTGTGTGTGTGTGTGTATTGTATAAAATATATATATATGTATATAAATTTTACTTGAAGTTCTGGCATAAATGTGCAGAATGTTCAAGTTTGTTACATAGGTATACATGTGCCATGGTGGTTTGCTGCACCTATCAACCCGTCATCTAGGTTTTAAGCCCCCCAAGCACTAGACATTTGTCCTAATGCTCTCCCTCCCCATGACCCCTACCCACCAACAGGTCCAGTGTATGATGTTCCCCTCCCTGTGTCCATGTGTTCTCGTTGTTCAACTCCCACTTATGAGTGAGAACATGTGGTATTTGGTTTTCTGTTCCTGTGTTAGCTTGCTGAGGATGATGGTTTCCAGCTTCATCCATGTCCCTGCAAAGGACATGAACTCATTCCTTTTTATGGCTGCATAGTATTCCATGGTGTGTATGTGCCACATTTTCTTTATCCAATCTCTCATTGATGGGCATTTTGATCAGTTCCAAGTCTTTGCTATTGTAAATAGTGCTGCAGGAATTGTTCAACTCTTTCAGTTCTGCAAGGTAGCCAGAAAGTCATATTAGGAGCCTTATCTGGAAGTTCTCCACCAATCATACTCCCGAACATCACTGCATGTGTTTTTACAGCTATTGCCAAATGGTTTGTTGAATTAAAAAATAAGAATGTGTGAACCAGCTTTCAAGTCATGGTTTCTGTATTTATTAAATATGTCTCTTTTTCAAGTCACATACTCTCTCTCTGAAGTCCACTCTCCCAATCTGTAAAATGGGCATTATGGTTTACCTCGTGGGGTTTTAGGATGATGTTGTGAGGCTGTAAAGTTTTTGAGGACAGGGCCCTGTGCCCTTGTTTGTTGCTCTATTTCTAGTGCTATTCCAGTGCTTGTCACAGAGTAGATGCTCAATCAATATTTGTTGAATTAGTGAAATGAAAAGACAACAAATAAAGTATTTGAGCATGACTTACAAGAACTTAATATACAAGTACAAATTATCATTATAAAGTATTCAACCAAAATGAACATGCAAAATCACATCATTAATTTTGCCAGGTTTAAATTGATTTGCTTTAATTTTATATATGAAAGGATTATTTTGAAAACTGCAAAATATTTTAATGTAAATTTTAGTCATCTCTTTACAAAGGAAAATATGATGACCATCAACACTTCTAATTTGAGTGATGATGTTGGTCAGTCAAGGACAGGGAGATATTTTCTCTTGCGGGTTATTATACGACCGAATATGCTATAATGACTATTGGGTTTCCTCAGAACAATATGTCATTGGTATGACTCCAAATCCTGAGTGAACCTAGCACAGTAAATCTTGCAAGACTAGAAATATTCTTTGTTAATGACAGATTTTTTGTTCTCAAATGCATCATAGTAAAAGCTACCTAAAGAGATCATCTGCTGGTCACAGCAATATTTTGTCAAAAGGAGCCATTAACCAAAGTGCCTGCTTCTTTAGTATAAAACCAAGGCTAAGAAAATCTTTAATTAATGATGGTCTCTCAAATTGGGTATTGTTTTACTTTTTTCCAGTATATTTCAGGAATTTTGTATATCCAAAGTCTTTTCAGCATGAACATTAATACTTATGTCCTGTTGGAAAAAAATTTAGAAATTGTTAAACATGCTTTTCTCCAATTTAATGTTTTTCTTACCCTGTACATTACTTTTTCGTTCATTCAACAATGTGGATATCAACTGGTAGCCCAAATCATTATTTCTAACTTCCTACCTTTTAACATGATATGTTCTGTGTCCTCACTTTATTTTGTAAGAGTTCAGGTGCTCATTCTGTTTACAAATAACTTCACATTATTTGATGTTTATTTGTATCTGAAAATCTGCTCATTTACTTTCCATTCACAAGTAACAAAATATTTTTCCTGTAAGAGACATCAAAAGGCACATAAGGAAAGAATACTCATATATTTTTAAGTCTAAAATTTATTTCTAGAAGATAAATTTAAGAAAATATCATGGCCAATGTAAAGCATTTCAAATATGGAATCAAAAAAGCTTTTCGAATATGGACATGCATGTGATTCTGTTTGATATCTTCTTTTTTTGTACACAGTGCGTTTTATTATAACAGAGAATTTAAAAATACAATCAGAATAGTGTTTTATAACTTACTGTACATAAGGAAAATGTAATTTCTTCTATTTGATTAATGATTAATCCTCAGTGTTTATTCTCAGATTTAATCCTCTCTGTTCATTCAATGGTACATAAACTCTAAAACGTCCTCATTTTGGGCAAAGTATTAAGAAGATAATATGTATCATTTATTTATCATAGAATTTTACCCTACCACATTTTGTGATTGTATTCCCATTGTCAAATATATCATACAAATGGTACATAAATTAACAGTTTAAATGTAATAAAAATTATATTTTTTGTCAGCTGACTTTTTTTCTGATTGCAGAAAACATAATTGGCTTTTTAAACTTATTGATATGAAGTCAATTATTTGATATCCAATGTTTTAAAATGTAAATTCTAATTATTTATATGTCATTTATTAAAGTGTCTATTTCTCTCATGAAAAATTGAGGAAAGATTTTATTTCACCCTATCCAAGAGTATATTCAAATTGAATATTTTCTACATTTTATGAAATGATTTTGCTGGTTTAAATATGGTACTTAAAAATAATTCTATATACTTATAAGCAATGATGACTTTTTTATTTTGATTTTTTGTTCTTCTGGAAATATAGAAAGTATGTATAGATCTTCCTCATAGCTTGAGAAGTATACCTAGGTCATACACTAACCACATGACAATTATTTTGTTATGTGAGAAAGATTTTGTTGAATACTTACTGTCAAGAAAATACAAATTAGCTTTAATTTTTTTAATTTTATGAAATATTATTTTTTGTGTAAATCAAAAGGAAAAGTAAAAGTTTGACATATAACACAAGCTATTTCTTATACAAAATAGGGGTTGTCTGAGAAAGTCTTCTAAAGAAAGGAAAGAAAAAAATGTTAAGAAGGAAAACAGTAAAGAATAGAGTTAGGTGATCCTAGAAAAGCTAAAACAAGATAAGAGAGAGTAATCAAATCATCAGAGGAATAGCTGAGAGGAGTAGGAAAAAGACAAATATGGATTATTGAAGAATGAAGGGGCAGCAGCTTTATAGTGTAAGTCTTGGCAGAAAAGCTATTGCTGGTTACCCGTATTCTATTTAGATTCAGCATGTGTTGTGATATTCCCAGAAATTAAGAGTTAGTGAGATCGGGGTTATTTTTCCCCAGAGAGAAAAAAAACCCGAGACTGGAGAAATTAAAGATAGAAAGCCTGCCTAGGGACTGGGCTTCCAAGAGGCACTGCATACCTGCAGATGAGTTTAACAGTAGGGCTCCTCAAGAACAAGGACCTTGTATTTATAGAGATGCAGCTGGAGCCACAAGTGCCTGGGGATTGAGCGGGTTTTAGGAATAGAAGCTCACACTGACAATAAATTGGCTTGGAACTGCACTTATCTTACAGTCAATCCAAACTGTCATGGACCTATCCTATTGGAATGAAAATGGCAGAATCAGCTGATATGAGGGAGAACTTAGGGTGTACTTTAAGCTTCAAATACTCCATGGCCCAAGAATTCAATTCCACTAGTCTCTCCATATGTCCTAAAGCCACTCTGTGGTAATTCAGCATGCCAGAAGTCTCCAGATCCACTTGAGCTTTTCTAAACTTAATAGCCAGAAATGAGCTATTAACTTAGGACCGTAACTAAAATTAATATGGGGTATGGATAAGCAAGACTCTGGGGGAGTCATTATCTGTCTTCCAGATGCAGGGGTGGGGGAAGTATGGGAGTAACTGTGCATCTTAAAATATTCATATTCTTTTGGCCCCAGTCCAGATCCTGACTAATAATTTTGAAATGCTGAGGACAGAAGTTAAACAGGCATCTAGATCCATGTTCACTAGGGAGCTCTTGATCAGCTAGCAGCAGGCCAGTAGTGAGAAAAGTGTATGAATCTTGAAGCCATGCCAAGAAAATAAAACCCAGTGGTTCAGGGCCTATTGTAGGTACGAATGGAGAGAGAGAGTTCAGATGAGGGTGAAGATCAAAGTCTGAGAAGGAAGGATTGATTGAGCAGGAGACAACTGTGTAAGTGCAAATTGCATAAACTTAAGGAAGCTCCTTCTTGTTAATGGCTCAGGAACAATAAAGACCAAAGAACACAACCAGAGCCTTACGTGTGTTTCCGATTCTCCTGCCTAAATACTGATGAGAGAATGATGGTGAAATGAAAGAGGATATAAAAGCAATGGGTCAGGATTATAGTCTATTTGGAGTCAACTCTTACAATGCTCAGGCATTTAGAAAAGGAAATCAATGTTATTTAATTAGAATTAATTAGAATTAATTAGCATGTCATTTGCTACATAAACTAAGGTGACTTTCTTGTTTTCCTTTTAATATTTCCTGAAAAGTTTCTGTGATTATTATCTGTAGCTTAGTTTCCCAAAGGACTTTTTGTTTAATTTTAGCCTCCCAAAAGTCATCAAGAAAAATGTCGATGTGTTGCTCACTGTAAATAATTTGCCATTTTTCTTTTCCAGATATTGTTTTGGGAAGATTAGGCCATAAAAACTAGAGCCAGCTCTAAAAGCTAAACTTAATATTAAGTAAAGCTTTTTACATATTATTTAAATTATATTTATAACTGTAATATGGATATTAAATACAAATAATAAAAACAAATACTATGTTGTTGACTGCATGCTTCACATGTAGCAACTGCTTCACACATATTAACCCATTTAGTCATCACCACTTTTGAAGTAGGTATTACTCTTACTCATTGCTTACAGAGAGGACACTGAAGCAAAAAGTGATGAAATAACTTCTTCAGGGTCACAGTTTGTAAACTTCTAAGCCAGGATTCAGACTTAAGCAATATACCCCCGTGCTTATCCAATGTATTCCCCTACCTCTATTGGAGAAGAAACATGCACACATACACATACATGTTCACACACATAGAGACACATTTGAAAAAAAAAAGCTTTACCTCAGATCAAAATGAGATGAAATCAATGAAATAAATTTGTGCTAGGAAGCATGTTTGGAATAATATTGCCAGACAAGAAAAGGCTTTAATATCAATAGATCCCTAAAAGCCAAATGCCCGCTCTCGAGGATCATGGCCACAAAAAAAAAAAAAAAAAGAAATCAAGAAACTGCAGGATCAAGTAAAAACCAATTAAGGTAGTTCATCATCATTCACCAAACTAGGTCTGTTACCAATGACTTATATCTAAACAGAACTCTTCCTATGGCCTCAGAAATAAATGAGGCTCTAATTTTTTTCTTTCTTGTCTCATAAATATCATTATGTAAAAGTATCTCCTTGATTTGCTTGTTCATTCAAGGGAAACTTGAAGGAAATTTATCTTTATCTAGTCATTGGTCCATTTTGTTCTGTGACTCCTCATGGCCTTCAGGTACACTAACCAGGTCTACTAACAAACTTCTACCTGAGGCAAATTGAAACTTAAGAGATAATTTCAAAGAAAGTGGTTTAAGAATCTTTGTCTCTGAACCCTGAACCAAGTTATGACATATTAATAATTAAAAAAATAATTTGGGCAAGCATTTTGCCCATTACCTGCATGATTATTGCTATGCTTAGTTTCACATTATTATGGGCAGTCCTGATGCCCACCTTCCCACAGCAAGGAGAGTGAGGATGATAAAGGAAAATTAAGCAGAAATGACTTGACAGAAAGAGAACAGAGGCTGAAAATAGAAATGAAAGAGGAAAATGAGTTTTGGAGACATGGAAAAAGAAAAATAAAAGAGAATACTTGAGAATAAATTAGAAGAGTTTTTTTATATATATACTTTAAGTTCTAGGGTACATGTGCACAACATGCAGGCTTATTATATAGGTATACATGTGCCATGTTGGTTTGCTGCACCCATCAACTCGTCATTTACGTTAGGTATTTCTCCTAATGCTATCCCTCCCCAGCCCCTGACCCCCGACAGGGCCCGGTGTGTGATGTTCCCTGCCCTGTGTCCATGTGATCCCATTGTCAACTCCCACCTATGTGTGAGAACATGTGGTGTTTGGTTTTCTGTCCTTGTGATAGTTTGCTTAGAATGATGGTTTCCAGCTTCATCCATGTCCCTGCAAAGGACATGAACTCATCCTTTTTTATGGCTGCATAGTATTGCGTGTTGTACATGTGCTACATTTTCTTAATCCAGTCTATCACTGATGGACATTTGGGTTGGTTCCAAGTCTTTGCTATTGTGAATAGTGCCACAATAAACATATGTGTGCATGTGTTTTTATAGCAGCATGATTTATAATCCTTTGGGTATATACCCAGTAATGGGATTGCTGAGTCAAATGGTATTTATTTTCTTTCTTTTTTTTTTTTTTTTTTTGAGACGAAGTCTCACTCTGTAGCCCAGGCTGGAATGCAAGTGGCACGATATCTTGGCTCACTGCAACCTCTGCCTCCCGGGTTCACGCCATTCTCCTGCCTCAGCCTCCTTAGTTGCTGGGATTATAGGCAGGCACCACCACGCCTGGCTAATTTTTACATTTTTAGTGGAGACAAGGTTTCACCATGTTGGTCAGGCTTGTCTCGAACTCCTGACCTCAGGTGATCGGCCCACCTCGGCCTCCCAAAGTGCTGGGATTACAGATGTGAGCTACCGCGCACAGCCCAAATATTATTTCTAGTTATAGATCCTTGAGGAATCGCCACAATGTCTTCCACAATGGTTGAACTAGTTTACACTCCCACCAACAGTGTAAAAGTGTTTCTATTTCTCCACATCCTTTCCAGCATCTGTTGTTTCCTTTTTAATGATCGCCATTCTAACTGGCATGAGATGGTATCTCATTGTGGTTTTGATTTGCATTTCTCTGATGACAAGTGATGAACATTTTTTCATATGTCGGTTGGCTGCGTAATTGTCTTCTTTTGAGAAGTGTCTGTTCATATCCTTTGCCCACTTTTTGATAGCATTGTTTGTTTTTTTCTTGTAAATTTGTTTAAGTTCATTGTAGATTCTGGATATTAGCCCTTTGTCAGATGGGTAGATTGCAAAGATTTTCTCCTATTCTGTAGGTTGCATGTTCACTCTGATGATAGTTTCTTTTGCTGTGCAGAAGCTCTTTAGTTTACTTAGATCCCATTTGCCAATTTTGGCTTTTGTTGCCATTGCTTTTGGTGTTTTAGTCATGAAGTCTTTGCCCATGCCTATGTCCTGAATGGTGTTGCCTAGGTTTTCTTCTAGGATTTTTACGGTGTTAGGTCTTACATTTAACTCTTTAATCCATCTTGAGTTAATTTTTGTATATGGTGTAAGGAAGGGATCCAGTTTCAGCTTTCTACATATGCTAGCCAGTTTTCCCAGCACCATTTATTAAATAGGGAATTCTTTCTCCATTGCTTGTTTTTGTCAGGTTTGTCAAAGATCAAATGGTTGTAGATGTGTGGTGTTATTTCTGAGACCTCTGTTCTGTTCCATTCGTCTATTTTACTACCATTAGAAAATGGTACTGTTTTACTACCATTGGTACTGTTTTACTACCAGTAACATGCTGTTTTGGTTACTGAAGCCTTGTAGTATAGTTTGAAGTCAGGTAGCATGATGCCTCCAGCTTTGTTCTTTTTGCTTAGGATTGTCTTGGCTATGTTGGGTCTTTTTTAGTTCCATATGAACTTTAAAGTAGCTTTTTCCAATTCTGTGAAGAAAGTCAGTGGTAGCTTGATGGGGATAGCATTGAATCTATAAATTACCTTGGGCAGTATGGACGTTTTCACGATATTGATTCTTCCTATCCAAGACCATGGAATGTTTTTCCATTTGTTTATGTCCTCTTTTATTTCGTTGAGCAGTGGTTTATAGTTCTCCTTGAAGAGGTCCTTCACAGCTCTTGTAAGTTGGATTCCTAGGTATTTTAATCTCTTTGTAGTAATTGTGAATGGGAGTTCACTCATGATTTGGCTCTCTGTTTGTCTGTTATTGGTGTATAGGAATGCTTGTGGTTTTTGCACATCGATTTTGTATCCTGAGACTTTGCTGAATTTGCTTATCAGCTTAAGGATATTTTGGGCTGAGACAATGGGGTTTGCTAAATATACAATCATGTCATCTGTAAACAGAGGCAATTTGACTTCTGCTTTTCCTAATTGCATATCCTGTATTTCTTTCTCTTGCCTTCTGCTAGCTTTTGAATTTGTTTGCTCTTGTTTTTCTAGTTCTTTTAATGCTGATGTTAGGGTGTTGATTTTAGATCTTTCCTGCTTTCTCTTGTGGGCCTTTAGTGCCATAAATTTCCCTCTACACACTGCTTTAATTGTGTCCCAGAGATTCTGGTACATTGTGTCTTTGTTCTCACTAGTTTCAAATAAGTTATTTATTTCTGTCTTAATTTTGTTATTTACCCAGTAGTCATTCAGGAGCAGGTTTTTCAGTTTCCATGTAGTTGTGTGGTTTTGAGTGAGTTTATTAATCCTGAGTTCTAATTTGATTGCACTGTGGTCTGAGAGACAGTTTGTTGGGATTTCCGTTCTTTTACATTTGCTGAGGAGTGTTTTACTATCAATTATGTCATTAATTTTAGAATAAGTGTGGTGCTGAGAAGAATGTATATTCTGTTGATTTGGGGTGTAGAGTTCTGTAGATATCTATTAGTTCTGCTTGATCCAGAGCTGAGTTCAAGTCCTAGATATCCTTGTTAACCTTCTGTCTAGTTGATCTGTCTAATATTGACAGTGGGGTGTTAAAGTCTCCCACTATTATTGTGTGGGAGTCTAAGTCTCTTTGTAGGTCTCTAAGGACTTGCTTTATGAATATGGTTGCTCCTGTATTGGGTGTATATATATTTAGAACAGTTAACTCTTCCTGGTGAATTGATCCCTTTACCATTATGTAGTGGCCTTCTTTGTCTCTTTTGATCTTTGTTGGTTTAAAGTCTGTTTTATCAGAGACTACGATTGCAATGCCTGCTTTTTTTTTTTTTTCTTTCTGTTTGCTTGGTAGATCTTCCCGCATCCCTTTATTTTAAGCTTATGTGTGTCTTTGCAAGTGAGTTGGGTCTCCTGAATACAGCACACTGACAGGTCTTGACTCTTTATCCAATTTGCCAGTCTGTGTCTTTTAACTGAGGGATTTAGCCCACTAACATTTAAGGTTAATATTGTTACGTTTGAATTTGATCCTGTCATTATGATGTTAGCTGGTTATTTTGCCCATTAATTGATGCAGTTTCTTCATAGTGTTGATGGTCTTTACCATTTGGCATGTTTTTGCAGTGGCTGGTACCAGTTGTTCCTTTCCATGTTTAATGCTTCCTTCAGGAGCTCTTGTAAGGCAGGCCTGGTGGTAACAAAATCTCTCAGCATTTGCTTGTCTGTAAGGGATTTTATTTCTCCTTCACTTATGAAGCTTGGTTTGGCTGGATATGAGATTCTGGGTTGAAAATTCTTTTCTTGAACAACGTTGAATATTGGCCCCCACTCTCTTCTGGCTTGTAGGGTTTCTGCAGAGAGAGCCACTGTTAGTCTGATGGGCTTCCCTTTGTGGGTAACCCGACCTTTCTCTCTGGCTGCCCTTAACATTTTTTCGTTCATTTCAACCTTGGTGAATCTGACAATTATGTGTCTTGGGGTTGCTCTTCTAGAAGAGTATCTTTGTGGTGTTCTCTATAGTTCCTGAATTTGAATGTTGGCCAGCCTTGCTAGGTTAGGGAAGTTCTCCTGAATAATATCCTGAAGAGTGTTTTCTAACTTGGTTCCATTCTCTCTGTCACTTTCTGGTACACCAATCAAACGTAGGTTTGCTCTTTTCACATAATCCCATATTTATTGAAGGATTTGTTCATTTCTTTTCACTCATTTTTCTCTAATCTTGTCTTCTTGCTTTGTTTCATTAATTTGATCTTCAATCACTGATACCCTTTCTTCCACTTGATCGAATTGGCTATTGAAGCTTTTGAATGCATCACAAAATTCTCATGCCATGGTTTTCAGCTCCTAAGGTCTTCTCTACACTGTTTATTCTAGTTAGCCATTCGTCTAAACTTTTTTCAAGATTTTAAGCTTCCTTGCGGTGGGTTAGAACATACTCCTTTAGCTCGGAGAAGTTTGTTATTACCAACCTTCTGAAGCCTACTTCTGTCAACTCATCAAACTCATTCTCCGTCTAGTTTTGTTCCCTTGCTGGTGAGGAGCTGTGATCCTTTGGAGGAGAAGAGGCACTCTGTTTTTTTGAATTTTCAGCTTTTCTGCTCTGGTTTCTCCCCATCTTTGTGGTCTTATCTACCTTTGGTCTTTGATGTTGGTGACCTACAGATGGGGTTTTGGTGTGGATGTCCTTTTTTGTTGATGTTGATGCTATTCCTTTCAGGTTGTTAGTTTTCCTTGTAACAGTCAGGCCCCTCAGCTGCAGGTCTGTTGGAGTTTGCTGGAGGTCCACTCCAGACCCTATTTCCTGGGTATCACCAGTGGAGGCTACAGAACAGCAAATATTGCTGCCTGATTTTTCCTCTGGAAGCTTCATCCTAGAGGGCCACCCGCCTGTTTGAGGTGTCTGTTGGCCCCTAGGGGGTGGTGTTTCCCAGTCAGGCTACACGGGGGTCACGGACCCGCTTGAGGAGGCAGTCTGTCCGTTCTCAGAGCTCGAACGCCATGCTGAGAGAATCACTGCCCACTTCAGAGTTGTCAGACAGGGACCTTTAATTGTGCAGATGCTGTCTGCTGCCTTTTGTTCTACTATGCCTTGCCCCCAGAGAGAAGAGTTTTTAAGTATAGAGGAACAAAAGGGAAACAAATTATTTTACTTCATAAGGAAATTCCAGGCACTGGATTTCTGGCCCCATTAAGATAATTTAGGTGAATTGAATACAAAGTTAATAAATATATAATTTGGTGAGAGGAAAAGGAACAGAAGTAATTGAATTTGTGAAGTAGAGAAAGTAAGAATTTAATGCAATATGCACATTTAAAAATTGTTGTGGATATAGTTCATGAATGTTTCTTACCTACATTGTGTCAAACTGGGTAAATGTTTGGGGAATATTCCTAATTCCTGAACATTTATAAAAGGATAAAGTGCACTGTAACTGATTCAAAATGTTATTCATGTCAATAAGTTAGGATTAATTTTTGTTGTGTAAATGTTCTCTCATTAGCTAAATTTGTTATCCTTTGATGAATTAATCATTTTTACATTATTGTAGATGTTGAATTTTTAAACTTTAAATTTTAATTTTTTAAATGCTAAAATTAAACTATGCTTTTTTAATATCAGAAAATATATATAAAAGAAAAGAATAAAAATAAAGCAAAAATAAATGACTTTTTAATATCCTAGAGTATATATTTCTCAGTTTGCCATCTATGCATATGGATGTGGTATAGGTTTCACAAAAATCTGAGTACCATAAATACTGTATAGTAACATAGTTTTTAAAACAGTATTTTGCACATTTAGCTATATAAACACAAATGCTTCTGATATGCTTTGGCTGTGTGTACCCACCCAAATCTCATGTTTAATTGTAATCCCCAGTGTTGGGGGAGGGACCTGGTGGGAGTTGATTGGATCATGGGGGTGGCTTTCCCCTTGCTGTTCTCATGATAGTTAGTGAGTTCTCATGAAATATGATGGTTTATAATTGTGGCACTTCCCCACTTTGTGCTCTCTCTCTCTCTCTCTCTCTCTCTCTCTCTCTCTCTCTCTCCCCACCCCTCTCCCTCTCCTGCTCCACTGTGGTAGACATGCTTGCTTCTCCTTCACCTTCTGCCATGATTGTAAATTTCCTGAGGCCTCCCCAGCCATACTTCCTGTTAACCCTGTGGAACTGTGAGTCAATTAAACCTCTTTTCTTCATAAATTACCCAGTCTCAGGTAATTCTTTATCGCCGTGTGAGAACAGACTAACACTACTTCTATGATATTTTTGAGGGCTTTGTGGCAATTCATTTAAAAACTAAACATTTCTCCCAACCTGTGTGGAAGTTTAATTTTCCAATTTTTTGCTATTATACAAAACAGAGATCATCCATCATAGCTAAATTTTTCTGCATATCCCTAATTGTTGCCTTAATCTAAGTTTCCCTGAAGAAAAATTAATGTAAAATGGGTCTACAGTCAAATTTTCATCTAGAGAGTATTTAATGATTTATAATTCTGCTAATAATATATGAAAATGCCCATTTGCATATGAAAGGAATGCAAATCACTGGGAGTTAGAGGGCAAACTGTAGTGGTAAACCCTAATGGGACCTCAAGAATCCCCTCCTTCCCGAATTTAGAGCGTGTATAATCTCACCTTGAAAATAGGAAGGATGTATGACTTGCTTTTTTCTCACCAAGAGAATATAGCAAAGGTGATGAACATTACTTTATAATTGATTATGTAACTTTATAAGGCAAAAGTGATAGGATGTCATTCTTGTAAGTATTACATTATGTTATATAAGACTCCTTCTTCCAGCAGGAAGGGTCTCTGTTTCTGGCTTTGAAGAAGAAAGCTGATATGAAATAAGTGGCAATGTTTGTAAAGCTCCCACAGAAAGAACTAGAGATAGCCTCTATGAGTTGGGGGTAACTTTTAGCTGGAAACCAAAACCCTCAGCCCTTCTGCAGCAAGGAAATAAATTCTGCCAACAACCTGAGGGAGCTTGGAAGCAGATCTTCCCACAGGCGAGCCTCTGATGAGACCACTGTCCTGCTGACAGCTGGACAGTAGGCTGGCAAGGCCCTAAATTGGAGAATTTGTGATACAACAATAGAAAACTGATATGCTAATCAAGCTGTCCATTTATTTACTATTTATATTTATTTATTTACATTAGTATTGACTCATGGCTTCCTATTCTTTACTGTTAATGTGTGCTTTCATATTGTTCTAGATTTGGCTAGTGTGAGCCCCTTCAATCAGGTTTCTGTGTCTTTTAGACACGTGCCCACCATTTTTTGTGTATCTCCTTCCTTTTTGGCATAATGAGATGTTCAAGGCTCATATTATACTTTCTCTTATCTAACTATGGAATCTGCTATTTTCTTCAAAGACCCTTGATTCTTCAGAGTAGAAAATGGTTTTTAGAAACCAAAATGGGTGCTCACTTTTAGAATGCCACTATTCCCAGGCCCTTTCTATGGACAAGGATAAGAAAAAATATATATATGTATATATATATATATGCCACTTGTACATACTCATATTTATTTTTGGTTATACTTCTGCATCCGTCAATGTATGTTGGAGACTGTGAGTTTACACTGATACCGCCAGTTCCAGTCTAACATAGCAAGAATCATTCTGGCTTTATCATTTTACAGTGAAAATACCAGATATCATTATCCAACAGTGAAAATACCAGATCTCATTATCCATAAGATATTTACATATTTGATCAATACTTATGTATGTAACTAATCTCCCACTGCCACTGCTCCTTCCCCTTTGCAGACAGTGTCCTAATGTCACTCAGGTTCCGATATTCTTCCCAAATCTCTATGCTGCCTCCTTTACATCATCCTTCTTTGCCTCCCCACCACCCTTTTACCAGCATAGACATTTGCTTTACCTGCTTGAAATTTAAATACTTAAGTTAGGATGCTCACCCCTCTTCCCCCACATGGATGCCCTCTTAACCACAGTTGGACTCTGGCACTTCTCATCAGGTCATTTTTCACAGGGATGTTCTCCTTATCCTGCTTGTTTCCAGGCATGCTATGCCAGGCGGCTGATGTGCATGGGCAGCTTTTTATCACACTCAACCTCCAGCAATCCATGCTAGGCCCTCCTATTTGCTCTTTTCCCAGTAGTGAGCTTTTCCTTTGGATAGATGATATCCTCACACATTTTCGACTTTGACACCCAGCTCTGGAAAGCTTTTCTATCCACATTTAGACTCTGACACTCTTCATTAGGCCATATCACCCTATTAATCCTGCCTAGATTCATATCCTACAATGGGGTGCTCCAATGCATGGATATCCTCTTTACCCTTCTTGGGCTTGAGAGCTCTTCTGTGCCAAAGCCCTTCTCACCCTGCTTGAGCACCAATCTAGGTCCCCATGACTCACTCCATTTTCCTAGTGCCAACACCTACCTTGGTCAGCCTCACCTAATGGCTGTAGACTTAATTATTTAGAAGGAGAAAGGGAAAATGGGGAAGGGCAAAGTAAGAGAAGGGAAACAGAATGGGAAGGGGAATGAGAAAAGGAAGGGAAAGAGCCATAAATATTTTTTATTCTATTTCAGAATGAGCATCATTGATATCCGTATATGCAATGATTCTACATATTTTCAGGTCTTATAAGCTTGCTCAATTTAAATATGTTTACACAATTTTAAAATTTATTTTATTATTACCAAATGAGAAATTTGGTTATAATTGAACTTTTTATTTAAAAAGAAAATGCCCCATCCAATCATCTGTGCCTGGCACATATAAGAGATGTAAGAGAGTACAAAAAGTTAATTTCTGTTTTTTTGAAAGAAATGTTTATAAATTTGGTATTGAATTTTTTACATAAAATATCAACCAACATATGTTCATTCTCTGTGAGATATCTTCAAGTACTGAATATTCTTTACCTGTCAAAATACAAAAACTATAATTGAACACTAAATCGGGTTATAATTTTTATAATCTCTCTAATGTTATTACTTTCCATATACAAATATAAAATTTAACCAAAATGATAGATTTTATCACCTACACAACATGAGAAAGTATTTTATCTTCTTTTCTCACTAAATTTTTAAATATTGCCCATCTTCTATAGTCAGTACAAATTTCATGTAATTGTTAAATGGTCAAAAATGGTGATAGTTAAGTCCATGGTGAATGACAACTATTGAAAATGGTAATATGGAAAAATAAGTCTTCCTTTCACTCCTTACCCTCAAATCATAATAGAAAATCACAGATACTGGTTTCTTGGGTAATTACCCATAAATATTAAATATGTGTAGAACTGATGAAATACATCAATCCATAGATTCAAGAACTTCCATGAGCCTGAACACTTTTCAAGTATTTGCCTGCAACCAGAAAAGAATACTCAAGTATCAGGTGGTAATGGCATTAAAGGGCAAGAATTTGGGCAAGAAAGAATATCTGCCACAGAGACAAATGGAATTCTAGTCTCCTTTCTATCACCTCAGAAGACTAGATCTTGTGATGGTCAACTTAGAGGGGAGTGAATATGGACACTTCCTGGGTCAATTTTCACTTTCTAAAATAAAATGCTTTATACTCAAATGACAGAACAAACACGTCTTGCAGACTAAAACCAGTGACGTGTTGGTTTGTCACTTATTGAGCAGATTAAAAAATAAAAACAATTGAATTTTTAAAACTACAAAAATGATCACAGAGAGATTATATGTGCTCTATATTAATAAAGCAGTAGTTGTATTTGAGAACATTTTAAACTACCTATGTTTTAGCATGTATCATACTAATTGTTAAAATGTATATTAAAATGAAAGTTGGATTTCTTTCTCCAAATAGAGCCAGCAAATTCCCTAGAATAGCTTGCCTACCTCACTTCATGACCAATGAAAATGTACCATGCTTAGTCCACAATTAAACTCTACCATGCTTAGTCCACAATTAAAATCTACCCTGCTTAGTCCACAAAAGTATAATGTGTCAATTAAAATGTAATATATGGATTCTCCACATTTTTGAGAAATGCTTTGAAATTAACTCAAATCTGTACTTTAAGAGAAGATTGTATTCAATAAAATCTTCGTCCTTGAAGTGAAAGTATAGCAAGAATAAAATGATGAGAAAACAATAAAGGAAGAAATGAACTGATTGTTCAATGGCTAGAGCATAACCAAGTTTTTACTGGAATATAGAGGTATTGATTGTAAATTGCGTCTTGGTGGTCAAACCACAAAGGCATGATGTAATCAATGATAAAACTATATATAGTACTACATAATTACTTACATAACACTTTTTAATCCTGTTTTCTTCTTTTTCTAGAGTCCTTGTAAAATGTATTAAATAGTGTAACTCATGGTAACTTTTATAATGATAACATTTACTGAAATATAGCTTATGGAACATGTCAGTAATGACAAATGCATCCTAAAATATCCATTTTGTAATCGGTTTTTATTTTCAGACTGTTTATTACATCTGTAAATTTTGTAATATACTATAGGTTTTACATTGTAAGATTTTGGTTGATTTTAATTTCTTATGTGTTTAATGTAATATTTAACTTTTATAAAAAGTAAAACTTATTTTGAGGTAACAATTATTTTTTCTCCATGGCCATATTATAAATAATAATATTTATTATTTATTCAGTAAATGCCAGGCACTTAATTTTTTTTATTTCTTTCTACAATCTTTTGAGGTAGATACCATTTTTATCCTCCACATTTTGCCAGAGAGAAAACTGTATTTTAGAGAAGTAATAAATCCACGATTACATAGTTACAATGTGGTAAAAGAATGATTGAAATTCAGGATTGTCTAACTCCAAGCCTCATAATCAGCTACTACATTATACTGTCACAGATAATAACTAATTTTGTTTTTAATCTCCATAATTGTGATTTTCCACAGGAAAAATGGCAATTAAAGACTGCTTCAATTGTAAGAGCTATGACTATAGATGTTAGAAATAAGTGCTATGATCAGTGGCCTACATTCACTCTGCAGAACATGCCAAAGTGTGCATTCCTCACATGCTCCTCAGGTTGCTTACTCAAGAGCCCAGCAGTGCAGGTGAGGGCTGATGTACCTGGCTTACACCATGGTTGTGCTGGGTGAAATTAATAGGATGTCGCAAAGCTGGAGAACATTCAGCAACAAGAAACTTTTAATTGGCTCATTTCCATTTATCTCCCATGTTAGCACCATTTCCCATCTGAAGTTTCAGAAAACATTCTTTAAATGAGAAGGAATGACTGACTTGTGCCTTAAACTTTTCTAGTATATTTATTATGTTTCTTTTACCAGTGTTAGTTAAATGATTGCAAATAACACTTATTACTACTTTTCTGGTGCAGGGGAGAAAATACTTCTCATTCATCACAAGGTGTTTTATGGCTGAGACACCTATAAAATAAGACAGATTAACAAAAGAAAAGCATTCAAATTTACTTACTGTAAGTTTTATGTGACATAGGGGTCTTCAGAAGCAAGGACAGTTGTGCAGAAGTATATTTGGAGGACAAAGGGGAATAACCTAATGGTAACAAACTGGGTGGAGCAAAGCAAGATCTGTTTGTTCAGATTCTTTTCTGTGCTCTGTGTCTTCAGGAATAAGGGCATTTATTTCTTCCAGGTATAGGGAGGATAGCTCTGAGATGAAGATTTTATGACTTACTTTAGAGAAAGGTCAGAGAATTATTTAATGGCCTCTTCATGAAAAAAGGCAAGGGGAAGATAGAAGTGAACTTCCTGCTTCTGACGTTTTCTCAAATGCTAAGGTGCCATATTTTGGGGAAGAATGTGCTAAAGACTGTCACTGACAAATAGTTTGAAGCACATGTCATTCTCAAAGTTAGAAACAATGTTGTTGGTCAAATACTACATATCTCCTCCCCTATTGCCCTATGCCTACTATTTTTTAATATTCATCATTTAGAATTGAAGTCTTAAACAATTCTATTGAACTCTTTAAGTGCATTGCAGGTTAGAAATATGAATTTTACGTTCCATCAATAACTAGTTTATTGAGAGTTTTTAGCATGAAAGGCTGTTCAATTTGTTGAAGGCCTTTTCTGCATCTATTGAGATAATCGTGTGGTTTTTGTTATTGGTTCTGTTTATGTGATGGATTATATTTCTTGATTTGCTTATGTTGAACCAGCCTTGCATCCCAGGGATGAAGCCGACTTGATCCGGATGGATAAGCTTTTTGATGTGCTGCTGGATTTGTTTTGCCAGTATTTTATTGAGGGTTTTTGCATCAATGTTCAATAGGGATATTGGTCTGAAATTTTCTTTTCTTGATGTATCTCTGCCAGGTTTCGGTATCAGGATAATGCTGGCCTCATAAAATGGTTAGGGAAGATTCCATCTTTTTCTATTGTTGGAATAGTTTCAGAATGAATGGTACCAGATCCTCTTTGTACCTCTGGTAGAATTCGGCTGTGAATCCACGTGGTCCTGGATTTCTTTTGGTTGGTAGGCTATTAATTACTGCCTCAATTTCAGAACTTTTTTTTGGTCTATTCAGGGATTCCACTTCTTCCTGGTTTAGTCTTGGGAGGGTGTATGTGCCCAGAATGTATCCATTTCTTCTAGATTTTCTAGTTTATTTGTGTAGAGGTGTTTATAGTATTTTCTGAGGGTAGTTTGTATTTCTGTGGGATCGGCGGTGATATCTCCTTTATCATTTTTATTGCATCTATTTGATTCTTCTCTCTTTTCTTCTTCATTAGTCTTTCTGGTGGTCTATCTATTTTGTTGATCTTTTCAAAAAACCAGGTCCTGGATTCATTGATTTTTTGAAGGATTTTTCATGTGTCTATCTCCTTCAGTACTGCTCTGATCTTAGTTATTTCTTGTCTTCTGCTAGCTTTTGAATATGACAAACTCATAGCCAATATCATACTGAATGGGCAAAAACTGGAAGCATTCCCTTTGAAAACCAGCATAAGACAAGGATGCCCTCTCTCACCACTCCTATTCAACATAGTATTGGAAGTTCTGGCCAGGGCAATCAGGCAAGAGAAAGAAATAAAAGGTATTCAAGTAGGAAGACAGGAAGTCAAATTTTCTCTGTTCGCAGATGACATGATTTTATATTTAGAAAACCCCATCATCTCAGCTCAAAATATCCTTAAGCTGGTAAACAACTTCAGCAAAGTCTCAGGATACAAAATCAATATGCAAAAATCACAAGCATTCCTATACACCGATAACAAACAAACAGAGAGCCAAATAATGAGTGAACTCCCATTCACAATTGCTACTAAGAGAATAAAATACCTAGGAATACGACTTACAAGGGATGTGAAGGAACTCTTCAAGGAGAACTACAAATCACTTCTCAATGAAATAAGAGAGGACACAAACAAATGGAAAAACATTCCATGCTCATGGATAGGAAGAACGAATATCGTGAAAAGTAATTTAGAGATTCAATGCTATCCCCATCTAGCTACCACTGACTTTCTTCATAGAATTAGAAAAAACTACTTTAAATTTCATATGGACCCAAAAAAGAGCCCACATAGCCAAGACAATCCTATGCCAAAAGAACAAAGCTAAAGGCATCATGCTACCTGACTTCGAACTATACTACAAGGCGTCAGTAACCAAAACAGCATGGTACTGGTAGTAAAACAAATATATAGACCAAAGAGAACAGAAACCTGAGAAATAACATCACACATCTACAACCATCTGATCTTTGACAAAGGATCCCTTCCTTACACCGTGTACAAAAATTAACTCAAGATGGATTAAAGACTTAAACCTAAGACCTAACACCATAAAAACCCTGGAAGAAAACCTAGACAATACTATTTGGGACACAGGCATGGACAAAGACTTCATGACTAAAACACCAAAAGCAATGGCAACAAAAGCCAAAATTGGCAAATGGGATCTAATTAAACTAAAGAGCTTTTGCACAGCAAAATAAACTATCATCAGAGTGAACAGGCAACCTGCAGAACGGGAGAAAATGTTTGCAATCTATCCATCTGACAAAGGGCTAATATCCAGAATCTACAAAGAACATAAATTTACAAGAAAAAAAAAAACAACCCCATCAAAAAATGGGCAAAGGATATGAATAGACACTTCTCAAAAGAAGACATTCTTGCAGCCAACAAACACATGAAAAAAGGCTAATCATTGCTGGTCATGAGAGAAATGCAAATAAAAACCACAATGAGATACCATGTCATGCCAGTTAGAATAACAATCATTAAAAAGTCAGGAAACAACAGATGCTGGAGAGGATGTAGAGAAATAGGAACACTTTTACACTGTTGGGAGTGCAAATTAGTTTAACCATTGTGGAAGACAGTGTGGCAATTCCTCAAGGATCTAGAACTAGAAATACCATGTGACCCAGCAATCCCATTACTGGGTATGTACCCAGAGGATTAGAAATCATTCTACTATAAAGACACATGCAGATGTATGTTTATTGAGGCACTGTTCCCAATAGCAAAGACTTGGAACCAACCCAAATGCCCATCAGTGATAGACTGGATAAAGAAAATGTGGCACATATACACCATGAAATACTATGCAGCCACAAAAAAGGATGAGTTCATGTCCTTTGCAGGGACATAGATGAAGCTGGAAACCATCATTCTCAGCAAACTAACACAAGAAAAGAAAACCAAACACCACATGTTCTCATTCATAAGTGGGAGTTGAACAATGAGAACACATGGACACAGGGCTGGTGGGGATCACACACTAGGGCCTGTCAGGGGGTGTGGGTCTGGGGGAGGGGTAGCATTAGGATAAATAGCTAATGTAGATTACTGGTTGATGGGTGCAACAAACCATTATGGTACATGTATACCTATGTAATAAACCTGCACGTTCTGCACATGTACCCCAGAACTTGAAGTAAAATAATAATAAGAAAAAGAAATACGGATTTTACAAATTATATATTTAGAGACATATCTTAAGTAATCATCTAGCATCATTGTCAATAAAAATATAGTGTAAGCTACATATACAATTTTGAATATTCTCATAGTCACTTTAATTATTTTAAAAAGATATAATTCATTTTAATATTTTATATTTAATATATCAAAACATAATTTTAATGTGTAATCATTTAAAATGTATTAATAAGATATTTTATGTTATATTTTTCATACTAAGTCTTCAAAGTCCAATGTGTATTTCACAGTTACAAAACATTTCATTGTGTCCCAGCCACATTTAAAGTGCTCAGTAGCCATATTTTTAGTTAGGATTCTGGCTGGCAAGTGACATAACTTAGGCAAAATAGGAATTTATTGGACCAGTAAAACCAGGGAAAGTCCAAGCAATAAAGAACCAAAGATGTAACTAGAGACTTAAGAGCCAATAGAACATGGAACTTCATGAATTTCTGGACCTTTGTTAGCTTCATTCTCTCACATTGCCCAATGGCTTTCTCAACAAGTCTAATAACATGGCCTCCAGCATCTCCTAGGGTTCATATTTTATAGAAGGTTGTTTCTAAGACTCATACATGCAGGAATCATTCTCTTCTTCAGTTTTATCTCAGTAGTTCCAGGGAATAGCTCTATGTGACTTATCTATTGTTTTACTTACCTAGCAGATTTTGTTAATAGGACAACCTTGTTTTATTTGAGAACTGCCCTTTCCCAACTATGAAATTCTAGGAGGGGTGGGGAATTTCTGGCAATACTTCCTCACCACAGGTATAGATGTGCAATCAAGGTTAACCCATCAGTGTACTACATTCCTGTAGAAATAATAAGTATTTCTAGGTAAGCATAAAACCACATCAGTACAAATTAGAATTATTTGAGACTAGGATTAATATGGATGCTGTATATAAGAATTTTATGCCATCTCCAACTGGGAATATGAGTTAAAAGTATTATTATAATCTTGTGGATGCTGGAAGTCATCCTTGCTGCCATAGGAAAATGCCTGCCTGAAAATAAAGTCAACATATAGGAAAAGATGACAAGAAAATGAAGAGAAGCATTGTTTTGATGACATCGTGTATACCTCTGGATGTCCATGTTAGAGTCCATTTACAGCATTTGATAAATGCTCTATTAATGGTAGCAAGCAAGGTGGGGGTGGTGGCATGAGAATATAATTGGTCCAGCTTTGATCAGGGTTCCAGGCTATGATGTGGTTATGTATAAATTAAAATAAAAACATATGCAGACCAGTTCTGGCCATAATCCAATGGCTTGTATTATGTTGAGCTAAGCCTCCTGCAGATCACTATAAATGCTGAACATAGTACGTAAAACAACCATTTAAAGACATTTGAGAGCAATCAACTCAGGAGGACTCGAGAGATGACAGTACTTGAGAAAAGAGAAACATACAGGTAAGTTACACATTAACCTCACTTATACTCTGAAGGAAATTTCTGCATTGTGGGGTAGAAGAATATAACCCAAGAGGAGGGAAGTGATCTCAATAGCTCAAGAGACAGAAGTTGAAGTTTTGTACAGCCAAAGTGACTGAGACTTGAGGAACAGAATTCAGGAATGGTGAAAACAACAGAGAAAGACACTAAAATTCTTAATAGACATTATCCAGGTCTTTTGCCATTTCCTAAGATGTATGTGTGCATGGAAAAACTTCAAAAAAATGCAGTAGGGAATAACTATAAGGATGTTAAGCTGATGAGAGAGTTTACCTGTGGGCTGTTAGTACAAAAGATTATAGTTCAAATCCTACCTTTGCTTGTATTATGAGCCTTCTGCCTACTACCTATATTTCAATTAAGACATCATAAATGCTACACCTTAGGAGTAAGGGCTAAAGCCTAAGAGTTGGAATCATTCCATGGGAGTAAGGGCTATGTCTTCAAGTAGAGGCATAATTAGACATGTGATACTAAAATTGTAAAAAAGAGCATTTTAAATAATTTCAAAGAGTAAAAGCAGATGACTCAAAAAGAGCAAGAATCAAATTGCCTTGCAAAAAGTGACATAAGATGCACTAAAAGTATTAAGTAAAAAGTTTAAATTATTAAAGTGAAAGAATATCTAATCTAGAATTTTGTAGTTGGCTGTTATCCTTTAAATATGAGATCAGTGGAATAAGATACCGGAAATGTAACCATGCAAAGACCCATTTTGAAAATCCTTGGTGTGGGCACGCTCCATGAAGAGAAATAAACCCAGGAGGTCAGTATGACATGAGTGAGAAGTAGTGGCAAGCAATAACTACACAGACACACACATATACACACACACACATGCACACACACACACACACACACACACACAGTTTAAAAATGCAAGAAAGATAACCCATATAACACAGAAACAGTTTTAGAAAGGTAATAACTAAATGACTGGTGAACGGGGTATTGATATAAAGAGGGAAATAGAATTTGTTTCAGTAGAATACATAGATCATAACAAGTTTTAACAATTAATTTAAAAACTCGATTTTAAATTATGTGTAACTAATAGCAAAGTAAAACATATATAACTTTTAAATCAGCAGAAAAAAGGAAATATAATCTGTACAATTGGAACAGGAAACAAACAAACAAAAAGAAATGAAAGAAAGTATTATGCTATAGATAAGTCCTAACATAATATTTTAGGAAATCTAAATGTAATATACTCACAAATCAAAACAAAAACTAAAGGTTCTCCAATGGATGGAAAACAAGTTTACCAATATATTATCAGTAAGACATAGTTATATCAAAGGAAACTATAAATTAAATAAAAGGAAAAATAGATACCAAACACAAAGAAATATGTAGTACCAATCATATCATCAGACAAATTGAATTTGAAATGAAAACTAGTTTTAAGGAAAAATGTGATTATTGTTATAAAATGATAATAATGCTCATGATGCATATAAACACATATAAAATGATGAGTATACTGCTTGCAGGTGCTGTTCTATACTCTTTACATATTATAACACAATCCATCCTCATAACAACCTAAAGATACAGGTACTTCTATCATCCACATTTAGTAGATGAGAAAAATGAGCCATAGATTTTTTTGGTAACTTGTCCACAGCAAGAAAGGGTTAAATCCAGAATCAAAACCCTGTTACTATGATTTTAGGGTTCATGCTATTATATAATAACTATACTAATTATGAACATATATGCAAGAAAAGACAGACAATTTAAACAGCAATACCATGTAATAAATAGATACGTGGAGAACCTTACTTTCAACGTATAAAAATTATACATTTTTCACCTCATCCAATCTTATAAGTTTTTCCCACATTTATTTATATCTCTAGCCTACACATTTCTCCTGACCTGTATATCTAGTTTATCAGTCAATGTCTTAAACTTACCTTGTTGAAACTTATAATTACCCTTACACCTACTTTACCCACAGCCTGGAAGTGGATTGTGCTCCTTTCTTCTCTCGTTTCCTATATCAGCTCTATCAGAAAATTCTGTTTTCACTGTCTTAAAAATATGTTCACAATCCAACCGTATTTTACCACCTCTACTGTAACAAACGTGATACGATTCATCATCTCTGATTATCTTGATTATTGCTACAGTTTCCTAAATCCCCTCCTTGCTTCTATTCTTGACCCACAGTCTGTCCTCACTCAAGAGCCAGTGTTTAAAATGTAAGTGAGAATCACATAACTCTCCTCTTCAAAAACATCAACGGTTCCCATCTTAGTCAAAGTAAAAGTCAAACTCCTTACAATCGTCTACAAGACTCTCCATAATTTGGTTGCCATTGCCACACAATCCTTGAAGAGTGAATATATTTCTACCAGAGGACATTGCATAGGCTGGCCCTTCTCCTTGGAATCATATCCCTCCAGATATCCCAATGATTAATTCCTTCACTTCCTGTTTACTCAGATGGCATCTTTTCTATAAAGCCTACCTTGATCACTCTATTTAAAATTGAAATACTACCCCAATTATCAATCCCAACCCAGTTTATGTTAACTCTACTTTTTCACATGTATTTATATCTATCTAACTTTCCATTTATCTGTTATGGCTATTTTATCTTATTCTTTCTAGTAGAAAGTCCATGAGGAAAATTATTTTGTGTTTAATTTATCCCAAGTATTTAAGAGAGTACCAGACACAGAATAAGTATTTATTAAATATTTCTTGAGTAACTAAATGAGAAACAGTCAAAAATTAAATATTGACAAGGCCATATGGAAGCTTTAATATATTCAGAAGAATTAATATTTTACAGAATGTGTTCTCTGATCACAAAGCAATAAAATTAGAAATAATTGAAATAAACTTTAAAAAATACCTAATGTTTGAAAAAAACTAAATAGTGCACTATAAAAAGGCCCTTAAGTAAAAGAGCAAATCTTTAGGGAAAGTACAAAACATTAAGAACTGAACAAAAATGAAAATATTGCAGTTAAAGTTTATTAGAGCTAAAGCACATTGTCAAAGTTATAGCTTTATATGAATTAGCCATAAAGCAAAAAATGTTGAAGTAATGAAAATTTAATTTTTGGAAAAGAACCACAGAGCAAACCCTATGAAATAAGAATAATGCAATAAACATAAAAGCAAAAATTATTAAAATAACAAAGTAATAAGAGAGAAGAATGACATCAAAGCAAAAAGATTGACAAAAAAAATCAAAACTTTGGCAAAACTTACAGTAAAAAGAAAATGTGCAAAGCAAAAACATACAGTAAAAGGGGAAAGTAACCTCAAATACCAGAGATTTAAGAAATGACATAAGAAGACTTTGAACAATATATGCTAAGAAGTTTCATAATCTATAACCATTGTTTTCAACCAGAGTGAATATCAATCTCTATCCGGCATTTGAATATCAGTGCAAGTGTTTGTGATTATCACAGTGGCTGGGGATGTAATTGGTGTATTTAGCGTCCAGAGTCCAGGATAGAAAACTCGAATGATTAAAGAAAATTGAAATGATAAATTAAAAATACACCTGTTTTCTCCTTTCCTGTCCTTGCTGTCCAGTCAAAAGCTTTTATGCATGAACTGTGAAGCTTTATACTAAGTGAAAGAGGCCAGACACAAGAACTCATATATTCTACTTATATGAACTATTCAGAATAGGTAAATCCATAGAGACAGAAAGCAGACTGATGGTTATCAGAACTAGCCCAGGTGGGGAAGGGGACTGACTGCTTACTGAGTACAGGGTTTTATTTTGGAATGATGAAAATGTTTTGGAACTTAATAAAGGTGACAGTTGCACACATTGCGAAGGTACTAAACTCCACTAAATTGTACCCTTTAATATGATTAACTTTATGTCATGTGAATTGCACATCAGTAGAAATAAATAAATAAACATATATTAAAGGACATAAAATCTTCTGAATATGTGGATATTATATTTATATATTATATGGTATGTGTGTATATGTATATATGTATATTTATATAAATCATGTTTATGCATGGGAAACTTAGAAAATATGTCAATTATCTCCAAGTCATTCATAAATTCTATTCTACAGTATAACCAATTAATATACCAACAAACTTTTATATAAAACGAATTTATATGGAAGAATGAAGTTCACAAATATCAGAGAGGAGACTTAATATCAGATATTAAAACATTTTATAAAGCTATAGTAATAACTCCTGGCTTCCACCCAGGATGTAGAAAGATGGAAAACATATCACTCCCACCCTGACAAGAAAAACCCAGAATATCTACAAAATCATTGTTGTCCTCAATTTCTTAGTAACTGAGGTTGCAGAGTGATCTATTCTCCTATTCTCCCCTAATCTAAAGAAAAGCCGGTGCCCCAAACTCATGTCTGAGCATGAGAGGCAGACAATACTGCCATAAAAATGGATGGGAAGAATTTAGCAAAAACTGTTAACAAATTGCTAAATCCCTGGTGACTATGCAGGTGTGAAATCCCTGGGCAAGGATAAATGATGCATATGATGCTGCAGATAAAAGGAGAGTTGGCATGAATTTGTAGGTTCTCCTCCACAGACTTCAAGTGGTCACTCACAAGAAAAATTACAGGCAGAAATGCAAGAAAACTCCTGACAGCATTGTAGGCTTGAAAGAGGGTCATGGATGCTGCTTGTGGAAAAGGCACTATGTTCATTTGGACCTTTCTAACCCACAGAGTAAAAGACATGATATTTCTAAACACTGATATGCCCTAATTTGATCTATACATTCACTGTCATCCCAATAAAAATCCCAGAAATTTTAGAAACCTAAAGGCTTATTCTAAAATACACATGGAAAGGCAAAGGGCCTAGAATACCTGAAAACATTATGAAAAAGGGGAACAAAGAGGAGACACAATATCTGATTTAAAGACCACCATAAAGCTACAATAATCAAGGCAGTGAGGTATTGGCAAAAGGATAGTCAGATAGAATAGTTGAATCAAATAGAGTTCAGAAATAGACCCCATATATGATCAATTATTTTCAATAATGTGCCAAGGAAAGTGAAAGACCAAGCATAATCTCTCCAACGAATGGCCCCGAGAAAATTGGATATTCATATTAAGAAAGTAGCCTTGACCCATAACTCACAACATATACAAAAATTATGTCAAAATAGATGCTAGTCCTCATCATAAAGGTAAAATTATAAAAATTGTAAAAGAAAACATGATAAAAAGATACTTGTGACTAGGATTTAGGCAAATATTTCTTAGATACCTCTTCAAAAGCACCATCTTTAAAGGCAAAGTTAACATACTGGACTTCTTCAAAATTAAATATTTCTGCTCTTCTAAAGACACGTTTCTTAAAAAAAAAAGTCAAGCCACAGAGTAAAAGAAAATATTTGCAAAACATGTATCTGAGAAAAAGACCTGTATCCAGACTACACAAAGAACTCTTGAAACTCAGTAGTAAGTAAACAACCCAATAAAAAATGGGCCAGTTTTAACAGACATTTCACAATAGAATATACAGCTGTCAAGAAAACATGAGAAGTGCCAAAATGGCTAACGAGAAGCAGCTAGTGTGCAGCGCTCTCATGGAGAGGAGATAGAATGGCTAGGAAACACCAGCTCTACAACTGGATCATCCAGGTGGACATGGGATTCATCAAAGAAACAATGCAACCCAAAAGAACAGAGAAGAGTGAAGCAGGACAGCTGTCCACCCAGGACTGGCATGCAGCAAGGAGAGGCTCCACACTATGGGAAAATGGTAGTGAGTGAGAGGCCCCAGGGACACATACTTATGCTACAAACCTTTGCAACCCTGGGCTCAGGAGATTCCTCTTATCCCCTCCCACCCCGCAACCGGGGCCTCCAGACAGAAATGGAGAGCTTCCTGGAGTCTGGACAGAGCTTCCACTCAGGCATATATGGAGTCTTGGGGGCCTTGGATTTCTGGGCACCCTGGCACCAGTGGCTGTAGCTCCAGAAAGGGGGGAGGCCAGGCTTCCTCGCACACCTCCAGGACCGGGGCCAAATCCATGGGGCTGAGGAGCAGATGGACTACAGGCCTGACATCTATTGCATCTCACCAGACAAGGCTTACTGACCTGGGACCCTTTCTCGGCCACTTCAGCCCTGGCTGAGCTCTTGGGCCAGTAATGTCTTCGTACTTCACTGGAATGGAGCTCCCAGAGGTAGCACACAGGTTCGCCATTTTTACTGCTCTGCAGTGCCGACTTCTGATGCCCGTAAGCCAGGGAAGGAGCGAAGAGCTTAAGTTTTAACACAGGCACCCAGCACAGAGCAGTGGCCTTACGGAAAAGTGGCCAGACTGTTTTCCATGTGAGTCCCTGCCTCTGTTATTCCTCACTGGGCAGGGCCTCTAGACTCAGGCCCCCCCTGCCTCTGCCTGAACACTTCAGTTGATAGCAGATCTGTGTTTTGCTGGGGAAGAAACAACCGACAGCCCCTCTGCCATTGCAGCTGCAGTGGTACGCCCTTACTGCCCTTGGGCTGGAGAAGGAAAAAAGGGCCTGGTTGCTTCACTGACACCTCCGGCGCACCGTAGCTACCATAAAAAAAGGAGCCCAGTTGCTCTTCCCTGTGAGCCCTCAGCCCCAGCCAGGGCGCCCAGCTCAGGACTGCAGCACAGCTGCCCCATCCCCAGCTGAGCATTCCCACTGGCAGCAGCTCTGTGTTTCTCCAGGAAGGAATTCCCAGAGGCAACTGACAGCCCTCTGTCATTGCCACTGCAGTGGTACTGCCCTTGCTGCGATTGGACTAGGGAAGAAACAAAGACCCTGAGTGCTTTGCCCACACCTTCAGCACACCGTGGCCACCCACAGGTAAAAAGGCCAATCTATTTCCCCTGCAAACTCTCTGCCACTCCTGCTTTTCACCAGGAGGGGCCCCCCAGTTTGGACCCACAATGCAGCCACACCACCCTGCATTGATTGCTTTGACTGGTAGCAGCTCTGCATATCTCTGGGGTGGAGCTCAAAGAGACAAGTGAAAGGTCCTTTGTCACAGCCACTGCCAAGTTTCCTTCCCCTGTTGCCTACAAGCTAAGGAGGGAACATAAAACTTGAGCTTGCCTCGGGGCTGCAGTGCACAGCCTGGGAGTGCCAAGCCGAGATCTGCAGCCAGCACTCCAGTGGGAGAGGAGCCCAGACTCTCAGAGCACTGAGGTTGAGCATGGTTGCAAATGCAAGGAAATACAGAGGAGCCACATGGCTGAGCAAAAGCCTAAAATATACCCCGTGTGAAACCAAGGACAAGAATTAAGCCACAAATAAAGTCCCAGGACAAACCCTAGTCCCTCTGAAAACATCCAGAAACGAAGTCAACTGACTACTCAAATTATACCACAGATAAAAGAACATCAACCCACACAGATGAGAAAGAACTAGCAGAAGAACTCTGGCAACTCAAAAAACCAGAGTGACTTATTTCCTCCAAACAGCTGCACTAGGTTCCCAGCAATGGTTCTTAACCAGGCTGAAATCACTGAAATGGCAGACACAGAATTCAAAATATGAATAGGAATGAAGATCATTGAGATTCAGGAGAAAGCTGAAATTCAATCAAAGGAATCTAAGAAATACAATAAAACAATACAGGAGCTAAAAGATAAAATGGTCATTTTAAGAAAGAACCAAAATGATCTAATAGAGCTGAAACACTCTCACCACTCTTCTTCAACATACTACTAGAAGTCCTAGCCAAAGCAATCAGTCAAGAGAAAGAAAAGGCATCCAAATTGGAACAGAAGAAGTCAAATATCTCTGTTTGCAGATGATATGATATTATACCTAGAAAAGTCCATAGTCTCTACCCAAAAGCTCCTTGATCTGATAAAAAAAAAAACTTCAGCAGAGCTTCAGGCCACAAAATCAATGTAGGAAAATCCGTAACATTTCTATTCACCAATAACGTTCAAACTGAGAACAAAACAAAGACTGCAATCCCATTTACAATAGCCACAGAAAAATAAAATACTTAGGAATACAGCTAACTAGAAAGGTGAAAGATCTCTACAATGAGAATTACCAAACACTGCTCAAAGAAATCAAAGATGAAACAAACAAATGGAAAAACATGTCATGCTCATGGTTGGGAAGAATTAATATTGTGAAAATGGCCATATTGCCCAAAACAATCTACTGATTCAATGCTATTTTTACCAAAATACCAATGACATTCTTCACAAAATTAGGAAAAACTATTCTTAAATTTATATGGAACCACAAAAGAGCCCGAATAGCCAAAGCAATTCTAAGCAAAAAGAACAAAGCTGGAAGCATCACACTATCCAACTTCAAACTATACTACAAGGCTACAGTATCCAAAACAGCATGGAAATGGTACAAAAACTGACACATAGACCAATGGAATAGAATAGAGAGCCCAGAAAAAATGCTGCACACCAAAAACAATCTGATTTTTGACAAGGTCAACAAAAACAAGCAATGGGGAAAGGACTCCCTATTCAATAAATCATGCTGGGTAACTGGCTAGCCATATGCAGAAGATTGAAACTGGACTCCTTCCTTACATCATATACAAAAATCAACTCAGGATGGATTAAAGACTTAAATGTAAAGCCTAAAATTATTAAAACTCTTGAAGAAAATCTAGGAAATACCATTCTGGACATAAGCCCTGGCAAAGATTTCGTGGTGAAGATGCCAAAAGCAATTGCCACAAAAACAAGAATAGGCTAATGGGACCTAATTAAACTTAAGAGTTTCTACACAGCAAAAGAAAATGTCAACAGAGTAAGTAGACAACCCATAGAATGGGAAAAAGATTTTCAAACTGTGCATCTGACAAAGGTCTAATATCCAGAATCTATGAGAAATTTAAGTAAATAAACAGGCAAAAAACAACACCATTAAAAAGTGGGCAAGGGACATGAATAGACACTTTTCAAAAGAAGATCTGTGCATGGTCAACAAACACATGAAAAAATGCTCAACATCATTAACCATTAGAGAAATGCAAATCAAAACCACAATGTGATACTATCTCACTCCAGGCAGAATGGCTATTATAAAGAGCCAAAAAATAACAGACTGGCAAGGTTGCAGAGAAAAGGGAATGCTTATACACTGCTGGTGGGAATGTATGTTACTTTAGCCACTGTGGAAAGCAGTTTGCCAATTTCTCAAAGAACTTAAAACTGAACTACCATTCAGCTCAGCCATCCCATTATTGGATCCCAAAGGAATATAAATCATTCTACTATAATGGCACATGTATGCATAGCATTATTCACAATAATAGCAAAGACATGGAATCAACTTAAATGCCTATCAACAGTAGACTAGATAAAGAAAATGTACTACATATCTGCCATGGAATACTTATGCAGCCATAAAAAATAACGAGATCGTGTATTTTGCAGGAACATGGATGGATCCGGAGGCCATTATCTAAATAAATTAACACAGGAACAGAAAACCAAATACCATATGTTCTCACTCACATGTGGGAGCTAAACATTGAGTACACATGGACATAAAGACGGGAACAATAGATACTACAGCCTACTTGAGGATGGAGGGTGGGAGGAGGGTGATGGTCAGAAAACTACATGTCAGGTACTATGCTTATTACCTGGGTGATGAAATAATCTTTACACCAAATCTCCATGACACACAATTTATCTATATAACAAACTTGCACATGTAACCACTTAAACTAAAATGAAAGTTAAATAAAACATGAAAAGATGCTTGATATCATTAGCCAGTTTGAAAAAGCAAATTAAAATTACAATCGGATACAAGAACGTATATCTTTCAATGATCAATAAGAGAAAGAAAAAGAAAAAAGCTATGGTTATTAGAGAGGGTGCAGAGCACCTGAAAATCTCATATATTGCTGATAAGAATGCACAATATTATCACCACTTTGGAAAACAGTATGACGGTTTCTTCTACATATTTAAATATGTAGCTTAGCAACCTCATTCCTTGCTATTTACCCAGATTAAATAAAAACTTATATTCTTATAAAAACTTGTATGTCATTATTTATAGTAGTTTTATTCATAATCACCCAAAGTGGAAAACAGGTCAAATATTCTTGAAGTCGTGAGTGTGTAAACAAACTGTGGTATATCCAAAGGATGGCTTCCTACTTGGCAATAATAAAGAACACACTACTCTTTCATGCAACAACGTGGATTGTCTAAGTGAAATATGCTAAGTGAAAGAAGCCCTTCTCGTCATGATACAGGCTACATGCTATGTAATTCCATTTGTATGACATCCTGGAAAAGGCAGATCTAAAGGGACAACAAACAAATGATGACTGCCAGAATCTGGGTTGGAGCCAAGTGACCTACAAAGGACCATGAGGGAATTTTAAGTGGGGATAGAATTTTTTCTGTATCTTGATTACAGATACAGTACCAAGTGGTGGTTACATTAACTGTATGTGTTTCTCAAAAATCATAGAACTGTACCTTAAAATGGCGAGTTCAGTATTTGTAAATTACAAGCTAGTACACCTTAACAAAAAGTAGAATATAATAAAGCTTTAGTATGAAAAATGTTATGAAACTAACATAAAAACAGAAAACTATACTGTTAGTATGCCACTGAGAGTATGTAAGAAGTTAGTTGATGAATAGTCACTACTAAATGACTGGGAAAAAATTGTGTTGGGAAAACTCTTCACTATATGCGGAAAAGCATAGCTCAATTTCGACTTTATGCTACATATGAAAGTGGGTTTATGTGGTTTAAAACCTAGATGCAAAAGGTAAAATGAAAAGATAATAGAAGAAAAGCAATATCTTTGTGACCCAAGGTCAGAGAAGTCTTAAATAAGACCCCCCCAAAAATAAAACTTAAAGTGAAAACTAGACTTTCCCACATCAAAATTAATTATTTTGAAATGGCACTTGGGAAATTCTCAAATGGGCAACAAATTTATTTAGAGAAATGATACAGCTTATTAGCAATGAGAAAAATTAAAAGATCCACATGAAAATATTAATTAGTGAGAATGTGAGAAGACAAGAATTCTCTGTGTAACCTGGTGTAGCCATTCTGGAAACAAATTGGCAGTTCTTAGTGAAACTAAGTATTGATATACCTTTCAACCAAATGATTACACAGATGAACACATATTTCATAGTTATGGACAGGAGAAAAATTTGAATGTGTTCACTGCAATTCAGGTTGCATAATGGCGCGTTGGAGGCAATCTATGCCCTTGCAGTACAGTAACATACAATAGAATATGGTGGAGGAAATAATTTAAAATATGCTTACCCTGTGAGAAGCAGTAATCGAGATGTACAAAAGTTACTTAACCTCAGTTTCTTCATCTTTAGAAAGGAAATATAATAGTACACATGCAATACAATTATTGAGATCAATGAACTAAATTAAAAATACTCAATAAATATTAGTTACCACTACTTTTATTGTTGCATACAACGGTAAAACAACATAATTTTAATAGTGTTAAGTTTAAAAATTAGAAATGGAGTTAAAAGTTTTTTACAAAGTGAAAAGTCATATAATTCCCACTAATGTTAACTCAGCTGAATCTGTCATTTGAAGCTAGAGTATCTCAAAAGCTTATTTTCTTCCCTTCTAGGCTGTTTGTACCAATATTTCGACAAATCTTTAAGATTTGAAATGACTTATCTCCCACTATTATCAAATCTTGAAAATGTTTGCAATAATTTCTAACATGTTGTACTTTGCATGTTTACTTCTCTACACTTTCTTTCTTTCCAATGGATTATTTACCAAGTTGACTGCTTCTGCACTGTTCCGAGCTGAGCTGTAAGCATACACCATCGCCCTCTGCTGGTTGAACATTTAGCATCCTATGAAGAGTAAGGTCTGAATTCTCTGAGTTCTAAAGTTAAACTTTATGTTATGATTAACTCATAAAATATCAGTGTTACTTATTCTAACTATTTAAGTAGAATTTGCATTCTAGCTTACATGGATTATATAGTAAAATCATTTTTCATTTTAGGTCAGAAAATGTTAAAATATTTCCATAAGATGTCAATGTTATTTCAATGGAATTTAATTTCATGGCAGTTAGTCTAGTTTCTCTCTCTTTCAGATACCCATTCATATAGGTAGTATTTCACTTTCTTTGGTGACTTCTTGAAGTGTTGACTTTTTTTCTTAGATTTAGTATAAAGGTTTGAAATTTCACCTTCCAAACTAATAATAATACCTGCATTAATTCCGACTTTGTAATTTGAATTTATCCTTCTCATCTCACTCACATGCATCAATATGTTTAAAGCTTTATGCTCCTTATCTTTTTTCTTCCTTTTTTGAGATAAATTTTCAGTCACCAAAGCTGCAGTACAGTAATGCAATCATAGCTCATTGTAACATTGAACTCCTTGGCTGAAGTGATTGTCCCACCTCAGCCTCCTGAGTAGCTAGGACTATGAGCGAGCGTGCACCATCAGGCCTGGCTATTTAAAAAAAAAATGTGTAGAGACAGGGTCTCACTATGTTGCCCAGGCTGGTCTTGAAATCCTGGACTCGAGAGATCATTCTATTTCACCTTCCCAAAGTGCTGGTATTGCATGCATGAGTCACCGCACCTGGCCTTTTCTTCTTAAATCAGTTTTCTGGTATTGAGAAGTGTTCAAATATGGAAATTGTTTTCCTGGGAAAAGGTGATTTTAAAGTTTAAATTTTTAAATGTTGTTTGACACTGAATTTTTTTTTCTTGACTAACATGAAAGGAAATAGAAAGCCTGGAAATAACTTTTAGAATTTAACTCCTTAAAAATGGTGGCTTTGAATTAAGCATACAATTTTCATAAAAGTTACTTATTAGTTTGTTGCTTCATTTTGTTGTGTCTTTAATCAGAATTTTAAGATCTATATGGTAAGCTTCTCTGGAGTCTGCCTTGTATAAAAGGCAAACATCCCTCCCCTTCCCATACTTTATCTGAACTGTCGCTGTCAATGACATTTCTCAACACAGTTGTTTCAGTTCTACAAAAAATCAATTATAATTAAATAGACAGTTCTAAGCCTCCAGTCTTGTTGCTTACCCTGATTGTTAATGATCTGTTGTAGGAGGAAATACTTGTCCTCTGTAGAATCTTCTTCTCTGACTCGGAATTTGTGCCAGATAGAAAATGTCCTTAACTAAGAAAAAAGCAGATTCCATGTAATTGAGCAGTTTTGAGTGAGGTTCTTAATCCTGAGTTCTAGTCTGATTGCACTGTGGTCTGAGACTCCTGAATGACTACTGGGTACATAACGAAATGAAGGCAGACATAAAGATGTTCTTTGAAACCAAGGAGAACAAAGACACAACATACCAGAATCTCTGGGACACATTCAAAGCAGTGTGGAGAGGGAGATTTATAGCACTAAATGCCCGCAAGAGAAAGCAGGAAAGATTTAAAATTGACACCCTAACACCACAATTAAAAGAACTAGAGAAGCAAGAGCAAACACATTCAAAAGCTAGCAGAAGGCAAGAAATAACTAAGATCAAAGCAGAACTGAAGGAAATAGAGACACAAAAAACCCTTCAAAAAAATCAATGAATCCAGGAGCTGGTTTTTTGAAAAGATCAACAAAATTGATAGACCACTAGCGAGACTAATAAAGAAGAAAAGAGAGAAGAATCAAATAGACGCAATAAAAAATGATAAAGGGGATATCACCACCGATCTGACAGAAATCCAAACTACCATCAGAGAATACTATAAACACCTCTACGCAAATAATCTAGAAAATCTAGAAGAAATGGATAAATTCCTAGACACATACACCCTCCCAAGACTAAACCAGGAAGAAGTTGAATCTCTGAATAGACCAATAACAGGCTCTGAAATTGAGGCAATAATTAATAGCTTACCAACCAAAAAAAGTCCAGGACCAGAAGGATTCACAGCCGAATTCTACCAGAGGTACAAGGAGGAGCTGGTACCATTCCTTCTGAAACTATTCCAGAAAAAGAGGGAATCCTCCCTAACTCATTGTATGAGGCCAGCGTCATCCTGATACCAAAGCCTGGCAGAGACACAACAAAAAAAGAGAATTTTAGACCAATATCCCTGACGAACATCAATGCAAAAATCCTCAATAAAATACTGGGAAACCAAATCCAGCAGCAGATCAAAAAGCTTATCCACCATGATCAAGTGGGCTTCATCCCTGGGATGCAAGGCTGGTTCAACATACACAAATCAATAAACATAATCCAGCATATAAACAGAACCAAAGACAAAAACCATATGATTATCTCAATAGATGCAGAAAAGGCCTTTGACAAAATTCAACACTTCATGCTAAAAACTCTCAATAAACTAGGTATTCATGGAACGTATCTTAAAATAATAAGAGCTATCTATGACAAACCAACAGCCAACATCATACTGAATGGGCAAAAACTGGAAGCATTCCCTTTGAAAACTGGCACAAGACAGGGATGCCCTCTCTCACCACTCCTATACAACACAGTGTTGGAAATTCTGACCAGGGCCATCAGGTAGGAGAAAGAAATAAAGGGTATTCAATTAGGAAAAGAGGAAGTCAAATTGTCCCTGTTTGCAGATGACATGATTGTATATCTAGAAAACCCCATTGTCTCAGCCCAAAATCTCCTTAAGCTGATAGGCAACTTCAGCAAAGTCTCAGGATACAAAATCAATGTGCAAAAATCACAAGCATTCCTATACACCAATAACAGACAAACAGAGAGCCAAATCATGAGTGAACTCCCATTCACAATTACTGCAAAGAGATTAAAATACCTAGGAATCCAACTTACAAGGGATGTGAAGGACCTCTTCAAGGAGAACTACAAACCACTGCTTAATGAAATAAAAGAGGATAGAAACAAATGGAAATACATTCCATGCTCATGGGTAGGAAGAATCAATATCGTGAAAATGGCCATACTTCCCAAGGTAATTTATAGATTCAATGCCATCCCCATCAAGCTACCAATGACTTTCTTCACAGAATTGGAAAAAACTGCTTTAAAGTTCATATGGAACCAAAAAAGAGCCCTCATTGCCAAGTCAATCCTAAGCCAAAAGAACAAAGCTGGAGGCATCACACTACCTGACTTCAAACTATACTACAAGACTAAAGTAACCAAAACAACATGGTACTGGTACCAAAACAGAGATATAGACCCATGGAACAGAACAGAGCCCTCAGAAATAATGCCGCATATCTACAACCATCTGATCTTTGACAAACCTGACAAAAACAAGAAATGGGGAAAGGATTCTCTATTTAATAAATGGTGCTGGGAAAACTGGCTAGCCATATGTAGAAAGCTGAAACTGTATCCCTTCCTTACACCTTATATAAAATTTAATTCAAGATGGATTGAAGACTTAAATGTTAGACCTAAAACCATAAAAACCCTAGAAGAAAACTTGGGCAATACCATTCAGGACATAGGCATGGGCAAGGACTTCATGTCTAAAACACCAAAAGCAATGGTAACAAAAGCCAAAATTGACAAACGGGATCTAATTAAACTAAAGAGCTTCTGCACAGCAAAAGAAACTACCATCAGAGTGAACAGGCAACCTACAGAATGGGAGAAAATTTTCGCAATCCACTCATCTGACAAAGGGCTAATATCCAGAATCTACAATGAACTCCAACAAATTTACAAGAAAAAAACAAGCCCATCAAAAAGTGGGTGAAGGATATGAACAGACACTTCTCAAAAGAAGACATTTATGCAGCCAAAAGACACATGAAAAAAATGCTCATCTTCGCTGGCCATCAGAGAAATGCAAATCAAAACCACAATGAGATACCATCTCACACCAGTTAGAATGGCGATCACTAAAAAGTCAGGAAACAACAGGTGCTGGAGAGGCTGTGGAGAAATAGGAACACTCTTACACTGTTGGTGGGAGTGTAAACTAGTTCAACCATTGTGGAAGTCAGTGTGGCAATTCCTCAGGGATCTAGAACTAGAAATAGCATTTGACCCAGCCATCCCATTACTGGATATAAACCCAAGGGATTATAAATCATGCTGCTGTAAAGACACATGCACACGTATGTTTATTGTGGCACTATTCACAATAGCAAAGACTTGGAACCAACCCAAATATCCAACAATGATAGACTGGATTAAGAAAATGTGGCACATATACACCATGGAATACTATGCAGCCATAAAAAATGATGAGTTCATGTCATTTGTGGGGACATGGATGAAGCTGGAAACCATCATTCTCAGTAAACTATCACAAGGATGAAAAACCAAACACCACATGTTCTCACTCATGGGTGGGAATTGAACAATGAGAACACTGGGACACAGGAAGGGGAACGTCATACACAGGGCCTTTTGTGGGGTGGGGGGAGGGGGGAGGGACAGCATTAGGAGATATACCTAATGTAAATGATGAGTTACTGGGTGCAGCACACCAACATGGCACATGTATACATATGTAACTAATCTGCACATTGTGCACATGTACCCTAAAACTTAAAGTATAAAAAAAAAAAACAAAAGAAAAAAGCAGAAAGGACAAAAAAGTCTCTGAAAGTGAATTAAATGATAGTATTAGAGCAAGTTTACTTGAAAGCATATTTTATGGGCAAAGAGGGAGCCTCTTCTGGGGTGAGATGCCAGGGAAATGGTAGTGGGAGTAAATTGGGTAAAACATTAAATTTCCCACACTTGTTTTAAAAACAAGTGACAAATTTGGGCTTGAGATCTCCTTGATAGATACCTTTCTAGGATAGTCTACATGAAGTTCTATTTAGCAAAGGCAGATGATTTTAGAAAATCCATATTTAGCTTCACTATTGAGAAAAACATTTAAATTTTAGCATTTACCTACTACAGATTTCTGACTGTGCCTCAATATATCTGAAGCTTTATTGGCTGACTTTCAGGACAAGATCACTGTTCTAAAATTGCCAGAAATTGGCCTTGTGTAACTTTAAAGAGAGAGCAGTAGATATTATGGTTGATATGTTCTTTTTGTTGTTGTTTTGATGAGCCCCTTTGGCCGTTTTGATTGATATTGCTTGTGTTTTGGGAGGCCAGGACTTTGGGAACAGCATCCAAACACAAATCCTTCAGGCTGTCAGGTTAGGTATTCTATTTAATGATTTGACTGCATCACTGAAGAAGTCATCACCTTTGTGAAAAAAAGGATTTAAATGTCAAGAATTTTCCAAGGTTTCTCTCGCAAGAAGCTTCCTGAAGCTTGTGGGTATGGGGAGCTTGAGGGAGTAGGAACTGAGATTTTTCTTAGAAGTCAAGCGAAGGGCTCAAAGAGGAAGGTGGCCACAGAGGATTCAATGCTTGAGTTCTCCTCAACATTGCAACAGAGATACCTAATATTAATTTACTAACTCTTGTAATCAGAACCACAATAACTGGTTTTGGAATGGGCACAAGACTTGACTGATTTAATGAAAATCAGTCAGAACTCCCAATAAAAATATGGGAAAAGAAACTCATTTTTCACTCAATTGCTAATCCAGAAAAATAGATATTCCTGAAGCTACTGGTGACCATTTTTGCCAGATTTGGGGAAAACTTCCTTTAGAGGAAATCAGATGTTAGAAATAAAGTCCTGACGGAGAGAAAAGTAATTCTTCTCCTGCTACCCTCTCTTTCCAGTTTAGTAGTAATTCTAGCATTCTGATTGCTGGAGATAGAAAAATTTAAGTTACATTTCAGTTCCCTTTTCTCTCACATGCTGCATTTGTTTTCTTGGCTCTACTTTTATAATATAGAGAATTTAATCACATTAAAAAAACTATTGTGCATCATTGGCCTCCCTACATACCTTTTGCATTGTGACTTTGCTACATTTTCCATAAAGTGAGAGAACTATTCTTTACCCCTTGACTCTTGACTAGCTTTCGTGACTTGCTTTGGCCAACAAAATGTGGAAGAGGTGATTGTGACAGTTCTGTGGCCGAGCCACAAAGGCTGTGAGTGCTCCTGCTTTGTCTCTTGAAATCCTGCTACCACCATGTGAACAACCTTGGACCAGCCTGCAAGAATTAGGGCACATAAAGAGGAGATCCCAGTCATCCCAGCCCAGATCATACAAGTCTATCTGTGTCTAACCTACAGTTAATCAATCTTCCAAAATGGAGGAGGGCTAAGATCAACTGAGCTACCTTGAAGTCAATTACAGATGTATGAGTGGGCTCAACTGAGAACAGAGAAAGAAAATATCCTGATGACTAAAGATACATGAGTGAAAATTAATGTTTATAGTTTTAAGTCGCTGAGTTTTAGGGTGATACACCCATCAATTGGTCTTTCTATTTCTAATTTTTCTCTTCCTATTATGGTCATCAGAATAATCTTATCAAATCATAAGTTAGCTTATGGTACTCATCTCCTTAAAACACAGCAATGGTTCTAATTTCATTCAAAGTGAGAGCCAAGCTCCTTAAAAAGGCTCACAGGGCTATGTATGGTCTGGCCACTGGATACCTCTCTACATCCATCTCTTTCTGGCTCCTTTACTCACTTTTCTTCAATTACCCTGCATCCTTGCAAATCTCACACTCCCTAGACTTACGCTATCTTAAGGCATTTGCACTTGCTGTTTCCTCTGCCTAGGATGCACTTTCTCCAATCATCCATGTGGCTCACTCCTTTAGCTCCTTTCTATCTTGACTCAATATCACTTTTTCAGTGATATTTTTCCCTGACTACTTAAAATAGCAGCACCAATTTATCACAGCTCTCCCTATGTGCTTTCCCTGCCTTATTTTTCTATCACTTATCAGCATCCAACATACAATATGTTTTAGTATACTTTAAAAATATTTGTGATGTATTTTTTTATTGTAAACTACATGATGTCAGAGATCGTTCTAAATTTAGTTCACTTTTCTATCTCCAATCTTTAGAATAGTGCTTGGCTCATAGTAGGTCCTCAATAAATATTGTTAAATGAAGGAACCTTTACATGATTATGCCTAGAGTTTTCAGTTAGGTGAGCCAACAAATACCTTTAAAAATTCCTTTGATTTAATTTGGATTTCTGCTACTAGCCTCTGACAGATCTGTGACCAAGTCAGAAGTTGTCATCAAGTAAATGGAATCTAAAGCCAAAGAATAGGAGAAGATATTCCTGGGAGAGTCCGCAGAATGGGAAGAAAAGAGGATCTAGGTCCCTGAAAGAATCAAATTTTCCAGGCAGAAAGCTAACAGAGTAGGAACCCAGATAGGAAATTGCTATTGTGAAGGTCAAGAGAAGAGAAAATTCGAAGACAGAGGGCATTGTAAAGTGTCAGATTTTGCCAAGAGCCCAAATAAGGTACAAGTTGGGGGGTGCTGACTAAAGTTTCATCTTGCATCCTCTTGCTTAGCATGTGACTTTTTCTTTTGTGGAAATTGTATAGCAGCTCCTTGTCCTCTCTTTTATAGAATTAATTTTGTAATATTTGTTTCTGATTGCCTGTATCCTTCTCACACTGGGATTGAACCTCACCAGGAAACTCCTGGGCTTTGCACCATTCTCTTTCAAAGAATCCATTTGGGTTGGAACACCAGTAGAATGGTACATTATAGAAACTAGAATCACTTCACCATAACCTTGCTTGCATTTTTTTCATATGTTTTTGGATCTTGATCCATCAACAAAAATCATTCACCACAGCCAATTACAATGACTTTGGGGAAGCGTTTCTTTCTTTAGTAATTTTGGAAACCATAGGGACCATTTAAGGATTCTGTAGATGAATATTGTGAATTAAAAGAAAGAAGAAAACCAGTGAGGGGAGAAATCATATTATAATGAAAAGTGTTAGCTTTTTAAAGATGAGCAGCTGGGATTTCTGTATCAGGCAATCAGAGCTAAACCCCTGTGTATTAATGCACTAATGCATTCTAAAGATTTCCATAAAGTGTTTTAGAGTTAGGTTATGCATGCTCTCTCACTCTGTCTGGGAGCCTTCATGTGCATAATTTCTAATAAAGATGACCATGGCTCACTCTTCCCCATACCCAAGGGAACAGTTCTGCTGAATAAAATTTCTCAGCTTATTCATCACTTCTCCTTGAGGATTCTGATCTGAAGGCGGCACATGAACTCATTCTATCTTTCCAAATGATAAATTTTATATTCTGTTATGTTCCCCAAAGATAGCATTAGCCCTTGAGAAGGACTCCTTCAAAACCCAAGTCCACTGAAACCACAGGTCAGAGTGAGAATAGGGTCCTGGACACCACTTCTCCAGGGCGACCACCAAAGTCCCTTCCACTCATTCAGAGATGAAGCCTGTCAGTAGGAAGAAAAAAATGTGTCCCTATAGCCCATTTCCACCCTGAGTCTTTTTTGACAGAACGAAGACTGCAATTTGGACCAAAGTGGAGGTCCTTTAGTTATGTGCTGGGAACTCAAATTCTCTGGGAATAATGCCAAGACCACCAGACATATTGAACTCACAACTTTTTACCATCACATCATCAGAATGAGTTTCAGTCCCTCTGGTCAATATTGGATTCTGACCAATGTGAGTCAGGTGAAAGGTTACTAACTTAAAAATTACTTTGATTTTTTTTCTCTCCATCTGAACTCTTCCCATTGTCCTGCTAATTAACTCATGTTTATCACTTCTTAATACAAGTTTATATGTCACTCTACATATAAACAACCAGTAGTCCAAGCTACTCGTTGGCAAATGTCTGACTTTCACCCCACTTGGCCAAATACAGCTATTGTATTTAATTTGAAGATTTTATAACCTTATTTAAGAAGGTCTAGTTTATAGGGAACTTACAAATAAGAATTAAAAATTGCTTTAAAATCTGACTGTCATGTTGAATGTATACAAGGAAAAATTTCCTTCTCCTCCTTTAGGTCTTGCCTTTCTGAAAAATGAGACTTAAGTAGACATAGAGGTTTCATTGCTTTGGCCAATTAGAGTAATGCAAAGGGAATAATTACACAGTATGGTTAAAGAAAATCAAGTCTGATGACACATTTGATTCAGTAGTGACAACCCATGACTGCATGAGTAATGATAGATCTCAAAATATTTTGCAGGAGATTTTTATTTTTATTTTTATTTTTGAGATGCAGTCTCGCTCTTGTCACCCAGGCTGGAGTGCAATGGCACGATCTCAGCTCACTGCAACTTCTGCCCCCGGTTCAAGTGAGTCTCCTACCTCAGCCTCCCAAATAGCTGGGATTATAGGCGCCCGCCACTATGCTCGGCTAATTTTTGTATTTTTAGTAGAGACAGAGTTTCACCATATTGGCCAGGCTGGTTTCAAACTCCTGACCTCAGGCGATCCACCCAACGGGGCCTCCCAAAGTGCCAGGATTACAGGCGTGAACCACCTCGCCTGGCCAGGAGATGTTATCGAATTATTCTTCAGGATCCCATGAGCTGCCCACCCCTAATAATGGTGCATTTTTTTCCCCATAGAAAAAACATAGGGAATGGTCATCCTTCACAGGCATGGGGGTTTTGACAGCAATTTTCATTATTATAGTCAAAAAATATTTGACAACATGTTTTGAGCTGGAAATACAGATGGAAAGCAAACTACGTTTTTCTTTTAACAAAATGTTTTCCCCCAGTGCTGGTGAACTTAACCCTGCTGGTAAAGGATTGAAGGGCACAGCTGGACTGTACTGAAACTTTCAGATTCTGAGGCCTGAATAAGTTCAACATATTTAAGTTTTAATAATACCAAACAAAGTAGCTGCCCAAAATACTTAATGCGACTCATAGCAACAAAAACGTATTAATCCCTCAAATTAAAAGGCGAGCATATTTTTGCCTGCTGTTCATAGAGAAACACAATGGGTTTTTTGTTGGTTTGTTTGCTTGTTTTGATTTATTTTCATAGGTCAAGGTGTGTGTTTGGGGTTTTTCCAGGCAAAGCAGCCCTTCTCCTCCAGTCTTTGATACTCCTTTTGAAATAAGAAAAATTGCCTCCATATTGCTATCAAACGTGGATCTGAATTGTCTTTGCACAGATAGAAATAATTATTCAGCAAAGGCCACACCCACATAAGAACCACTGTGAAGGTATCTAAAAGGGTGCTCATTTCAGAGCTTAAGAAGCCCTGACCTGCGCCCCATTTGCCAAATCCCTGAAGAAACAGGCCAAGTGTTTTCTAGTTGAAGAACCTCAGAAATTACTGGGGCTTCTGGCTTCTATTCCCAGCTACACCATCAGATCGTGGAGTGACCTGTAGGTCAGCTTCTCTGTGGCATTCGTGGAGATGGTTAACCACATACAGAGGAGAGGTGGGATGCATGTTTAATGTTTGCTTCGAGCATCTTGCTTGAAAGGTGTTGTATGCTCTTTGAGACAGGAAGTTTAGCACATGATGTCATTGCTTCCAACATATGCTCAAATATCAAAAAAAAAAAAAAGGGGGGGGAAGTAGCTAAAGCAATACTATTTTGTTGGAGGGTGTTGTCAGGAATTGAAGGAAGGGTGAATGGATAAATAGGTGGCAGGTTGTTTTTCTACGATAAAGCAAAATTTTTGCATCATGTCAATCTGACAAGTGGAATTTAAAAAATATTTCCAGCAAGGTGTGATGTACACTGGAAATATTTGATGAAAGAACATGGGGAAGTGGTTGGGGACCTGGAAATATGGACTTGATTTGAGCCCTTGGATGGAAATCCCCTTTTCTGGGTTGTTTCCATGACTTATAATATTACACTGATGACATTTGCATTCTCCAGCCCAGGATTAGCTAGAAGAGAAGGAAGGGCTCAGTTCAATTGCTTTTAGTGAACACATAAACCACAACATCTATGAAAGATAATTCTAATTAAAGGATAGTAAACTCTAAGTCCATTTAACTCTCACATAGGTAACAGGATTATACACAATTCTGTTGTTGTGTATAACAAAATTATACGTAATATAAAGAGGAAATTTTTTTCATGGTCATTTGCATTGTGGTTTTTAGTTGAAAAAAGTCATAATTTGCAGATGGTGATGTCAGATCCATTCCCACAACAGAGATTAGACAATACCACAAACACAGATTTATGGTTTCATGGGAGAAATCTCCTCTTTGCAAACAGTATCTTTAACAATGGACTACTGGCACAGAGGGAAATCTACCATATGCACATAAAAGATATGGTATTTTATTGTCAATTATGAACAGTGCATAGAAACAGATACTAGCTGCTTCTGTTGTGCTGACTCCCATTCAAGATCACCAACTCAAGGAAAAATTCAACATCAGTTAAATTTTATTTTTATTTTTATTTTATTTATATATTAACAATATATAGCCATTATATATTGAAGTCACATAAGGTAAATGGCATCATGGCTCATTCATGTAAAAAAATTATCAAAATGCTCACCACCATTAACAACAAAATTATGAGAAAATATGTGGTATTTCTACCAATGTAACTTCTATATCAAGAATTTTAAAAAACTTATTGTATAGCCCATATTTAGTAGTTGAGGAAACTGGAGAAAAACATTGTTACTTTATTTTCTTTCTCTGTAGAAAGACATGATTTGACTAAAGCACCAAAATTTCTTCTAGCTTTAAATTTATCATATTATATAAGTTTTTCACTTGCTAAAAGTTACAAATTTTCTAATAGTATCTTGACACTGCACTTAGTAATTTCAGAATAAATTACTTTAAGAAATTGTTTCCATCTCAGCATTTTGTGATGTAGTGCTTTTCTTTCTCTTCAAATACTAAATACTGTCTTATCCCAAAAAGGATTTAAGGAGATTTATAAATATGCACACAATATAGCAAGTTAAATAAATATCTAACAAAAGTAAGGCAAAGGGAAAATAATGAAATCAGAGAGTAATGTGGTTGATTAACACTTTCATAACATTAGCTCCGTTTTTTAGAGATAGTCTCACATTTAGATTTTATCATTCCAAAAACAAACGAGAAATGGGAAAATAGTATCAATGAAAAGACTAGTTTCTCTAAAACAGTGGTTTCTCAAAATGTGGTCTGAGAATGCCTGGTGATCTCTTACACTCTTTGGAGGGCTATAAAGTGGAAACTATTTTTAATAGGACAAAACCATCATTGCCGTTTCTTTCTCATTCTCGCAGGACGGCAACATAGAGTCTTCCAGGGGCTACATGGTATGTGATGCTGCTGTCACTTTGAGGACTAATGGAATGTGGGCTTATGTATGCTGATATTTTAAAATTTTCTGTTCCAATCCCTAATACAAATATTAATCGATCCAGCTCACAAATATCAAAGCACTTTAGGGGTCCTGAATCATTTTTGAGAGTATAAAATGATCCTCAGAAGTGCTTTTCTAAAGTACAAACAATTTTGTTTGTTTTCACTTTCCTGACATTAAAAACTGAAAATTTTCATGTAAGTTTAATATTAGTTATTCTATTTGATCATGCAAAGTAAATAATTTTTCAGTTACTTATGATGAATTATAATCATAAGTATACTGATGGATCTTATTGGTCTCTAACTTTGAGACTATTGACCTTTGAGGAAATGATGGAAGCTATGAAAACTCTCACTTCAATATAACAACAGACAAAAAATCTTACAAAGAATTTCATAATGTTTTTGAACACCCCGGAGTCTGTTTGTTGACACCATCAAGTTCTAAGAACTCCTACACAAGGACAAAGAAAGGAACACAGATATCTTAGTTTCTTGTGATTGATTTGTTTAAATTGCTGTAAGACACAGCTTTAATAGTTTAAAACACCAGTTAAATCTGTGCAATAAGATAGAGAGAAGCTTAATAAATGGTGCCTCTTTTTTTTCTTCTCTCTCTGTTTATCCACACATCATAAATTAAGGTGAAGTATTTCTAGTTACATGGTAACTCACTCTACACCAGAAAGGAATTACTTTTTCTAATCATGTTGTTGTGTGGAAGGTTTTGCTGGCTCAGTTTTTCTTTCTTAGATCCTGAAAATGACAATCTTAATTGCATAACATAACTCATTTTTTGGAGCACTCTAATGGATTTCAAAATGGAAATACAAAAGTCTCACAGATTTTAAAAACTTGGCCTCTTTCAGCTAGGTGAGCTAGTGTAGGACTGCAGAGATGCTGATAAGGACCTTTGAGTTCCAACTATAGCTTCTGAATTCACTGAGATATATTTATTGAGTGCCTCCCATAGAATAGACCTGAGCACTGTAGATGATATTTGAGTAAAGTACATTTGGCTGAAACTGAAGATAGACATTATTTATATGGGAGATTGTGTAACATGATCAAGTAGAATGGTGAAAAAGAAGGTCTCTAAGTTCAGAAGCCTGGGTAGGTGCTAGCATTTACTGGCTGTATGGCTTGAGCGAGTATTTTAATCTGGTTTATTGAACTGGCATAACGATAGTACCTGATGCATAGAGTTATTGTGAGAGTTGAATTAAGTAATGTATATAAAGTACAGAAAAAAGTATGTATCATATAACAAGTGCTCAGTAAAGGTTATTACAGCACAGTGCTGCAGAGTGTGATGCAGTGAAAAAATGCAGTATGAATTTGGAGAAGAAAAGGATCACCAGGGGTCAGAAGGATCTATAGGAGAGTTCGTGGAGAAGGTAAGGCTTCAGCTGTGGGGCTACTAAGTAGTGTGGGGAGTTACAAAGTTCTGGGTGCACCATAAATTTAAAACCTAATGGAGGAGAGAGGATCAGCCCCAATACGTATAAGCACAAGTGTCAGAAACATGGAAAGAATGCTCAGGTCTCTGGAGATATATATAGAAGTGCTAAAACACAGGCAAGTGAAAAGGATAAAGAGTGGGTGTGAGTTATTAAAATGATTGGAGTGGAGCAAAGTATATTGCACTACTTATGGGACCAGATTGTTCCATTCATCCCTCCCAAATTAAATTTCACTTTTCTCATAGGGATCTTTTGTGGGTAATGGTTCCAAAGGGAGGATTTGTCTTTTATTTTATTTATTTCTGAGGAAAACACACCTTACGCACATAGAAAATACACATTCCCCCTTCAAAAAATGAAGCACCAAAATTCAAAGTTTATGTGCTTTTAAGACATTTATGTTTTTGTCTTTTCATTGAAAGAACTCAAAAAATAAAAGATTATGGAAGAAATTTTGAAAAAAGGATTACAAGTACACATGTTAATGGAAATGGCTATTTCTAGAAAATTTCGAGGATATTTTAATGTAATGGCTTTGCAATTCTTTGCTGATTTTTTTAGGGTTCATGATGAGATGATATATCCTGGCTTTGTTAGTGCACCTTTCCTGATTAAGAGCCCCCATTACTCTAATTAAAATAACACCATCTGGTTTTAATACTGCATAATAACTCTTTTACCCATTAATCCCAGGGCTGAAGCAACATTCACAACCTGGACCTTATAGAGGTCATGCAGTATTTGTTCACTTGTTGCCACAATTTATGGACTCACTGGTGGATGAGGCTAAGAGGTGGTGGGGCTGGAATTAAAGTAAATAAATAAATAAAAGGTAGAGAAGCCAGAAGAAAAAAAAAGAACACCACTGGAGTTGTATGCATACATGCTAGATTCTCTTCTCTAAACGGAGCCCTTCAGATTCTAGAGGGAAGAGTTTTTGAAAAGGTAGCACTTGACAGACCTCAAGAAAGTAAGTAAGGAAGCCCAGCGAAGTTCAAGTGAAGGTGTATTTGTGGAAGCTATACTAGGCAAAAGGACTCAAGGACGGATGAGTTCAATGGGAACAAGCTTGATCTGTTCATGGGACAGAAAGAAAATCAGTTTGGCTGGAATGCCACAAGAGAAAGGGAGAGAGATAGGAGATGAGGCCTAGAAGATAGGCCGTATCACAAGGGATTTAGAGGCTATTATGAGGGAATGGGAGACTTCAGAGTATTTGTAGCCAAGGAATGGTGTGAGAATTATTTTTTCCTTAATGTTTAGTAAGGGAGGGGGAAGCCCACACTGATTTTTTTTAAAAGCCAACTGATATTCAGAAAAATCAGGAAGTGGTGTGAACTGAAAAGACCCAGAAAACTCCAGCTGTCTCTTAGCACTAATTAATGACTGATAGGCAGAGGTTCAGGCCCAGAATTTCCCTATAGGGAGAATGTTTCTTTTTCAGGAGGATCTAGAAATCCATATTTGTATGTGATAAACTTTCCTTTTTCAAAATATTGGTAAATAATACAAATTTTTCTAGAATCAGTCAACCGTTGACCCTTGAATAACACGGGTTTGAGCTGCACTGGTCCATGTATATGCAGATTTTTTTCCAATAAATACAGTTCACTTTCCTTATCAGTGAGTTCCACATCCAGAACCAAATGTGGATGGAAAATGCAGTTTTCACAGGATGCGAAACCCAACCATACTGAGGGCTGACTCTTATTGGCTGATTTCCCAGGGCCATTGCGGGGCTCAAGTGTTTTGAGATTTTGGTATCCGCTAGCAGTCCTGGAACAATTCCCACACAGATACCAAAGGACAACTGTACAAGCCAGCTGTCTGTGTACAAAACTAAACATGTTTGGCAGCCAGATTAAGGCCTGGTCTTGATAATTTACCATCATTATGACATTACATCTTGACTCTTGTAGATTGTGAAAGAGGACAATGAGAAAGGAATGGAATCCTGAGGTTGGAGAGTTGCTTAAGCCCAGGAAGTCAAGGCTGCAGTGAGCCATGATAGCACCATTGCACTCCAGCCCAGGCAAAAGAGTAAGACCCCCCCCACCAAAAAATAAATAAATAAATAAACCTCAGGGCTTCAAGAAAAACATGTATGAACTGAGAATCAATTTTATCTTTAAGGAGTCAAGCATAATGAATGGATGAATGGATGATATCAACAAAGCACTGTTTAGTATAAGAAATCACAGTCCCTCCAGAAGCTGATACATTCTCTAGGCCACACTATGGAAAGAAACAAGAAATAGTAATATTTTTAAAGAACATATAAGAGAACTTGGCCCACAAATAAAGCACAGGTGTGAAATCAAAGCATATTGGTCGTAGTTCAGACAAATCTCCACCTCTACTTCGTCTGGCCTCCAACCCAGTGATCTTGGCAAGTCATTTGGTTCTGTCTGCATTTCAGTTTCCGTGACAGGATGATTAACGTTTAAAAAGTGTATGCAGTCAAAGAGTGGTGTATATATTTTCATTATGTTTAGTAACTAGGTGTATTATCTACATAGAGATAGTGCTCTAGTAAGAGACACAACAGAGCATAAGTTCAGTGGAAACTTAAATTGACTTCTAAAATATAACAATATTTTCAAAGAAATGGTGATTTTCTACTCTGAACCATGTTCTCACAGCAGAATGCAAGGTGGGGATAGGATGGAGAGCCAATTGTTATTTTAGTGTGTTAGTCATACTAAGTCTAATAATTCCAGCCACATACTCCTTAAATTCTGTTTATAAAAATCACATTCCTACTCTTCACTCTGTTTGTGAAATTTTGCACTTTCAAAATTACCTTTCAATTCTCTACATATCAAATGATATAGATTTTAGTTATATGCCTTATAACCTGAAGAATGTGATAAACCCTTAAGTTGTTCTCGTTAATGTCCAAATACTGACTGGTGGTTGAGTTTGTCCTCTGAAAAGAAATGAACAGGGAGCAATATTGGGTGGAGGAGAGAGTGACATGTTGATTGTTAGCCCTAATACCAGCACTAACTTCTACGGTTTTGGAGGAAGTTAGGAAACTGTTTTAGGATGTAATCAAAAAAGCTTACAGTAAAGAGATGATTGCCAAAGATAGCCTTTAACCTCAGCTCTGATACTCATGAACTCTTTGACAGCAGGCAAGCCACAGAATCTTCCCAAATCGTAAACAGGCTGATTTCTAATGAAAGCAGTATAAATTCATGATTAAAAGTGAAAGTTCTGGCTTCAGACAGTCAAGGTCTCAAATCCTGGCTTAACCTCTCTTAACTGTGCAGAGGTTACTGTGACGGATGACATGAGATGATGTAGAGACAGCACTAAGCCAGCGCCTAGTCTATAGCAAACATTCAATAGAAAGAATTACAGCTTATTGTAAAGAATAAAGTGTAGCTTATTGTAAAGAATAAAGTGTAGTAACACCCTTGATGGTATTCTGAGACAAAGTAAAAAGTGCTGAATAGATGTAAGATTATTATCACTACTATTATTTTTTAATCCTATGGGGAGATACCTTATGAATTATGCTTTTTGCCAAGTGATAATGAGATAAGATGACCTAATGAGTAAGAAGAGAATGTTGGACTAACACAATACTGTTTGGATAGTCCTTAAGTCACTGGTTTTTCTGTAAAGCCCCCATTCCTAACAGCAAATTTTCACCCAATCAATCTTTCTAAATGTTCCCTTTATTTGTCCTATTTCAAGGTTACCAAAACATGTTTTTCTAAAAGGGAAGTCCACCTAGTTCCTGCTCCCTGAACATTTTCTTGAATCACCTCTTCCTACCCCTTTCTCCCAGATGATCAAACTCTTCTGCCTATCTTACTCTTAACACTGAGTAGATCTCTCTTAGGGTTGTCTTTTCTATTAAACAACAGATACCCATTTTCTTCTGTAACCTTAAAACAGTGTTTTGAGCAACTTTATATTCATTGAAGAAGTGAATCCTAAATGCTTTCAAGTTGCCTTGACCTCTCTTATATTAGGAAAAGTTTTGTACAGCATCCCCACATTTCTCCAGAGCTAATACTGATTTTTAACAGTCTCAAACTGAAGCCCATAGTGTCTTGGGGTGTTTACTCCCTGTACAGAATGCAAGGTCCCTTGAAACATGTAAAACACAGTCATGTTGTGTGTTCCCTTCAGGCATTATAAAAGGAAGCATCACTATATTTGAATCTTGAAAAGTTCTAAGACATGGACCTGTGTTAAACAGCTTGAAAGTTACTCTGAAATTCCCACAGACATTGCTGCATCTAACGGTTATCTAAGTCAGCTTTATGTATGGCATACACTTGGGCACAGAATTGTTGACTATTAGGAAGAACAAGATCCCATTGGAAGGAAAGATAGGAAGGGAGGAAAATAAATGGAGGCTAAAACGGTCTTAATTTCAATGTCTGCCTGAAAAGCTTAAGTAGGACTTAGAATATTTTACAGGTGCTAGCTGATCTGATATTCTCCATCTGTTACTAGGCCCTGGAGACTGACTGGCCATTAAACACAAAATGATGACTGGTGCAGCAGGTGCAGTGAAGTGGGAAGGTGTGGAGCAAATAAAAAAGTCCATGGCATCCGTAAGAAATGCTGACCCCCAGGAAATTTTAAAAGGTTATGTGCACTGTGGTATTCATGACGTATGTGTGAGAGGTATGATGGCAAGTGTATTTCTCATGAAAGTACTTCAATTACTTGCATACTGTTATTTCTTTAGAATTCCCAGGTCCTGAACTATACAATTACTTAATACTCAAAGAGAACTATTACTTACTTTGAGAAATTTCCCTTTAATGCAATTCATTGGCCCAACGTCAATGGGAGAGTTGCCTGAGCTGCACCCTTTGCTAAAATCATTTTCTAAGCCTACTGCTGTGTGTTAACTATTCTGTTCCCGTAAGTTTTTCTTGACACCTTTTGGTATCTATGTCAAATTGAAGCTTCTTATTAGCACGTTTTGGGATTCCCAGCATTCCACTTGATGATGCATCTCTTTTTTTATACTCTCACTGGAAATTCTGCTCAGTCTTTGTTCTCTGATCCCTGTTTGTTCTCTTTTCTATATTGTCCTGCCACTCCCTCACCCTTTCATTTGTTTGCAACCACTTCCCTTAGCACATCCAATAAGCTCTATTTTGTGGATGTAATTCTTCTTTCGTAGAATTTTTCTTAAGATCTCAAGATGGCTGATGAGAGATTTACAAAGATCCACTTTCTAAGGAATTTCTGATATTCTACTGAGAGGCAATTCTTTACATATTAAATACAAGGACAGTGGACAGGAAATTTTTTTTTAACTTTTCTTATCAACAGTTTATTTTTCTGTGTTCCTCAGGCTAGTCTAGAGAGACTCCCTTCTTTCCTTCACCACCTTCATTCTTTCACTACAGCTGGAAGGAAAGATAAGCAATCCAACAGCAAATCCACCTCCAGCATACCCTAAATCCAACAACTCTCATGGCTTTCACTTTACCTCACTTATCCGAGCCAGCATTTCTTGCCTGGATGCCCTACTGCCCTATGGTCTATTCTCCACACAGCAGACTGGGTGATCCTGGGGAAACATGTCAGCTCAAGCTACTCGCTTGCTCAAAAGCTTCTACCAGTTCCATATCTCTTTCATAATAAAACTAATGATGGTTAATAAGGTTCTACATGACCTGACCAAGCTACTTGTCTAGTCTCATCTCTTATCTCCTCCCTTTTTTCATCCTAGTCTCCATTTTCAACCTCTTCCCATTGTCAAATGTTTACCTTGCTCTTCCACTGCCCATGTCAGTTTCTCCAGACATTTTCATTGTCACTCTGTCACTTCAATCAGGTTTCTGCTCATAATCTGCCTTCTTTAAGAGATCTTCCCTCACTGGAAAATCTAAAATAACACTAATCATCTCCCTCTGTTCCTTTACTCTCCTTCAATTTTCTTCACAGTGCTCATCTTTGTCTCCTGTAGTATTGATATTTTTGTTATTTAGTTTTCTGCCTCCTAGCCATTGCCCTAAAAATTAACTGGAATGTAAAAATGTACTTTATTAGTTTGGTACTCTACTTCTACTCATTGTGCTTACAAAGTGGCCTAGCACATAATAGACGCTTGATGAATATGTTGAATGACGGAATGTAAATTAGGAGTGTCTTCTTAGCTCCTAGGAGTGTATACTTTGCTAAAATAACTTTCAGAGGTATCAATAGCAATTTTAATTCAGGAATCTATTGATGTTATGGTACAAGTAGAACAAATGCAGAGATGAGGAAGTAAATAATTCTACAGCATGAAGCAGTGGAACCTGCCACTGTGCACAGCCCTGAAAAAGTTCCGCTTGTAAGACAATTGGAGCACACATCACCAGACAGAGCCTATTCTGAATTAAGCACTGGTGAGGCTTTGAGTAGGCTAACTACAAAAGAAAGAAGCCCTAATGAGGCTAATGTCATGGCAAAATTTTTAAAGTTGACCACGTTTACTGAAGGCAGCAATACCTCAATTACCACTCACTCCCTATAAGGAGATAGAATACAAGTGGCTTCTCCTCCCACCCTACTATAAGGAAAAATATAGTGCCATATCTAACTTCTTGATGGGACATTTTTCCCATATAAGTTTAAGTTTCACAGACCATGGGGTACAGACACCTGGTTTGGATTTACTGACATTTTTAGCAAACCAAAACCAGATTTTTCTCCATCTTTCTACATTCAGAGTCCATTCATCTCTGCTATGATTTTTGGCATTGTAAGCCCTGCATATGTTAACAGCACTTTGCCTAAGGTGTCTGTTCTAAGAACAAGATTAGCTTGTTTTCTAAATGTGGTGGCACCTTTGGCTTAATTGAGTGTGATATAATAATTCACTGGACTTTAGTAAAAGTGAGCTGCATCAGAGATTGTTGTCAAACTAATAAATCTTCTGAGGTTCTATCGAACCAGCAGTCATTCTAGTGGGAAACTGCTCAGGCCATAGCTGCTGAAGAAGTTCTAGCTCACCCAGGCATCTGGAAACCCTATGGCTGAGACAGAGCAAAATATGGAATAAGGAAGAAAAATTTTAGCTATTAACCTGAAGATTTTAAACTTTGATGTCTTTGGGCTCTTTATCATAAACAGGAAGATAATGATTGCAGACTTTAATTCTTTTGAACTTCAAGTTATTTTGACTTTAACATGCAAGAGGATTTAATTTTTGTCCTTTACTTTCTCCCTAAGAAATTTTCAATGGAAGAAGATTTATATTCAAAGGTGGGGCATCTCTGCATTGTTAGAATTTTATTAATGAAATGCTTTCACATATTTTATTATCATATACTCAATGCATCATTTAGTCTCACTGCAAAATCCCTAATAGACTGTGTTAGATGACATGATGGATATAATTTGGGGCAGTTAAAAGAATAGAGAATTATTTTCTAGTCCTGGATATAGAGTGGTCTTGAAGTTTATTTAATTAATGTATTATTTTCATACATTTTGCTAGCTCCTGGGGACAACAGCTAAATTTCCCACCACACCACATCCTGAGAGGATCCATAAAGAAGAAATGGATGTCATTAGGAAAAAAGACTTCATCAGGCACTTCCCCTAGGAGGTAGCAGGTCAGATTTTGGCTAAAACTCATATCTTCACCATAGACAAATGGTATGCACAATGGGTTAAAAATATCTGGGGAAGGATATGAGGAGGGCTTCTTCTTTCTCAATCTTTAAAGTGAGTTCGATGTGGCATGGAATGATCATCTTTGTCTCACTCCACCCCTCACTCACTCCTTTCATGTAGTACAAATTGTCCAGCTTTGGAAAATTTTGGATGAGATTTTTGAATGAGAAATGCATAGTTCAGCCCACTTTCCACCCACTTCATCTTCGGTGTTAACTGCCAGAAGGAGGCCTGTCATTCTGTTCTGCCCATCCATATTATAAATTTTACAGGGCAGCTCCCATAAGATGGAACTGATATAGTCTGGTGTTGAATGTGAATGGGCACAGAATCTATTTCTGGTGTTTAGTGTTAGAATGTCTTCTTGCTCACAGGTATATGCTACATTTTTCAATATCAGCTTCACCAGCAATAGAGTAATCTTTCATTTGCCCATTTTTTAAAAAAATCTGTTTTTCAACTGGCCTGATTTTGAGTGAAGACAATTATAATTGAACGTTTTTCCCTAAAATCCTAAGGCTACAATTACATTTACAAAAGTGTAACTGAATGTTTTCCCCTAAAATACTAAGGCTACTTAAGGGTATTTTATTTCTTAACTAAAAAAAAAAAAATGTCAGGACAATTTGTCACTTCTCAGAGCATCTCACTGAGCACAATAGAAAAGAAAAAGATCGCCTATATGATTGTTATAGTCAAAAGCACACTTTAACTAGAAAATATAAATATTCTCAATTTGAGGAAATGGCCAATGATTTAAGAATATCCTTAAATGACTAATTAACATATGGTGGAAAGTATTTCAGCAATGCTTAAGGTATTTTTAACTCTAACTTCTAGCTGTGGGACTGTTTTAGCTTCATGAAGCAGCCATAGCTACATTTAATTCATTCACTATGTCACAGAATGTTTATTATCCACATATGCAGCCCATTCTGATGTCTAATAAAACATGGGCTCTTGTAGCATCCCTGCTCATACTTGGTGAACACTATTCCTCAAAACACTCCTGACATCTCTGGTTCAGGAAGCAGAGGAAAGACTTGCTTCCCAGGAAGTGGATTTGATTTCACTCAGTTTCTCTCCAAACACAGAAAAAGGTATCGTGTAGCTCACGTTCATTGGTTCATGTAGAAATGAACCAATACTCTAAGCATAATAGTATTTCCATTTTGGAAAACTTTAGCCTAGAGAGAAGATTATGGGGTATATGTTACCTGTCTTAAAGTATTTTGAAGAATTTGTGAAGAGCATATTCTCGTTCCAAGTTGTTCTGGAAGGCAAAATATGACTAAATGGGTGTAAATCACAAGCTGGAATATTTTGGTTTGGAAAAAAAAAAAAAAACAGAAACAACTTTCTAACAATTACAGCTAAACTGCCAAGAAATAAACTACCTTTTGTAATAGTAAACTGCTCTGAGTTATCTCATGCTGATGTCCTCCAAATGATTCACACCCAGTCCTCAAAATCAGACCAAGTCCAGTTGAACTCTCAGAAAGTATGATTCTATGAAAATTCTTCCCGTAGACAAAAGACAAGGAGCTTTGAATTCAGTTTTTAGAGGAGAAAAATTTAATAGATTTTATCTTATTATACATTTTTCCTAAATTACAAAGTCAATAGCTGCAAATATATTCTGCTACAAAGCTTTCTGTAAGAAATATCTCTATAAGAAAATACATCTCATTAACATTTCCTGTAAATAAATTACTTCAAATAATAATTTTTAAAAGGGTGGACATAAGAAAAATATTGCAGAAACCAAATTGTAAATATAATAATTGTTATATAGGAAATGTTTGATTGAAATGTTCCATTTTCATTTCACCAAGCTTATAGCAACCTGTTTATACAAACTTTGGTTCTTGGATGGACTAGTTTATAATTTTTGTTTTTGCAGACCTGTGCAGAAAATGTAAGTCTTAATCATCTTAGTAAATATATGTGGGAAGTTGAAATTTTTAATAGATATACAGGCTCAAACTCAATCTCTACTGGGAGAACTTAAATTTGAGACTGCAGATGGGATTTAAGTAAAAGAAAACTAAAAAGTGAATTGTGGTCTACAAAAGTTTAAAGTCACGACTATAAGATAACCTTTTATTGTTTTGTGCTCCAGACAAAGTATTTAGAACTGAGTTAAGTTTAAAAAAAGTAGTAAAGTGGTTTCAAAGAATTTAGAAACTGTGGTGTCTATAGATTAGCAATATGCAGGTTTTACAAGTTATCCTACTTATATTTTTTAACCGCAATGGCTGCAGAAAACCGAAACTAGCCCTTTGGCAATAAAGCAGATGCTGCAGAGGTTTGGGAAGAAAATTGGATGATGCCATTGGCTAGTCAGAAGCTTATAGAGGGCAATGAAACCTCACTACTCTGTCTACTTCAGGAGTCCATTTTGTGAAACCTCCTGAAATTGAGATTATTTGAGGATCTCAGCACTATAAAATAAATAATTTGAGGATAGTACGGACACAGGACCTCACACTGAATTCATCTGCATAGTAAATATTATGATAGCAAATCCCATGCAGATATTCATTTAGACTGTGCATCCCCTGGTTTCAAAGATGAACAGCCAACTTGTGCCTCAGACATATGATCTATGTGTTGCCAAAACCTGAACAAACGAAAAAGTTTTCCCAATTTTCTTGCTTACTCCAGTGCAGTACAGATCCAGCTCAAGTCTCTATTACCACAGAGTATGTATGAATACATGTATTTACCAATCTAATTCTATCAAAATACAGGTTATGGCCAATCTTTAAGAAATAATGATCTCTCTGTTAGCTCTTTTCCCACATATATTGGACATCTTTAAATTTTTTTGCCATCTGTGAAAATTCTGCTCTGTGTAAGTATTTTACTAGTCACAATTTATGGGTATAGTTTGGAAAATATAATGCATTCAGAGCAGGAATCACATAGGATAAAGAGAGATATACTGTCATTCCGTAGAATCTGAAGGAACTGTTTTTGTCTTGTATCAGTTCTTATTAATTACAGGTAAAACTAAAATTTTGAAAAAAAAGTATTTGTGGCTGTTTGTTTGTTATTTATTTGTCTTCCTAAAGGCCTTCCTAAACAACTGGCCATTATTTTGCAATTATTTGGAAATATTGACTGATTTTTTTCTTATCTACCAAGACTCTTGATTGAACAGCAGAAGTAGTGTTACAAATCAAAAGGTAATTTTCTGTTGTAAATTAACAATGCTCCATGTTTTCATTTCTTGTTTAGCAATTTTATTTTTAGAACCTATTGTATAACAAGTTATTCTAGGAGTATTTTGTTAAACTCTAACGTTGAATAGAAATCTGGCATGTAGGTTATTTGTATAAGCAATCAGCAATCTGAAGGAAACCTCTCCTCCAGCACAACCTAAACTCTTGGAAAGTCACATGCTACTCATCAGTAATTTCCACTGTGTGCTTGTTCTCTTAATAATAGCATTTTCCACAAATGTGTACATTATTTACATAGACAAGTTGCATAATGGAAACACTGGCTGCACTGCATTTGTCACCCATTCTAATCTATTCAGTTCATGTTTTCTTTCTCCCTTTTTGTGATCATCTATATTCTTATCACGTTTCTTATTTTAGCCATTCTTCTGCATCTGAACCTTATTTTCCACCATGCTATAATGCATTAAATACACAACTTCACAGTCTGCAATTGATGATGTTCCTCAATGGTGATCAAATTTTCTGACACACATGGAGTCTGGCTTTGGAGGAGTAGGTGGCATCTTTCCATACTTTGCAAGACAGGCCCTTCGCACAGTCGCAACGCTGGAAAATTTCCAGCCCATGAGAACCCTTCTTGCGTTGTTTGGTACAGACTTCCCCCTGATGGAGCACTGGTTTGCAGATTTTGGTCCAGAAATGACGAGCACAGCAAAACCCTTCAATGCAGTCTGATGATCGTAGGCAGGGGTCTCCTTCATGCCCTGCAGAGATGATGACCAATAGATGTTACCCTGACACTTCAGAAAAAAAAAATTCTATTTTGCAATCAGAAGCACATAAAATATTTTTACTTATACTATCTTCTATGTTGTTACCATTTATAATGAAAAGTCTTGGTTGATACCAATTGGCTCTGCCTCTTATCACATAAATCTATTATGGTCTGTTTCCATTATTTGCCACCTAAATAACAAGTTTAATGACTAGCTAGGATTAAAGAAACTTCCTTGTAATTTTTTCTAAAACCAATGGAATTAATTATCTATATTTTTCTTCTATTTCTTTATTTTAAAAAAACCCCAGAACTACAGATATCCCTACCTTTTATATGTGACATCTTAGTGTGTGGTCTTCCTAGATTCTGCCATCCCAAGTCATGGTTTGAGTAATGACCGTGGTTTCGATCTCTGTGCCGAGTACCATCCAGAGCCGGGATGTGAGGGGTTAAGATGCTTTCAGTAACTGGGATACAGATGCCTGGAGATGATCATATAATCAGTTAGACTAATTCAATTCTATGAAATGTGATACTTATCCACATACTCTCTTGATGTGAAATATGAAGCCATTTATCTATCTGTGTATCTATCTATCTATCCACCCATCCATTCATTTACTTATTTATTGAGACTGAGCATACTTTGGCCCTAAAGTGAAACTTCTTTAATATGAATTTTGTCTCTCTCAAGACCAAGTGACCTTGGACAAAACTGGGAATAAAAGCATAATTTTATATAGTCACAAAGTTATTGTGAATATATGTGAAGAATCAATGTTAGCTATTACTATTTTTAAAGAATCTGATCAGACATACATCCTCTGGATCCAGATTCCTTTATTAATTAACAACATAATGTTAGTTTACACTGTAAACTTCTCTAATGGTGTGAGGTCTTCTTCCCTTCACCTCCTGTGCAAGAGACTCACAGTAGGTCTACACCCAGAGGTCAGGAATAGGCATGAGAAAATGAGCCTGATTATGTTGTTTTATATGATTAAGTATATATTTCTAATTACCTTCTGCAATTATTTAATGTTTTTGCCACATCTTGTCTGTGATCCATTTCATCATTATTACTGAATTGTCTGCCTATAAATTCATTGATATTGGATGAAGCCAGGTTGGGGAATAAAATGCTGCATCTCCCTTTGGAGGAACCAATCACTCTACTACCATAAGACTGAGCCACAGAACATCTTGACTAAACCCAAAGCACAAAACTGGAATAGATATTTGCAACTGCATTACTAAATCATATCAAGTTTCTTTCTTTGGTTCTTTTACATGCATTCACTTATGTGTTTACTGAAATAGAACATCTTGCTATTTATACACAACACTTCAACATGGCAATATTCTAGATCAGTGTAGGTCATAAAATATAGAAAGTAGCCAGACTCTAGGAAAACTAAGATTTGGGGAGGTAATCCAGGTAATCTTACACTACCTAAACCAGTTCTACCAGGCTTCTTATATTTCAGGAGTCTGAGTAAGGAGACGATAGCCTGACTTGAGAGACAGGCTTATGATGATGAAAAGAAAGAGGCCCATTAACACTTAGTGAGATCTTTTACCATTATTGCAGCGGGTACTGGGGCAGCACATGCCATCTCGGTGGCAGCGCTTCTTTTTTCTCCGACACACCATGCAGGCCGATGATCCTTGGTGGGGACTGTGGCAATACCTCCCAACTTCACACTCCTTATCACTGCTACAAGGGTAGGCCTGTCATCAAGTGGAACAACACCAGAAGTAAAGGATTAGATCGTGTTTCACTTATGAAACATTACTATAGCAAATCATGATAGAAAATGAATCACAATATATCTCACCCGGAAGGAACTATACCATCATCATAATGTTCTGAACCTAGAGCCTAAGTAGTCACACTTAATTGAGGACCTTATAAATATCTATTGCTTGATGACAAAGATAAAGCTGACGCTGTTTGTATATTTTCATTGACACAACGCTAGAGTTAGAATTTAGACTTTTATTGATTCATAGGACCCTTATGTGTGACTTTGGGGTCTCAAGAGCAGTTGTAATTATTGCATTGATGCTATTGTAAGGTAAAAATGACACAGCCATCTTAGCCACTCGATTTTTTCACCTGTTAAAGAACGATGAGAGAAATGTTAAATAAAACAACAAAGGGCTATGCTAGAAGCCAAAATGTATCTCCTGCCCAATTATGAAACAAATATTTTAAAAGTGAACCCTTTCAGTTCCTGCCTATAAAAGCAAGGAGGAGAAACATTTCCAGAACAGTATGAGGCAGTGAATTATTTGGCACAAAGACACTAAGGAACAGGATCCTCATTCCAAACACGGTGATAAGCAGCAGTTGAGCTCCCAGCAGCCAGAGAGATGCTAAGCTCCAATTATATCATTATATTCCCAGGAAGCACAAAAGCAGACTCCTTACAGACCTGAAATAGCCCCACAGGCTACTACGCCTTCTATTGTAAAGAAAGAACCTCTGTTCATACATTTCTCTACCTAGGGGTATGTCCAGAAGGCTACTTCAGCAGTGTCATATATTATCTTAAAAAAAAATACATGTGAAATAATACAGAAGGTGGTCAGAGTTTAGGAAAATGAAGATTTCAGGGGTTATACATACATATATACCCATTTGTGCACCCCTTGCCTCTTGGAAGTATTTGGAACATTAAAAATGTCCCTGTGTTCAAAGACTGGAAGTTGAGAAACTAAAATGTCATAACCCACATCAAACTTACTCAGATTTTGAGGCAGGGAGACTCATTTGTAAACCTTTTTTTCTTTTTTGAAGTTGATATTTTTCTCATTTTCAGAGTAATAGATGATTTTTTAATTGAAAATACAAAATATAAAATAAGCTATGTATTTGTTTTTAAGCAACCATAAATAATTTGAACATAAACTATGGGATAAAATGGTTATGGCTCTCAAATACTTAGTGAGATTTCAGTGCTTTACTTATGAATTAGGTTTGATGGTATAGCTCGGCCTGCATTGCTCATGTCTTTTTTTCCTTTTATTTCTTTTACTCTTTCCCTTTCTTCCAGTGTCTTCTCCTCCTGCCCATCTCCTGCATATATGTCTACACATTGAGCCCTCACATGTTTTCCGTTTAGGTGATCAGATCATCTTCAGTTAGAAAAAGGAAATGTGAAGTTTATGTACGAGTCTGAGAGATAAAAAATGTATTTTAGCATCATTACAATTTCTTGTTTACCCTTTAAAGAATTATATAGAAAAACCACCAACTTCAAATTGAAAGTTATTTTGAAGGACTGCATAGTGGCAATGTTTGATGCATACTTTATAACTGGAGCCACACAAAGCTATAAAATAAATTTGCATTTCATTGTTCCACTCTGTAACTCCACCATTAGGCTTAAGAGAATCTTAGTGAGATGAAATTCAGACTATTAAGCCATTTTTCAAGAATCCAAGACTGATGAAAACAAAACAAATATCCCTTCCCGCCTTACCACACTCTTTCCCCCAAGCATTTTACCCCCTTCACATTTAAACCCATTAATTTTAATGAAATACAATTCACATGTTTCTGATTCATTTACATTTATTTCATCAAATTGTTTTGCAACAAACATTTGAAGTTACAAGTTTCTTTCCTTCCTCAAAAATAGGACATGCTCTTTCAATGGAAATAAACATGTGCCACATAAAACATCATGTGCTATTTACAACTCAAATAACAAGTCCTCAAGCCATTCTGAGTATAGGATAATCCTGGATTCCATCCCCCCAAAATAGTCCACAGGATACACTATTTTATTTATTAGCTGTTATTGATAGCTGTTTATTTTCTGGTTGTTTGGTAAAAGTAGCAGTGTCTGCCAAAAAATTGTGAATGGCGCATCACCATCTTTCCATTCTCAGTTGACAGGAACTGGAAAATATTAAAATGACAAATATCTGATGCAGATGACATTAAAAAAATGGGGTGCACAGTAGCCTTATATTTGAATGGGATTACAATAAAATTATAATAATTTAATTTTGAAAGAGGGAACCTCATTTGATCAAAAATAGAAAGTATATTAGAAAATACATAGTTTTATTATGCTCCAATATCTCTTTTAATTAACTTGAAGTAAAAATGACACAGGCAGAGAAAGTATGCCAAAAAATGCCTAACTATACAAGGTTATGTATATTGGGAACTTGTACTTGGAATGGAATTTCAGAACATAAATACTAGGAGACATTCTTTGGAAATTTTAAAAATAAATTTTTTAATAATTAAAAAGTAAAGTTGTATTACACAGCTTCTAATATGCTTATGTAACTCCTGGATCCAATAAACAGTCTTTATATATGAATACAATCAAGAAGGGATGAAATAAATTGATTAAAGAAGAGTATAGGGAAAGCAAGTGGTATTTGGGGGCATGCCTTGCCCTCTGAAATCCATGTCCCTTAGCCCAGATTTTTTCAACCGTAAAGCTTACCTTGTAATAACTTCTAGCAAGAAAACATAAAACATGAAATAATATGGTTCTAACCCATTAATAACAATTCTCATGTCTTACTAAGCATAATGCATTTTATTTTAGTAAAGAGTTTTAAAGAAGGCATTTTCTACTGAAGTATGAGGGTTCTGCAGTTGCCAGTTGCCATTGGCTTTTTTCCTACATTAGCCCCTCTAAAGTTTCTGGAAATGATATCATTGGTGAAAGGGAGAGAGAGAGGGATAGAGGGTTAACAGTAGTTGTGGATGACCCTGAAGAAGCGATGACTGTGGCAATGAAAGGACTGCTGGAGGGAATTATATACATTAATTAAAGTGCCATTCAGAAACTCTCACATAGATAATCTTTATTTTCCATTTACTTTGACCTCCAAAGGCCATTGTCTAGTCTCATTTGATGATGGCTTTGTGACAAGCAACAAATAAGCTTGAATACCTTAGTCTAAGTTTCCCTTTAACGAAATCAATAATATGCTTACCTGGTACTTATTTTAAAGGTGAATTAAAGGTCTGATTTTTATTTTACTTGCTATGGCAATTGTTAATAGTGCATTCTCATGGCTCTTCATTTACCTGGAACAGACTAGATAACTTTTCCTTTTTGTCTGAGGAACAATGATTGTGTGGAAGACTGGAAATCAAGTGAAAGAATTAGGGAAGGACTCTAGTACACCTATCACATGCTAAACTGCCCCACAATTGAATCATACGCTCAGCTTATGAGCATCCAGGAATACTTAGCTTCATGCAGAATCATTCATTATTGCATCAGTTATAATTAGGAGATGAATTAATTCAGGACACCTAATAATAGCAAACGATTGGCCATAAATTCAGAATACATGAGAACTGTCAGTGATCAGGCCAAAAAAACAAAGACATTTTCTGCAACCCCCTTTCTAGGCTAAAAATAGAGTGAATTTCCACAAATAGCAGTGTTACTTATTATTACAACCATGACATGAACTAAAAGAAGAAAAACACATTGGACACATTTTGAAAATAAAATCTATCAGAAATTGGTATTTCGTTTTAGCATAAAATATTTTTTAAAGTCTGTTTCCTCTGTGCTAATTTAGAATCATTACCTAAAATTTTAGCAGTAAAGTAAAGAGAGTTTAAGTAACTGCTAGAAATAAGTAATGTGTGCTCAGTGGCAGGGAAATTAGAGACCTTGAGTTCTTCCCTGGCGTTCAGGCCTCAGATATCATTACTAAGAGCAATTAATAGTGAGAGTTTAAAGGATACATCGACAAGGTGACTGAGTGGTGACCTATGTGCTGAAGTTAGAGGTTAGAAAAATATACTTGGCCACATCTCTTTCTAGAAGCCTCCGAATACCAACAGCATGTCCTACTGCAGCTGTTGGAAAAAGAGAATACTGGCAGAAAACACTGACAAAGCTGTGAACAGTATTTTCTCATTCTATTTCTTGAGCACAGTTTTCTGTTCATTTAAACTCAATGTAAATCAGAGTTGTAATCAAAAGTCCATAATGAAAATAATGATAATTAAATAATATTCTAATGAACAAAAGTAAAATAAAATGTAGTCACTCAATCTTCTTTGAAATAATTGAGTCTGTCTTCCCCCAAAGTCTTCTCAAAACTGCAGGAAGAAAAGGCCCAATAACTTGAGACTTACATTTAGGGTTGAATTAATTTTCACTTGCCTATCCCTTTGAACATGAAAATACAACAATGAAGTAATCAGATCCCTAAGAACAATGAAAGGAGAAAAAGTGTTTTGGGTATCTCAGTAGCAAAATCATTGAATAAACCTTTGACTACAATTAAAACCTTAGTTTAACTCCTAAGTTTTCAAAATAATAATATTGTCCTTATTTAATGATGAGAGGAAGAAAAGAAGAGAGAAACATCACAGTGTTCATGTGGGATGGCCACCCATCTGGATTCTTGCAAGACCGTCCTCGTTTTTTTGTTGTTTTAATCGGGACAATCCTTTGTCCCTACAAGCACTGTTTGTAACAATCTCGGAAGCTTTCTGGAGCCAGAAAAACATCATCAGCTAGGCAGGCAGAAGAAAGCCTGCAGGGGACGACCCAGCTGTGGGAATGAAAAACATTTGAGGCTAGTGGATAGATGGAGGTAGCAGCAAAGAACTGGGGATGAGAATATATCTGGGGTCTCTGAGAGCACAGCAGAAGATTGGCAATTACATTTGGGAAACCTGATCGGACTGGCTTGCCCTGAGTCCTTAGAGAAAAGATTAATTTTCCTCATCATGATATTCTACATGATAGATCTATATTTCCACAAACAGTCAAGGTACACTACCCTTCAGGTGGTCACTTCAAAATCAAACACTAAAATGCAACTGCAGGAGGTGCAGGGACTTATATGTCAATCTGCCTGTGTGCTGTTGTATACTATCTGCCAAAGGCTGTGCAATCTCATCTTTCACTTTGTCTCCTATTACCTCTAGGGGATAAGGGTGTACTGGATGCATCTTTGAGGATTCATGAACATCAGGCCAGGGGGATTGAGCTATATTAAATTTAAGGGGAAAAGTTCAGATATTACATGATGTCCTGCATGTGTAGTTACAGGTTCATTAAGGCAGCTGCTTGGGTATTTATTCAGTATTCAATCAATATTTATTTAGTATTTATTTATTGAACACCAACTATGATCCAGAAACTACTAGGTCAGTGACAATACAGTCAAATGTATTGTCTGTTACCCCCAAAATAATTTTGAAAAAAACATATATCCTTCAATACATTTGACACTTAAAATTTTTTGGTGTGTGTGTTTTTGTATTAGTATGAAATATAATGTTAAACATTTTCTAAGATAAAATTTGCAGTAATTTGATATGAATAAAATAACTTGACTATTAATTAAACATTTTCTAAGATAAAATTTGCAGTAATTTGACATGATTAATAAAATGACTTCTGACTATTATATTAATCAAAGCATACTGATCCTGAAATTAATCACAACATATTTACTCATGGGCATTTTCTCTTGAAAAATTACATAATCTGAGAAACCTTCAGTTAGATTATAAAATATACAAGTCATCGCAACTATTTTGAACATTCTGCCTACAGAATTTCCAGCTGGGGCCAAGTTTCACTTTTAAAAAATTAAGTATAAGACAAAGAAAGAAAGTACCTTTGTGAGTTTAAGATGCCCTGATCAATCATTAAACATATCTTTGTTCCAATCAAAATTCCAAATTTTACTTATTTGTCACCTAAAAAAGTTTTTGTACCTTTGGCTAATGCAGTCTATTGAGATTTGGAATGCATGAAGGTTTTGCCTTTTTTTGCCACATAAAATGGCAAAAAATTAATGTAAACCCAGGCATATTCCTTGAGAATTTTAAGAAAAAAATTGGAAGTTGAGGATCTGGACATTGATTTTATTAGAACAACTCGTGATCTGCACCCCATGGAAAATATTTCAGTACCTTTTACACATGTTCATTTTAAGGCTAGGGTAGTTAGAAAATTGGTTTTTGATACGAAAGATCAGAGATGAAAGAGTATCTCCTAAAACTATCTGAATTACAAATTAGGAATGGATTTTTTCTAGTGGTCCATTAGCCTCTCCAATGTATTCAGAAAGCGTCATTTAAATCCAAAGAAACAGTAACTCTATCAAATGAAGGCAAGTCCTCTTTAACTTTGGTTGCTCCTCCCTGTTCTCTGCATGTCATTAAACCAAAAGGAAATTCTAGGGAATGCTCTACTTGGAACATAGACCACATTCTCAACTGTAGCATGTACAATACTGATATTGATCATGGGATGAATGGAGAGAGCTAAACTTTTCCATATGGTCTCAGCTCCTAGAGATATCTAAACTACGAGGTTTACCTGGCTCTTGATTGTTTTTGTTTGTTTTAGACCCATCCCCACTCATTTAAAATGGATAGGACAGAACACTTCCACTCCATGCTCAAAAAGCAGCATCTCAGGTTTTACAGCAGTGGTTGGGAGTAATATATAATTATAAAGTACTCTATAATTTGTAATTGGATAAGTATAATTGTCCTAACCAAAAGAGAGGAAGAAACTGCACAATCTTAAGGTCTCTTCCAAATCTGGGATTTATAGTAAAACATTTTCATTGTTGCCTTATAAATTTTCCTGATGTCATGACCTAATTTTACTTCAGAGAAGTAACATGGTAGGGCAAAATTTGGAGTTATACTGCAATTCAATTTATGCTTCCTTAAATCAAACAAAATTGATTGGTTGAGTGACCGTTAGCTAAATTACTGAATCTTAGTTTCTTCTATGATAAAATGGATAAAATTTCTGAATTCAGCAGTGTTTCCCTGCTTACTTAATCATAAAAATTCCATGGGGTTTCTTTACAAATTACTGCTTCACAGACTCTTCTAATAGAGATTCTATTTCTAGAAGACTGGATGGGGTCCAGGAATCTGTACTTTTAACAAATACTGTCCTGGTGATGATACAATAAGGTAAGATAGGGAAACACGGCTATATAGAACTGTTGCAAGATTACTGATGCCTCCTGCATATATATCATACTGACAATGCCTGGTCTGTATAAAATGCAACTCAGTATTACCTCCAGATAGACATGGGTCTAAGTGAAGGATTAGTTCCCTGAAAACAACGTGAGTCTAAATGAGAGGCTCACTGACAATAACAACAATTTCCAGGAAGGTTCATCTTCACTCCTAGTGCTTAGCCACTGTGCTTGGTGGTGGTGGTGTTGAGAATTTCTACAACTGTATGAAAAAGTAAAATAACACATAACACACACACCAGTGCACTTTGGGAGGAACGCTGTGTGGACTCAGAGCTGTCAACACACCCATTATGGCTGGATTGTTTCATATCCTCAAGTGGTATACACCTATGTCTTGCTGGCAATGCGCAAACTTTGCATTTTCTTTATATTTTGTATCCAGTGGGCCCTTACAAAACACTCTTCTTCCCCATATCAAGTATGATAAATAGATGATGTCTGCTTTTATTATATGCTCTTCTTTGTATAGCATCACCTTTCTCTTTTCCAATGAAAATGACATTTAAAATTCAAAAGTTTATATTCAGGTAGATATGAAAACATACTTTCAAATTGTTGTTTAGAAAATACTTTTTTATGATTATAGAACAGGTTATGGTTGGTGAATATTTCTGCACCCAAAATGTAAACACTTGTGAGTTTTAAATGTTATACAAGTTTAAGTAATTTTTAACATATGGGTTCAGAAATGAGGACGTAAGTTTCCTGTAAATGTGTGTGTGTGTGTGTGTGTGTGTGTATGTGTATATATGTATGTATATATACATATATACACACACTATATATATATACATCTGCATACACACAGATACACACACACACACACACACACACACACATATGTATGTATAAAATTAGCTCAAGTTATCTCAGGAAATATGCCCAGAAATTGTGTAACAGGAAGGTAGACAGGATTATTGAGACCAGACAAGATCAAGAACAGAGGAAAGGAAAAAACTTCGTTTACATTAAACTCTTTTAAACATTTTGTAATCTGCACTAGATGCAAGTATTACCTATTAAAATTAATGCAATTTAAAGAGGAGCTAATACTACAATACTAAAGTGAAATGTCTTCTTGCTAGTTTATGCTTTATGGTTTCATACTAAGAGAGCTGGAAAAATTTTATTTTCCTAGAGGCAGAGCTTTTTAGAAGAGGTATCAAGCACCTCGACTGAAGTTTCTTTATTAAAAATTGTGTTTTGTTTCAGAAATATCATCTTAATAGCAGAATTAGACTACCAATGTAACATTCAAATACATACACAAACACACACACATATAATATACATACACATACACAATGCATTGTTTTTAACAATTATTTAATTGAGCTAATGTTTATTGCCTTGGTTAATTTCATTTAATATAGGAATTTCCAAACATAACACTTCTCTAATCTTGTTGAATTCTCTTTCATTTCCTCTAGGAATTAAGCCAGATCAATAGTCAAATTCTACTCTGCTTTTGAAGAAACAGCTGAAGGAAGCAGATAAAATTTGAAAGACTGTTCTTTCATGGTTGGGAAGATAGAAAAAAGCAAAGCAAAATATAATCCTCGATATTCATTCTATGGTGAAATGACTTCTAATTTCCATTTTAAAAGAGATACTTTAAGGGCTACAAAATTTTTGCTTAAAAATTATAAAATGTTCCCATTTTAATGTAGAACCTATACACAAGAAGGCAGGAAGCATTTTATCCCTCAGGTGTGCTGGTGCAGAGAGACAATGACTTGAGAAAAAGCTGGCCCCAAATGATTACCTACAGAGTTTGAGCAAGAGGATTGCTCAACAGTGATCACCACAAAGTTTAAATAGACTAATAAACCTTTTGGTTAAAAAAGCATGACAAGGGGAGGAGCCAAGATGGCCGAATAGGAACAGCTCCGGTCTACAGCTCCCAGCATGAGTGAGGCAGAAGACGGTGATTTCTGCATTTCCATCTGAGGTACCGGGTTCATCTCACTAGGGAGTGCCAGACAGTGGGCACAGGTCAGTGGGTGCGCGCACCGTGTGCGAGCCAAAGCAGGGCGAGGCATTGCCTCACTTGGGAAGCGCAAGGGGTCAGGGAGTTCCCTTTCCGAGTCAAAGAAAGGGGTGACGGATGGCACCTGGAAAATCGGGTCACTCCCACCCGAATACTGCGCTTTTCCAATGGGCTTAAAAAACGGCACACCATGAGATTATATCCCACACCTGGCTCGGAGGGTCCTACACCCACAGAGTCTCACTGATTGCTAGCACAGCAGTCTGAGATCAAACTGCAAGGCGGCAGCGAGGCTGGGTGAGGGGCGCCTGCCATTGCCCAGGCTTGCTTAGATAACCAAAGCAGCCTGGAAGCTCCAACTGGGTGGAGCCCACCACAGCTCAAGGAGGCCTGCCTGCTTCTGTAGGCTCCACCTCTGTGGGCAGGGCACAGACAAACAAAGAGACAGCAGTAACCTCTGCAGACTTAAATGTCCCTGTCTGACAGCTTTGAAGAGAGCAGTGGTTCTCCCAGCACGCAGCTGGAGATCTGAGAATGGGCAGACTGCCTCCTCAAGTGGGTCTCTGAACCCTGACCCCCGAGCAGCCTAACTGGGAGGCACACCCCAGCAGGGTCACACTGACACCTCACACGGCAGGGTATTCCAACAGACCTGCAGCTGAGGGTCCTGTCCGTTAGAAGGAAAACTAACAAACAGAAAGGACATCCACACCAAAAACCCATCTGTACATCACCATCATCAAAGACCAAAAGTAGATAAAACCACAAAGATGGGGAAAAAACAGAACAGAAAAACTGGAAACTCTAAATAGCAGAGCACCTCTCCTCCTCCAAAGGAACACAGTTCCTCACCAGCAATGGAACAAAGCTGGATGGAGAATGACTTTGACGAGCTGAGAGAAGAAGGCTTCAGACGATCAAATTACTTTGAGCTACGGGAGGACATTCAAACCAAAGGCAAAGAAGTTGAAAACTTTGAAAAAAATTTAGAAGAATGTATAACTAGAATAACCAATACAGAGAAGTGCTTAAAGGAGCTGATGGAGCTGAAAACCAAGGCTCAAGAACTACGTGAAGAATGCAGAAGCCTCAGGAGCCGATGCGATCAACTGGAAGAAAAGGTATCAGCGATGGAAGATGAAATGAATGAAATGAAGCAAGAAGGGAAGTTTAGAGAAAAAAGAATAAAAAGAAATGAGCAAAGCCTCCAAGAAATATGGGACTATGTGAAAAGACCAAATCTACATCTCACTGGTGTACCTGAAAGGGATGGGGAGAATGGAACCAAGTTGGAAAACACTCTGCAGGATATTATCCAGGAGAACTTCCCCAATCTAGCAAGGCAGGCCAACATTCAGATTCAGGAAATACAGAGAATGCCACAAGGATACTCCTCGAGAAGAGCAACTCCAAGACACATAATTGTCGGATTCACCAAGGTTGAAATGAACGAAAAAATGTTAAGGGCAGCCAGAGAGAAAGGTCGGGTTACCCACAAAGGGAAGCCCATCAGACTAACAGCGGATCTCTCAGCAGAAACCCTACAAGCCAGAAGAGAGTGGGGGCCAATATTCAACATTCTTAAAGAAAAGAATTTTCAACCCAGAATTTCATATCCAGCCAAACTAAGCTTCATAAGTGAAGGAGAAATAAAATACTTTACAGACAAGCAAATGCTGAGAGATTTTGTCACCACCAGGCCTGCCCTAAAAGAGCTCCTGAAGGAAGCGCTAAACATGGAAAGGAACAACAGGTACCAGCCGCTGCAAAATCATGCCAAAATGTAAAGACCATCAAGACTAGGAAGAAACTGCATCAACTAATGAGCAAAATAACCAGCTAACATCATAATGACCGGATCAAATTCACACATAACAATATTAACTTTAAATGTAAATGGACTAAATGCTCCAATTAAAAGACACAGACTGGCAAATTGGATAAAGAGTCAAAACCCATCAGTGTGCTGTATTCAGGAAACCCATCTCACGTGCAGAGACACACATAGGCTCAAAATAAAAGGATGGAGGAAGATCTACCAAGCAAATGGAAAACAAAAAAAGGCAGGGGTTGCAATCCTAGTCTCTGATAAAACAGACTTTAAACCAACAAAGATCAAAAGAGACAAAGAAGGCCATTACATAATGGTAAAGGGATCAATTCAACAAGAAGAGCTAACTATCCTAAATATATATGCACCCAATACAGGAGCACCAAGATTCATAAAGCAAGTCCTGAGTGACCTACAAAGAGACTTAGACTCCCACACATTAATAATGGGAGACTTTAACACCCCACTGTCAACATTAGACAGATCAACGAGACAGAAAGTCAACAAGGATACCCAAGAATTGAACTCAGCTCTTCACCAAGCGGACCTAATAGACATCTACAGAACTCTCCACCCCAAATCAACAGAATATACATTTTTTTCAGCACCACACCACACCTATTCCAAAATTGACCACATACTTGGAAGTAAAGCTCTCCTCAGCAAATGTAAAAGAACAGAAATTATAACAAACTATCTCTCAGACCACAGTGCAATCAAACTAGAACTCAGGATTAAGAATCTCACTCAAAACCGGTCAACTACATGGAAACTGAACAACCTGCTCCTGAATGAACTACTGGGTACATAATGAAATGAAGGCAGAAATAAAGATGTTCTTTGAAACCAACGAGAACAAACACACAACATACCAGAATCTCTGGGACGCATTCAAAGCAGTGTGTAGAGGGAAATTTATAGCACTAAATGCCCACAAGAGAAAGCAGGAAAGATCCAAAATTGACACCCTAACATCACAATTAAAAGAACTAGAAAAGCAAGAGCAAACACATTCAAAAGCTAGCAGAAGGCAAGAAATAACTAAAATCAGAGCAGAACTGAAGGAAATAGAGACACAAAAAACCCTTCAAAAAATTAATGAATCCAGGAGCTGGTTTTTTGAAAGGATCAACAAAATTGATAGACCGCTAGCAAGACTAATAAAGAAAAAAAGAGAGAAGAATCAAATAGATGCAATAAAAAATGATAAAGGGGATATCACCACCGATCCAACAGAAATCCAAACTACCATCAGAGAATACTACAAACACCTCTGCGCAAATAAACTAGAAAATCTAGAAGAAATGGATAAATTCCTCGACACCTACACTCTCCCAAGACTAAACCAGGAAGAAGTTGAATCTCTGAATAGACCAATAACAGGATCTGAAATTGTGGCAATAATCAATAGCTTACCAACTAAAAAGAGTCCAGGACCAGATGGATTCACAGCCGAATTCTACCAGAGGTAAAAGGAGGAAATTCCTTCTGAAACTATTCCAATCAATAGAAAAAGAGGGAATCCTCCCTAACTCTTTTTATGAGGCCAGCATCATTCTGATACCAAAGCCAGGCAGAGACACAACAAAAAAATAGAATTTTAGACCAATATCCTTGATGAACATTGATGCAAAAATCCTCAACAAAATACTGGCAAAACGAATCCAGCAGCACATCAAAAAGCTTATTCACCATGATCAAGTGGGCTTCATCCCTGGGATGCAAGGCTGGTTCAATATACGCAAATCAATAAATGTAATCCAGCATATAAACAGAGCCAAAGACAAAAACCACATGATTATCTCAATAGATGCAGAAAAAGCCTTTGACAAAATTCAACAACCCTTCATGCTAAAAACTCTCAATAAATTAGGTATTGATGGGATGTATTTCAAAATAATAAGAGCTATCTATGACAAACCCACAGCCAATATCATACTGAATGGGCAAAAACTGGAAGCATTCCCATTGAAAACTGGCACAAGACAGGGATGCCCTCTCTCACCACTCCTATTCAACATAGTGTTGGACGTTTTGGCCAGGGCAATTAGGCAGGAGAAGGAAATAAAGGGCATTCAATTAGGAAAAGAGGAAGTCAAATTGTCCCTGTTTGCAGATGACATGACTGTATATCTAGAAAACCCCATTATCTCAGCCCAAAATCTCCTTAAGCTGATAAGCAACTTCAGCAAAGTCTCGGGATACAAAATCAATGTACAAAAATCACAAGCATTCTTATACACCAATAACAGACAGAGAGCCAAATCATGAGTGAACTCCCATTCACAATTGCTTCAAAGAGAATAAAATACCTAGGAATCCAACTTACAAGGGATGTGAAGGAACTCGTCAAGGAGAACTACAAATCACTGCTCAAGGAAATAAAAGAGGTTACAAACAAATGGAAGAACATTCCATGCTCATGGGTAGGAAGAATCAATATCATGAAAATGGCCATACGGCCCAAGGTAATTTACAGATTCAATGCCATCCCCATCAAGCTACCAATGACTTTCTTCACAGAATTGGAAAAAACTACTTTCAAGTTCGTATGGAACCAAAAAAGAGCCCGCATCGCCAAGTCAATCCTAAGCCAAAAGAACAAAGCTGGAGGCATCACACTACCTGACTTCAAACTATACTACAAGGCTACAGTAACCAAAACAGCATGGTACTGATACCAAAACAGAGATATAGATCAATGGAACAGAACAGAGCCCTCAGAAATAATGCTGCATATCTACAACTATCTGATCTTTGACAAACCTGAGAAAAATAAGCAATGGGGAAAGGATTTCCTATTTAATAAATGGTGCTGGGAAAACTGGCTAGCCATATGTAGAAAGCTGAAACTGGATCCCTTCCTTATACCTTATACAAAAATCAATTCAAGATGGATTACAGACTTAAACGTTAGACCTAAAACCATAAAAACCCTAGAAGAAAACCTAGGCAATACCATTCAGGACATAGGCATGGGCAAGGACTTCATGTCTAAAACACCAAAAGCAATGGCAACAAAAGCCAAAATTGACAAATGGGATCCAATTAAACTCAAGAGCTTCTGCACAGCAAAAGAAACTACCATCAGAGTGAACAGGCAACCTGCAAAATGGGAGAAAATTTTCGCAACCTACTCATCTGACAAAGGGCTAATATCCAGAATCTACAATGAACTCAAACAAATTTACAAGAAAAAACAAATAACCCCATCAAAAAGTGGGCAAAGGACATGAACAGACACGTCTCAAAAGAAGACATTTATGCAGCCAAAAAACACATGAAAAAATGCTCATCATCACTGGCCGTCAGAGAAATGCAAATCAAAACCACAATGAGATACCATCTCACACCAGTTAGAATGGCAATCATTAAAAAGTCAGGAAACAACAGGTGCTGGAGAGGATGTGGAGAAATAGGAACACTTTTACACTGTTAGTGGGACCGTAAACTAGTTCAACCATTGTGGAAGTCAGTGTGGCGATTCCTCAGGGATCTAGAACTGGAAATACCATTTGACCCAGCCATCCCATTACTGGGTATATACCCAAAGGACTATAAATCATGCTGCTATAAAGACACATGCACACGTATGTTTATTGCAGCATTATTCACAATAGCAAAGACTTGGAACCAACCTAAATGTCCAACAATGATAGACTGGATTAAGAAAATGTGGCACATATACACCACGGAATACTATGCAGCCATAAAAAAGGATGGGTTCATGTCCTTTGTAAGGACATGGATGAAATTGGAAATCATCATTGTCAGTAAACTATCGCAAGAACAAAAACCAAACACCGCATATTCTCACTCATAGGTGGGAATTGAACAATGAGATCACATGGACACAGGAAGGGGAATATCACACTCTGGGGACTGTTGTGTGGTGGGGTGAGGGGGGAGGGATAGCATTGGGAGATACACCTAATGCTAGATGACGAGTTAGTGGGGGCAGCGCACCAGCATGGCACATGTATACATATGTAACTAACCTGCACAATGTGCACATGTACCCTACAACTTAAAGTATAATAAAAAATAAAATAACAAAATAAAAATAAAATAAAAAAAAGCATGACAAGGAGGTGATTCACGGCTCCACCACAGAACTCTACCTAACTGATCCTTTTCTCCCTTTGCCATTTGAAGAAAATAAACAGTAAGTCTGTTTATTTTTCTGGAATAAGTTCTGGATTAAGATCATCATGTCTCCCTGAGATATAGAAGGACTTAGATGCAAGTTATATTTGCAACAGGATAAGGGACTTTAACTCCTGAGCTTTGAACAAGATTGCTTGTCCATTAGTAAGAGAAAGAAATGGAAGTTATCTCATATAATCAGTTCTTTTACTATCTGTATGCCTTCCCATTTTCCAGCCTGATTCCTTCTCTAGGTATCTCAGGCCTATATTTACATAACCTGTAAAATAGGTAAGGATATGTGTTCCATGCCTGAGCTACATTCTCATTTCTTTGGACTGTTCAGTTGTCAAGGCAGATCTCACACAGCAGTTTATGCAGTGAAGCACCCCAAGTACACTATATTGTCCTTCTAATCGTCACTGGGTTCCAAAACTCAGGACAAACTATGTTTGAGAGAGTTTGGGCAGCGTCAGAGTTTCAGCATAATGATAGGGTTAAGCATCCTGCTAGAAGTGTTGCTTATTTTTCTGACAGATAGAATTTTACAACAGCCAAAGCTACTCATTTATTTCAGACATTTTCCAGATGATTTAGTTAAAAAGCCCCAGCATGGAGGGAATTTTTCTTTTAAGTTTCTGATAATAGCAATAATATGACCACATGTTATTTATTAAAATACTTTTCTAAAAAATAATCAATATCTCAGTACATACATGGACTTGCCTCTCAGCCTCCTACCAGCATAAATTAATTTAAATTTTTATTATGTGGAAGAAGGAAAGGTCAGCTCACAAGGGCAAAAGAGATTTATGTCTAGTGAACAACATGGTACAGAGAAAGACTCTATCAAAATGTTCTGTTTGAATGCTTTGCTAGAGGATTTGAAAGGGAGGAAATTATAAGCCAGATGATAGATGCTTTGGTTTGTGTGACCCTAGTGTTCAAATCTCAGCCTCAGAAATGTGGTACATCTTGTGATGACATACACAACGTGTTAGTAATCCCCAAAAGAACATACTGAAGATGTTGGTCCCCCACACCACCCACATCCCAGTACATCTGCTTTGGTGTGGTGACCAGTACATTCTCAATAGTGCAAGAAAGGAAAGATTTGTTACCAGATAAAAAAATGAAATCCTGTCTCCAGATTTAAGTCACTTTCCCTCCATCCCACTGGTTCTTCTAGTCTATTTAAAGAGTATACTCCTCTGTATTGCTGCTACTTCTTTTGTTGGCCCTTATTCATTACTCAGGATCCCCAGATATACTAGACTCTTTTTAAGAGTCTCTATGTCTGGCCTCCCATTCCAGTAGCCTTTGTAGCAGATATGGGGCTTCAAAAAGTGAGCTGGGGAGGGAGAGTGAAAAAGAAAGGAAAACTCAGATAAGAAATTCCCCTCAGGGATTGAGATACATAACACATAATTTGAGTGCTGTTTTGGGTAATAAGAAGTCTAGGCAAACAAAACAAATTAAATTTATTAACCAACTGGCTAATAGAGCTTTTATACAACTTTGCTAGGGTCAGTCTGTAATCTTATTCTTGTTTCAAATTTTTTTTTCCCTCACATTGAACAGTGAAGTGTATCTGGAACTATGTTTAGTACGCTATATAAAATCTTGCCTGGTGTTTGTTTTAACCAAAGAAGGAATCTACATTACAAATAAGACTACCCAGAAACATGTCTATTCTTAATATGCTGTATAAACCCTGTGTTCCCTGCCTACTTCTCCAGGTCTTGTATTATACACTCCAGCTGTACGGTACTACTTGCACATCCCCTAGTCAGCCATACTCCTTCAGGACTCATTGCATTTGCAAAGTTTCCCTCTGCCAAGAACACCCTTCCTCCATTTACTTCATCATGAGAACAACTCCAACTCATCATTTGGAGATTATATCAACTGACTTCACTTTTAAGCAACCTTCCAAGCTGGCTGACCACCCCAGATAAGCTTGATGTTCCATTTAACCTGCATGTTGCTGACACCACATGCTTCTTTGCACCATGATGTAGATTATGCTCTGTTGAATTCTTCGTCTGCCCTACCTATACTCTTTGAGTAAGGAAATCATCTTTCATTTCTGTATCTTCAGTGGCCACATTATACCTGGAATAATTTACCATTCCACAATTTATCCACTAATGAATTAATGCATGAAATTTGTTGCAACAGTGGTTGGAAGTTTGTAGCATTAAATTGACAAAAATACTCAATTAAGAACCCATCAGGAAATGGTAAAAAGGAAAATATTGAAAATTAAAGAGTTGACTTTGTGGATATTTTTAAATTGATTTTTAAAATTGAAGTCCTACAAAAGCTATTTATAACCTATACAGTATAGAGGGAAGAGTATTATATGTATTTGAGAAGAAAGAACATTGGCTAGTGAGTACTTTTGCAGTCAGCAACTTGGCTGCAAGTATTTTATGTTGAACCATCAGTCCACATTTTCAAGTACTATCATCAGTTCTGCATTACATTTCTACAGATGATCATGTTTTTCATCTGTAAATTGTATGTGATGAAAATTAGGCTCTTTCATTTCTAAGTGGCATACATTATTTCTGCCCCAGCAATAATGATTCCCCAATAGCTATTCAGAGCAGTAACTATTTTACCCCTTTTCTAATCATCTGGAAATTCTTCAAGCCTATGGCATGTGGGAGCTATGACAATAGGTGTTTCTGAGGATCAGATGGCACTGGTGACACTTCCATCCTAAACAATTATTTCTAAGTTGTCTTTGCCCTTGTCACTAAATATATTTCTTGTTGGTGGATCATATCTGATAGTATTCCTAGTTAAGCACCATCGCTATGAGGTGTTATTGCAAAGGATCAAGAATATATTTCATGACAGCTTCCTTTAAACATCTTGGGGGTGCATAGACTTCAACATCTTGTTGGTACTAAGGAGATCAGTTTCTTGATACACTTTAGTCACAGCAATATAGCAACCAGTACCTAACAAGTAAAGTACATTTTTCCAAATGCTTGCCTCATAGAATGTCACCACCCAAACATTTATATGATGTCTAACTTGTTTATGATCCTAAACAAATTGAGTTAAACAAGGTTCTCACCAGCTATGTTAAATTAGTGAAACCTCATGGCATGTTCGTTTTCATCAGAAAGGCAGACAATGCTTCTAGGTATTGAACCAAATTCATTTCAAATAATGTCTGCAATCTTTGTACACATCTATACAACTCCTCTCATTATGCCCATGCTTATTAAAGTTTTAGAAACATCCATATATTTTTTCATACCCTGATCCCAGGTTTAAAACCCTACAGAAATTTACATAATTTAAAGAAATTTACATACTTTCTTTAGCATAAGCTTGGTTCACATGTGATATTTGTAGAAAGATGATATAATCCTGTTACCTGGACAAAGAGGCAAGAAATAAGAACTCTACTTTCTAGGTTAAATTTCCTAAGTTACATGTTTACTACATGTTTTGAGTCCAGACAGGGATGTCACTGTGCATTTGAAAATGTTAAGTCTTATAAATCTAGCTGTACACTGTACATTTATAAGTCTATAAGACTTATAGATCTAGCTGTACACTCTAGAGACCAGAGTAATTGGATTCCCTTGTTCTATAAGAGGAAAGACACTGAAACACCTGGGCACAGCAGGTATCAAACAGGATGGATTACTGTCTGACTATAACATTTCCTAGGTTTAAATGAGATCACCAGAACTTTATTCACACAAACAACTCAGGTTGTTTCCACATTAAAATTGGATGAAGTGATGTTTATTATAAAACCTAGCACTAGCCAGGCTCCTGTCTGAGGACAGACAGATCAAAAGCATAAGGTTATGGTCATGCACCACTCTTCATCTTCCCTTCTAGAGCACAGCACTGTCTGATACACACTGATCAAATTTTGCCCAGGATTTTAAGTAGGATGTTTTGAAAAAGCAAAGAATGGGCCCTTGAAATAAAACAGTTCATCCTACAGTAAAGAGAATTGGAACTGTACTTTTATTAATGGCACATTGAAAGCCATTTACAACTTGCAAGTGATGCTTCCAAGAAACATTAGAATGATTTTCTTATATAGAAATGTTAATAAGTGTCATAAAATTTGCTAAAAAGTTCAGTCCTACTTTCTGGGAACCTCCCAATAAGAAATTACAGATTTTCAAACACAGTGTAACAAAATGAACCAGTTAGAGGAGTAATCAGCCAGTTACTGGTTATATAATAATAATTAATAGTAATATTAAACAGCATCTGTACATAGAGCTTTTTGTCTTCAAATTAATGAATTTCCTAAGTATTAACAAACCACTTCTCTTTTGCAAACTTCCAACACAAGTTTGGAGAGCTCTAGGAAGAACTTTATTTAACATTCATGTGTTCTGTTCACGTCTGCAGTGGAATCCTTCCATGGTTAGAAAAACATGTTTGGATGTACAGAGATGGAGTAGTAATATATACCCATATCCTGATGTCTGGCTTGTTCACTGCTGAGTCCTCAACCATATCCAATCAAAGTCAAAAATGTGTTTCCAGTGATAGAGCAATATGTTTTCTATTGAGGACAAGATTTGCCGAAAATAACACAAAAATTGTCTGGGAATTTGGGTGCATAACCTGGGTGTGGTGAAGATGAGCATTTCACATTTCTCACTAGAGTTCAGTAACTCTACACATAACCACAGCCAGCCATGGATCCTTAAATTCACTATCTCACCAGCCAAAAGTCTCCTCCTGCTAACAGACGCCATGATTGCTAGAGCTTCTTTACAAACTGCACATATCTCCAGGAGACCCTGAAAATAACAGGCTCCTGGAAACTACAGATATTTTGCAGATGTACTTTTTACAAAATGATTTCACAATTTGCTTAGGCACTTTATCTATGTGTCATTTTACAAATGAATAAAGACCAACTGCTGGTCTTTATTACAAATTTTAATTGTAATCACTTGTCTTTGGTAATTTCCAGATTTGTAAGAATTCAAGAATTCCATCTATTGGATATTTAATAATATTAATATTAAGGAATTATGATTAATTTTTAGTTTTGATAATAGTATTGCAGCTATTTTTTAAAATATCCTTTCTCTTAAAGAAACAACAAGTATTTATGGGTGAAATAATATGATGTCCAGAATTCCTTAAAAATGATCCCTGGGAAGTAAGATGAGTTGAAAGTGTAGATGAAACAAGATTAGCCATGAGTTAAAAATTGTTGAAGTTATAGAACTGGCACATAGGGGTTCACTCATACTATTCTCTATATTTTTGTGTTATCTCTGACATTTCCACTTAAAAAACAAACAAACAAAACTACAGAATCTCTGCAACATAGACAGAACTCCCAAACTAATCTTCAAGAAGCAGCCAGCTGAAGACATAATCTCAAATCTCTTGGTTCCTACACATAGAGCATAGGCAGCACCCTGACATTGTGAATCAAAATGCTCTCCTCATTCCATCCTCTCCTTGGAGAGGTTGAAAAATCAACCTCTGATGCGGTTGTTACAAGGCTGAACAGACCTCTGGTAGCGTAAATAAACCTCTGAGCTTCCACAAGCTGGATGGTTCAAAATCCACCGTGCAAAGGTAGTCATGAGTTAACTGGGCTTATAAATAGGTGCTCTACCTTCTGCTCCTCAAATCCCTAGAGCACAGATTATCCCAAGAGCTAACAGGAAAACACATGCATTCCAAACCATTGTGATCCATTGATGATTTACCAAAGGCCTACTAATGTAGGCATTTTAGCAGAGGTAAAGATGTTTAAAACATCCTCACTGCCCTCAAGAAACCCATATTATAGAAGGCAGAACCAAACCATTGCTTTTCTGGGTAGTCACAACTCATTCAGGTGCTGACAAAGTGTTTACTTTCAATCCGTCTTTTCAGGGACCACACAGGAACTCCATTACATTGGAGTGGGCATGGGCAAACGGGGAAATGAATGGATATGATCAGAGTAAAAATTTTCCAGGTATATGGAGTGCCTTGACTTATTTATTTATTGGTCTTGGAATGAATGGGATCTACATACATCCTGGAGGTGTGACATCTGAAGGTAACATCTGTCTGTGCTACTAACCACATCAGCAGCCTATGCTCCTCTCTGCTCAGCCCAATATTGGTACCCTGTGACAGCTGCTTGAAAGGTACCGTACCCTGTGACAACAGCTTGAAAGATACTGTAATGATAGTATTTTCATTAAAATGTCACATTGTTTGGCAACACTTCCTAAATTTCTGTGTAATAGAAATGACAGAGCTGTCAGTTTTTCAGGAAAAATGAAAAGAGGTAAGAATAGTTACTCTTGGAGCAGCCTTCCCATAAACTCATATCTGTACCGTACCTTCTCTTTGGCAAAGAACCTTTGTACATATTTTCCCATCTGATAAGGAAAGTGAGTTGGGTAGGCTTTAAAAAAATTGATTAATTATCTTTTTTCTTTCTTTCTTTTTTTTTTTTTTTTAGAGATGGATTCATGCTCTGTCACCCAGGCTGGAGTGCAGTGGCATGATCATAGCTCACTGTGACCTCGAACTACTAGGCTCAAGCAATCCTCCCCTCTCAGTCTCACAAGTAGCTGGGGCTGCAGGTGTATACCACCATGCCTATCTGTGGTCTTGAAATGTTGCCCAGGCTGGCCTCAAACTCCTGGCTTCAAGCTCTCCTTCTGTCTCAGCCTCTCGAGTTGCTAGGATTACAGGCCTGAGCCAACATACTCAGCAAATTAACCATTTTAAAGTAAACTGCTCGGTGGCATTTTGTACATTCACAATGTCATGCAACCACTAGCTGTAGTTCCAAAACATTTCCATCACTCCTAAATAAAACTCTGTATCCATTCAGCAGTTTGAGTGGGCATTATTAACTTCAGTTTTACGGGTGAGGAAGCCTACTCCGAGACTGTCAAATGTTATGCAGGTAGTAAATGTTAGAGCTAGAAACAGAACCCAGTTTTTCTAATTGCAAATTCTCTACCAGACCAGAGGTTCTCAAAATTTAGTGTGCATCAGAATCACCTGGAGGGCATGTTAAAACACAGGTTGCAGGGTTCCAACTTCAAAGCCTCTGATTCAGTAGGTCTGTGTGGGGCCTGAAAATCTATGTTTCCAAGTGATACCAATGTTTCTGATCCAGAGACCACACTCTGGGAACCACTGCACCACATTGAATTTCCCATTCCCCTATTCTTTAATTATAGGTTTTATTAACTCATTCAGGGATGGTTATATATTGAAACAAAGTCAGCTTGTAGGGGGTACTTGCTTTCTGTACCTCACCAGTTATTTGGTTAACTCACCATCGGAATGAAAACATGTAGGTGAAAAGAGTTTGCCAGCTTAAAAGTTGCCATGTAGATTAGAATTAAATGTCTTTCTAAAGACCCTTTTACTTAGCTAGCTGAATTTAGTATCTCTTATAGTACATCTGAGGAAACTGATTAACTGTGTAAGTTTGTAGGCCAGAACCAGAAGTATCTCCTATCGTGGGTCTGGCACAGTGCCTGGCATATAGTAGTCATTAAATATTTGTCTAATAAATTAGTTTACTGAACATCAAAGGTAAGAGGGCTTCTTTTGGTATTATTTGAAGCACTTCCAAATGTTCAGAACTTATATGATCTACTTCATGGATAGGGCTTTATACATGTTAATCACTAGCCAAGTCAGATTTCATGCCAGTGTCCTAGTCTAAATGCATTAAAAAGCCACCTTAATGTATTGAAGTGCCTGGGACTTTTGCTTCTCTTTCAGATCTCTGTTTAAGTTGAGGCCAATGTTTTAGCATCAACCAAAAACCATTTTCTTTGCCCTTTCCCTTTGTGTATACGGGTATATAAATGATGATCTGTAAAATAGCCAACACATATTTCAACATCTGCCTACCAGATCTGTGTGCACCCTCCTGGTCATTTAGTTTGAGGTTGGGTAAGGTGGAGCATTGCAGGAGAGTCAACAGTAGGGCTGACAATGTCTTGTTTCTAAAGTGCTGGGATACTTTAATCTTCTTTCTTCCTTTGATGTCTGAGATTTTCTTCTTTATGCAATGACACTGGGACTAAATGCAACACCAGGAAACTATTTTCCAGTGAAGGGTGTGTGTTACAAACACCTGCAGAGCTCATAGTACCAGGTGACTTGAATTACTCACACATTTCTAGATCTCTTCTCTGTGGGTGGGTGGCTATTTTGATTCTGTTTTACCTTGGGTAAAAATATAACAGTTCTGGTCACACTGGTATGATTTTTATTTATCTTCTGCCCATACATCAAATAAAAGCATAAAGAATGATGTCTGGCTTTAAGCAAGAGAGAATATTTTGTAGTCAAAGTCACTGACTGAGAGGCAGAATTTTAAGTTCAAGTCCTGACTCTACCATCAATTCAGATGTAGCTTTACACATATCACTTAACATTTGTGGGCTTCTGTTTTCTTATATATGGAATGAAGGAAATCAGCTTTAAATAGTCAGTTTTGGGTTTTTATTGAACAAGTTATCTCTTGCAATTAGTGAAAAACTTACCATAGCCCTGGATCTATTCTATTTTTCATTAATCTATTTTTCTTTTGCATCACAGAAATAGTATGGCATGACCTCTTTTTGTTGTGTCTATCTATTAGGACCAAACCAAACACCTAGACAGAACATTTGTTAAATATGAAATAGCATCAACACTGTTAACACAGCCCAGCATTATTAAAAAAATTATAATAATAATGAATATTGACTGTTTCCTCTGTGCCATGCTCTATGTTAAGAGCTTTACAGGCAATGACTGCTGTGTGAAGGCTTCTGGAGAGTGTAAAACATGTCTTGCATTGTACAACTTTCACAATTCAGTTACAAACTGGAATGTCAAGAAGGTCTCAGTAGATACATATGTTTTGCAAAAATGTTTTAGGTAAGGAAGGATTTCTTTAGAGGTCTTCAAGAAATATTCTAAATGCTACTTTATTTCTTTTTAACAACAGTCTTTCCCATCCCAGTAAATGGAAAGTCTACAAAAGCACTTGCTCAGACCAAAAACCTTGGAGCAATTCTAATTTCCCTTCTCACTCCCAACTTTAAGTCCATTAGCAAATTTGGTCAGTTCTATCTTCAAAGTGTTTTTAGAATCCAGCCTCTTCTGAATGTGTGCATTGCTGCCACTCTATTCCAAGATATCCACCCTGCCCCTCTATCCCAGCATTCTCCACACCATATTCTCAACACAGCAGCCCTACTGCACCTGTGGAAAAGGAAATCTCATCATGTCAGTTCACTTGCTGAAAACTATCTACTGGTTTTGCATCTCACTCAGCGTGAACACCCAAGCCCCTTCTTTCTGCTAGTGCTTCTAGGTTCTTTCTTACTACTTGTCCTTGGCTTACCCTGCTCCAGCCATGTTCATCTTCCCGCCGTTATTCCCACATGCCAGCATCCTTGGGCTGAGGGCTGAGCACAAGTTCTCTGTCTTTTAGTCCCCAAAGATTCTTACTCCAATTATTATTTCTTGTAAAAGTTTACCTCACTACCTGAATTATTACTTTAAATTATTTAGCACTTTAAATTATAATATGCATATAAAAGTACATAATCCATAAGTGTACACATTGCTAAATTTTCCACGAAGTTAACACATCCATGAAACCATAACTTGAGTACAGAAATAAAACACTGATAGTCCCTCCAGAAACCTCCTTTGTGCTTCCTCCCATATATTACCAGCCCCGCAAGTCTACCATATTCTGACTTTTATTATCATTCTACTAGTTGGGTTGTTTTGAAATGTATATGGATTTTTTTTTTACCCAGTATCATGTTTTTGATTCACCCATGTTGTTGCCTGTAAATATAATTATTTATTTTTATTGACACACTTTTTTCAGTGTACAAACATATCAAATTTACCTGCCTCTTGTGACACCAAAAATAAATGCACACCCATGTTTAATCAAAAGATATAGATACACATATAAAATATATGTATATCTCTATATATATGTAAAAGAGAGAAAGAGTGGGAAGGCAAATTCATACAACCTCTATGGAAAATAGTATGAAGATTTCTCAAAAAACAACAACAACAAAAGAACTACCATGCAATCCAGCAATCCCACTATTGGGTATTTATTTAAAGGAAAAGAAATCGATATATCAAAAGGATACCTACATTCACATGTTTACTGCAGTCCTATTCACAATTGCAAAGATATACAATCAACCTAAGCATCCATCAGCGGGTGAATGGATAAAGAGTATGTGGCATATAGACACAATGCAATACTATTCAGCCATAAAAAAGAATGAAACCGTGTCATTTGCAGTGGAACTGGAAGCCTTTATGTTAAGTGAAATAAGCAAGACACAGAAAGACAAAATTTGCATATTCCCACTCATACATGAGAGCTAAAAAAGTTGACCTCATGAAGTAGAAGAATGACAGACACCACAGGCTTAGAACTATATGTGGGTGGCAGAGCACTCTTGACAATAAAGGTAAACATGTTAAACTCTAACATTTTATTTTTTTAAAGCAAGTATGCAAAAATGTTAATAGCTCTTAGTTCTAACTGGTGGGAATCAGGGGCTTAATTATTCTTTTTAAATATTTAGTGTTTTAAAATTTTCTGCAAAATATGGCTCCTAAGAAAGAAAATAATAGATACGTCTACCATTTGGGAAAACATTTGTATTAAATGGAAAGTAATGTAGTCAATTTGCTTATTTTGTTAAATGCCATAAAACAGAAACACATATTTGGAAACAACTGCCTGTTTGGTGTGGTATTGACTAAACAACAACAAAACTAAAGAATCTTAGATTTGGATGTGAGCTTAGCAGTTATTTAACGCAATAAGAATTTTTACTCTGCATTTTGACATGTGGCCATCAAACTTGGCTCCAGTGAGTGGTGAAATCATTACCTCAAGGGGCTGTCCATTCCATTTTGAAAATGAATTGCTAAGCTGTTCTTTCCTATAAAAAGTAAAAATCTATTTACCTTTGTATCCTATTCAATTTTTATAGTTCTTCCTAGTAGATCAACTCAGAGTATGTCGTAGGCTGTTTTAAGTCCAGAAGTTTTATTTAATGCTGTGATTATATATTAAACTCCAAAAAGTACCCTCTTGGCTTTAGTTAATTTCCTTATAGAAAAGAACCTATTTTTATTTCAGCTATACTGATATCACCTAGCATGATAGTAGGTATAGCAGAACTTTCTTAAGCCATAGAAACTGGCATCTTGAATTTTCCAACTTAAACGAGATGAAGGTTAAGAATCTTCACTGTGCCTTTCTATTTACAACATTTCATAATTAATCAAATCCTATCTCCTTCAAAATGATAAGTTATATTGATGCCAAAATTCTTTATTTATATTAAGGTCATGATTTAAAATGAGGGCTACTTCAATGTCAATACATATTCAGTGAGTCCATAAAGTAAGCAGCCTTCTCAAAAATAAAAATAGCCTCCAAATCTTAAAATATAATGATAATATGTTTAATTTACTGTATAGAAATAAAAAACTAGAAGTCATTGGTCAACTACTTCTAGGGAAAGATCTGGGCATTTTCTGATCATCAAACACCTTATCATGAATGGTCAAGAGGCTGAACTGGGAATCAGGTTTGGTTCACATGGTTAGCTGGTTAGCATGTCAACAGTCTGTTTTTGTTAGTATAAATTCTTCAAAATTTAATCTTTCATCTTCCCCTCGTATGTTGGTCAACTTGCTTATCAAAAATAATGCAAAACTTAAACAAAGTACTTTCAATGTATTTTTTAGGGACAACATTCTCTTTTATCCATATTTTTGAATATCTGCTATAGTTGTCTCTGTCTTTTGCAAGTTGCATCTAATTTCCTTCCTTATGTTAGGTTATTTCTTGGTGTTCCTCCTAGGTAACCACGTTTATTTTGTGGTATTCCCATTTGTGTTTCAACTCCTTGTTCAAATTTTTCTGTAGACACCAGCTGTTAAACTTAAGAACACCAGATGTTAGTTTAAGATTTGAGATGTTGTTACCGGGGCAACCAGCATTGAGTGCTGGCCCTCCCTATCACTATGTGTTCACTACTCCAGAGTGGGTAATTGGATTTCACCTTTCTCTATAGAAATAAAACAGACAAAAATTCACTTACAGCACCAACTTAAAAAGGCAGCTTGCACACCCTTCTGATGTAAACTCTGTTCATACCTTCCCAGCAGTTCTGCTCTACATAAAAAGAACAAAGTGCTTTTAAAAAATCACAAAGATATGGGGTGGGGAGGGGAGCAAAGAAGGCTTTAACCATTACCACTTGCAGGATCAATTCCATTTTGACAGTTTTCAAGGTTACAGATCAGACGTTTCACTCTGTAGATGAAAAGGGAAAGCTTTGAGATTTCCTACTCTTTCCACCCATCACTCAGAAGCTCAGAGGCTACTGAGAGAATACTTTTTTTCTGTGTCAATTTGAGACAATCTGTGGGATTCAGGATGTTCTCCTTCAGAAGTGGAACACTTTAACCTCTTTCTGACATTTCAGAATCACAGAATCATAGGACATAGAGCTTATAGATCTTGCAGCACAATCCAATAACTTTCAGGAAACAAACCGTAATACTTAAGCATTCAAATTTCTATTCATTTACTTTATAATTCTCGTCAACTTATCTTAAGCTCTTGACTTCTAGTTTTCTTATGGTAAAAAGTCCTGCTGTGCAATGTGGTGAGGAAAATCCAGGTCTTAGACCAAGTATGAGGACCATCTCTTGCAAATTACTGGACAACCCTCAGTTTCCCACAAATACACAGTGAGTATAATAATAACTACTATTTACTATGTCATTGAGTAGTCAAATGAGATAATATGTTATTTAAAGTATGAAATATTTTTAAAAGTTATTATTCTCATTGATTTATATATAAGCTCTAGAGTAGAAAATAACCTGCAGGATGGAAAGTTGTCTCCTCTCCCAGATGTAGCCAGTGTCACCACTGTGCCCATTACACTTTTGGAAAATGTATTTAAAAGGCAAGCTATTATCTAAAAGTTCTAGTACTGTGCATATGAACTTCAAAGTTTTGAGTTCTTTTTTTGTTTTGTTTCTTGCTTCAGGTTCATTTTACCTGATACAATAGTATTATCACTTCTTTATTTTTTTCATATATACTATCAAAAATTTTATTTTAGCCTAGGAAATAAGAGAGGAAAAAGAGATGACTATTATGTTGCACTTTAATCAAGATAACAATATATTCTTTAATGTACAACTCCATTATTTTAAATGACATCCTAAAGCAGATTTTAGAAATGTTCTTTTCTTTTCTTTTTTTTGTTTTGAGACGGAGTCTCACTCTGTCACCCAGGCTGGAGTGCAATGGCATGATCTCGGCTCACTGCAACTTCTGCCACCCAGGTTCAAGAGATTCTCTTGCCTCAGCCTCCAGAGTAGCTGGGACTACAGGTGTGTGCCACCACGCCTGGCTATTTTTTTGTATTTTTAGTAGAGATGGGGTTTCACCATGTTAGCCAGGATGGTCTCGAACTCCTGACCTCGTGATCTGCCTGCCTCGCCCTCGCAAAGTGCTGGGATTACAGGCATGAGCCACTGCACCCGGCTAGAAATGTTCATTTTTATGTGACAGAGAAAAGCAGGTCTTTGGCAGTTCATGCTGTACAGAAAATACCATCAATGTTAAACAGAACGCTTTATCTGTAGGGACTGGAATGGAAACATTTCTGAATAATGTACAGGGGTTGCCCCATTGTGGACAATGACCTCACACATTCATAATTAATAACATTGCTTTGCTTCAATTGAAGAGACTTGAGAATTGTGTAACAGGGCAACTTCACGTCTTCTCAATGGGAATTTGATTTATTCATAAATCAAGTAATAATGAACAAGACATAATGTACTATAATTTAATGTTAATTATCTTAAAAATAATAAGTTACTGGAAACTGAATGGGCTTTTATTTTTTCTTTTAATGTTATAATGTTATTTCTTATAATGTTTAATGTTTAATGCCCTCCCAAAAGCTAAAGGCTAAATGGCCCTTTTGCCTCTCTCTTCTTATCCATATTTTTCTACCCCTTCTTTAGAAGTTGGAAAGGTAAAGCATCTTTACAGCTAACAATTTCTGAAAATAATGTAATGTAAAGACATTTTGTAAACAGACTCCTTTGCTGGCTCCAATTGCTAGGCCAGGCATTTGGGGCATTGTAGGATTGGCAGAGGAACAGCCACACCACAGTGTGTCTGTTGGCTAATTGCTTTCCCCCTATGGAATTACACCCAACACACATCAACATTTCACCCATGAATTCACCACAGTCTCCCTTTTCACACCCATGAATTCACCACAGTCTCCCTTTTCACACCTAACAATACAAAAGAAGAATCAAATTGTTTTCTAGTAAGGATCAACAAATACATGATAGGTCATGGAAACCTTTGGCAAAATTGCAGCTAAATCTAGATATACCAACTGGTTTTATTTAACACAATCAGAAACATAAAGAGAACAAATAAAAAAACCATATCTTGGTACTAAGCTATTTTACCAGAATACTGATAAAAAAAAGAAATCCAACATTTAAGTTATGACATAGTCCAGTAAAGATTTGAAGTATATATTACCCTTCTGTCAAGTCCTCTCACGCCCTCCTCCTGCACTCCAGCTTAGAAACAAATCCCTCAGCCCTGCTCCCTGAACTCTTTTACCTTTACTGATACATTGATCTCATTTTACCATAGCTACATTGATCTCATTTTACTATGGCTGTTTAGAATTTCCCTAAGGGTAACTAGGTGTTAACTCATCCCTATTTGTAAATCCACCCAAAACAGTTTCTGGTACACAGAAGATCAGTGGATAATTATTGAATACATACAGTAATTCCAAATGCTAATAATAATACAATCTAAGAACTAATATAGTCCATATTTGTTAAGATGATTCTCTAAAATACTTAGGAATCCAACTTACAAGGGACGTGAAGGACCCCTTCAAGGAGAACTACAAACCACTGCTCAATGAAATAAAAGGATACAAACAAATGGAAGAACATTCCATGCTCATGGGTAGGAAGAATCAATATCATGAAAATGGCCATACTGCCCAAGGTAATTTATAGATTCAATGCCATCCCCATCAAGCTACCAATGACTTTCTTCACAGAATTGGAAAAAACTACTTTCAAGTTCATATGGAACTAAAAAAGAGCCTGCATCGCCAAGTCAATCCTAAGCCAAAAGAACAAAGCTGGAGGCATCACACTACCTGACTTCAAACTATACTACAAGGCTACAGTAACCAAAACAGCATGGTATTGTTACCAAAACGGAGATATAGATCAATGGAACAGAACAGAGCCCTCAGAAATAACACTGCATATCTATAACTATCTGATCTTTGACAAACCTGAGAAAAACAAGCAATGGGGAAAGGATTCCCTATTTAATAAATGGTGCTGGGAAAACTGGCTAGCCATATGTAGAAAGCTGAAGCTGGATCCCTTCCTTACACCTTATACAAAAATTAATTCAAGATGGATTAAAGACTTAAACATTAGACCTAAAACCATAAAAACCCTAGAAGAAAACCTAGGCATTACCATTCAGGACATAGGCATGGGCAAGGACTTCATGTCTAAAACACCAAAAGCAATGGCAACAAAAGCCAAAATTGACAAATGGGATCTAATTAAACTAAAGAGCTTCTGCACAGCAAAAGAAACTACCATCAGAGTGAACAGGCAACCTACAAAATGGGAGAAAATTTTCCCAACCTACTCACCTGACAAAGGGCTAATATCCAGAATCTACAATGAACTCAAACAAATTTACAAGAAAAAAACAAACAACCCCATCAAAAAGTGGGCAAAGGACATGAACAGACACGTCTCAAAAGAAGACATTCATGCAGCCAAAAGACACATGAGAAAATGCTCATCATCACTGGCCATCAGAGAAATGCAAATCAAAACCACAATGAGATACCATCTCACACCAGTTAGAATGGCAATCATTAAAAAGTCAGGAAACAACAGGTGCTGGAGAGGATGTGGAGAAATAGGAACACTTTTACACTGTTGGTGGGACTGTAAACTAGTTCAACCATTGTGGAAGTCAGTGTGGCGATTCCTCAGGGATCTAGAACTAGAAATACCATTTGACCCAGCCATCCCATTAAGGGGTATATACCCAAAGGATTATAAATCATGCTGCTGTAAAGACACAGGCACACGTATGTTTATTGTAGCACTATTCACAATAGCAGAGACTTGGAACCAACCCAAATGTCCAACAATGATAGACTGGATTAAGAAAATGTGGCACACATACACCATGGAATACTATGCAGCCATAAAAAATGATGAGTTCATGTCCTTTGTAAGGACATGGATGAAATTGGAAATCATCATTCTCAGTAAACTATCGCAAGGACAAAAAACCAAACACCACATGTTCTCACTCATAGATGGGAATTGAACAATGAGAACACATGGACACAGGAAGGGGAACATCACACTCTGGGGACTGTTGTGGGGTGGGGGGAGGGGGGAGGGATAGCATTAGGAGATATACCTAATGCTAAATGACGAGTTAATGGGTGCAGCACACCAGCATGGCACATGTATACATATGTAACTAACCTGCACATTGTGCACATGTACCCTAAAACTTAAAGTATAATAATAATTAAAATTAATTAATTAATTAATTAATTAATTTTAAAAAAGATGATTCTCTACTAGCATTTTTTTCCAAGAGTAATAATTCTTTAGAAAATTTAGCTGACCATGTCTATTAAAGTAAAATAATTGAGAATTTATTTAGAATTGTCTGCATTTCAAAACTTTTTTTGCAGTTTCTATGACCTACAAAAGAAATGATTGATGGAATGATAATATATTTTAAAAGTATATTATATATATAGATTATATTACAGGGTCTTGGAATGGACTGCTTTACTCTCTTTATCTTTGTTGGGAGCATTATTAATAATAAAAAAAAGCTATCCCAAACTCAAGTATAAATATTAGTCAATCTTTTCTAAAAGGATTAGTCAAAACTAGATGCAAACCCGAGATCTATGAGAATATGCCTGGATTATACATTACCCATAATTTACAAGATTCGCACCCATATTCAAGAAACAAGCATGATATTGTCATAATTACTGTCCGTTCATGTTATATCTCCTCCACCCCTTTATATATAAATTAAATTATAGTCCTGCTGTACTGAATATATGGTAGGCACTGTGAAGTAAGTCTAAATTTATGGGGGCATGCCAAGCAGTATTTTTGAAGGATATAGTTAGTAAAATCTATATCCAAAGTGCTGGGATTACGATGGTTCATGCCTGTAATCCCAGCAGTTTGAGAGGCCGTGATGGGTGGATCACCTGAGGTCAGGAGTTCAAGATCAGTCTGGCCAACATGGTGAAACCCCGTCTCTACTAAAAATGCAAAAAATTAGCCGGATGTGGTGGCAGGCGCCTGTAATCTTAGCTACTCAGGAGGCTGAGGCAGGAGAATCGCCTGAACCCCGAAGACAGAGGTTGCAGTGAGCCAAGATCGCGCCACTGCACTCTAGCCTGGGCAACAAGAGTGAAACTCAATCTCAAAAAAAAAAAAAAAAAAGAAAGAAAGAAAGAAAACATAAAAGAAAAAGAAAATCTTAACTAAGCACAGCTGCTTCTACTTTTTGATGTCCAGTTCAACCAATTGCCCTCATTCCTAATAGATTCAGTTTTCCTAGTGTTATCTCCATTCCTTAGATAAAACAAAATGATAAGAAAGGTTAATATATGAATATAAAAGATGAAAGATATTAAATACATATGTGTAAATTTATTTTCTTAAAAATTGATTATATCAAGCAGACAGTATTTTGGAAAACCAAAAATACATGCTCAATTACTGTATTTTACTTTCTGAAATCATAAGATGTCTAAAAAAAGATTTTATTTGCCTGTATGAGAAAATATTCCAAACATATAAAAGGGTTTTTTCTGGTAGATTAGGAATGAAATATCCCAAATATCCACATCACCAAAAGCTCATTTTATTAAGCTGTTTTTATGAGCGCCTGATTGCCTTATATAAGTTTATGTTTTTGATTGATCTCATTCTTAAGAAATTGGTCTTCCATGCCATTAAGAAATAGTTGGCTTGCTGTACTCAACCCAAGGAAATTACTATTTTCCCTTTCATGTAAATATTTTCATTTATCTGGGGAGTCCATTTGAGGCATGCCAAAAATAGGCATGATTCTTCATGCCTATTTTTTCAAATATTGCCTAAGAGGATATACAGATTAAGTGTGATCTAGACTCAAAATTTGTAAACTTCCCATAAGTAACTTCATTTCTGGAACAGAATGGTGTGATTTTAATGGAAATTTCAAAGCTTTAACTTTTTAAAATATGGAATATAAACAAATCCATAACAATATGTTTGGAAAAATAAAAGATATTGAAAAAAATTATAATTAGCAAAAGTTCACTCCTCGTTCATTTACTCATTCATTCATGCATTCATTCACCAAATACTTTTTGCCCCTTGTGAAACCTAGTTGCCTTTCCTCCCTTGGGGTGTATAAATACTCAATTAAGCTTATACACAATGAAGTTCAAGTAATTTTTAAATGCCCTTTCAGAGTTTGTTCAAGATATCAATTTTTAAAACAATTTGCTTAGTGTCATAAAAGCTGAAATGAGAGTTGCTAACTGTATAAAACTAGTTATGCAAAGAAAGAAAAACTTTGATGTTTAATATCCATTTTATACTAGATATCTAGATATCCTTTTTATTATATTTTTTATTGAAGCGTGATTCACAATTGCAAAGATAAGGAATCAACCTAAGTATCCATCAGCTGATGTGCAGAGAAAAAATGTTATATATATATATATATACACACACACATATATATACATATATACACACATATATAGTAATACTACTATAATAGAATATATATGAGATATGTGATATATATATAAAATATGGAATACTACTCAGCCATAAAAAAGAACGAAATAATGTCTTTTGCAGCAACTTAATGGAACTGGAGGCTACAATTCTAAGTGAGGTAACTCAGGAATCTAAAACCAAATACCACACGTTCTCACTTCTAAGTGGAAGCTAAGCCATGAGTAGACAAAGGCATACAGAGTGGTAGAATGGATACTGGAGACTCAGAAGAGGGGAGCTGGAAAGTGACTAAAAGATGAAAAACTAACTTTTGGGAACAATGTACACTACCCAGGTGACAGGTGCACTAAAATCCCAGACTTTACCACTGTACAATTTATCCATATAACCAAAAACCACTGTACTCCAAAAGCTATTGAAATTAAAAGTTAAAACAAAAAAAGATATCCATTTTGTCAACAATAATTTATGTCTCACTAAATTTATGTCTCAATAAATATATGGTCAACTAGCTCTAAGACACACTGCCTGAAATTTCAGGATATTTCATATTGTATTTATATTGTTATAAAATACATAAATTTTCCCTTGCATTCATTATAACTTAAAACTAGAGAGAATGTTTATAATTGATTAACTAAATTCTCTTTTTCTACCAAGCCAGTCTTAACAATAATGAGAAATTAAACTATAAAATCAATGAAGTGGACTGGTTTATATTTTCCCAAATTTCTTCCTTTCTACTGATTATTTTATTCTAATATCATAGGCCTGCTCTACTTGAGGGAAATAGTAAAATTATATTGTCACTGTATATTTATTATTCATTACAATTATACATATTTAGAAGGGTCCAAGCATTCGCTCTTTCTCTTCTCTCTTTTTATCTGAAGTTTTCTCTTTCTGCAAGTTAATACATGAAGAGGCTAATTGCTTTTAAATAGGCATCTATTTGTTAGAAGTTTAATATTTTGATAAAAGAGAATGCTTATATTAATATTAAATACTAATTTTGGCTTGACAATATTTGTGAAGACTCTTGCCATCTCACCTCCCATTTCTTTGGAAAATCAAAAGTTAAGAAAATGTCCATGTGTTCTAAAATTGTAATCCGAAATTCACTAAATCTTTTAGAAAAAAGGATTTTGACCCTGCTAAAAAGTTGGTACATGTTGTGAGTTGTCTCTTTTACAAAATTATTAAAGTTGGAAAACTTTAATATTTAATTATAGTAGCCATGTTTTAACACCATATTAATTTTCCTAAATTTTTAATCTTGTTACAATTTTTAAAACCTTGACATTTTCATAAGTGGTTACAGAATTTCAACAAACAACCATATAACAATAAATTTTAAAATGTTTGACCTTAGAAAACATTTCAAACTCTTAAATTTGCAGCCGCCAACAGCCTGCACACACACACACACACACACACACACACACACAGTCTGGTAAAAGTCAAAAGTCACAGACTTTCTTCGTAAACATGGTTTTATGGTCTTTCTCTTTCTTGTGCTGCTGACATTAACAATTTAGTTACAATCATTTGTAATTCAGACAGGCCAGCAGTCAATTATACAGTTAAAAGATCTTGTACTATTTGATTCCTTCCTCCACCACTTCAAAACTGTTGACTTTGGGCAAGTTACCGCACCTCTCTGTGCATCTGTAAAATCTTACCACTCTGAGTTTTTCTGAGAATGATGTATTATGACATACGCAAAGCACTTAAAACAATATCTGACATTAATAAGTGCCGTAAGTGTTAGCCACTACTATTATTATGCTTGTCATCAGGGCAAAGCTTGAGAACATAAATCCACCGATAATTCTCAAGTCTTAGCTTGTCAAACTATCATTAGTTTTCTCACCAAGCAGTGGACTGGTTTTAACCAGAGGGTTCTGAACTGGACTGGGAAAACAGGACATCTTTATTTTCACTAACTTCTAAGTGTATGTCCTTCAATTGTGAATGTACAAAATCCATTACAGTACTATTAGCAGTATCTGTAATGTTGTCAACAGTAGAAATTACAGATTCGTCCATATTTCATTATAGTTATTTATGGATTTCAAAATATTGTTTTCACTCATCACCATTTAAAAAGTTTGGTAGTTATTAATGACATTCTTCCAGAAATAGAAAAAATAAATCCAAAATTTATATGGACCACAAAAGACTCAGCCAAAGCAATCCTGAGCACATAGAAAAATGCAACAGAATAGAGAATACAGAAATAAATCCAGGCATTGACAGCCAACTGATTTTCAATAAAGGTGCCAAGAACATACATTAAGGAAAGAACAGTCTCTTCAAGAAATGGAGCCAGAAAAACTATGTGTGTGTGTGTGTGTGTGTGTGTGTGTGTGTGTGTGTGTGTGTGTGTGTGTGTGTGTGTGAATGCAGAAGAATGAAACTAGATGCCCATCTCTCACCATCTACAAAAATCAAATTAAAATGGATTAAAGATTTCAATCTAAGACCTGAAACTATAAACTACTGGAAGAAAACATTGGGGAAACACTCCAAGACATTTGTCTGGGCACAGATTTCTTGAGTAAGACCTCAAAAGTACAGGTAACCAAAGCAAAACAGATAAATGGGATCACATCAAACTAAAAAGCTTCTGCACAGCAAAGGAAACAATCAACAAAGTGAAGAGATAACACGTAGAATAGGATAAAATATTAGCAAACTGCACCTCAGATAAAGGATTAAAACCAGAATATATAAGGAACTCAAACAACTCAATAGAAAAAAAATAAAATAAAATAATTGGATTTAAAAAGAGGCTACTCAGGAGGCTGAGGTAGGGGAATCGCTTGAAACTGGGAGGCAGAGGGTGCAGTGAGCCAAGATCAAGCCACTTCACTCCAGCCTGGGCAATATGAACGAAACTGCGTCTCAAAACAAAACAAAACCGGGCGCGAGGTTTCACGCTTGTAATCCCAGCACTTTGGGAGGCTGAGGCGGGCGGATCACTAGGTCAGGAGTTCGAGACCAGCCTGGCCAACACAGTGAAAACCCGTCTCTACTAAAAATACAAAAATTAGCTGGGCGTGGTGGCAGGCACCTGTAATCCCAGCTACTTGGGAGTCTGAGGCAGGAGAATCGCTTGAACCCTGGAGACGGAGGTTTCAGTGAGCCAAGATCGCACCATTTCACTCCAGCCTGGGCGACACAGTTAGACTCTGTCTAAAAAAAAAAAAGAGGCAAAAAATCTTAATACACATTTCTCAAAAGAAGACAGACAAATGGCCAACAGGTATATGAAAAAAGCTCAACATTACTAATCATCAGAGAAATGCAAATCAAAACTATAATCAGATATCATCTCACCCCAATTAAAGTGGATTTTATCCAATAGACTGGCAATAATGTATGCTGGTGAGGATGTGAAGAGAGAGGAACCCTCATACACTGTTGGTGGGAATATGAATTATTGTAGCCACTATGGAGAACAATTGGGAGGTGCCTCAAAACCTAAAAATAAAACTATATGATCCAGTAATCCCACTGCTGGGTATATATCCCAGCAGAAAGGAAATCAGTGTATACAAGAGATATTTGAACTCCCATGTTTATTACAGCACTATTCATAATAGCCAAGATAGGGATTCAACATGTTCAACAATGGATGAATTGATAAAGAAAATGGGGTACATTTCTATAGCCACCTTATTGTGCTACCAAACACTAGATTTTATTTCTTCTAACTCTATTTTTCATTCTTCTGCATATGTATACCCGGTTTTCCCAGTACCATTCATTTGTTGAAGAGACTCTCCTTTCCCCAGAGTATGTTCTTGACAACTTTATTGTAAATGCCTGGATTTATTCCTGTATTCTGTATTATGTTGCATTTTTCTATGTGTCTGTTTTTATGCCAGCACCATGCTTTTTGGTTACTATAGCTTTGTAGTATAATTTGAAGTCAGGTAATGTGATGCCTCCAGCTTTGTTCTTTTGTTCACTGGAATATTATTAATGAAATTAATACAATAGAAGATTATTCAGCCATAAAAATAATTAAATCCTGCTATTGAAAACAACATGGATGGACCTGGAGGGCACTCTATTAAGTGAAATAAGCCAGACACAGAAAGACAAATATTACATCTTCTTACTCGTATGTGGGAGATTAAAAAATATTGAACTCCTGGAGGTCGAAAGTAGCATGGTGTTTAACAGAGGCTGAGAAAGGCAGTGGGGAGAGCAGGATAAAGAAGACATGGTTAATGGGTACAAAAATGATGTTTAGACAGAAGAAATAAGATCTAATGTTTGATAGCACAATAAAGTGGGTATAGTTAACAATAATTTATTGTATTTTTCAAAATAACTAAGAGTGGAATTAGAATGTTCCTATCATAAAGAAATGTTGATTTCTTGAGGCGATGGATATCCCAGTAATTCTGAATTGAGCATTATATATTATATGCTTGTATCAAAATATCACATGTGCCCTATAATCAAATACTAATATACATTTTGCTGTGAAGGTAATTTTTTAGATGTGGTTAACATCTATAATCAGTTTTCTTTAAGTGAAGGAGATTACCCTGGATAATGTTGATGGGACTCATCTAATCAGTTGAAAGGCCATAAGGACATACAATGGGATTTCCCAGAGAAGTAGAAATTCTGACTCAAGCCTGGAACACCAATTGTTTCTGAATTTCCAGCCTAAGGATTTTTGGACTTGTCAGTCCCACAATCATGTCAGCCAATTTCTTAAACAACATGATAGATGATAGATAGGAGAGAGAGAGAGAGAGATGATAGATTAGATATAGATAGATAGATATAGATAGATAGATAGATAGATAGATAGATAGATAGATAGATAGATTGATTGATTCTGATTCTCTGGAAACTTTGCCTGATATAGTTCAGTGTTCATTATCACTCAACCTACATGATTTCAAATAGGATAAAGGTAAAATAAGAAATATATTTATCTTTGTCTTTCCATACTTTTCTTGTACTCCTACATTCTTCTTACTTTAGCTATGTCTTATAAATTTTGTTTCTTGATATTTAAACACCACATAGGATAGAAGTTTCAAAGATACAAAATTGAAATATGTCTTTGCCCTATTTTGTTAATATCCAGATAATTAATATTTTATATTTTGAGGGACAACTAATATTAGCCATCGTGTTTCAACTATGACAACATAACCTTTTGTGAGTTTAGTGAGTTATTTCTAAAGGTTTGGCAGGAATAAGTTTCTCAAGAATGTCAAAGCCAAGAGTTATACAGGTTTTCTCACTTAAAAAGCAATAAAAACTGGAACATATCACCAAAAATAAAATTTTATATAACCTCCCTTGTTTTTTATATTTATATAATTATTTCTGTTTAATTCCAAAGAATACTAATTCTTGGTTATACTTGAAACTCAGTGAAAATCCAGTGGTACTTATAGTAATTTAAGATTTTTTTTTTAATTATACTTTAAGTTTTAGGGTACATGTGCACATTGTGCAGGTTAGTTACATATGTATACATGTGCCATGCTGGTGCGCTGCACCCACTAACTCGTCATCTAGCATTAGGTATATCTCCCAATGCTATCCCTCCCCCCTCCCCCCACCCCACAACAGTCCCCAGAGTGTAATATTCCCCTTCCTGTGTCCATGTGATCTCATTGTTCAATTCCCACCTATGAGTGAGAATATGCGGTGTTTGGTTTTTTGTTCTTGCGATAGTTTACTGAGAATGATGTTTTCCAATTTCATCCATGTCCCTACAAAGGACATGAACTCATCATTTTTTATGGCTGCATGGTATTCCATGGTGTATATGTGCCACATTTTCTTAATCCAGTCTATCATTGTTGGACATTTGGGTTGGTTCCAAGTCTTTGCTATTGTGAATAGTGCCGCAATAAACATACGTGTGCATGTGTCTTTACCGGAACCAGCCGCTATAAAGTAATTTAAGATTTAAAAATAATTTGGGAAAATGTAAAGGATTTTAGGAAAGTGGTTGCAAATTAACTTAGGCTTGGACGCTTGTAATAAGTCAGTGATAATTAATTTGTGCTCATGAGGTGTTTGAAATCATAGAATAACCACCTCGTAATTTGATGCAATAATTGTGACTCTGCTAAAAAAGTTGGCTTTTGTGATGTACCACTCTTTCTCTGAAGAATAATAAATGTTTTTTTGCTTTGGAATCAGACTTCAAGTTTACAGACAAGTGTGTAATTCATTGATTCTTATATACATTTTACACAATGAAATATATATAAGAATATGCAACCACTCTCCATCTCTTCTAAATTTTGAACCATTCCAATTTTCCTAAGAATGTATTTGTATTTTTTATTTAAATCTCATGTGTTAGAAACTAAACTAAATGTCTTGATCATTGCTCACAAATAGTCATATTTGAAACAGCATGTTATAAGCCCCTGGGTTCTCTTTTCTTTAAACAATAGGCATCTTAATGAAGAGCCTAGAGGTCCTAATTCTCTGGAGGCTGCCTCTGAACTAACAGCCATTTCAGCCATAGGTTTCTGGTTAATAATAAAGTAAAAGAAAGGTCACAATGAGGAACTCTCTCCAAAGAATTATATGGATGGCAGCAGGCAAAGAGAGAGAGCTTGTGCAGGGAAACTCCCATATTTGAAACCAACAGATCTCATGAGACTCATTCACTATCACGAGAACAGTGCAGGAAAGACCTACCCTCATAATTCAATCACCTCCCCCCTGGTTCTTCCCACAACAAGTGGGAATTTTGGGAGTTACAGTTCAAGATGAGACTTGGGTGGGGACACAGCCAAACCATATCAATTTCCTTCATTACTATAGTTCATTTGTATATCATAGGAGTCATGAATTTTATTTTTTAAGTTTAAAGGAGGAACAACTGTATTTAAAGCTTTACAGTTACTAATAGGATATCAACAAAGTTCTTCAATAGATCAATTCATTCATTTAACTAATGAATATTGAGCACTTATCACAGGCCAGGCACCATGTCAGGCACTGGCTACACAAAGTGGTGGGAGAAGACAAACACAACATTTGCTTTTAGGGAGCTTACTATTTTGTGGAGTAGATAGCAATTAATAAAATAAAGCCACCAAACTTAGATAAGTAGTCTGAATAAATGTGACACACTGCATAGTGGAAGAACCTGGTCTAGACTAAAAGTCAGAAGTACCACAAAAATGTGGTACTCCAGCTAAACCTGAAGGATACCTAGGAGTTACCTAGTTGCAATGAGAGCCAAGCTGAGGAAAAGTACCAGAAAGTGAAAAGGCCTATGTCAAGTCCCTGTGGCTGGAGAAAGCCTGGGGAAAAAGAAGGTGAGGCCCCAGAGGGAAGAGAGCAAGGTAGGGATGGTGTGAGATGAGGCTGCTCATCCATGTTCCAGAGATTGGCCTTTGCCCTGGAAGAAACAGGAAGCTACAGGATTTTTAGGAGGGTGATGACATGTTATGCCACAGATCTGTCTTCTCTGCCAGGGCTTTTGTGAAATCTGGTACCTAGCAGACAATGCCTGACACTTAATATAGCTGATAAATATTTGTTAGGAAAAAGAAGGAAGAAAGGAGGAAGGAACAGAGGGAGGGAGGGAGGAAAGAAAGGGAATTAGGAAAGGAAGCAAGTAAAAGAGAAAGGAGGGGAGAAGAAGAGAGGAAGAAAGAAAAAAAGGAAGGAAGGCAAAGAAAGAAGAGGGCAAGGGAAGAAGGAGGGAAGCAAAAGGAGAAGAAGGAAGGGAGGGAGAGGCAGGTTAAGGGATGGAGAGAGGGGTGGAAGGAAGGAAGAAAGAGAGAAAACAAAGAAAGAAAGGAATGAAGAGAAAAGTAGAAAGGTAGTAAGAGAGGAGATGGAGAGATGAAGGCAGGAAGGAAGGAAAAAAGGAAGGGAGAAAACGGAGGAATGAAGAAAGGGGGAGAGAAAGGAAGGGAAAAGGAGGAAGGGAGAAAGGTGGAGAAAAGAGAGGGAAGGAGGGAGGAAGGAAGGAAGAGACAAAAAAAAGGATGGAAGGAATGAATGCAGGAAGGAATGTAGGCAGAGAGGGAAAAAGGGGAGAAGGAAGGAAACATCAGAGAGTGAGACACAGCAGAGGCATAGGATTTAGAGACAAGTCAAATCAATTCCCCATCTACTACCGTGGCTCCTTGAACTTTCTCCAAAACATCCCAGGTAATCTCATTTTGGTCGTTATTGCCATTTTTATAGATGGGGATGATAAGCCCAGGATAATCAACTTGCTTAAGGTGATGTAACCAGTTCTCACACAAGCCTTCTCTCCAGAATATTAACACATTCATGTGAACGTGTGTGTGTAGGCATATATCATGTATGTGCACGCATGTCCTTTTACTCTGTCTCCACTGGGAATGTCTTAATTTTCATTAGATTCCAAGTAAGAATCAAAATAATGAGACCATGCTTTATATATTCTTAAAATTATTGCAAACATTATATTTACTTTTAAGTAAAGTTTCTGTGACACAGTGCGCCTAACAGATAGTGGGAATTTTATTTATGCATAAAATGCACTGCATAATGAAGTAATTGAGTCTTCATTTTCCATATGGCGTTCTGGACAGTTTGGTTTTGAATGAGTTGGTAAGATTCCCAAGTGGTTGTCACACATGTGGCTGAGAGAAAATTAAAGGGCTGGCTCTCCTCATAGTTCCTTCAGGTCAAGAGGAAAGCAGCTAATATTATTGACTCCTCAACCCAAAAGAAGACAAAAAGACATTCCCTCAAGATACACAGTCATATTCTTCCTCCCTTTCCTGTGTTGCTAGTTTGGATTTCACAGAAGCATAACTAAGGCATACCTGGTCAATTTATAGGCATGCGGAAAGTAAAACAAAAGTACTGAAAAAGAAATTTTAGCATTTGAGCAAAAGTACATCCCAGTTCTTTCTGGAATTAAGTGCTAAGTTCCTGAAGAATGAAGTTGATTTATGCTTTTTTTTTTCTAATTTAGGAATCAATGACCTCAAAGAAGCCATTTCTTAATCTTTGCTCAGAATTGATGCTGGGCTTCCTTTGCTCTGCTTTTGCTCAAACTTCTCGCCTCCAGTTTGGGACCCCTCTTTCCTCTGCTTGTCTCCCATCTCCCCCTCCCCTCTCCCTTTTCCTCTCTCATCTCTCATCTCTCATCTCACATACTCAGGGCTCATCTCAGATGCTCCCACCTCTCTGTATTCATGACTATTTTTCTGGGATTCTCTCTGTAGTACTAATGGTTCTCTCTGTTGATCTATCACTTCCTATGCTTCCCAGTCCTCTATTCAGAAAAGCCCCATGCTGACTCCACAGTTAAACAGAAAAAAAAATTTACTCTGAAAATTAATAAGTAACTTGCACCAAGTGTAGTATTTAAAAGGAGAAGAAGAGGACAGTGTTTAAAAAAAGACAGGAGTGATATTCTTTTCCCCTGACATATTTTCACTCCTCTCTAATTTTTTTTTTGGTCCCTGGCCTGTAAACTTTGAAAGCTTTTGATATTTATTTTGAGTGAGTTCTTCACGTGTGAGAAATATGCTACTGCTTTCTAAACTGAAGAGAGCAGGGACCAAAAAACTCTTTGGAATTAACTGGTGGCAGCAAAAGGAAAAGGCTGATGAAAGGAAGAAATGGAGCTGTGAAGAGAACAAAAATATCTCCAAGAGTTTAAATAGGTCAGATATCTACCTATCACCCTCATAATTCTAACCTTCCTCTCGGGTCAAATCTGTGGGGCCTTCCTACTCCAGGGGCATAAGACCTGGAGAACTACAGACCTGGCTGGGAAGTAAAAGAGGGACTCTTAATATACAGTTTCAGGGATATTATGAGTTAGATAAAACTTTATGAAAACTCAACCACTGTCATTATTTTTAACACAACATGTATTTCAAGCTTGGAGCAAACTTCAGTGCACGTAAGCCAGGTAGCTTTTATTCGAATTCTAGTTCTACCACTTATGAGATGCGTTACCTTTGACAATTGTTTAGCCTGAGTTTTTACATTTATAAAATAGGGACAATATTGTTGTCTACTTCACAAGGGTATTGTAAAGATTAACTAAATTAAGGTAAAGAACTGAGAACATTTTCTGACACTGTGTGGGATTGTTTAATTAAGGAGATAGATAAGCACTGCAGAAACTTTTTGAATGCACACATAACATCAAACCTGCAATAGTGGATCTGGAAGAGAGTAATGGTTACCTATTTTTGCCAATATCACTCTAGAGGTATGGTGAGATGAAATGTCACTGCATGTTTAGAGTGATAATGGCACATACAGTATGTGAAATCCCCAGAAATGTGCTTAGCATAGAGTAAGTACTCAACAATAGCTATTATTATTACCATTATCCATGTTATCATGATTATATAACCCTTCCCATGGCACGCTCATCATCAAGAATCTCTTGATTGACAATCCCTGTTGCTATTACAGAACCTCTCAAATGATTGACTCAATAGGTGTTTCCAGTTTTGGTCAAAATTCCATCTCATTACCACTGTGATCTTGTTTGTGGACTGCTATATTGTACAAGGCCTACTGAGCCCACAGAATGTTAGCATTGTAGCAAAAGTGGCACTGCTGATCATTGGAAAATCTTTAATCCAGATGGTGCAGGTCAACACTTAAAACCCATATGGTTACCTTGAACCTAAAGAGGGGAAAACTGGTGGTCAGTTTCAATTCACATTTGAAAGTGTTTCTTAAGAAATCTTGCTATTAAATGCAATCAAGCACTTTGAGAAGGACTAGAGAGGTGAAGTTTCCAAAATGTCAACATTTGGAAACAGAAAAAAGGAATACAATAACTGCTATTGTTAAGTTTTAAACTTTTAAAATACCAAATTAGGTTTTGCTTTGCTTTGCTTTACTGAAGTAAACATTTGTTTGGGTGGCCATCTTTGAATCTATTCGAGCACTGAATTTTGTCACAGTGTGCAAATGTTTTCTAGCTTTGTGTTCCCTCTGGGTAAACATATAGACAATGTAATTATCCATATGTACTCTGTTATTTGGGTTACTTTGGAGATATACAGGATCCATGAGTCAAGATAAACCCAGAAATTAACTTTCTAAGTGATACTGAGCCATTCCCTCTTGATATGCAATTTCTTTGTGTTATGGATTTTTCTGTCTTAAAAGGAAATCACATTATATTCCTTTCTATATTGTTAACAATAGTAGCCCCAGAATTCACTTCAATGTATTTCAAAACTAATTATTAAACAGCTTATATCTACACTCTGTTTAGTGCTGGAAGAGGAAATAACTGTAAGATTAATGACACTCTAATGGTACAGAACAGAAAATTCTCTGTCTCTAAGATCATCTAAACCAAAGACATGTACACAACTACCTATAATGTAGGCCAGACCACAGAAATGCTAAGTGATGCTTTAAAGTCTTCTGAAAAATAATGCCTTAACTAAACAAAGTCCCCCTACATCCAGAGTATGAATGATGCTGCTATTACTTATTTCTACTGTCTTCCATCTATTTTATAGTGTTCTTTGATCCATTCTTTGCATTCTTCTTGTTTGAAAGTAATATTCTTGATAGTTTAATAATGAGACCCCTCCTTTGTTCCTAGATGCCTTGGCGGCTAATCAACAAAAGCCATTGAAAGACTTAATCCTCTAAGCTTGGCACCACATCAGTCTGGAAGTAGTTTACATGCAGAGTCCTTTGGAGTAAATACTCATTAGAGGTTCTGTTGGCTCATTTGGTCACCCACATTTTGCAGTGGGTGGCCTAGTTGGCATCCTCATTATTTTCTTTTTCCACTCCTGAAAATAATCCAGATGTAGCAACCTGACACTACTTTCTTTGGTACTCCAAATCCATTGTTATGAAGGGTCCATTAATTTGTGATGCTAGCTAATATGTCCAAATAAATAAAGGCCTCAGGCCAGTAATGCTGTAATAAATCTTTTACTAATACACTTTTTTCAGTGCAACCTATTGAATGCAATTCAATGGCTTCAAGGATAATTTACTGTAATTTCTTGTGCCTGAAACCTAGAGAATTATGTGCCATCTACCCCCGCCTCACCACTTCTCCTCCCCACCCACATTTTTACACTGATGAACAAGTCAATTTACAGAAGCAAATTTATCCAGGTTATTCACTAATTACAAAGCAAGTATCTCGCTTCTTCATTTATTACCTAGATAGACTTTTACTACATAGCTTCTTGATTATTACTTGAATCAAAGAAGCAGAGAGTCTCTGGAATGTTATTATCTTTCCAGGTTTAACAATGAAAATCTAAAAAAAAAAAAAAGACTTTGTTTCTTGACTTCCTAAGTACAAAGTACTGTTAAAAGACAAGGAGGGTAAGATATATCTTATTCTTTCAGAGCTTGTTTTATTGTTATAAAGCCAATAAAAGTAAGTTGTCACTTTTTCCCTCATGATTATGACAACAATCTGCAAAATGGGCTTGCAATAAAATTTACCGGATAGGATATTTATTAATGCAAGGATTAAAATCACAACTTATATAAAGTTCTTAGAACAGTGTCTAGCTTTAGGCCATGAGTACCAATGTATGAGAAGCTATTATATTCTTGTCATATGACTTCATATTAATCTTTTTGTTTTATACTTTAAGTTCTCAGATACATTTGCAGAATGTGCAGGTTTGTTACATAGGTATGCATGTGCCATGATGGTTTCCTGCACCCACCAATCTGTCATTTACATTAGGTATTTCTCCTAATGCTATTCCTCTCTGACCCTTCCACCCCACTACAGGCCCCAGTGAGTGATGTTCCCTTCTCTGGGTCCATGTGTTCTCATTGTTCCACTCCTACTTATGAGTGAGAACACATGGTGTTTTGTTTTCTGTTCCTGTGTTACTTTGCTGAGAATGATGGTTTCCAGCTTCATCCATGTCCCTGCAAAGGACATGAACTCATCCTTTTTTATGGCTGCGTAGTATTCCATGGTGTATATGTGCCACATTGTCTTTATCCACTCTATCATTGATGGGCATTTGGGTTGGTTCCAAGTCTCTGCCATTGTGAATAGTGCTGCAATAAATCAAGTACATGTGTCTTTATAGTTGAATGATTTATAATCCTTTGGGTATATACCCAGTAATGGGACTGCTGGGTCAAATGGTATTTCTGGTTCTAGATCCTTGAGGAATCACCACACTGTCTTCCACAATGGTTGAACTAATTAACACTCCCACCAACAGTGTAAAAGTGTTCCCATTTCTCCACATTCTCTCCAGCATCTGTTGTTTCCTGACTTTTTAATGATTGCCATTCTAACTGGAGTGAGACAGTATCTAATTTTGGCTTTGATTTGCATTTCTCTAATGACCAGTGATGATGAGCTTTTTTTCCTGTTTGTTGGCCACATAAATGTCTTCTTTTGAGAAGTGTCTCTTCATAACCTTCACACACTTTTTGATGGGGTTTTTGTTTTTTTCTTGTAAATTTGTTTAAGTTCCCTGTAGCTTCTGGAGATTAGCCCTTTGTCAGACAGAGAGATTGCAAAAATTTTCTCCCATACTATAGGTTGCCTGTTCACTCTGATGATAGTTTCTTTTGCTGTGCAGAAGCTCTTTAGCTTAATTAGATCCCATTTGTCTATTTTGGCTTTTGTTGCCATTGCTTTTGGTATTTTAGTCATGAAGTCTTTGCCCTTGCCTATGTCCTGAATGGTATTGCCTAGGTTTTCCTCTAAGGTTTTTTATTGTTTTAGCTCTTACATTTAACTCTTTAATCCATCTTGAGTTAATTTTTGTATAAGGTGTAAGGAAGGGGTCCGGTTTCAGTTTTCTGCATATGGCTAGCCAGTTTCCCAACACCATTTATTAAATAGGGAATCCTTTTCCCATTGCTTGTTTTTGTCAGGTTTGTCAAAGATCAGATGGTCATTGTCATAGATGTGTGGTGTTATTTCTGAGGCCTCTGTTATGTTCCATTGGTCTATATACCTGATTTGGTACCAGTACCATGCTGTTTTGGTTACTGTAGCCTTGAGGTATAGTCTGAAGTCAGGTAGCATGATGCCTCCAGTTTTCTTCTTTTTGCTTAGGATTGTCTTGGCTATATGGGCTCTTTTTTGGGTCCATATGAAATTAAGGTAGTTTTTTTCTAATTCTGTGAAGAAAGTCAATGGTAGCTTGATGGGGACAGCATTGAATCTACAAATTACTTTGGGCAGTATGGCCATTTTCACGATATTGATTCTTCCTATCCATGAGCATGGAATGTTTTTCCATTTGTTTATGTCCTCTCTTATTTCCTTCAGCAGTGGTTTGTAGTTCTCCTTGAAGAGGTCCTTCACATCCCTTGTAAGTTGTATTCCTAGGTATTTTATTCTCTTCATGGCAATTGTGAATGGGAGTTCACTCATGATTTGGCTCTCTATTTGTTTGTTATTGGTGTATAGGAATGCTTGTGATTTTCGCACATTGATTTTGTATCCTGAGACTTTGCTGCAGTTGCTTATCAGCTTAAGGAGATTTTGGGCTGAGACAATGGGGTGTTCTAAATATACAATCATGTCATCTGCAAACAGAGACAATTTGACTTCCTCTCTTCCTATTTGAATACGTTTTATTTCTTTCTCTTGCCTGATTGCCCTGGCCTGAACTTTCAATACTATGTTGACTAGGAGTGGTGAGAGAAGGCATCCTTTTCTTGTGCCGGTTTTCAAAGGGAATGCTTCCAGCTCTTGCCCATTCAATATGTTATTGGCTGTGGATCTGTCATAAATAGCTCTTATTATTTTGAGATACGTTCCATCAATAACTAGTTTATTGACAGCTTTTAGTATAAAGGGGTGTTGAATTTTATTGAAGGCCTTTCCTGCATTTATTGAGATAATCATGTTGTTTTTGTCATTGGTTCTGTTTATGCGATGGGTTACATTTGTTGATTTGAGTATGTTGAACCAGACTTGCATCCCAGGGATGAAGCCACCTTGATTGTGGTGGATAAGCTTTTTGATGTGCTGCTGGATTTGGTTTGCCAGTATTTTATTTAAGATTTTCGCACTGATGTTCATCAGGGACATTGGTCTGAAATTATCTTTTTTGGTTGTGTCTCTGCCAGGTTTTGGTATCAGGATGATGCTGGCCTCATAAAATGAGTTAGTGAGGATTTCCTGTTTTTGTATTATTTGGAGTAGTTTCAGAAGGAATTGTACCAGCTCCTCTTTGTACCTCTGGTAGAATTCGGCTGTGAATCCATCTGATCCTGGGATTTTTTTGGTTGCTAGGCTATTAAATACTGCCTCAATTTCAGAACTTGTCATTCATCTATTCAGGGATTCGACTCTTCCTGGTTTAGTTTGGGAGGGTGTATGTGTCTAGGAATTTATCCATTTCTTTTAAATTTTCTAGTTTATTTGCCTAGAGGTGTTAAAGTATTCTCTGATGGTAGTTTGTATTTGTGTGGGATCAGCGGTGACATCCCCTTTATCATTTTTTATTATGTCTGTTTGATTCTTCTCTCTTTCCTTCTTTATTAGTCTGGCTAGCAGTCTGTCTATTTTGTTAATCTTAAAGAAAAAGCAGCTCCTAGATTCATTAATTTTTGGAAGGATTTTTCATGTCTCTATCTCCTTCAGTTCCACTCGAATCTTAGTTATTTCTTGTCTTCTGCTAGCTTTTGACTTTGTTTGCTCTTGCTTCTCTAATTCTTTTAATTGTAATATTAGGGTGCTGATTTTAGATCTTTTCTGCCTTTTCCTGTGGGCATTTAGTGCTATAAATTTCCTTCTAAACACTGCTTTAGCTGTGTCCCAGAGATTCTGGTATGTTGCATCTTTGTTCTCATTGGTTTCAAAGAACTTATTTATTTCTGCCTTAATTTTGTTATTTACCCAGTAGTCATTCAGGAGCAGGTTGTTCAGTTTCCATGTAGTTGTGCGGTTTTGAGTGAGTTTCTTAATCCTGAGTTCTAATTTGATTGCACTGTGGTCTGAGAGCCTGTTCGTTATGATTTCCATTCTTTTCCATTTGCTGAGCAGTGTTTTACTTCCAATTATGCGGTTAAATTTGGAATAAGTGTGATGTGGTGCTGAGAAGAATGTATATTCTGTTGATTTGGGGTGGAGAGTTCTGTAGATGTCTATTAAGTCCACTTGGTCTAAAGCTGAGTTCAAGTCCTGAATATCTTTGTTAATTTTCTGACTCGTCGATCTGTCTAATATTGACAGTGGGGTGTTAAATCTCCCACTATTATTGTGTCAGAGCCTAAGTCTCTTTGTAGATCTCTAAGAACTTGCTTTATGAATCTGGGTGCTCCTGTATTTGGTGCATATATATTTAGGATAGTTAGCTCTTCTTGTTGAATTGATCCCTTTACCATTATGTAATGGCCTTCTTTGTCTTTTTTGATCTTTGTTGGTTTAAAGTCTGTTTTATCAGAGACTAGGATTGCAACCTCTGCTTTTTTTTCTTTCCACTTGCTTGGTAGATCTTCCTCCATCCCTTTATTTTAAGCATATATGTGTCTTTGCACATGAGATGGGTCCCCTGAATACAGCACACCAATGGGTTTTGACTCTTTATCCAATTTGCCAGTCTGTGTTTTTTAATTGGGGCATTTAGCCCATTTACATTTAAGGTTAATATTGTTATGTGTAAATTTGATTCTGTCATGATGACGCTAACTGGTTATTTTGCCCATTAGTTGATGCAGTTTCTTCAAAGGGTCGATGGTCTTTACAATTTGGTATGTTTTTGTAGTGGCTTGTACTGTTTTTTCTATTCCATATTGAGTGCTTTTTTCAGGATCTCTTGTAAGGCAGGCCCGATGGTGACAAAAATCTCTCAGCATTTGCTTGTCTGTAAGGATTTTATTTCTCCTTCACTTATGAAGCTTAGTTTGGCTGGATATGAAATTGTGGGTTAAAAATTCTTTTATTTAAGAATGTTGAATATTGGCCCCCACTCTCTTCTGGCTTGTAGGGTTTCTGCAGAGAGATCTGCTGTTAGTCTGTTGGGCTTCCCTTTGTGGGTAACCCAACCTTTCTCTCTAGCTGCCCTTAACATTTTTTCCTTCATTTCAATCCTGGTGAATCTGACAATTATGTGTCGTGGGGTTGCTCTTCTCGAGTAGTATCTTTGTGGTGTTCTCTGTATTTCCCGAATTTGAATGTTGGCCTGTCTTGCTAGGTTGGGATAGTTCTCCTGGATAACAACCTGAAGAGTGTTTTCCAACTTGGTTCCATTCTCCCCGTTACTTTCAGGTACACCAATCAAATGTAGGTTTGGTCTTTTCACATAGTCTCATATTTCTTGGAGGCTTTGTTCTTTCCTTTTCATTCTTTTTTCTCTATTCTTGTCTTCATGCTTTATTTCATTACTTTGATGTTCAATCTCTGATAACCTTTCTTCCACTTGATTGATTCAGCTATTGATACTTGTGTATGCTTCACAAAGTTCTCTTGCTGTGTTTTTCAGCTCTATCAGGTCATTTATGTTCTCTAAACTGGTTACTCTAGTTAGCAATTTCTCTAACCTTTTTTCAAGTTCTTAGCTTCCTTGCATTGGGTTAGAACATGCTCCTTTAGCTCAGAGGAGTTTGTTATTACCCACCTTCCGAAGCCTACTTCTGTCAATTCGTCAAACTCATTCTCCGTCCAGTTTTGTTCCCTTGTTGGGAGGAATTGTGATCCTTTGGAGGAGAAGAGGCGCTCTGGTTTTTGGAATTTTCTGCCTTTTTGCGCTGGGTTTTCCTCATCATCATGGATTTATCTACCTTTGGTCTTTGATGTTGGTGACCTTCAGATGGGGTTTTTGTGTGGCTGTCCTTTTTGTTGATGTTGATGCTATTCCTTTCTTTTTGTTAGTTTTCCTTCTAACAGTCAGGCCTCTCTGCTGCAGGTCTGCTGGAGTTTGTTGGAGGTCCACTCCAGACCCTGTTTGCCTGGATATCACCAGCAGAGGCTGCAGAACAGCAAAGATTGCTGCCTGTTCCTTCCTTTGGAAGCTTCATTCTAGAGGGGCAATCTCCAGGTGCCAGTCAGAGCTCTCCTGTATGAGGTGCCTGTCGACCCCTGCTGGGAGGTATCTCCCCATCAGGAGGCACGGGGCTCAGGGACCCACTTGAGAAGCCAGTCTGTCCCTTAGCAGAGCTCGAGCGCTGTGTTTGGAGACCTGCTGCTCTCTTCAGAGCCAGAATGCAGGAAGGTTTAGGTCTGCGGAAGCTGCGCCCACAGCCACCCCTTCCCCCAGGTGCTCTATCCCAGGGAGATGAGAGTTTGATCTATAAGCCCCTGACAGTGGCTGCTGCCTTTCTTTCATAGTTGCCCTGCCCAGAGAGAAGGAATCTAGAGAGGCAGTCTGACTACAGCAGCTTTGTGGAGCTGCGGTGGGCTCTGCCGAGTTCAAACTTCCTGGAGGCTTTGTTTGCACTGGAAGGGGAAAACCACCTACTCAAGCCTCAGTACTGGTGGATGCCCCTCCCCCCACCAAGCTCAAGCATACCAGGTCGACTTCAGACTTCTGTCCTGGCAGCGAAAATTTCAAACAATCGATCTTAGCTTGCTGGGCTCTGTGGGGGTAGGATCCGCTGAGCTAGACCATTTGGCTCCCTGGCTTCAGCCCCCTTTGCAGGGGAGTGAATGGTTTTGTCTTGCTGGCGTTCCGGGTGCCACTGGGGTATGATAAAAAAGAAAAAGAAAACAAACAAACTCCTGCAGCTAGCTCAGTGTCTGCCCAAACAGCCTCCCAGTTTTGTGCTTGAAACCCAGGGCCCTGGTGGTGTAGGCACCCGAGGGAATCTCCTAGTCTACGGGTTGCGAAGACTGTGGGAAAAGCATAGTGTCTGGGCCGGAATGCACCACTCCTCACAGCACAGTCCCTCACAGCTTCCCTTGGGTAGGGGAAGGAGTTCCCCGACCTGTATTAATCTTAAATAAGGAAACATTCAAAGGTTTTTTGTTTTTGTTTTTGTTTTTTTTTCAGAATTTATAAAACTGTGAAGTTCTATTGCTAACTTCTCCATGGATGACAGGAAATTCAGAGGAGATGTGGTGTTGAAGAATAAAGGAATGTGGCCATCCTTTATAAAGGAATTGTGGCCTCCAGTTGTAGGATATTATATTCATATATTTTCACCCATTACCTCATTAAATACTCACAATGACCACACAAGGTACATACTGCTTTGTCTGTTGGGCAAAAAACTGACTGTAGGCTAACAAAGGTTAAATAAAACTCCAGGATTTGAAGGCAAGCTCATCTAACTCAAAAAATCAGATTCTTTCTTCACATTATTTCCATTCCCTGAGTTCTAATCAGACTACTTAGTATCCTTCTTTTTTTTTTTTTTTTCAAATACAGGAAGAGTGTAGGAAGCATCCTGTCATCTTGTGCAAAATCATACTATATCTTGGATTTTAACTGCCGCTAAGATTTAATAACTTTGGAGGGAAAAACAGCAAGGTATCCTCCTGTGTACCATAAATAGGCTACTCCATGGTAAATTACATACTCATGAGTTATCCTAGAAGGAGCCTCACATCACTCTGGGACAGTGTTGCTGACCATGGCCAAAATCATGAGGGCTTGCACGTGTTCAGGATCAGCTCTGCTGAGTGTGTAACACACATGCAGATGCTGTGCTATTCCCAGCCTTACTACCGACTTACTCAAACTCGCTGCACTCAGGCACAGATGCAGTTTCTGTCTTTTCTCATACATCACAGTATCCAGGTGTTTGTTTGTTTGCTCAGCCATGACATTGAACCACACAAGACTTTTATAAGTGGTCAAATAGATTCATAAGGGGGCAATTCATAATACTGGTCACTTTAAATAGTTTACTACAATAAGTCTAAATTACTCATTCACAAACATACACATAAAACTTCTAAAACATCATTTTGGTGTCCATATCATGGTTACTGCTATACCAACTTATATTACTGAAAACTTCTCTCAAATGGTATGCTAGAAGAGCTCTGAAATAAAGTTTTAATTTAAACAAGGCAATTGCTATATAGCTAGACATGTTTATTTTGTTTTATTATGTTTTGTTTCACTATCAATATGCTTTGAAACTCAGTACATCTGAAGCACTAGTATTATTGATTTCAACTTAGACTATATGGTTATATATCTTTACTATCTACACATCTATATACTTACATATATTAATTTATATCTATAGATATCTATGTGTATGTACATATATACACAGGTATATGCATATGTCTATCAATATGTTATCAAAAGTCACATGTAAATGTTTAGGCTCAAATCTTCTAAACTTAATTATGCTTCATAACATTTCTGCATATTATATATTAACTATTATATAATGTGTATTATGTTTGCTTAGACAAAGTAAAGCCAATGGAAGATATGTAATTTAACTCTTATTCTGCATTATGTTAGATAACTCATCCCAAAAGTATAACAAGTAATAGTTCTGTGAGAATTTTCTTTGTTTGTTTGTTTTGGATGTAAGTAATACAATTTTTCTATACTGGATGATTTATTATGGTTAAATAAGATAATACATGCTGAATTCGCTGCAAGCTAAAGTTCATAGAGCATTATCTGTTTATTTGTCAACATGCTTATTAAGCAGGTTTCATGTGTAAAGGAAATTAAATGCACTGTCATATTGTTGCTATTTTCAATAATGTTACCAATAATAACTAAGTGCTACATGCCAGCTATGAAGGCACTTGGAGAATGAACAATCTATAAAGGGTAGTCCAATCCACCAAAAGTTTATTTTATAATAATATTAGATTTGAGTGCTACCAAATTTTTTAAAAACTCACAAACATGGTCTCACTTTGTCCTTACAACAACAATATGAAATAAGCATTATTATTATCCCTCCACCCGAAGAAGGCAAGTGTCATGAGCAAGAATTTACTACTGCTGCCCAAATGAAAAAGTAACTGGAATTTGCTGATAATTTTGCCCACGTGTCATATAATAAAGTCATTTAAAGCCTGTTTAAAGTGTTGATTGACTTTGCTATTAAATCATTAGAGGTCAACCTATATGGGGGAGAAAAAGGGACTCAGAGTAAAGCAAAATTGTGCCCTAAAGATACTTGAAGGGGTGGTCTAAATTGAAGGAAAAAAAAGAAATTAATGATAAAAATATTATAATTTCATAATTGACACAATATGCAAATAAATATTTCTAGCCTTTAATTGGGAAAATAAAGATTTTTCTTAGAAAGCAATACATTTTCTCCATTCTTCAGTCTAACATATTGAAAATAAACTGCCCAGATGAAAACATTTTCCCCTCTTATTTAAAGCCTGTATCTTTGAATGGCTTTGGAAACTATGGTTGAGTATAGCATCTAAGTACAAATAGGTAGCTTTCCACCAGCATTCAAAATGCATTACCATATGCTTGTTCCCTTCATATTTGAATTTCCCCCTTTTTAACTATAATGCCAAATTAGTCCTTTTGTCATTCTCTGAACCAGAAGATCCTCCTTCTCTCTCCATGCTGAGCCTTTCATAGGGCAATCATCTTCTCATTTACTTCCCATTGTCTCCTCTGTGGACTTTGCCTATTTGAAATCCTACCTATCTTTTCAGGTTTACTGCAAAGCCCATCTTTTTGGATGCTACTCAAGGGTGCTTTTCATGATCCTTCCAGAGAAAAGGAATTTTTCTTTTTTTACCAACCATTTTTGCTTTACTTTTATTTATCATTCACCCTATTTATATCATACTTATATAATATATTTATGTGTTTATGTATAATCTCTCTCCAGCTAAATTATAAATTTTTAGAAATCAGAAAATATGCAATATTTTTTCCTTGAGGTCATAGTAGCAACTAGGATGATGCCTCAAATATTTATGTGCTCAATAAATATTGGGTGAATCAATAAAATACTGTCAGCAAATTCAACACTAACAGCACTCTAATAACATATTTTATGATTCTAATATTCTAGTTCACAGAACAAATATTTTAAGATTTGGAGTATTTCAATGTATGACAAGGATAAAAATTTATGAAGTGATATTTAATTCCACTCTGTGATTATTTCGTTTATTTCGTTGGTTATTTTATTTGTCTATCACTAGACTGGAATCTCCATAAAAGCAAATACATACTTTGTTCAACATTTTATTCTCAAGTATGTATTGAGTATGTGTAAGAAGGAAGGAAAGAGATAAGGAGAGAAAAGAGAGAGGGGGAAGAAAGAAGTGCACAGAATTTGCGTAAGTTAGTGTACTCATCACCCCTTCCACTAACTAGAAAGTCACCTCTGTCTCATTCCCTAGTTTCCATTGCTCCTAACACACCCAAACAGAAAGAAACTCTGGTGAATCCGGGCTGCTAGTGCTGGGTACCTCGTATAACAGGGAGGGCTGATATTATTTTACATATTTCAATCTTTCTTTTGCTCATTAACTAATGTGACAATCATGAAAGTGCATAACTAGACCAGTGAAATTCCAATTTAGGTATTTGGTAAATATGTAAGAAAATATAAATTCATGTCTTCATATACATATTAAGCATCAAATCTCATAGCACAAAGGTGTCAAACCTATGTTTATAGAAACAAAAAGCCACAGTGAAAATACTGTAGGTTATGTAAAGCAGAGGAGAGAGAGAGAGAAATGCACAAAATTTCAAGACAGGCATAGTGAAATGCACCTGTAATCTCAGCTACTGAGAGGCTAAGGTGGGAGGATTGTTTGAGTCCAGAGTTCACAACTAGCCTGGGCAACATAGCAAGACTCCATCTCAAAAAAAAAAAAAATCAATGGAGAAAGCATAGTCGCCTTCTATACATTGGGGAGGGAAAGAAAGAAGGAAAGAAAGAGAAGAAAAAGAAGAAGAAAGAAAGAAAGAGAAAGAAAGAAAGAGAAAAGAAAAGAAAAAGAGAGAAAGGAAGGAAGGAAGAAGAAAGATGAAAGAAAGAAAGAAAGAGAAAAGAAAGAAAGAAAAAAGAAAGAAACAAAGAAAATTTCTAAATTTTTAGAAATCAGAAATTATGCAATATTTTTCCCTTGAGGTCATAGTAGCAACTAGGATGATGTCTTAAATATTTATGTGCTCAGTAAATACTGGGTGAATCAATAAAATATTGTCAGCAAATTCAACACTAACACCACTCTAATAACATATTTTATGATTCTAATATTACAGAGAGAAAGAGAGAAGAAAGAAAAGAAAGGAAGAAGAAAGAAAGAAGAAAGAAAGGAAGAAAGGAAGAAAGAAAGAAAGAAAGAAAGAAAGAAAGAAGAAAGAAAAGAAAGAAAAGAAAAAGAAAAAACTTCACCTAAGCCAAGCCTCATATCTTACACAAGAATTAACTCAAAAGTATTGAATGAATCACAGACTTACATGTAACATGAAACAATAAAAGTTTTAAGAAAAAAGTATGAAAAGACTTTGGAAATTAAGACTAGGCAGAAATTCTTAGAGATTTGATACCGAAAGCACGGTTACCCTCCAACCCTGCCAAAAAACATCGTAAATCATACTTTATCAAAAGTAAAAACTTTTGCTATGTGAAAGACTGCATTAAAAAGATTAAAGGACAAGTGGCAGACTAGGAGAAAATGTTTCCAAACCACATATCTGACAAAGGTCTTATATTTCAAATATATAAAGAACTCTCAAAATTCAACAGTAAAAAGGCAAATAATCCTATTAGAAAGTAGGCAAAAGACGTGAAGAGACATTTCATCTAAGAAGATATACAGATGACAAAATGCACCTGAAAAGATGATCGACCTTATTAGTTATTAGGGAAATGCAAATTAAAACCACAATAGGATATCAGTACACACCTATCAGAATGCTATATTAAAAAATAAATGAGAGAGCCCTCGGGCTGGTGAGGATGCAGAACAACTGGATCCCTCACACACCGCTGAGGGGAATGGAAAATGGCACAGCCACTCTGGCAGTTTGTCAATGTCTTAAAGAACTAAAGATGCAACTATCCTACAACCCAGTATTTATACTCCTGGGCTTTTATCCCAGAGAAATGAAGACTCTGTTCACACAAAAACCTATGTACAAATGTTTGTAGCAGGTTTATTAACTTTTTAAATTATTGTGGTATTAATAAATGTATCATCTTAACCATTTTTAAGTGTACAGTTTTGTTACACTAAGTACATTCACAGTGTTGTGCAACCATCACCACTCTCCATTTCTAGAACTTTTTCATCATCTCAAATGGAAACTCTATACCCATTAAATACTAACTTCCCGTTTCCTCTCCCTCAGCCCCTGGTGACTTCTATTTTCTGTCTCTATAAATGTGCCTATTCTAGTTACTGCTTATGAGTGGAATCATGCAACATGTTACCTGTGTCTGGTTTATTTCGCTCAGCATAATGTTGTCAAGGTTAGTCCATGCTGTAGCATGTATCAGAATTTCATTTTTTAAGGCTGAATAATCTTATATTGTATGTATATACCACATTTTGTTTAGCAGAATTTCATTTTTAAGGCCAAATAATCTCATATTGTATGTATATACCACATTTTGTTTATCCATTCATCTGTCATGGGACACTTTGGTTGTTTCCACCTTGTGGCTAATGTGACTAATGCCACTAAGAATATTGGTGTTCAAGGGTCTGTAGCCACTTCATTCTTACTAGCCAAAAACTGAAAACAAATACAGATATCCTTCAACGGGTGAATGGTTAAGCAGTCTGGAATAAGCATACTATGGAATCCTACTTAGCAATAAAAAAGAATAAACTATTGATACACACAACAGCCTGTAATCCCCAGAGAAATTATGAGTGATAAAAGCTAAACACAAAAGATTATGGGCTGGGCCGGGCACGGTGGCTCACGCCTGTAATCCCAGAACTCTGGGAGACCGAAGCGGGCAGATCACGAGGTCAGGAGAGAGAGACCATCCTGGCTAACACGGTGAAACCCCGTCTCTACTAAAAATACAAAAATTTAGCTGGGTGAGGTGGCGGGCGCCTGTAGTCCCAGCTACTAGGCAGGCTGAGGCAGGAGAATGGTGTAAACCCGGGAGGCAGAGCTTGCAGTGAGCCAGGATCGCGCCACTGCACTCCAGCCTAGGCGACAGAGCGATACTCCATCTCAAAAAAAAAAAAAAAAAAAAGATTATAGGCAGTAGTGTTCCATTTCCATAACATTCTTAAAATGACAGGTGGGAGAGAAGAGAATGTGACTATAAGAAGCAGCATGAGAAATCCTTGTGGTGATGGTGTGATGATGTTTTGTCTCTTGACTGTATTAGTGTCAGTATCCTGGTTTTGATATTGTCCTACAGTTTGGCAAGGTGTTACCACTGAAGGAAAACGAGTGAAGGGTACACCGGATGTCTTTACATTATTTATTACGACTGCATGTGAATCTATAATTATCTGAAAAAAAAGTTTAACTAAAATTAAGACGGGGGCCAGGCATGGTGGCTCAGGCCTGTAATCCCAGAACTTTGGGAGGTGAAAGCAGGCAGATCACCTGAGGTCAGGAGTTTGAAACCATCCTGGCCAACATGGTGAGACCTCGTTTCTACTAAAAATACAAAAATTAGCCCGGCATGGTGGCGGGCGCCTGTAATCCCAACTATACAGGAGACTGAGGCAGGAGAATCACTTGAACCTAGGAGGCAGAGGTTGCAGTGAGCTGAGATCACAGATTGCACCATTGTTCTCCAGCTTGGATGACAGAGCGAGACTCCGTCTCAAAAAAAAAAAAAAGAAAAAAGAAAAGAAAAGAAAAAGAAAAAAAATAAGACAGGAAGGAGGGAGAGAAGAAAGGAGGGAGGAAAGAAGGAGGGACAAAAAGGGAGGGAAGGCAAGAAGAAAGAAGAAAGGAAGGGAGGAAGGCAAGAAATCTCACCAGGAAACCTTTCAGATCTCAGCCAGCCTAATCTCCTTGGCATCACCACTTAATGGTGACTCAGAAGTGCTACCTCTTGGGAAGCGTGGTTATTCAGATTCAATTTAATGCCCACAGTGTGCTGCACACAGTGTAATAATAAAATGGCACAATTTTAAATTTCCTTCAACTTCTATTTATTTCCAGAATTCCCTGAAGTTTTGACAGCCACTGTATTTTGACGCTAAATGGCCACTGTCAGCGCACTAGGAGTTTCTCTTCCTGGAGGCATGTTAAGAAGCAAAGGGCATACTCTAGTTCCCTCCTTCTTCATGTTTTATAAATATTTTGCTTTTTATTAAAGATTTCTGAGAGAATAACTTTGAGTCTTAATTGTTTGAGGACTTGCTTTGACGGGGCTAATTGTTTAGTTGAATGGAAGTCATTGTCTGTTGTGAAGTGAAAGCAGAAGTTAAAAAGATATACAGAGTTCCTCCCTTTTAAGTTTTGGTGTTGTCATGCAGTCTATAAGCAATTTCAGACAAAGTGCTAAATATATAATCTCTTAATGTTCTTTAAAAAGCTACAAATTTTAATGCAGATTGGCAATCATAGTGTGGAATAACAGTTTATTCCTCATAAACTAATAGTTCAGGGAAGTGTTCTAGATTTTCTGTTACATGTAACTAGAGTGACTCATTCACATCACACACACACACACCATCATCAATGAACTCATGTCAGAAGAGCCTACAGTCTTCCTAATTCGAAGCAGCTGGTACATTCTAAATATGGAGAGCCTGAGCTTCTAAAACCATCATTAACAATCAGAATCCTTGATTTATTATTCTTTCTTTACTATTCTCTCTGTAGGGGGATTTATATCACAGAGCTGCTAGCTCTCCCCCTATTGTTCCCAGACTGTCATGCATAAAATGTCAACAAGAGTGTATTTCATTCATATTCTAAAATTAAATACTTTATCCCACTATTAGCCATAATCATGACCACATACAACTATGATTTACCATAACTAAAATAGATGGTGTGGGATTTATTGTTGGCTTATGTTTGAAATAGCAAAGGCAGATTTTTTAATTAAATAATTGCATGCTAACTATTTGAGGCATAATTATACTTACTTTGTTTTTCATATATCTCCACCTAGTTAGCACAATATTAAAATGTTCTGTTATAAAATGTTCTGTTTTAAATAATCCATATTCATATACATATATGTGTGTATGCAAGTGGCTGTGTATAAAATATGATCTTTGAGAACATGATTATTCTTAGTAGAGAAGAATAAACCAGATTGTGAGCTCTTTCTAATTATAATTTTCAAGAATTATCTTTATTAATAACATATATACTGTCACTGTGTGTGCCTTGGTCAATTATCTCATTTGAAAAACATAATAATTATATAAGTCAGGAGTCTATTAAACACTTCAATTTCTCTTGCTTGTCTAACACCCACGTCCCTTTCTTGTGTAACACCACCCTGATGTTTTGTTTGAAAACTTGGCCTCAGGCATGGTCTGCAGTTTGATGGGGCTGTCAATCAGGACATCCTGCTTTCTCCTCTCCCCTGCCTGAGGAAAGGGACGCAGGATCCCAACTAGCCACTCAGACTCTTTCTGGGGTATTTGCAACTTCAGTAGACAGGCATAAGAATGCAATTCAATTCATTCTTTGATTCCAGTTTTGGCACCCTAATAATGAGCATAAGTTCTTGTTCTCTGAAACCCTGGGGCTGGATGGCTTCATACCTTCTGAGGCCCAGTTCAGTTCTTCATTTGTTTCCTTTAGCTACCTCATATCTTCACAATAAATTTCTTTAAAAAAAATAGTTAAAAGTTGATTTCCGTTTCTTGCACCTGAAAAACCCTAACTGACATGATGTTACTCTCTTCTTTTTTTTTTTTTTTTGAGATGGAGTCTCAATCTGTTGCCAGGCTGGAGTGCAAATGGCACAATCTCGGCTCACTGCAACTTCCGCCTCCCGGGTTCAAGCAATTCTCCTGCCTCAGCCTCCTGCGTAGCTGGGACTATAGGCACCCACCATCACGCCCGGCTAATTTTTTATATTTTTAATAGAGACAGGGTTTCACCATGTTAGCCAGGATGGTCTCAATCTCCTGACCTCGTGATCTGCCCACCTTGGCCTCCCAAAGTGCTGGGATTACAGGCGTGAGCCACCGCACCCGGCCCAATGTTACCCTCTTCTTGCAGATGAGGAAACTGAGGTGTAAAGAGGTGAAGGGGCAGTGGTCCACAGTCACGTGGTTTTTAGTTAAAACAGCTGAACTCAGGCAGCCTGATTCCAAGCTCTGTTTTTAAACTCAAAGTAACATTGACTCCTTGTTTTCAGTTTCAAAGTCATTCAGATGTGAGAACATCTAGGTGGTCACACAATAATATTAGGTTAGACTAAAAATATAAAATGGATATAAAAGGAATGATTTATTGCTTTGTTACATTTAATCAGACAGTATTTATTATGTACCCAAAAGATTCCTTGCATTAAATAACGACCAATTTTGCTGTGATCCTGGAAGTTCCTGTTACTCTCCTTTTAGTGTTTAATGTCATGCAGCTGTGCACAATTCCAAATTAACGTGAGTTCAAGTACAGGGTCTACCTGTATTTAAAAAAATATTTTTATTTCACACCCATTTAGCAAGAAGGGAGAAGTGAAGTCCAGTGCAATGAGTGCTAACATGTGTGTAAACATCGTTTAAAAACTCCCATGAAGAACTACACTTTAAGTCACAGTCAGATGCAGGAGGATCAAATTATTTCTAGACTGAAAGTAAGAACAGGAGAAAGCACTGTTAAGTCTCCAATCCAAGGGTCAACGGCTTTTGTTCCTTTTGTGACTTGTGTACAGTTTACATGTTTGAGCCTCTGTTTTCATCCTTTTTCAGCATCCTAAAGGCAAAACAACACTGTCTAATGGGCCAAGTAGCACTGGGATTAAGGATCAAAGTCAGGGTGGGATAGACAAGGTTGGGGTTGAAGCTAGGCTCACCTGAATGCAGAATGCTCAAACTGGCCTAATGCCACCAAACCTCTGACTCGCCTCTTCCTGTAAGTGACCTGACAAGCACTTGGAAGCAATTTTTCATAGGAGTATGGTGATTTCTATGTCTATTTCAAAGTGGTTACTCCTGGGGTCAAGAAAGAAATGGAATGTGGTCTGAGGAAGAAGCCATGCTAAAGACCACCTACATTTTGAGGAAAGTTTTAAAATCAGTATCTAGTAAAACCAACAACTTTCTCCCATAAATTGTGTTTAAAATGCCTTGGAGTAAGGAATATTTATTGTATAGTGTGCCAGAAGGATTCTGGACTATAAAGCCAAGCAAACCTGATTATTATTTTAGCCTTTATGTTTTCCAGCTGTGTGACTTGAACAAGTAATTTCTTCATGCCTCAGTTTCCTGCTCTGTAAAATTAGGGTATCTCAAAACATTTCTATCATTTGAGGTTATTGAGAGGGTTGAATTGGGTAATCTATCCAAAAATTCCCTGGAATATGATAGCTACTTCACTATATTAATATTTCCTTCCATTCAGGGAACATTTTTCAGAATTATTCTGGTAGAGCACACTATAAAAATTATATCAATTGCTTAGCAAACATCATTAGAAACCAAGTATCACCTAATTAATATTGCCTACTGACTATATTCCAAAGGAAGCTTGTTTCTTTTCTCTTTAAAAATAGCGTTGTAATTTAGCTCACAAGGAATAAAATGAATTAATCATAGTAGATTGTTCTGTTTTGGTTGTTGGTGATGTTAGTTAGGGTCACAGAAGGAAACTGATGGCATATTCAAGCTATGTGTTTGAGGAGAGTATAATAATGGTGAAAGCTTAGAGTGGGACTATCCAATAGTCAAAGCCACATAGTATTTTAAAATTTTCTAGTAAACACATTTAAAAGTTAAATGAAACAGGTGAAATTAATCTTAAAAATATCTTTAGTTTAACCCAACATAGCAAAAATATTATTTTAACAGAAATGAATATAAAATTATTAGTAAGATGTTTTCTTTTTTATATTGTCTTTGAAATTTGTGTGCATTTCACATTTACAGCCCATTCCTGTTCAAATAATAAATCCTCAAGTAAAATGTAGTCTGATAAAAATAATAAAGTTGTTTAATAAAAACATATTTTGCACTATATATTTTGTTTTTAAATTTTAACACTAATTAATAAATTAATTTTTCCTAAATAAAATACAAAATTTATTTCCTCAGTCACACCACTATGACAGTCCCACTATCAAGAGGTCAATAGCCACATGTAGCCAGTGGCTTCAAATTGGATGATGCAGATTTAGAGAAACAAAAGACGTAGTGTAGTAGTCTGAGGTGACCTGAGCAGGGAAGCTTTAAGCTTGAAAGAGTAAGGGGATACAGTGGTTTCACAAACCTCAAGTGTTAGCTGTATGGAGAGAGCCCCCTTTGAATTCCTTGGATTGAGATACACAACCAACCTAGAAGACCAAGTACAGAGGGAAACAAAGGGATTAATATCTACAACCACACTCCTCTAGCTCCATGCTGGTAACTTGACTTATCAAAAATGAAAACCCTGATTTGCAGCATTTGCTCATTTCCATAGTCTAAATTCTTTCACCGTGGCTAATTATAAGCTGACAATATGATGTCATTGAACACAGACTTGTGGAAAGGTGTGCAGAATGTGCTCTCTCCAAGCACCTCTTACAGTCCAGTCTCCAGCTAGTGTCTTTTATTGGCCAAACTCAACTGGCAACCAGAGGCAAGAAAGCAGCTGATGCATTTCCTCCTATGGCACTGAATGCATATCAGCCTCCTATGGCACTGAATAGAATGGAGAATGGTCAGAAAGGGCAAGTGGAAAGTATACTAGATGCTCAAAATTAAAAGACCTGTCTATCTTTTTATCTTTGACTTCTGTACATGTAGAAGAAAATGACAGTCATAAAGCAGCTGAAATCAATAGCTCGAATATTTTGAAGACAGAATGTTAAGTAGAGCAGGCATCAGATTGTTTATTTGTTAGATGAAAAATTTTTGTTCTGTGAGTATAGAGCTTGTGCAAAGGAAAAATGTCCTTCCTCTATAAAACTTTTGAAAAAAGAGTTTTAGCAGATAATTATTGAAATGTTACATTTTATATGAAACAATAAGTTTTTATATCAATAATGTAATTATTCAGTATATTGACAAAATTGAAGTGCTGCATAGATAAAATGTTGCTCCAGTTAATTTTTTTCATCCTCCATTTTTGGAATTGCCCAGGTTTGTACACCTACAATCTACTACAGCTGCCTTTTCTCATAACCAGTAATCCTTCAGATTCTTTCTTTTAGTTCCATCCCACTGCAGTAGAAATCGAGGTTTTCATCATGCTTCACTTCATGTTCTTGCCTGCCATGGCCCTCTTCCTTCTCTCTTTCTTCCCAGATTACCCTACATAGCACCATGAGGTGATTCTTCCTAAGATACCACATTTTTTGTCATCCCATTAGTCAAGAACCCTCAGAGACTCTTTTGACTACCAAAACAAGTCCAAATTCTTCACCTGGGCTTCTGAGAACTTCATAACTTGAATTTAACCTACATTTCTAAAGTCCTATATGAGCACATCCATGCAGCCAGATCAACTTGTTGCTACCTCCAGAACACAGGCCCAATTTGCCACAGTGTTTTCGTTTTATGCTAACTCATTTTTGCCCAGCCCCAACACATACGCATACACACATACATGCACACACACAAAAAACAGGCATGCATGTATACACACCAAAATACCACTTTTAATTATCTCTATTTTTCCAAACCTCATCCATCATTGAGGTTCAAGTACAAGCTTTTCGAAGGCTTCATATTTGGCCTACACCATCAGCTCCATACTCCGAACTCCAGTGACAGTTGATTCCCTGATCATTTTGCACCTGGATCTTCACTGCAGTTGTTCCTATTCTGTCTTTTGCGTCACTCCTTTTTGCTTCCATTTTAACATTAAACTCTAAAAATAATCCCACGAATCCAGAAAGGTGATTAGATTTTAAATGACAGTCACTTGCTGAAACTTTCCTCAGAGTTCTGAGATAAGCAGTAGGCTAGGAAACACCAACAACTTTTACAAGTAAATGTAATAAGCTTATATCTGGTGAACAGATTTATCCTATCATTAGCAGTAACATACGTGTTGCTAGACTGCCCTAAGCCCCGGAGTCACCATATTATTAGATGAAAGATGTTCATTAGGATGGAGTAGAAATGCTAAAGGTTTAGGTTTACTAAGTGCTGGACTGTGATTAAGTACCAAATTTTTCTACAACTGTTTCTGCACTGGCCAACAACTTTCTGATTAACGTGTGGAATCCAGCTTTTCTCACCCAAGTCCATCTTCTCCAGTGTGGTCTCTGGAATAGGAACACTTCTTCATGCCTGGCTGCCCCTCTTCCCACCTCTTGGCCATTGAAAGTTTGCTTTTGGATTCAGGCTGTTATTGAAGGTCTGGAGCAGCCATCCTCAATTTGTGCTCTGTGAGATGTTGACAGTTGTGAATGAAGATAGGGATTGTATATGAAAATAAATATGGGTTGTGCTGGCTATAACAAAGACAAATTTCTTTGCTGCAAAACTTCTCAGAGCTTTTACTAAGCCAATATGAAATGTGAATTGTTAAAGCAATAATACAGTAGGTAGCATTTCAAGCATATATTTAAATAGAGAAATCTCATTCAGTCTTCACAGCAACCCTCTCGGGTAAATTCTAATGTTCTGGGGGCAGAGTGTAGCAGAGGGAGATTTCTCTATTTAAATATGTGCTCGAAATCCTACCTACTATTACATGGAAAGCACTTAAAACAGGGCCTGGCTGAAGACAAAAGCACTTTGGGCTTGTTGCTATTGTTGTTGTTGCATAGATGTCTAACTGGGACCTCAACAGGTGTCTTTGTGTCTTCTGTGGAAGAAACAGAGTTGCATGTGGATTGAACAGGGATCTTTTTCCAGTGATATGAGAATTCCATATGGATACTGCAAAGAACCAGCATGGACCTCTCTATGAGTTCATTTGAATCAGAAACCAATTCAAGTGTAGACAAGTTTATTCATTTCTACTCTTCTCAAAGCCTGGCTAAACTGGCTTTAGCCAGGGCTCAATTAAACAGCATAAAATAACTGTTCAGAGCATAACCTCTGGAGTCTTGCTTAATTCCCAATTTCCGCTGGTGACTATATTGCCTTGGACAAATACTGAAAGAAGCTATGCCTGTAAATCTGTAAAATTTGAATGATATTTATCTTTCTGCATTGTTGTCAGGAATTCAAGAGATAATATGTGTAAAGCACATAGCCTCATGGCTGGTACATACTAAAATGTTCAATAAACGGAGGTTTCCCAATTAACCCACTACTAAACTTATTTCCCTAGTTTATTTAAACCATAAAATATCAGCTAACTTTATCCATGAAATCATTGCCATAATATCCACGAAGACCAATTTCCATTACAACTAACAGGTATTTAGTAAATACGTTGGCTACTTGGATTGCTGACAGATTGAATTGCTGGATTCCTCCAAGCTATTAGGGATTAAAGGGGGAATATATATATAAGCTCTTAGTGATCACTGCTCTGAGCTGCCAAAATAGGCAAACTAGATTTCACAAGATCAAAAAGTAATCTCTCAAGCAACTTTGGCACTCTTTTATTGTTTTAAACCTTTACATAATGTCCAATATAATGTATACAGTTTTAATTCTTAGTTAAAAGTCTTCCCAAATTCATTGCTTTGATTATGAATGTTGTGAATAATACTGAAGTTGTTCACCATCCAGTGGTCGGAAGCTGCGGGGAAAATAATTTTAATTTTAAATGTTTCATGCAACATTGCTAATGTTATCTATCCTGTCTGGGCAGGGAGAAAATTGGCAGGAGTCATGAGATGGAGAATTTATATGAGTTAATGGAAATGTTGTGGCTGACCAACAAAGAAACTTCCCCAGCCAAAATCAAAACAAAGATATTAACTTGGAAGAGGGAAAAAGCCTGCGGCATGATAATATCATGCATTGTAACCTTATCTAGCGGTTGAAGTAATTCGGTTTGAAGAACCTAAAGAGCATTTTGTGGTTCTTATAAACTGCCAACAGACACTGTATTTAGCAGTCTCTCCACTATTAAGTTCACATACCATCCTTTACTTTCACCAAGTAAGGCGATTTAGCTTTATCTCTGGGTTGTTACCAACCTGTCCAAGACCTCTTGAAGACAAAAGCCGAGCCTTCAGAGCTTGCCTGCAATGCTTGTTTATTGCTGGCTATTTCTGAAGGCAAACACATCTAAAGGTTTGCTTACATTCACTTGACATAATTTTCAGAGTTCACTTATACAATTTTGGTCTGGGATCTAGACATAGTCATCCCCCTTTCTTCTAGAAAGAAACCTTTCAGAACAATCTCTCTGTCTCTCTCGCTCTCTTTTCCTATCTCTCTCTTTCTCTCTCTCACACACACACATGTACACCACACACACACACACACACACACACACATAGGACAAGTTCACAATTAAAGTTTATAATAATTTTTAAATTAAATAATCCAAAAGATGTGTTATGCTGAGTGAATCTTCTATAGAAGAAAAAATAACTGGGGGAGTAGAGACCAATTCTCTTTTTCTGTTTTACAATTCAATAACATAACTGTGTAAGTAACAGAAAAGAAGCCAGGGAAGAATTAGAGCTTGCAAGGAACTCCCAATTAATGCTTTAATGGCTACCACTGGCCCATATGGCCCCCTGCTGCTCTCCTTTGAAGTCCTGGTGCTACTCCATGGAATGCCCTCAGCACCTGACACTGGAGGAAGCCCTGCAAGGGCTCCTGTTTGGCCAACACATGGGGCACATGCAGTTAACTCAGCTCAAACAGTTCTAGGGAGATGGGGGTACTCATTTGATCATTCAATTTTCTATTAAAATAAGCTGTTATTCTACAACAAAAATTTCTCAAGCCTGGCATATTATTTTATTAAAACCATGGTTTCATGAGTTACAGAAAATGTTAACAGTATTAACCACATATAAAACTTGAACTATTACCTAAAATATTAATTTACTATAATCTGTTTCCTTTTTATGTTTCTGAAATTTAATAATATTAAATATTACATTAAGATTAGTAATATTTCTAACATCATTTTCTAAGGCAACTTCTTTGAGAATTAATGCCTGCAGAATTTGAATCTATAGAATTTTTGTTATTCTTTTTATTTTATTTCTTAGCTATAGACATTATTGGAAATATGTTGATTAGGGCACTGAAATTCTTTTTCCTACACGACTTTCTATAAAATTTATAAGTTAAAATTAAAACCGTATCTCAGAATTGTCACCAATTTCTCATTTGTTGTCTTAGTTTTGTTTTCATTTTACATGTGATAAAAGTCTCAATGTTCTGTTGTTTCTCATGAAATAAGATACACAGAACAAATTCATTTTGCTCTTGCTTATTCAGTTTTTGCTAAAGGAAATTTTAAAAACTAAACTCACTAATATGAATTACATAATCTTACATAATGTAGGAGGAAAAGCAAATAATTTTCATATGCAGAATGAGGTCACTGAAGAACAGGACCTTATGTGTATTTATTTATTTATTTATTTAGAGACGGACTCTCGCTCTGTCATCCAGGCTGGAGTGCAGTGGCGCGATCTCGGCTCACTGCAACCTGCGCCTCCTGGGTTCAAGCGATTCTCCTGCCTCAGCCTCCCAAGTAGCTGGGACTACAAGCGTGTCCCACCATGCCAGGCTAATTTTTGTATTTTTAGTAGAGACGGGGTTTCACCGTGTTAGCCAGGATGGTTTCAATCTCCTGACCTCGTGATCCACCCGCTTCTGCCTCCCAAAGTGCTGGGATTACAGGCGTGAGCCACTGCACCTGGCCAGGACTCTATGTATCTTTAACAAACTCTTTCTCCATGGGCACTCCAAAAGAAATTTTACTTCCATGTTTTTACTCAACCAGCTATTTGAATATTTGTCTCAGACTCTTAATTCTGTGATACTGAGAGATCATAAAGGAGGAAAAATAGTTCTGAAGAATTAAAAGCAACAACAAAAAGTCTACATTGCAAGCCTTTCATTTGCAATGAAAGTCAAAGAGAATTGTATTGACAATGTATATTTGTCATTCTGGATCTTCAGTTACAGAATTGTTTAAAGAATAACATTGTTCAGATACAAAGCTGTCCACACCACCAACGATTTGTAGATTAGATTTTTAAAATAGTATACAATTCAACTTAAGAAAGACACAGAATATGCAACTCAAAGGGAAAATGTACAAACTGAGACATTTCTTGTTTCAAGTGTTTGGACCAGGATTCCATTCTCTTTCTAGGAAAGGTAACTGAACACCTTTCCTAGACAGCAGATTATAAGGTTAGTATGCTACCAAGAAAGGTTTTTGAATGAAGTTCTTTTTGAGCCTCGAGTTCTGACATAAACTATACGAAATCACATGGGTTTTGAAATTGACAAGTCTTGAAGGCCACAACTACCTTCTTTCCCCAAGACATCAAAGAAAGGGTGCTGTCTGGTGATTAACCTCACACACAAAATTACAGGGTCATGGGATGGAGACAGATTTCCATAGTTCCCTCGGTGATCTGTTTTGCTAGTCTACAAACTAGCAGGATGAGGAAAAACAGCTGCACAAAATTGGCTTCCTCTTTCCTAAGGCAGTTGTGACAGGAATACAACCAGTAGATTTATTTCCTGCTTCTCTGAAAAACGTCTGCCTGACACCTACTTTAGCCTTTCTTGATAGGCCAAGGATAACTCTGAAAACCTAATTTTAGTTTGACTGAAAACATTACTTACTATGTTAAAAATAAATCATTGAGATGAGCAGAAACTTAGAAAATTTCATCAACAAGCCTCAGTGACATGTGATTTACCCATGTAACAAACCTGCTCATGTAACCCCCGAACCTAAAAGTAGAAAGAAAAAAAGCAACTCTCAAATGTTAAGGATTACCTCCAAATTGGCACAGAATTGCCTTTAGAACACTCCTGGAGAGTTCTATAACTTAAAATAGCCATTTTTTTTTAAAGAAATCTATGATGTTTAGAAATTTTTACCTCATGCAAAACTCAAGTTTGAATCTCTGTAGTGCCCATCGTTTAGTTCCAGTTCTTTTTCCAGTTATAATACAGAGAATAACTATTCCCACTATACTAGTGAAGCAACATAAGAGCTCTTTCTTTCTATACTTTTAACATCTAACACAGAACCTGACACGTAGAAGGCTTTCAAAAAATATTTATGAAATGAGTATGTGAATGAATAAAATATTACTCCATGTCAATATGTTACTAGACATCCTTTCCTGGTTAAAACGCTTCCATTATTTTCTCTGTTTATCCTGTGAAATGGCTTTCAGACTTATCAGCCAAGTTTTATGTGTGTTTGTGCATGCATGTAATGCAATATGCGAATAGATTCAACTCCTCTCAAAATATAGGAGACCACCAAGAGCATCAACAAAACTCTATCCAGTCACCGAAGAGATTTATTTCTCAATTCCCTTAGAGTTCAACTCTTATTTTCCCATGTCAACTGAAAAACTTCCTTGCAATTTCATCCAAAAAAAGTTAATGGGGAGACAGGAACATATTCATTCTACAGACCAAAACATCCATGACAAAGGTCGTGGCGACTTAAATGCTGAATTTTCTTTTCAATAATATCCAGGACTGCAGGTATGTTGAAATGCATATTCAGGTCTGCAACTATGCATGCATGTGTAATCAGTTACTCAGAAAGTTCTTTAATAGGTTTACATTTGACCTTCTCATTTTAAATAGCTTCTTCTTTTTCCCTTTTATTGCCCACCAAATTACAACTGACTAAATGTACCTATTTTGTGAAAATGGATTCCATTAGAGTGTAGTGTTACCTAACTATTGTTCTCTTCTAGAGGACATAATGGAGAACATGTGCAGATGCTTAACATCAAGCTCTTGTTTCTAGAATTACAGTCTTAAAGCTGTCAGAACTGTTGAAGAACAAGGATGACCTGGAGCTCATTGGGTATATGAAACACCCTTTTTGTGAACATGTAAGTAGGTGAGGTAGGAGAATGCTAAACAACTAGCATGGAGGGCTTGAAATATCCAAGCAAAGGGACTTTTTCTTCTCAGTTGCCAAGATATCTTGTTTTTCCACAAAATTAATGAATCACATTTTTCTAATGCATTTTGAATGTGTTGGGTTTTTCTAGTCCATTCTGTTTCAATCTCAAAATGTGGTAGCTCTCAATCTGGCCCCAAAACAAGTGATTTTGCTTAATTTTCTTCTAGAAGAAGTATACATAAAATGTTTCCACATTTCTCTATCAAATTATTGCAATCACTTTGGTTACTCAAAGTTGTAAAGGTATATTTATCTATCTTCCTTTACTCCCATAAGGACAAGCAGTCAATGTTCCTTCCAGAACAATCTCTGAAATGAATGCCAACAAGTAGTTACAATAATCTCATTTAATTCAATAGCTCTAGTCAATAAAGAATAGTGATTTTTAGAAATTACAACAATTGTAAATGAAACTCTTCACTGCTTTCTTATGTAAACGGAATAATTTTGCAAAGTATGAATAATACTTTCCAAAAATATACACCTAATAAATTTGTTGTCAGATTTTCTCACAATAAGTCTTATATGAATAGCTATAGTTATTCAGAAAAATTGCCGTATGTTCTTTTCAGAAAAGGAAATCAGTTTATTTGTGTTAATTATAGAAAAAATAAAAGAGTACCTCCTACTGGGGAATATATTAGGAAGATTACATCTAAAGCAGTAAAATTTCAGGTCATTTTTTATCTCACAAATTGATTATGTTGTAAGTATGTGATTTTACATCTGATAAAAATAGCTCACTGAATACTATGCGATAATTTGTCAGAGGAACAACAGAGGTGTTAAAAATGGGGGAGTCACTGGGTTCACCAACATGGACATAATATAACTCTTTAGAATTATCCCTGTTAGGACATTCTTTAGAAAAATAAAAGGGGGATTGGCTTCAGAGAAAGCATATAAACCTTGTGGGATTAAAAAATCTGAATTAGTATCCTGACCCCACAGCTAAGTTTGTGTGTTCTTAGGCAAGTAACTTTCCTGATGCTAATTCTATGCCTAACTTTTAGGGTTGCTATGACCCTCACAACTGAAGTATGGAAATCATCTAGCAGACAGCCTGGGTAATAGTAGGTTGCAGAGTTTTAAGAATGCATTACTAGTAACCCTACTTCATAAATAAAATCTGTATAACATATACATATATGTACATTATGTGCATATACCAACACATATGTAAATATCTTTTTTTCTTTTTTTGAGACGGAGTCTCTCTCTGTCCCAGGCTGGAGTGCAGTGGCACAATCTTGGCTCACTGCAACCTCCGCCTCCCAGGTTCAAGTGATTCTCCTGCCTCAGCCTCCTACGGAGCTGGGACTACAGGTGCCCACCACCATGCCCGGCTAATTTTTGTATTTTTAGTAGAAACAGGGTTTCACCACGTTAGCCAGGATGATCTCAATCTCTTGACTGCATGATCCACCCGCCTTGGCCTCCCAAAATGCTGGGATTACAGGCATGAGCCACCGTGCCCGGCCCTGTATCTTTTTGTAAGTAAATTTTTTCAAATTCAGCCACCATGCCTCCAGCATCAATTCTTATTTTTATTTTTTGGTTAGAAAGGATATGACTACATAACAAAAAAATAGATTTAATTTAAAAATATACATCAAATTTTTGTATTTTTTCTCGTATTAAATTTTGATATTCTATAGACATATAATGGAAATTTTAAGTATAAATGGAGCATTTTAAATTTGTCAAGGTTTCAATTCTTCAAATAACTATGGTAGAAATAAATGCTTGTGAAAGGAAGGGGATTGCTTTGAAATCTCACTACAAAAATGCATAAATGTGATAATGAAATACGTAATACAAAAAGAAGTATAGAAAGATGTGATAAGAGCAAATTTAATCAGAGAAGAGGAAAGTGTGTAATGGGGTGATAAAATAGAATATAAACATTAAGAGGCCAGAATGTTTAAAAGAATGTATCATTTTATGAATAGTCAAGGATAAAAGCCCACTGAAACTATTCAATGGATTGGCTCTATGTCCAATAAATTCTCATTTTTTAAAAAAGTCTTAGTCCTTGGTCAATGGTAATTTTATTTTTTTTGCTATGGATTTTTCTTTCTTAGTCTTTTACACTAAAATCACAGATCAGTGGTTTTGGAATGATGTTAATGACTAGAGATTAATTCATCAACAATATGGCACTTATTTCCATTAGAATGAAGAATGTTGTTTACAACATTTGGACAAAATGATTATGGGTTTTTTGATCTAAGCAAAATTTATATCATCAGTTTTGTAACTCTAGACACTAAACTACTTTTAGCACATGCAACATTACTCATAGTGGAGGTTTCTACTCAAAAGGCAAAAGGGAATTTAAACCTGCATATTTCAATGTTTTTAAGCATTTAGTAACTATTAAGTGTTTTTCTGGTCTGTTATATACTAATCATTTTCCATTTTACTGTTTTCCTATTCTATATGCTAATTGAAGGGACCCTGTTCCAGATTTCCAAAGTTGTGGCACTTTTGTAATATAGCATGCCCATATAAGCCATAAGACAAAAAAGAACAAATACCTATGGTCCTTTACATGCCAGGCATGATGCCAGAATCTTTATACATCATCTCATAAAGTATTCATACATTGTTTATTATTTCCATTTTATAGAAGGCAAAAACAGAATTTGTATCAAGTATGATGTCCATGGCCATACAACTAGGAAGTTTAGGTCCCTACCCTCAGAACTCATAAGAGTTGAGACAAATATCATCAACTTCAAAATTACTCAAACTGTACTAACCGTAACAGGTTCTAAGTTCATAGACTTGAGGCTTCCTGGGAGGGAAAAACTAAGGATGACTGTTCTATGGATTGATTTCTTTTTATTTCTCACCATAACATGTGGATAGGGCTCCTCTCTCTTCTGACGAAAAAAAAAACAAAAACAAAAACCAAAAGGGGGAAAAAACTCTACCCTACTCCCAGCTTAGAAACTTAATTTCCCAATGAGACCAGGTGTTATAACTTTACACTTTCCAGCATCACAAATCTGTACAACATACAAAGCCAAGTAATCTCAAGAATTGCTCACAACCATCAGAAGCTAGGAAGAGGCAAGGAAGGACCCTTCCCCAGAGCCTTCAGAGAGAACATGGTTCTGCCAACACCTTGATTTTAGATTTCTCCCATCCAGAGCTGCGAGAAAATAAATTTCTGTTATTTTAAGCCACCTAATTTGTGTTACTTGGTTACAGCAACTCCAGGAAATTATAATAGAGATTTGGGCAATCCTAAAGGCTTTTCTCTTCTAAGAATTTTCTAAATAAGCAATTTAACTCTCATATGATGATATTCCTACATTCAGGATTGCATTAAGGAAATAGCTTTTAGAGGCAACAGAACTAGAATTTAAAAAAAACGAGTACTCTTTAAATACATTTAAAGTTCTTAGCCCCAAACCTGGAAGATGCTTGGTGCTCAGTAAAGAACAGTGCATTCTCTTTCTTTTTCTATTCTCTTCTCTCAGGTTATTCACAGGTTTTAAAGTCTAGAGGGCAGAGACCATGGATTACCATGTTTCATACCATTCAGTGTGTTCTCACTCAGAAGACAATATGTTGTATGTATAAAAGAATGAACAATTATATTTTAACCTAAAAGAATGAAAGACTACTTATTTTCCATAAGGAAAGGGTGCATCTATGCATTAAAGATGATTTCTGGAATAATTAAGAACAATAAACATGTTGAATTCACAATATGAATAAATTAGTGTCCTTTGGATCATGTAAGTCTTATCATTACATTACTTTGATTACACCACTACAGACCTCAACCCAGATAGACCCGGAAAACTCACTGGTCTTTGCTGACAACAAATACATCCACCCAATCAAAGTTAAGCAGGAAGTCAAATGTTCCATTTTATGAAAGTCTTACTCAAACTTAATTTTTTGCACTTTGGTATATAATGACTTTTCCATCTTCCTTCAAAGAAAAGAAATCTTCAATTTCAAAACCATCTGTTAGGGAAAAAATAATCTGTCCTAAATTACATCGTTCTGAACTAACTGCAAGACTGTTTCTTTACAATGTCTAATTTCATAGTGCATGATAGGCAAACAAATTATTAAAATCATTTAAGTCTACATTTTTGTATTATTGAACTCTAAGTATTGATGATGTGTGGCTATATAGTTAGCAGACCTATTGGTTGTTTCTGCGTTTTACTTGCTTTTTCCATAAGCAGAAGCTGGATCTAATTTCCAAATGAAAGACTTCTTCACCGAAAAAATTTATTTTTACAAAGATATGGCTTTACAGTGTTTGTCATTTGGGTTCTTTTATTTAGCTTTTTTGTTTTCTTCAAAACGTGAATGGAAAATGTTTATCTGCTAGAGGGCTTCACATGCTTCTGCTTTGCTGTCTCAATGACTTTTACTGCCAAAAAGACAGTAAAAAAAAAGAAAAGGGAAGAGAAAACCACTAGTCACTGAACAAATGTTGAGTCAAAAGTAAATTTGGTATGGCCTAAGAATGAGAAACTGAAAATAAATGTTATTATAATATTCTATCTACTAGACCTGGATTTCTGGGTCTACTCCTTGTTGAAATAGTTAGCATTACAGTAATTAAAAGTTCACATCCTGGAATAATGTGGATGCTTTTGAATTCAACTGTGACACTTACAAACTGTGTGACCTTGGACAAATCACTTGACTTTTCTCATCTCTCTTTCTTTCCTATAAAATGGGGAGAATACCCATCTCTTAGCATTGTTGTGGTGATTAAATTAGATAACATAAAAAATCCTTAATATAGCATTAGGTAATTCAACACTCTTACAGATGAGGAATAATACATAATTCATGATACCTACTAAAGGATTATGAGTAGATTGAAAGTGAGACTTTTCTTAGCTCAAGTCTACTGGAACCTTGTTCCTCAAAAGTGGTGGCAGGAAGGGGTTCTTCTGAATGAGCTCAGGGAGAATGTTCCTTGCCTCTCTCTTAGTTTTTCGTGGTTTACTGGCAATTTTCAGTGGCTTTGGCTCAGAGATCTCTGCCTTAATTTCACATAGCATCCTCCCTGTGTGTGCCAACTATACTGAGGAACACTTGCAGGAAACCAACTACTAGAAGATTCCGTCTTTCACTCTTTTACCCAGGTCAGATGACCGATCTGCACATCAGGACCACTACAAACCTCCACCAAGTTTCCTGTGGCTTTCCTCTGCTCAGGCATAGTTCACCATCTTTTAGGCCCTAGCATTGTGCTCACGCTCTACTTCTTGGATGCTCTGGACAAGACTGGTCTCTAATTTGCACCCCAGAAGATTGAAGAGGTCTGGAGAGCCCACCTTGGTGGGCAACCTCACCAGCATATACCTTCATTGCACAGAGCGCTAACCAAAGATCAGTAGCACTGCCCTAACATTTTCCTTTGGAGAGATTCTGACTTAGAGATTTTTGGTCATAATTCCACAGATGGTAGTTGTGCCCCATTGGCTCCTCAGCCAAGCATATACACCAGATGTCTGAACTTGCAGATTCTTTTCCTACTGAGCAAGATTACCACGGCAGCAACATATCATCAGTAGTATAAAACTAACCTGTCTCAGGACCGGGTCCAGCGTCATCACATCACATAGGACCTTATTAAAATTTAAAATATCAGACCTCAGACCTACAAAATCAGAATTTGCATTGTAATAAGATCCCCAGGTAATTTATACGCACTTTTGAGAAGCAGAGCTCTAGAAATTAAGTAAATCTTGCATTTCACACTGGTGGGCAAAAATTCATCCGGATGGAATTTATATTCCGTGTTTGTTTCATTTACTCTTGTTTATGAGAGACAGCCAAAAATAGAATTGATGAAACAGTATGGTCCAACATCACTCATATTCATAATACTATGTGGATTGAAAGAGAGAGAGATACAGAACAAGAATCAATAAAATAGAATGCAATAAAGGGAACAATTTAAATTAAGCCCACCATTCCAGACCACATAAGCAGAGTCAGTGAGGAACTGGCTATATGAATATGCTAGCATTACTCAGTCTCATTTTCAAAGTGCTTCTCATGCTGTGGGCATCTCACTTGACCTGTGATTCAAGTGTTTAGAGATATGGATATTTCATCTACTAACTACTGTATCTGGTGCTCAGTCCAGATCACAATTCTAGTGATCTATTCCAGTACAGAAGAAAAACTAATTGTGTTGGTTATTATTGACAGACCTATGTTAGGATTCACAATAATGTCTTCCTAAGAAATGTTCGAGGATGACTTAGACCAAAGCTCCAATTAAGAATCTGTAACATCTATCCTGCCATTATCCATAAGTTACCTGAATTAACTGCAGATGTAATTGCTACAAAATACCACTAATAAAATCTCAAAATTTGCCTCACTATGCAATTCTATAATTCTACATATTATAGAAGACATGGCAAACAAAATAATTGCCTAAAGGTCACACATGTTATGGTAGGCAGAATAATAGTCCCCCGAAGATATCTATCCTTGGAACCTGTGAATATATTACCTTACGTGGCAAAAAGAACTTTCAGATGTAATTAAGACTTTTGTATGGGAAGGTTATTCTGGGATATCTGGGAATTAATATAAAATTACAGAATTTAATCACAAGGGTCTTTAAAACTGGAGAAGCTTTCCAGGCTATAGTGAAAGAGATGTTGCTAAGGGAGGAAGGTTTGAGATATGTAAGATGAAATGGACTCAACCTGCTATCATTGACTTTAAACATGAAAGAAGGGAAACCCAGGAGCTGAGGGATGTGGGAAGCTTCTAGAAACTGGAAAACATAAGGAAATGAATTCTTTCTGAGAGCCTGGAGCAAGGAACTCAGCCCTACTGACACCTTGATTTTAGCCCAGTGAGATCAGTTTTGGACTTCTGACATATATAAGAGTGCGGTGGCTCACGTCTGTAATCCCAGCACTTTGGAAGCCCGAGGCGGGCGTGTCACGATTTGAGGAGATCGAGACCATCCTGGCTAACACGGTGAAACCCGTCTCTACTAAAAATACAAAAAATTAGCTGGGCGTGGTGGTGGACACCTGTAGTCCCAGCTACTCCGGAGGCTGAGGCAGGAGCAAGGCGTGAACCCGGGAGGCGGAGCTTGCAGTGAGCCAAGATCGTGCCACTGCACTCCAGCCTGGGTGACAGAGGGAGACTTGGTCTCAAAAAAAAAAAAAAAAAAAAACAAAAACAAAAGATGATTATTTGTTTTGATTTAAGCCATTAATTTTCTGGTAATTAATTACAGCAGCCATAGAAAACAAAAAAATATAATTTTTTTAAAAAAATGAATCAACAAAAAGTCCTAGAAGATCTGCTTCTTCCTTCTTGATGCCTTTAACACAGTCCTCCCCAAATAAATGTGGATATTCTGATGGTGCTCCGACATCATTATATTCTTTCTTCCTTGGGTGGTATTTGGTGTATGCTATGAATGCAGTCAAGCTCCCCACGAGTCCCATTTACATTATTTTTCTGAACTTGCAATTAAAGAGGTAGGGATAGTCTCAAAGATGTTTTTCAGTAGGGAGTTAAAATGAGGAGATTTTTATTTTATTAGCATTTCATTTTTAGTTTCTGATAGATTCATATACTCACCATTAGATAAACTATATTATGACCATACAGTTATCAGTAGAAGTATCTTCTTCCACTGCATAAGCTACCCTACTTACAAGAAGTTGTTCAGCCTCATCTAATAAACTTCGACTTCTAGAGCAGTGGGTTTCTAGATCTGACAGTACATCAGAATCATTGTGGAAGCTTCTCAGGGACTACTATAGTCCCTTGTTTTAAAACAGCTTATCTCTACAAAAATGAGTATCATTAAAGGCAAAGAGACTTAAAGTAAATAGCACCATTCTGGGTAAAAACTAATCATTACTTCAGAGAACAATTCCAACGTTTAAGATTATATTGAAACTAAAAACCAAAGGTCTAGAAAGCAATCAAAATGCTAGAATGTAGCAAATGAGCTAGAAGGTAAATGTTGGAAACAAAAATTAAAGAGCTAGAAGGTAATGGTTTGGGGGTTCACATTAAAATAACTTTTAAAAAAGCAAACCATTTTCATGTGTTATTAATGACAATCATCTTTTAATATATAATTTTGGTAATGTGGGCAGGGTATTATAGAGTGATTCAGAAGGAAGAATTTCAGCATCTCAATGATAATTTCAAAGCAGTTCATTTTTCTATAAACCTAACTAAACCCCAGGGAGGAAGTCCTCCCTGGTCTCAGATCCTCTTTCTGCACTTAGCAGCACCTGGTTGTGGGAAAAAAGAATACCTTCAGAAAACAATCTTTTAGTAACCAAGAAGGTTTGTTTGTCTGGGTTGAATTTCTAGGATCTGCTTGAAATCTTTAATGACTCCAAGATCATGTTAACTGCACATATTTGTCAAGTGTTAAATTCTATATGATTAATTTGATGGCTGAATTGAGTGCAGGTGGTTTCCACTTTTTACTCTGCTCGCCCCTTCCCCACACCCACACTGCATACCTCTCAATCTAACTCAAGTGAAAGACAAGTGAAAAGGCAGCTGAGAATCTTTGGTTTGCGTCCTGCATTTATAGAAAGCAAATTAAATGAAAATTAAGGACATGTATAACTGTTAAATAAAAACCTTTTGGCTAAAATATTGTTCTCAATTTTTGAATGGGAAGTACATCACTTTGAGAGCTAAGTAAAAGGAAATCTTAACCTACCTTATTAAATGTATCTGTTTTGGAGGAGGATGGTGAAAGAAAATAAGTATTGTTAACACAACAAACATGTCGAACATCGATAGACTCAGAACACTTTTCAAAAGAACAGTCCTTTTTTTTTTTAGATGTCATAAATAGAAGACATTCTTTCAAATAGGACTGAAAGTCTTCAGAGATAATGAATAAAATAAATGGGTGCATATATCTTGGAAAAGCAACAATTATAGAAAGTTTACTTTTTTAGTTTAGTGATTTTTTTCCTCCAGTGGGAGATCTTGAATTTATAAAGCATAGGTGATTTGTTTGTGATGATTTTTAAACTTGTAAACTGATGCTTCTACATGGAATTTTAATATCCCCCTGAGTCAATAGACCCAGGAATAATGAAGGCTCTCTTCTCTCTTCATATGGTCCTAAACATTTTAAGTTCTTTATCATTATGGTTTAAGCAAAGTAGCACTAAGGAATCAGATTATTTCTTCATATGTATTGTATTTCCTTGCCAAAATAGAGCATTTATTTTAGCACTCTTGAAAATAATCAGAGTGACTCCGTTTATCCATAGATTTGAAATGTCATGCATATTTTAAAATAAATATATTTTGAATAAAAACACTACAAAATAAGAAATGATTTGAAAAGAAAGCAAATATTTTGGGTGTGATGGTGCTACAGTTCACAACTGAAGGTGATTATTTAACCCAAAAATGCCTGTCCTTGAACATGCTCGTAAATCTGAATGTGATTCCAAATCAGCAGTTCTGTTGTCATCCTGAAGTGCAGTGGATATCAGTGTGGCTTCACACTGAAATCATCTGAAGACCTTTATAAACTAATGATGCCTAGATTTTACATCATGAGATTTAATTGGTCTGAAGTGTGGCCTGGGCATTAGGTGATTCTAGTGTGTAGCTAAGCTTAGGAGCTGGTGTGGATAAAGTCATAAGTGTATATACATAAAAACATACTTGATATTGCTAGAACTTCCAGTGAATAGTAGGAGGTGATTCCAATTGATTGTTATTGTACAGGCTTGGTGATTTCTTTGGAAACATCAATTTCCCAGAGTGAGAAAGCTTCCCAAACTAGTCCCCGATATCACCTCCTGACCGTTTCTTCCTGGCAAAAACTTGTTTGATTCAATGCCATTGCTCTTTACTAGTTATGTCCCAGCTTATGTTTCAGCTGCTGGTAAAACAGAGCCAAAAGAAAATAGAGAATTTCTGATCACCACCATTAAAACCCATGAAGGCCACGTAGGTGAAAATCAGCATAGAATCATATTTCATGGTTGAGAGGGACCTTAAAAATGTATAATTCAATATTCATTTATTCATTCATTCAAGTAATATTTACTACACATCTATTCTGTGTTTGTTATCATGCTAGACATTGGGTGTATGATGGTGAAAAAGATAAGATCTTTCAGTTTGAGTGGAAATGGGAAGTGAGCAGTAATACTGACCAAAAATATTTAGAACAGCAATAATTATAATGAGGATAAATATGATGCGCTATTGGAACACCTAGAAGGAAATCTGGTTTTGAGAAATTAAGAAAGGCTTTTTGGAGAAAGTGATATAGGATTTTAGACTATAAGATGAGTAAGAGATATCCAAGTAGAATTTTTAATAGGAGAAAGAAAAAGCACCCCGTGTTAGGCAAAAATAAGCAATCTTGTAAATCATAGACTTGTAACTTATATTAAGGCAGTTAGGCTTTATCTTAAAGGGCAGAGACAATCAGATTTGCCTTGGAGCCACAATGTAGAAGATCAAAGAGAGAGGGCCAAGGCTCTTTCAATATTTCCTATACACAGGGATACCTAAACAGACATGCACACATGAACTTCAAATTATTTACTTAGTGTCTAATTAGGCTTACACTTGTTTCCAAGTTTTTACTGTTCAATAGTCTAAAAATTTATAAGTCAAATAAAATTACTTTAGTGCTACTAATAATATAGAAGAGTTTCCTAGACATGTTAAGCAGAAATTTTCAAGGTCAGGCAGAAATATGACATAGAAACGTAATCAAAACTAGATTATCTAACAGAAATATCAGTTCCTTACTCTATGATCAGGAATATTTGATTATATTTGATATCTTTTCATAAGCTGCCAAATAAAGATTTTCTGTTTGCAAATCTGATAAATGGAAACAAACGTGAACATCAAGGGTTACTGTGATAGAACCAGGTATATCTTCTTAACCACCAAAATGATTTTACAGACTTACATCTTTAACATACAGGCATTATAGATTACCTACTAAAGGATCAGTTCAAAGGTAGGTGTCTACTGTCTTCAACCACAGAAAAAAAAAATCCCCATTAATTTTAACACCAAACATTTATAACATGATCTTTCTTTCTGAATGCTCATTTTGTAACATTTTGAGATCTGAAGAATTCAAAAATAAAATAAAAATAGTGAAATGTAAAGGTAATGTTGCAACAGAAGAAGGACCTTAGCTAATCTGGACTGGCAGCAATCAGAACCACTGAAACTTGGCACAGCCGAGTGAGCTTGGAAAGAGGTATGAGAGAATCTGCACTTTTTCTGTATTTATGAAATATTACTACAAACAAAAATCTGAATAAAACCACAAAAGAGCTAGATATCTGCAGCTGGGAGGGTGAGGAGAGAAGATGAGTTTTTATTTTAACATATGTAATAATTATAACACAAAGCTGGGTAGGAGTTTGCAGCTGGGAAGGGTAGAGCAAAGGAAAAATGAAATTTTATTTCAGAATAAATTTATGAAATCATACTTCAACATGGGAACTTGCAGCTGGGGGAGGGCAAAGGGACAGCAATATTTTTCAAGTAAGTCACTTTAATAAAATACACAAGCCCTCACTTTGACACAGCATTGGAAGGGACATTCTTGAACAAGTATCAAAGTGGAATCAGGCATTTTATTACGCAAAAAGCAATTTTAGGCTCTTTGGCTAACAGAGACTTTTCTTTAAATGAGTACTTGCTAACCAGTTTCTAAGTCTCTGTAATTCTGTGGGAATTCTCCTCGAATTACAGAGAATAAGAATTTGGCCCCAGGTGACTGTGCCTCAATTCCTCAAATTTATACTTCAAAAGAATTTATTTTCCTCTAGGGATCCCAAAGCATTTTTCCATCTGTGAAGTTTACCATCACTTCATAGCCTTATATTAGCTGTTTTTTACACTTAAAAAAATTGTGGGTTTTTTCCTTTCACGTAAATGAGTGATTTGATTTGCCTATCAGTAGGCTGCCCTCCCCCAAAGTAGGAAACAAGTAATAATACAATATTTATACTCATAGTATGTGATTTTATTTAAATTACAAGCATGATTCTTGGTTGAAGCCTCATCAACTTAAAACTATAAAGTGTCCAGTGATTCCCCTTTAAAGTATGGCTTTAACCCCTTATTAGGACAGCTAAGTATGAAGTCATTAGGTAATAAAATAGATAATAATTCTATTCCTATTTTCTAAGTTGAAATAATCTACTAAGTGTACATTGCTGTTTTCATGTGATGTTTCACTGTTATCAATTTAAGCCAAATCCAATATTTAAATAATCCTTCTAAGAGAGGACAGGGACATATATTCTGTTTTCTGTATTCCTACTTCTAGACAATACTTGTTGCATAAAAGATTCACAATAAAGATTAGGAGAATAAGTATGTGGTCCAACTTTAGTAAGACGTGTCAAGTCTCAGAAACTGGAACACCAAACTAAAAAAAAGGGATCGAGTTGCCTTCCTTTTACTTCTGTAACGTCCTGAAACTCCTGAAAATTTTTATTTACTTTTCTACTAACTATTGGAAAGGAAAGAATAATAATTTGCCTAAGGAAATTGTTCTCAAGCTATTGATCTAAGGACACTGTCAGTCTTAAAAAGTACTGAGGTCCCCAAAGTGCTTTTGTTTATATTTGTTGTATCTATCAATAGTTACCATATTAGAAAATAAAAAAAATTATTAATTCATTAAAAACCCATAGATATTAATATAAATAATATATTTTAATTAAAAACAATTTTCAAGAATGAAAGTAGAGCGAAGCATGATGGCATTGTTTTACATTTTAAGAAATCTCTTTAATGTCTCACTTAATAGAAGGCAGCTGGATACTCTTATCTGCTTCTGCATCCAGTCTCTTGCAATCTGAATTTTTTTGGTGGATGTTTTGATCTGGCTTCACACAGATATGTAGTTTGAAAGGGGAGGAGTATTTTAATAGCTTTTTCATATAATTATGAATAGTCTTCTTTGATAACTACAACAAAACTTGACAGATGGTAGTTTCTTAAAATTTAGTTGCAATATGGAATCTGAAACCATATTGATGAACATCATATAATCTGTGACAATCAAACTCTTTGGGTCTACTTTACACTGTGATTTTGTAATATCATTCATTGTTCATTTAGAAAATGTGGGTTCATAGAATTCTGCGGACCTAGAAAGCTCAAAGCTTATCATGGCAACAAATATTATGAGTTGATTTTCCTAAAGTGGAAGATTCACTTTGTTCATTTCTGAAAATATACTTGCTAAATAATTCAGTATAATTAACCATATCTTGTTTGTCAGTCATTCTTTTTAGGTGAAAAATTGCTATCAGTCCAGCTTGCAGCTGAAGTATTGCACAATTATATTTTGGTATGCAGCAAAAGCAAAAGTGTTTTACACATACTCTGCATTCATCATACAAAATAACTAAAATACGTGTATTCGAGAGTCAACATGTAATAAAATAACATTTGCTGCTTCATCATGGACATTCCTAAGGGAAATTAGCATATATCTTTGTCTGAGTGTGTGTGTGTGTGTGTGTGTGGGTGTGTATAATTTTATTTTGAGTGTGTTGATAAAAAACACAACATACAGTTTGTTGTCACTAGTTTGATTTCTGCTAAGGTATCAACAATTTTACCCAAAGTGTTTTGCACCATCAATACAAATGTCAATACAGTGAGAAAAAGCAAATAGCACCTTAGTATTATTAATGAAAAGAGTTTTGAACTTTTAGACTTCTCAAAAGAGTCCTGGCCAAACTTGAAGAATCACTGGCATAGGACAATTTTTTATCTTAATATATTAGTAAAAGTAAATTTCTATTTTGCTCCTAAAGAGTAGCAGCACCTCCTCCATTACCTTTATAACAGGAAGTCACTAACTAGATATAGCTTGCCATTTAAATAACAAAAATCATTTTAATCACACCCTCCATGTGTTACAAGCAAATTTATCCAAAGCTAAAGTGCTGAGAGATCTCATATCCCATGTACATAATATTGCTGAAGGAAAAGTTTAAACACAGATTTTAAAGAAATTAAACCTGTTTTATGACAGCTTAAGACCCATCACTTACTTTATAAGTAAGAAGGCTAAGAAGCAAATAGATTAAAGAACATTCACAGTAGAACAATTCAGCAACAGTTTTTTGTAAGTATGATTAAAATAAATTTCATCAGTATTTATTTGTGTTGAGACTTTATGATTCTTTATTCTCCTCATTCATTAAAAGCAATTTCATCTCTCTCCAATTTCCTAGGAAGTCACAGCAATAGGATGGAGATGTGTTTTGCAGAAGGGATGGTTTCTGGGAGCCATGAATGCTTTTCTAAAAGAAAAGTGTGTCTAAGTTAGGTAAGAAGTACTCAAAATAGGATATTTTCAAAGACGGTGAGTAACAGAAGAATATACTAGTTCATATATCAAGTTAATATTCCAGAAGGTGGGGAAGTGTGAGAATGGGAAAGGGTTTTGTCTTTGTTCTTGGAGGAAACTTGTAAAAGCTTTAACTGCATTCTCTAAGGTCCAAGTTCTACTTTTATAAAACTTTCTCTAATACTGTTTATCATGATATTGCAGCATATGCTCTCTATAAATTACTTTTAAAATAACACTTTTCAGAGGATGTACTCAGAGGTATCTGCCTCTCCCTTGACTCCTATCTGCAGGTATCTTACCTGAATGGAAGGTCCCCAAGTTAGACAAAGATTCTCAGATCTTTCTTTTATATTATCTCTTAATATATTTTATATATTTTTCAATATTTTAAGTATATTTTATAAATGCAAAATATATTTAAACATCTTTAGATTATCAACCACAAGAGTGAACCCACCATCCAACCCAAGAACTATAACAATACCAATAATTTGCCTCTATTTAGTGTAGCTCCCCTATCCCAACTCCTTGACTCCCTCCAAAATTACCACTATCCTTCATATTATTTATCTTTTCTTTGCTTGTTTGGGTAATCTATTTAAAAAATAGATGATATACAGAAATAAAGGAAACGATCCTAAAACTTGTATAGAACCACAAAGGATCCTGAATAGACAAAGCACTCTTGAGCAAAAAGAACAAAGTTGTAGGCATCATACTATTAATACCTGACTTCAAAATACATTACAAAGTTATAGTAAACAAAATAGCATAGTGCTGGCATAAAAACAGACACATAAACCAATGGAACAAAATAGAGAACCCAGAAATAAATCTACACATTTACAACCACTTAATTTTCAGTAAATGTACCAAGAACATACATTAGGGAAAGGACAGTCTCTTTAATAAATGGTGCTGGGAAAACTGGATATACACGTGTAAAAGAATGAAATTAGACTATCTCTCACATACATAAAAATCAACTTAGAATGGATTAACTACTTAATTCAGTTACACCTGAAATTATAAAACCACCAGGAAAAAATGCAGGAGAAATGCTTTATGACATTGGCCTGGGCAATAAATTTTTAGATAGGGCCTCAAAAGCACAGGCAACAAAAGCAAAAATAGACACATGGGATTGCATCAAACTAAAAAGCTTCAACACAGAAAAAGAAACAATGGGGAGAGCAGAGAGGAAATCTACAAAATGGGATAAAATATGTGCAAACTATGCATCTGACAGGGGGTTGATATTTAGACTATATAAGGAACTCAAACCACTCCCTAGCAAAAAACAAATAATCTCATTTAAAAATGGGCAAAAGACTTTAATAGACATTTTTCAAAAGAAGAGATATTATATGACAAAATGCTAAACATCAGTAATCATCAGAGAAATGCAGAGAATGGCTACTATCAAAAAGACAAAATAACAAATACCGGCAAGGATGTGGAGAAAGTGGAACTCATACACTGTTTGTGGGAATGAAAATTAATGCAGCCATTATAACAAACAGTATGGAGTTCCCTCAGAAAATTAGCAATAGAACTATGACATGATACAGCAATTCCATTTCTGAGTACATATCCAAAAGAACTGAAATCCACATGTCAAAGAGATACCTGCACTCTCATGTTTATTGTAGCATGATTTACAATAGTCAAGAGATGGAATCAACCTAAAAGTCCATCAACAGATGAATGAATAAAGAAAATGTGGCATATATACACAATAGAATACTATTGAGCTATATAAAGGAATGAAATCCTGTCATTTGCAGCAACATAGATAAACCTGAAGGACATTATGTTAAGTATAATAAGCCATGAAAAGAAAGACAAATGCTGTATTATTTCACTCATATGTAGGATCTAAAAAAGTTGATCTCATAGAATTATAGACTACAGTAGTGTTTACCAGAGACTAAGAAAGGAGGGGAGCAGGGAGAGGGATGGGGAGGGGCTGGTCATGGGGTACAAAGTTACAGTTAGATAGGAAGAATATGTTATGGTGTTCTATTACATAGAAAATCAACTATAGCTAATAACAATGCATAGTATATTTCAGGATAGCTAGAAAAGAAGATTTAAAAGTTATCCCCACAAATAAATGATAAAAGTTTGAGGTGATGGATATGCTAAATGCCCTGATTTGATCATTTTACGATGTTCACATGTATTGAAACATCACACTGTACCTCATAAACATGTACAATTATGTCTCAATTAGTCAATTATAAACAAAATTAAAAATAGGTTCTACACACACACACACAAACACACACACACACAGTCTTCTATCAGTAGCCATTGTATTTCAAATCTTCATTCATGTTTATTCCTAACTGTAGATTATTTACTTATTCACCAATGTTAACTCCCTGGTGTTAATCTACCCTAATTTATATATACATTATCTTGATCATGAACATTTGGGTTGTTTCTTGTCTTTTGACATGACAAGCAGTGGTTCTATGGTCCATTTTAAACATATCTTCTCGTGCATGTGCTGAAACATTTCTGTGGGTTATATTCTTAGAAGTAGAATTTCAAGATCATAATGTATATGAATATCCAGAATTATAAGATATTGCCAAGTGATTGCCGTAATTACACCCCCATGAACCATAATGTTAAAGTTTCACATAGGTACCTATACACTTGGTATTGTTAATATTCTAAAGTTTTGATAATCTAATGTCATGAAAGGGAAGATCAGTATCTTAAATTGCATTCTCTTTGCTACTAATAAGATCGAGGACCTATACAAATACTTATTAGCCATTATTTTGCTTTTCTGTCAAATGCCTCTCCATGTATTTTACCCATTTTTACTGGATTGTTTATCTCTCTTGTAACTCCTTATTGATTTATAGGATTTTGTGTATATTCTAAACAGGAATCTTTAGACATACAGGATTTGGGTTGACTACAGGCACTACATACATCTCCCAATTAGTGGCCTGTTTTCTATTTTCTTCATAGTACATTGGATAAACTAGTATTCTTACCTTTAAAACACTAATTCATTGGAAATTAATTTTTGTATGTAGTAACATAGTGTTCAAATACCACTTTTTCCCACATTGTTACCCAATGTTTTCCAGCATGACTTTTTAAATAGTTCCTTTTTCCCTCAATGATCTGTGTCTCAATCTATATCTAGGCTCTCTAATCTGTTTTGTTGGTTAATTTGTGAATACCACAGTGTCAGTTAAATAACTGTCCTTTTCATCTCTCTTAATACATGAATACTAATTTCTGTTAATGGGGTCACAGAATGACCTGAAATTTAGGCAAAAGCAGATGCCTTTGTTTGCTAAAACAAAATACAATTTCCCTCAAATGTCTATGTACCACTCTGATAGATAAAGAATATTGGTAATAGGAGTGAAAATTCAAAGAGAAAATTTCAATACTTATGATAAAAATTGGAACATATGATAAATGGTGTGGTAACATTGTCATAACGCCTCTTGTGTGATATAATTTTTCTTAACCTTAAGCAACAAATAAGGCCTGCTCTTCCAAAGAGTCAAATTAGAGCAAAGTTATTTGAAAGTCTGAGTCTGGGGGGCTAAGTCGCCATCTTACCTGAACAGCATTAGAGAACATCGTGGAAAATCTAAAAAGTCATTCTCCTTGTTTGCTTAGCATGCACTGTTTGCTGTATGTGTACCATAACATAGAAGAAAACTTTTAAAAAATTAGAGACATGAAGAAAACACAGTTAACGTGTGGAAAATAAAAGTTTTCTATTGTTATAGAGCAAGTTTAACAAATGCTACTTGGTAATTTTCCCTGCCCTGGCCGTGACAGATTTGATTATTTAATTTGTTTCTAGAATACCAATTCTTTTTAATGTTCTAAATGTAGACAGAGAAAAGCAAACCCTAGACTACAAAATAAAGATATTTCTCATGTTTGCATAAATCTATTTTCTTAGAAAGCTCTGCTCTGTCCTTATATATCCTATTCAGCCTAATTTAAATTCCTAAATTATTTTTTGGTGAGCAACTTTTATTCTAGTTTTTAATTTGTTTTTACTGTTTTTAGCTATTTTTCTGTAAGGTACTATCATACTTTTACAAAGATGCTTTTTGGATCTAAGGATGTGTTTTGAAGATAGAGCTAAGGGGCTTCCTTAATGGTCTGAATATGAGTATAAGGGAAAGAGAAAAGTTATGGATGAATCCAAGGCTTTTGGTTGAGCAATTGGAAAACTAGATTTACCGTCAATTGAGATGGAGAAAACCATGGGTGCAGCAGGTTTGGGAAAGGGAAAAGATGGGATTTGGACATACTGAATATGAAATATTTAGTAGTGGAAATGTTAAGTAGGCACTTGAATATATAAATGTGTAGTTCAAGAGAGGCATTTTGCCTACAGATATAAATATGAGAGTCATTGGCATGTAGTGGTATTTAAAGCTGGAAGACCATTAAGTCACAAAAGGAGCGACTAGAGATGGTGAGGACGAAATGTCATACTCATACCAGTCCCCATGTTAAATAAATGAAATTAGTTTGTCATAATTCATTCTGAGTAAACCTATGTTGTTTCTTAGGTTTCTCTATTTCCCTAAGTATTTGACTTTATCCATTCTATAATGTAGTCCAGAATCAATATCAAGCTCACCATTCTGTAGAACAAAGCTTCCTCTCTGAAAATCAGAATATCTCTTCAATATATGGTTCATTTTAGATTAATGGCAAAGGTTGAAGTTATCTTAATGCAATGGGATAAAATCCCTTCTGGATAATAATTTTTTAGTTTCCTCTTGAGCTTAGCAATTATAGCTGTTTAAAGGCAGAGCCCATTGATTTTTCAAGGCACACTTGAGTGAAGATGAGTGGGTTTTACTAATTGAGACAATTTTAAAAATTGTGTTTTCATTAGAGAGAGAGAATCAGAGACCAAGTAACGACACAATATAAAGCTCTAAACTGTGATACAATCTACTTTCCTCATTCATTTCCACTATTATTTTTCCTATTTAGCCATGCTTATTATAAGCGGTTGTTAGAAGCAGCTGTTACTAAGATGGAAAGGAATGGAAAAGTTCTTAAATATTGCTTTCTTGAAAAAAAAAACTTCAAAACATCTGGGCTCTGCACTGAGAAATATTTTTGGTGAGACTGAAAGGATTATATAAAAGATTATGCAGAAGGAACAGCAATGACATTTCTTCTTTATTGCCTATATTTTTGAAATCTCCTTTTACTTTTACAGTTGTTTTGTCAAATGCTATGAAAAGTTTTATACATTTGCCAGTTTTTCTCATTTTTAAATGCTTGCAGACTACTTACCTTTGGAATGTGGTTGCTCAATATTTACCAATGATTGAAAAAAACACCCATTTCAGTACAAATTTTTAGCTTTGTTTGTTCGATTACTCTAGCATTTTTCCCACCAAGGGATGTTTCCGCCCTTCTTAGAAGTACCCAAAATTCTGAGAGGTGAAGGGAGGAAACATGAATGACAATACACAATATAAAAGAGGAAATCAAAATCAAAACGTTGGCCCAGACTCTTAGAACACACCACACACCCTCGATCTGAGCTCAGTCTGAGCCAGAGGATTATGTTATCACCTTAGCTGGAGCTGTTTTTGTTAAGTCAGTATAACTGTTGTCACTAGCAAATAGCATAGCCAAGTCATACTTCCCAATGGAGGAGAGTATGGTGTCAGAATTTTAAGAAGGTCCAAATTAGAACACCTGTGTGTCAGACCGGCCCAGCTGTACATGTGGGCTGGCCAGAGCTGCAGAACATCATCTGCTCAGCACATGAAATGCCAGTTTCTTTGCTGAAGATGGGTTTGAAGGATTAGATTCTTAAAAGAGAAAGCTCAGAACTCGGTTGTAACATCCCTAGCCTTTCTCTTATTTTAAAATAAACAATTTTAGGAAGAGGGGATTAAAGGCTCATATCTGAGAGATGACAAGTAGGGTATATTGCTAGCTCCAGAAGAATTGCCTCAGAAATTCTCCTTTAGTCAGCCGTTGGCTTTTCATTCTGGTGACGGATGAAGTATGACTATAATTCCAGGTGTTAAACATGTGCACATTCCAAAAATGCTCTATGGGTTGCTGGGTTTGTGACAATCAGACCAAGAAGGGAATATCTCTCTTTCCTAGCCCTTCTAAAACATGGTGCAATATTTGACCCATACCTTGTCCTAATCATTGAAAATCTGGTCAAAGGAAACACAGTGGACAATACGAACTCTATTGAATAATTAGTAGTAACTGCCTATCTTTTTTCCTACTAAAACTGACATCTAAAAAAGTATAAACTAACACTCTTGCAATTTGGGGAGCTGAATTTCCTGCCAACTATCTTTAAGTCCTGGTTTTGCAATCTGCTACCTTTCAGTAACTACTAGTAGCTACCAGGTATTTAAAATGTTATTTTTTGTTGGTGGTGGTTTTTAGTTGTTTTTATTGTTTGTTTGTTTTTTGCTTTGAAGAGAGATTTACAACCTGCTCCTCTTGAATATTATGGTCATTTTGGATTTTCTCCTCAGAAACGAGAAGATAAGAACTTCAACAACGTTTCCAGAGTTTACGGGCACGGCTGTATAGAGATGTTAACCTCCTAAAACAAAACAAAATAGAACTCCAACTTGGGAAAAAACCAATCTCATTCACTTTTAGAAAAACAAAAACAAAAACAAAATTCAAGTGGTCTTCTCACTTAACGAGGCAACACTGTCCTGTATTAAAATTTTAATCAAATAATTCTGAGTTTGAAACTGAGTCACATGGGATCACAGATACCAAAGATTGAGCTTGCCCAAAACCTATATGGTCACTTTCCTGACATCATCCTTCCTGCTTGATTACCTCCTTCAAAGAGTTACTGAGTACTCCGCACATAACAGAAGCTCACAGGGTTTAGGGAAGGTTAAGTGAGGCAACATAAAATTCCTGGTATAAAGTAAGTGCTCCACAAATGTTAGCTGTCACTATCTTCCAGAAACAAGAATGTATTTCTCAAATATCTAGTCACATTAATGCTGTATGTAGGATATTGCTAGGAATATACTAGAGTAGTATACTGATACCACATTTAATGTCAGACTGCATTATCCACAGATAATGACTATGATTTGGAAGTTGGTCTATTTATCCTAATGATTTTGTTCATCATTGTGTTAAAAGCAGCAGTCAGTTTTGTTCTTCCTTTCCTTTCCATGCATCTTAACTACAGAATATCACTCCCTCAATACCTTACATTAAATATCACTATAATGTTTGCTATTGAAACTTCACTGAGTATACAATTCTTAATTCCAATAGCATGGATTTGTCATGAATTATGTGTTCAGTGCTTTGGCTTTGTTTTCCTAAGATATTTGAAATAGTCCTTGAATATCCAGAACATCTTGGTCCCACCATTAGAGCATATTCTTTGTTAGTGTCTGACTCTCCCAGAAGTGGACATTTAAAAAAAAAATTAGTGGTGAGGTTGAGCTACACTATTCTTTATTGATTTCTACTAAAAAACAGGGTTATATTTTTAGGTCTTAATTTTGTAAGGTTCAGGCCATCAAATATAATTTCTTTTTTTGTGTTGAAAGCTTTTATTTTCTAACAAGAAAATTCACAGTACACACTTCAATTCAATTTGTAGTCAATCACTGTGATGGCTGTGGCAGAAGACCTGAGTATTGGCCACTTATGCTTTTAACAATGAGAATTTTTAAAAAGACCAAAAATGTTACAATGCATTGCAGATGCTGTGTCCAGGACCCATTTGGAAATGTAACTTCAAGAGGATTTTTCTTGTTAAAAAGCCATTTCCTCCTGGAAAGTGATGGGAAGACAGCAGCAGAGCAGCAGGGCAAATAGGCAAACAAGAAATTTACAAGGATTTCCAAAGAGTACTGTGGAAGCATTATATTAATTTGAACAACTGCAAGAACATTTTTATGGGGTTAAGAAGTTTAGTCTTTCCTCTTAATTTTAATAAGACAGGTTTGCATTTTTTAAAAAATAACTTTTTAAAATTAAGAACAAATTTATTGTAAATTGACAATTTAGAATTGTATAAATCTATGGGTACAAGTAATATTATGATTATTAAATACGTTGTAGAATAATTAAATCAAGCCATGCACAGAAAGACAAATAATGCATGTTTTCACTTACATGTGGAATCTAAAACAATTGAACTCATTTTAAAAATAATTTTTGACAGGCTTTGTGTGTGTGTGTGTCTCTGTGCGCACATTTTAACTAAGTTGCACATGAAGTAACATGTGCCACCAGACTGGACTCTGGAGAATTGTACTGAGTATGATTTGTTCCTGCCTCCTCTTTCAGAAACAGCATGGGTTTGGGGTGGAGAACATACCACTGACCTAGGTTCATTAACTGCTTCTGGAACACCATGATTCTTTTGGAAATAATAAGCATATTACATGAATTTTGACCACGTTCTTCTAATGGAAAAGACCAGATTATAAAATAATATTCCATTATATTTTAAATTTTAAGACTTTCTAAACCCAACTGAGGGTTTTCCACCTTAAAGCAATTGACATGGAAAGGTTTACAATTATAATCACAATGCTGAATCCTTGACTCAGAATGTTTATTAGAGTTTCAAAAACTTATTTGGAGAAACAATACATTCATTTGACATTCTCACCTTCTATGGGGTACTTTGTTCATGGAAACAACAAAAAGCCACTCAGAGCCAAATATTCTGAATGTGGTGTGTTAATCAATATGTATGATGTTTTTATGGCCCTAAAGTCATGGCCTAAAATAAACAAACATGTAAACTACTTCTAAAATCAATTTCTAAAGAACGTTCTACATAAAAATATCAAAGGAATGAGTTCTCTGTGGTGACTAATATGGAAAATAATGTTTAAGCATGCTTGATTACAAAATCTATGACAATATTTTAAATGTGCGTCTTTATCAAATGTCTTAGTTTGATATATTTCAGCACATTTTCTGTTGCTCTGCCCTACCTGTAGTAAGTTCTTGTCCACTTTACTGACATCTCTCCACCAATCCATGTTGAGGTTACCGCCGATTCCTACACTCCAACTTAGTTATTTCTCCCCATACTTCTACTTCCCTGTGAGCCTGCCTCTTCTCACTAATATTTCTTAAGTGATTTGAAAATTACAAAGTTAGAATCAGACCTTCTCAGGGAACAGTGAGTCATTTACGAAGGCAAAAAAATCAAACTTCAATTTCTCCTACAATATTTGGGGGGAAAAACAGACATCAATTCTTTACAATGTCAGCATAATGCCCATCACAATCAGATCTTTTCCTGACTGTTTGTGGAGGTAGCTTGCTTGTACCTACAAGTCAGCCTGACTGTCTGCCAAAAGAGCCAGTCTGTGAAGAATTACTAAAATCCCTTGATTACATTTTCTGTTAATGAGGAAAGGTTTTTGAGGGGACATTGATATCCAGTTTATTTTATTCATTTGCTTCACTTCCAGCAAAAAGCAGAATGTTTCCATCCTTAACTGAAGTTAACTAGATAACTAAGAGATACAATAAAAATGTTCACCCTTGGAAATCTTTATGAAAAAGAAAAACTCATCAAGTTGTCCAATTCTAAAACCATATTAGAAACAGAATCAAGAACTAGACAATTTCTGGGAACCTCTTTCAACCTTAAAATTTCAACTAGATGCTTCAAGTGCACTACATTTGTTTTTATTGCTACATATACCTTGTCCTAAATGTTTGTTGACTGTGATCATAGCATCTAATACACTTAAGAAGTAAGCAATTAGCACGTTGACTGACTTATCTGAAGAATTTGAATCACATCTGAATTTTGAAATATACCAATAGAAGAAGGTCTGTAGCTGGTTTCTCTGGCCTCCAACTTACATGAGATAGCCTGGCACAGTGATTAAGTAGGTTAAGTATACAGACTTAAGTAAGACTGCTTGGCCTTAAATCCCAGCTCTGCTACTCATGAGCTGTGTGGCTTGAGGGACACAGTAGCGAGAAATAAGATAATTGATGACATTGTGTGCCATGATGAGGAGTTTAGACTTCATGTTCTAGAAATGGACATAGATGGAGAATATACAGATCAGATTTTCACATTAGAAAGCTCACTTTAGAAGTGGTGTAGATAATGTTTCAGAGAGTAGGAAACATTTACAATATTGTAGTAATCTATTGAGAAATAACAATGGACTGGATCAAGGCAATGAAAAATTGGGAGAGCAATAAACCAGTAAAAAAGGATTAATATTAGGGAAGAAGTAGAATCCTATTAATTACAGTATAATTGCTTTGGAGGAGGGATAGAAAGCAGGAAGCCTAGATTGTTTCTAACTTGGTCAAATGGTTGGGTGGCGATGCTAATGGCCTTTATATGGAATACAAGGGGGGAAGCAAGTTTAAGAGAAATAAATACTGTTTTTAGTTTTGGAACATGTTCAATTTGAGTTGCCTGTCAGATGTCCAAGTAGATGTAACCCCTGGGAAGGTGGATATATAGAACTTTTACTGATAATCTAATCATATAATTGATAGCTTATAATCCTTGGCCTTATTTTTGCCACAATAGTCTCCCTCTTTGCAATTTTTCCATAGAGTATAATCTTCAACTTTTCTTCATGTTATTAGAGAGTAATAATCATGTTTATATAATTAATTACTTTTGCTCACATATTGAGTAAACCGGAAGTCAAAGATTACACTCAGAGCTGGATAAAATTAAGAGTTTTCATTTATTTTGGAAAACGATTTTAGCTTATAAAAATAAAACAATCACTGTGAAAAGACATGGAAGAATCTTAAATATATACTACTAAGTGAAAGAAGCCAATCTGAAATGGCTACATATGGTATGATTACAACTGCATGACATCCTGGATGAGACAAAACTAGATACAGTACAAAGATAATGAATATCAGGCATTAGAGAGGAGGAATGGGTAAATAGGTGGAACACAGAGGATTTTTAGGACAGTGAAACTATTCTGTGTGATACTATAATTATGGATAAATGTCATTATACATTTATCAAAACCTATAGAATGCACAACACAAAGAGTGAGCCCTTGTGTATGGGTTTTATTAATAATAATGTATCAACATTGACTCATCAGTTGTAACAAATTTACCACACTAATGCAAACTACAAATCATAGTGGAAGCTAGGGAAAGAAGGAGGTAAGGGAGTTTATGGAAACTGACTATACTTTTGGTTCAACTATTTTTCGAAACTAAAACTACTCTCAAAAACCAATAAAACCTATTAACAATAATTTAAAAAGAATCACACTAGTTCTCTGAACACAAATTTTGCCCTTATATTATTATATGTATATGTATTATGTTACCACTCTGAGATTCCTGCACATATAATATGAACAAATGGACCTATTACATTGTTTGATGCTTGTGTAACAATATAATAATGTGTTTTCAACAACTTTGAAAAACACTCACTTTCTTCTTTAAAAAGTTTTTGACAAAATATATATCCTTTGTCCTAATCTATGTGGTTTTGCACCAATACAACCTGGCTTTACAATTGGTTATTTCTCTGAACTTTGTCTATTCTGAAGCCTGTAACCTATAATGTGTCCAAAATATGACCCTAAAGCTTAGTTTCAGAACCTTAAAAATATACTGATATCTATTATTGAGACTCTTATCAAGCCTTTCAAGGTGTTTTGAAAATATGTAAATAGTAGCACATCCCAGGCATGACAGAAAAAAATAAAGACATAGGGCTCTTCTTGAATAGACAGGATATTCTAACAGCAGGCAAGAAAGCTGTTTGTAGCCTGCCTGCAAGAACAAAAAACTAAGTTCTTATCAGAAATATGAAAGTATGACTACTGATACTAATTTTTAAAACAAATCCAAGAAAATCAAAACAAATAGACAAAAGGAAAAAAGCAAACAAAAAAACTTCTATTTTCAATCTCTCCACCGATATTTTTAAAAAGTAATCCATCAAAACAGAAACTAAATTCATGATTCCAAAATTATAAATTATTCTCTGGTTGATTCTAACTGCTTAATTCAGATTTGCACTTTATAAATTCAGGGTGGCACGGTCTTAAATTTCTTTTTCGTAAAATAACCTCTAATGATGTTGAGGCAAATAAGTAGTGTTTTATGCTTTGCAAAGAGATGGAGAAAGGATTTACTATTATGACAACCATTTTACCGATGAAAAAACTAAGGCTTAACGGTGTTATACAATTTATTTGAGGTCGTGCATATTTTTAAAAAATAGGCTAACAAGGTTTTCTTCCAAAATGATATCCAATGCTCTTTCAGGCTCACCCGCTGTCCCATGCAGAAATCGTAACCACCTTCAACAGTATGTTCTTAGAAATGAAAGTGTGATAGTGCACAAGGCATATACCCAGATTGAACATGGGTAACAGACACAGATTAATCATGTATGAAACATCAGAGTATCAAATGTTTCATAGTTATGGCTCACTTACTCCTGAAGTGGAGAGAGAGGAAGAGGTTAACCATATCCCCAGGCAAAGAGGTCCATCCCTCTAAGTCAGAGGTCCACGTGAGGTTGAAGAAGGGAAACTGAGAGAGGACTGGGAAGATGGATATTTCTCTATATGAAGCTCAGGCTGCTTCCAGCACCCCTCACTGGAGCTGATTCTGAGACAGTGTCTTCCTAAAACACTGCCGATCTCCAAGCACAGTGCCCCAAGTTCTCTGCCAGGGAAGGGCCGTAGTCTAATGGGTCGGTGGTATTCAAATCAATTCAATGAATAATGATTTACATTTAAAAAATTTTTTTAAAGATAGAACAGACTGATAGAATAGCACACAGCAGAAGAGAAGAAAAGGACTAAAATTGAGAAGTCATACTGCATTACCTACTGTAAGAGAGTTTATTTTTGAAACTTTTTTTAGGAGTGTGAGTGGAGGAGGGAGGAGACAGAATCACAATGTAAAATATATTTCTTTCTCTGTTAGAAAAGTTTAAAAGCCACTGGCCTCTATCCTAGTTAGCACTTGGAAAAAGGACAAGCAGCCTGCATTCTTAGCAGCCCCACCACCACTTTTGTCCCTTCTTTTGTGTGCTCCTGCCATTGCTGTGCAGACTTTCCAGCCAGGCTTCTTGTTAACCATGTCTTTAAAGTATCAGGACTGAAAAAGTGAGCAACAACAATACAGTCGAAGCCACTTCCTTTCATTAATTTTGTTTAAAACTGATTGACACAGCTGTCATCGTGACATTGTAAACTTTGATAATATATTTTGACCTACACAAATTTAGAGCTGAAAAACTGTCTACGTATAATTTATCTCCCACCAGGTAGTTAATAAATTTAAGGCAACTGAATGTAATTCTTCCACAAAGCTTTCTTATTCAAGATTTAACAGAAAGCATTGCTTCTGATTATTTGAAATGTTTATATTAGAAGTCAGAGGATGCAAGTTCCAGTGAGAATTTCTTTGTCAGAGGCATTGATTATAGTACATTGGGCAGATCATGAAACACCTCTTAAGCAGATTTCCTCGTGTGTAAAATGAGCAAGTTAAATTAGGCAATTCCCAATGTGTCATCCAGTTCTGTGTCCTGCTTTAGTCTGTTGTATAAGTTCTTGAAACTTTTAGATAATAAAGTTTCTTTTGGTCCTTTCTATAAAACTATCTTTAATGATAATATTTAAGCACATTTGAAGAATCCTCTTACTTGGTTATTAAAATATTCAAACGTTTTAAAAGAGTCTTATCAGGTTGAAAGTAAATGTTAAGAAGGTTTTTCACACTGAAAATTAATAAAATATTATTTATGAAAAGTAAATAGCAAAAAAACTCTTTAGTACATAATTCAAGATATAAAGATAAATATATACTGTTTAAAATATTTGTGCATATTATATTAACATTTTATGAGCTTAAGTCATAGTTACTTGCACATTTTAATCAGACATGAGTTTCTTTAACAAGTCTATCACAGAGAAAAAAATGGAAGTATATTTAAACTCCAAATATTAAATTAAGTAGGATTAAAGAAACAAAAAGCACCTGTTTTGGTAAGAACCTACATAGCATTCTTTCGGCACCCGTGAGTGATGAAACAGACCAGAGCACAGAATGAATTTTCAGCAATCAGACTTGATTGTTATAGCTTTAATTAATGTACAGGCTTTTTTGATAACTATGAGAAATCACGATTTTGTTGCCCGACTCCAGAAAATATGAGGTTAACAGTAAAGGTGTAATTTTTGTTATCAAGGATTTTTCTGTTGTGGTTGCTGTTATTTCTGGCAGGATTTCCAAAACAGTTGAGCAAGAAATGGGGCTTAAAATTTTATAAAGCTAAAAGTAGATGGCTGCATATTCCAAAAAGGAAAATACTGTCACTAAAGAAGAGAAAGTGGAACAGAGAGAAAAGAGAACTGTTGAGCGAGCTGGAGGAAATGCTCACATTTATAAGTAGATAATTGTAGAGAAATAAGTGAAGAAAATAAAGAGGAATGAACCAGAGAAAAAAACAGAAACACCATAATAGTAAACATGCAAAAAATAACTTAGGTATAAGGACTAGACAATAGGCTGCTGAGAGTACAGAGCATGGTTAATGGGGAAAAAAGACTCTGGATTTCAGAAGACTAACACAATACCTGTTGCTCCAAATTTCAAAGGGTTGAGAGGAAATAGAACGTGAAAACCATTATTTGAATGTGATTGTAATTTCAGGTGATATTGAATGATAATTCTTCCCTCTGCCTCTCATTTGGATGAAGATTTTTTAGTCCATTACCAGATAGAAACATTTACTGGCAGTTTGTTTCCAATATGTTAAATGAAATTTATCACATGCTTCCATGAAATGTGTTTCACTCTTGATTTAACATTACTAAAATATTTCAATTTACCTAAATCGCCAAAAAATCTCAAAATGAAAAAAAAAAAAAGAAAGAAAATGATATGGAAACAATGAATTCCCAGTTTCTGAGTCCTCCTGGAAGAGACAGCTGACACTCAACAAAGGTTGTCAGCCTTCCAAAATCCTAGCAAGCTGTCTTGGCCAATACACTATGTAGAAAGTGTCAAGAATCTTGTCTGTGCAGGGGCTATCTCACTTTGGAAAATATCAAATTAATACTTTTAGAAGCAGTCTAATATGCTGTTCAATTATTTTGGTTCTTGTGGTTAAACAACTAATATTGACTTGCTTATGACCTCCACCTATTATGATTTTTTTTTTTTTGAGACAGAGTCTCGCTCTGTCGCCCAGGCTAGAGTACAGTGGCGCGATCTCGGCTCACTGCAAGCTTCGCCTCCCGGGTTCACGCCATTCTCCTGCCTCAGCCTCCTGAGTAGCTGGGACTACAGGCGCCTGCCACCACGCCCGGCTAATTTTTTGTATTTTTTAGTAGAGACGGGGTTTCACCGTGTTAGCCAGGATGGTCTCGATCTCCTGACCTCGTGATCCGCCCGCCTCAGCCTCCCAAAGTGCTAGGATTACAGGCGTGAGCCACCGCGCCCTGCCATGATTGTATTGTTAACATCTGAGGTACCATTGTTTCCATGCTCTTTCCACAATTCCACTAATTACTTAATTATTTGCCAGCTTGCTTATTTTCTGCAATACAACATTGACTTATCCTCTCTTAATGTAAACATTAAATAGTAGAAATGTGACATCATGTGTATGTGCATGTTTATTTTGTCTTGTTTTGCTTTATAATTCTTACTCTCAGAGTAATTGAGTTCATTTGTTTCCTTCTTGTACATCATATGCATTAGTTTAGTCACCCCTGCCCAACTTGGAGGGGAGATTAAGAGGCCACTTATTTGGTGCATGAGCATTTGACTTTACTTATTTCTGTAATGGCAGTGGTAATGATGTCATCAGCAAAATAACTAAGTGCACTTTCTTATTCTTCAGAGTTTTTTTCATATATATTATCTCATGTGATCCTCACCATTGCCCAGTAAGTTAAGTATTATTACTCTTACGTTATTGTTGTTATTGTTATCCCTATTTTATGGGTATACTAAAAAAAAGAAAAGACTAGAGAGATGAAGTGACTTTTCCAAACCCATTAAACTAATCAGTGGTGAGTGGAATTTAAAACCTGTTTGAAATTGTAGTGCTGTGATGTGGATATAGATCATCTAATTATCTGAACGGCAGCTAGAAAGGGTCAAAGGTAAGGAAAAAGCAAAAGCAATACAAGACTCTAAATTTAGAGAATTTCCCCAGTCTGATCAGGATGTAAGACATGTCAGCCAAACAAACAAAGCCATTGCAGAGAAACCATTGGGAAAGCCTGTGCTTCTCTGTCACATAGCGACATTCAGATTCAGAAAGATGAGGACAGGGGAGTTTGTTGCTGGTTTTGAAGAAAGAAGAGAGAATAAGCTTTATGCAACAGAATCTACTTTCTACTTGGGGTGACACTATAATTTATACTTTAATGGGAAAGAGTAGAAGAAAGGTAGGGGTATATGGGAGGACGGGGGGCAAGTAGAGGCAGGGATGAAAATAACGTATTGCTATGGTGCCTGCCTTAGTATCCATGAAGTACTAACATACTTTAGACTTCTCAGAATAGCAGCTGGGAGCAACAGGGAGTTTGGATTTTGTTGTGACTTTTAATGAAATTGGAGTTATACCCATGTCATTCAAGTATAGAGAGAGAAGAGTAAGGGTTCATGTTCTTCCTAAATTCAGAATAAACAGCATATTGTAGCAGCATAAGCAGGTGGTTTGATATATGGGTTCTAATATTAGATTGCTTAGGTTTGAACTTTAGCTTTCTCCATTTACAGTGGTGTGACTTGTACACATTGTATAACCTCTCTATGTCTCAGGAATGTCTTTTTTATTAAATGTTTCATCATTTATAAAAATAAGGATGATACTAGGATTTGCTTCAAAAGGCTGCCTAGAGGATCAAAAGAGTTAACGCAATTGACGATTTAGTTTCATGCCTGGCATAGAGTGAATAATCAATTAATGGTACCCTTTATTATAAGTTATTGTGTGCCGTAAGTTCTTGCAAGCTAGTTTAAGGAAATAATATACCTGAAGATCGCTCACTTCTTCTATTTCCCTGAAGAAAGAACAATCTTATTCCGGATAATAAAGTATAACATGAAGATCTAATGTCTCTTGGGAAAGGTTTGGACAGAACTACCACTTTGAGAAGTCATTTTCCCTAATTGTGATATTTTTATTTGTTTTGTCATTTAATGTACTTATTTGCTCATTGATTTTTTAAAATTGTAGATTTGTTCTTTTTTTGCTCTAGATTATTTTGTTTTAAATTAGATACTGCAAAGTATTTAAAAGGATATCTGATGTCCATTTGTCCCTTTTGACTCTGTGGAAAAAGATAAGTAACATTTTTTTAAAAATTGACTACTTTTGTATTTTTGCTGATTTTATTTCTGAATTTATATTTAAAGCACATAGAAAAATCTAAACTATTATTCAGGTTCCCAAAATATAATCTGTTGTGCAGATTCAGGGGTTGTGGAATACATGTTAGAGTAGCAATTCTGTTGTTAGTGATACATAAACTAATTACTTCTATTAAAAAAAATTTAACAGGATATTGCAATCTTTCTGCTTTAAAGTTTTCTTTGATTAAATTTGCCATTACAAAGAAAAGAACCTACCAAATGCTGTATCGACTGACTTCTTTGAAAGAATGCTTTATGTTTGTCCTAACACTACAATTAGAGAAAAATATGTTATTCTGCTCTAGTTCCTGTCAAGAGTGGACAGAGGAGGAACAGAAAATTGACCTTTGCTTACCTTAAATAGTAATACTAAATTTTTCTTATGCATTCTATATTAAATCTTTCTGTGTAATCTTAAAGCGATGCTACATAATGCAATATGTCTATCAATTATGATTAGCCTTACTTCCTTTTGGTTTATGCTTTTGGACTGTTAAAAAAAGGACGTAGTAAGGGGCTCAGGCAGACACAAATATCACATAAACCTTTTGAACAATCAGATAAATAACTAAAAACGGGTTTATCTCCTTGTTATAAGTGAGCACAAGTGACTAGAGGCATAAGGAAGTAAAACAACTCCAACAGGCCGTCAGAAAGTCACAGGTAGAAATTTGATTGTAATTGATTTTGCTGTTAATTCAATACTAAAGAATAAACAGCCATTAGAGACTGAGTCTAAAATGGTAAATATGTTAACTATTATAAATTTCTTCTAAAATGTAACCGATTATTTTAATGTACATTTAAAGCAATTTTGTAAGGAAATGAAGAAGAGCCAATATTTTCCTAGATCAGAATATACTAGCTATAGTTCTATGACATTGCCTTACCTAATCTTAAAATTATAAGTTTCAAAATATCTTGGAAAGGAGAAGAGGGTGCAAAAGTTTGTATTGTAGAAGAATATTCAAGAAGATTATGACAGGGTCAGAGTCACAGCTGGAGTAAGTTTGAGCAACTTTGTCCTCTTGCGCTCTCTAGTCTAACACAAAAATAAAATGATGGATGTTCATATTAGATTATCATTAAAATACTTTTCTTGCTATTCAAGAACTAACTTTCCACTTGTATCAACTATCAATTTTCTATAATTCATGGTGAGAGGAAAGGAACGTTAATGTAGATTATTTCAAATTCCTTTATTTTTTAAAATTTAATCGTAAAAATGATTTGCTTTCCTGATTGTGTTTAGTGTTAGTCAATGTCCAGAGAGGCTATCAGATTATTTACTCCTAAGCAGGAGAAAGTTGGGCTGAGGTTAGAAAAAAAAGTCATGGATAATTTCAGAAAGTAAAGAGATCCCTTACCGAATATTAGAGTATATAGTTTATTTCAGTGAGCACTTTCATGAATGTTTGTGCATACAGATACAGCACACTTTCATTAAAGAAAATGCAGTCTACAAATATTAGTGCTCTTTAGTCAACTCGTTCAAGCTTCTCTTTCAATGAATTTCAAGAATTCTTTTCTCACAACATAACTTCATCCAAACCACTATCCTTGAAGTGTCCCAGTCATATCAGAAAATCATAGAATCTGAATTTGTGTTAAACCATAGCTTCTTTTTAGAAACACATGCCAGAAAGTTTATCTACATTTAAAATATAACTATAAATATCACTATTCTAGTCACTTTTAAAAGAATTGCAAAATGCTACTGCATTGCATTCAAATTAAATTCATCTGCCCGTCTCAGAAAGACAAAACGAGAAGAATAAAATAAGCAATTACAAACACAAATCCAAAGGTTTTTCATTCACACAGAAAAATATGTGAATTGCAAAGCTTGATTTTTTTAGTAGTTTGGGTTTTTAAAATTTGTTTTGAAGGTGGTCCATAAAAGTCAACACCTCAAACTTTAGAGATAGTATCGAGAAATGGCATACTTCATCAAAATATATTTATTCACATGATATTGAAGATTTTGTTTGAAATTACTTTTAATTTAGAACATCTGAAACAGTATCCTTAGAAATTGACATATATATTAAAATGCATAAATATTTATATATTATGTAAATATACTAGTAACAGTCTGAAACTTAATTTAGCCTGTATACATATACAGCACATACATGCAGTACTTATTAGCAATAGCTGCAAATGAAAAGGCAAATTAAAACATTGATGCGAATAATTCAGCAGTTCATTTTTTGCTAATTCTGTATCAATCATCTGAATACTATCACTCTCAATTTCCTATGTCAGTTTCCATTATAACTCATACTGTGTTTTTGAAAGCCAACCTTAAATTGAGAAATGTAACACCTCTGGAGAACAGTGGATTTTCTCTCTCTAAATTTTTTCTAAAATTCAAAGCCACATTTTCTAGAAGTGATATTACAAATAATCCACCTTGCCTATGGAACAAGTAGAATTCCTGTAAATAAGAATGTTTATCTTTATATGAAATCAGGCAACTTTCAATAAAACTATAGAGCTCATATAGTCTCATTTTCACTTTTGTAGATTAACGAATTACTAAATTTATTCAAGAATTTCTTCTGCAGTGGCAATATTTAATTCTCTATCCTGAAAAATTAAAATAGGCTATTTTCAACATCCATTTAAGAGAAAGAACACCAAGGACTGAGTTTCCAATCTGCCTACTTGAAGCTGCATCCTAGAGCTTCTTCCTCCTGTATCCCTGAAAGGAATATATTTCAACATCATCTGTCAAGTATAAAGGGAATTGGGGGAAATAAAACTTATTAGGTCTTAGGATGATACTACATGATTAGCTAATTTGATTAGTTGACACATTAATTCCAATATTTTCAATCATATTTACTATTGTGATGCATAAAAATTCAGCTCAGCTACCTTTCTATTCTAGAGTTTTTCTCTACAAAAGGAAATAACATCTTCCCTGTAATAGCCTTTCTAATTTCCATTTCATTTCTGAAAATAATAATACTAAGAATGTTGGTGACCACATAACTATAGAATAAAAAAGATAAAGAGACTCATAAGTATCCAAAGAATTATTCTTTTCACTTCAAAGAGAAAATATTTTACTATTTGTTTCTTCATAACAGTACATACTTTAGATCATTCGTTAAAGAAGAATACACAAAATAAAATTTTCACATTTGCCAGCTAGCCTCCTGCTATTCAACCCAGTATTTTATTTTGTTTTACCTTCATCTTGAATATGTTAACAATTTTTTTCACAAGCCTAATGTCAAATTTTAACAATCTAGGATTCCAGTTAAGTAAATATAATAAAATATATTCCATAGAACTGCTATGTTATGAAAGGCATATAAGAAATTCAACTCATTTGTGAAATAAATAAATAAATTCTCAATTTAAGGCGATGTAAGTAGACTTCCAAACTCTTTAAGAAGCATAATTAAGTAGCTATTTGGAGAGGTAGCACCACAAAAACATATTTTATACCGATTTATATACAGATACAGTATTAAAACATAAAGAAGAAGCTAGGTTCTGGGATGCATCCCTCAGTCTCCCCTGTGTAACGCTAAGGCTAATGAAACGACGCATGTAACTGATTTTCTGACAGAGGAACATCAGGTATGTTGGCCCAATAGTGGAACAGAAACAAAAAGCGCTTTACAAAAATTCCCAGAAAATACATAGATTAGAATGGAAAGGAACCTCAGGACTATTGAGGTTTCCTTCCCTGTGTCCTTGGGGGAACTACACATTAAGCTTTCTTCAACTGGGAACATGAAATTTGAAGTCAGTAGCATTAGAGGAGTCATGATTTGGATTGAGAGCACCCATTCTTTCTAATCCCTGTTCCATTTCATGACAGACTTCTAAGAAACTGTTAGGACCATTGCTATTGAAAATCCTGGGGTGACTCGCAGGAGAGAAAAAGCGAAGGAAAGTGGTCACATAAGCGCGTAGGCATGTGCACGTGTGTGAGGATGTGCAACGGTTATGTTTGCCTGAACGTATATGTACTTTCTTATTTTTCCTGAGACCTTAAAAAAAATCTGATTGCTGATTTTGTAATCCCTTGAAAGGATAGCTGAAACGGTTCACACTTCAAAGCTCTGGGAAGAGTTCTGGAACTGCAAAACTAGCAAAACTGCAAAATTGTCCCCGTGAGAGGGCAGTAGGGGGCCAAGCCCGGGTCTTGTCTCTCTGTCCATCCCAGAATGGCTCGGCCCTCTCAACCAACCTTCAGCCGGCTGGCTGCGCTGTGGACAGGGGCGGCGGAGGACACCGAGAGCGCGCAAAACAGCAGCATCAGTCGGTTCCAAGGAAACTCGGATCTCTGGGGCGTGGGCCGCTGCCAGGGGTTGACACTTGTGTTGTGCGAGGTGCGTGTGCCATTGGTAAAATGGCTTTCTCAGTTTTGGCTTCCCACAAAAGGAGCGGAAGGGGGAGCTGTCATGATTCCCAGTGCCCACAGAGCCCCCTCTCCTGGCCACAGCGCGCCAGCCACAACTGGTACCGAGTGTGCGCGCTCGTCTCTGTGCGTGTCTATTTGTATAACAGTTTGCAAGTGGCTTTCAATCTATCTGTCTGTATGACAGAGACAGAGGCGCCTGCGGAAAGTTCCCTCTCTCAAAAACGCCTTCAGTGTCCTGCTGTATCGCTGGCGCCTACGACGCTGTCATTGTCATCTCATCATTTTGCTTCCTTCCGGGTGATTTATGTACAATTCTGCGTGAGTGAGAAATGCGCGTCTACTGGAGTTGTTTTGTCTGTGACCTTACTTCTTTGAAGAGAGTAAGTGGTTGGAAGGGAAGGAGACCCTGAAAAGGAGTAATGTCCCCTCCAGATTGTAAAATATAATGGTTAAACGCCCAGTATCTCAATGTCTAGACTGAAATCCCTCTCTGCCACTTATACTAGCTGTGTGCCTTGGGCAAATCGTTAATCAATCCGTGCCTCAATTACTTCATTAGCAGAATGGGAAAGCAACAGCATCTAGCTCACAGAGTTGTGAAGATTAAATGAGTGAATATGTAAAACGCTTAGAACTGTGCCTGGCACGTTATTAGGTGCTATAGGTTAAATGCTATTAACATCTTCATCAGTTGCATCACAGTGTTAAATGGAAGGACCATCCTGACCACTTTCTCCACAGGAAAGCACTAGATCTTGATATGTGCCCACGCCCCAGAGCAAAGGCGAGACAGAATCCTAACCCTTTGACTCCGTGCAGTGCAGGACCAGCAGCCACCCAGACACCCCCCGCCCACGCAGACCCTGTTCGGTGAATCCCTCCCCAGCCGCCTGTTCTCTGTATCTGGGGCCACGCTCCGAATGTTGCAAGATGCAATGGCAAACCGCTAGCCCAAGAGAGCTGGCCCCTGCCTCTTCTGTCTGAAGAATGTGTTTGGGGGTTTTCCTACCTGCCCCAGGTTTTTGCCCTTCTTACTGCCGCCGAATGCCAGTCCTTGGTACATGCCCGCAGATCGATTGGCGGCCTGACCAGGCGTCTCCCCGCCCAGAGAGGACTTGATGGAGTTGAGTTTGGCCCGCGAACTGCCGATCTGTGAGCTCTCCACCATCAGCACCGCGGCCAGTAGGAGCAGGCAGCAGGACGAATCCTTGCTCCGCATCAACGCGGCCATCTCCCGGCGAGGGGGTCCCCAGGAAGACGCAAAGCCCGGAGGGGTGGGAATGCAAAGGGAGGGAGGACCCCAACACGGGGCCCCTCACTTGGGTCGCGGGGGCTTGCAGATTGTGTTCCCTCAACCCTTCCTGGTTCGGGGACCCAGGACCCTATGAACTCAGTCTCACGCCTCAGGACAGAAATTAGCGGAACCCAAGCGAGACCCGCTTCTCCACCAGGACAGGAAGTTCTGCAATAACTGGAAGCAATCAAATGCGAGGCGCTTTCTCGCCAAGGAGGCGTGACCCAAGGTGCAAGAAAACCCAGCCCTGTGGATCGCACCGCTTCCGTTCCTTCTTGCCCCGCACCTCCTTGGTCCCGCCGGGATCTCGGCGGTTTAACTCTCCTCTTAATTGATCAGGAGGCCCGCATCAGCTCCTTCTCCTTCAACTCAGTTGCTTTTCTCTCCTCTCTTTTCCTATCCTTTATGTGTCAAACTTTGCAGGACACAGTGCTCCTTTTCAAAGTTAGCAGGCGCTTTAGTAGGGGATCAGGAGACGTCCCCGGACCGAATCCTCGAGATCTGAAGAGAATCGAGGTCCCCCACACGCGCACTCACAGTTGCCCCGAAGCGTTGTCCCCTGACTCACAAGAGACAGCGAATCGCTGCCAGCGCAGCGATGCCTAGGGAGCGGACTTGCGCTACGCTCGCCGCGGGCTCCCGCTTTCTCTCTCTCTGCTCTCTCCCCAGTCCTCTTTGCTTTTTATAGCTTCCCACAGTGAGGACTTTTTTTTTTTTTTTACCTCCGCCCCCAATTCAAGAGTGACAAAGAGTGAAAATTTTTCTCTCACTCCCCACCGCTTCCGCCCCCCTCCTCTCTGCGTGCTGCTTCTGCTTCTGCGGCTTTCACTCCAGCTTTTCCTCCTCCTCATCCTCCCGCTCTGTCTCCACCCACAACTACTGGAAAAGGGGGATCTAGCTTTTCCATGAGGTGAATGGAACATAGGGGCTCCTAATTCCTGACAACAACTCCAGCGGTTGGAGGGGTCTTTGGAAACTGGCAGAGACCAAAGGTGGAAACGGAGTGGGGCAAGCTGACACCACTTGATCGCTGCCACCCTTTCTTAGATCTTCCCACCCATCTTCAGCCCCTGACTCCGCGAGGAGAGCTGGAAAAGCCCTATGGAAGCTTTAGAGAAGTGAGCATCTGCGCATCTGCTCATTAGTATTGTGTTCTTTGTGAGCTCACGTTTGGTTTTAGACTGTGCCTCCCAGGGAGTGTGTGAAGCTGGAGCCACATAGGTGCGCCAGGGGGTGGCCAATGATCCGGATAGAGGGTCTGGAAGGAAAGGGGCAGACCAAAGAGGGGAAAAGATGAGCCTGTTCGATTTGGGTCTTTTTAGTCTCCTCCTTCGGAACCCCGGGCCCCGCCGCACTCGTAGAATATGTCTATGTCTCTGAGGGACTGGGAAGAAGGGGATGCTCTGGGTACGCTCCAAGGGTTTGGACCTCACAGCTCGAATGAGCATCTTTACCATGCCAGGCAACTGCTCTTTTTGCGAATAGGAAATCCCAGATAGGAATGAACGGGGGCAGGGAGCCTTTGAGATCCTGTCTTCCTTGGCTTCCTGCCTTCTAGCCCCAGTGAATTACAAGAGAAGCCATTCCTGTCAGCCCCCGGGTCTCTCCAGGTCCAATTCCCTTCGGCCGAAGGTCGAAGGCTGCTCCGGGAACGACTGGGACGCGCTGGCGCTTGGGGGCGCCAGTGGCAGCCGTTCAGCGAGCCACGGAATTGCTGCAGGAGACAAGCGCTGAGTTCGGTGATGTCTGGTGGCCAAGTGCGAGACTTTCCAAGCAAAGCAAGGGATTGTTCGAAAGTTATTGCATTTCTGCTTCGCAGACACTAATGTCCAGGAGCAGAGAAATCCAAGCATTGAGCCACAACTTGAAGTTAGAAGGCAGCTAGCCGCCAGGGGAGGATACAAGCAGCATCCTCTTCAGAATTTTTGGACCTAGATTTCACAGCTTTCACACCTGATCCTGGCGCATGTCCATGAGTACGAATTAAACTTGTCGCTAAGTGAGAACGTTGGTGACTCTTATTTTCCCCCAAAACAACGCAGAGTTCTAAAGTGTGGATTTAGAGCTATTTTCTCCCAGACAGCTCCAGTTTTGCAAATTTCTCAGTCCTGACCTATGAGTCTGTCTGCCCTGAAATTCTTCATTTTCAGATTTTTTTTTTAATACACAAGGAAACGGGGATTAAAATATGCACCCTCTGGCATGTGTTCTTATCTTTTGAATTTCCTTTCTTTAAGGTAGAGATTTTTCACATTTTAGTGTGTGGGGTTTTTTTTCCACTTTTTAAAAATATGCCAGGAATAACAATATGGGTGACCCCTGAAGGACATCATACTAAGTGAACTCGACCAATCACAGAAAGACAAATCCACTTATAGGAGGTACCTAAAATAGTTAAATGCATAGAATCAAAGGTTGGAATGATGGTTACCAGGAATTGGAAGGAGAGGAGAATGGGGAGTTACTATATCAATGATCATAAAGTTTCAGTTAACTAAGATGAATAAACTCTAGAGATTTGTCATATGGTATTGTACCTATAGCCAACAATAATGCATTGTATTTTTAAAAACTTATTGAGAAGGTAGATCTCATGCTATATAGATATAAATTTTATATGTGTGTGACTTTATATACATGTATAATATATATATGTATTTATACATATAACATGATTGTAGTAAGAACATTTAACATCTATATATGCCCAGTAATAAATTTGTAAGTTTATAAAGTTAAGTGAGGCATTCTAGGCACTAATAAAAGGCAAGGAAATGGGTCGTTACTCTATAAATAAGTACTTAACGATTCCAAGCTTAGACTTTACAGAAGAGTATATCTTTTGCCTTCATTCTGATTTGCCAATCAGAAAGCATGACAGAAATTGAGAAACTTAAGTTAGGAGTATACTGGTTTAAATATTTTTGAAAAGTAGCTTAGAGCAAAAGGAAAAGATAGAAGCTAAACATGTAGGCAACAGATCACTCTACATTCACTTGGAAGGGTGTAGACTTTGACCATATGTTGAAGAACAAACCCAAATGAACCATGAGAAAATGTGAAGATGCTTTGCCTATTTCTGTCACTTCCTTCTTTCTTTACCTCTAAATAAAATAATATCCCACATACACAGGCCTAACTTTACTCACATGTACTGCTAAACAGAAAACATATATCAAGCACAACACATTTACTCTCAGCTCTGAGTACCATCCTAAACACATTATCTCAGAGGCTTATTCAAACCCCGCAAGTTCCAAAAGCAATTTTTTACAAATACAGTTAAATTAAAAGTCGACATAAAATCTACTTACACAAACATTCTTCCATATAGAACAAAATCAGACATATAGAATCAAAAGCTAAAACATACACAATTACGCCTTAGGCTAAAAAGCAGTCAAAAACTAATTTCATTCATGACCCAAATGCTTTGTGTAAATTTTTTTTGACAGACAGAAACAAACATACATGACCCATATGTTGACAAGTAGATATGCACACACAAAATCAACTAACTGTAAATAAACATAATCCTGTGGATTACTGTCATGGCCCCATATGTGTTTTTCCTGTGTGTGTTTTCCTAAGTGTAAAGACAAAAGCTTCATATTTTACTTGGGAAAGTAGATTTTTATGCCATTTGCAATAATATAATTAGAGAGTAGATATTTAAAAACAAGACTGTACAAAAGCAGGATGTACAACCTTCCTGTCCAGAAGAAAGTGCCTTAATGGACATTTTTTCCTTTGGCCATACATTCCCTCTTATCTTTGCTCCTCTAGCTGTGGGGCCATTTTGGTTCCATAGAAAAGCCACTACTTTCTCAGCAGTTGTTTCTGGATCCTGGATTCCTTCTGAATACTTAATCCCAAAGGTAAGTTAAGTATATAACTTGTTACCTTAGTCTTGTTTACTGAAGCTTACTAATTTTCATCCCATTACCTCTCTCCCTGCATTAGTGAATATTTCCTACAATAGCCTTTTTAGCAGTTGTTCATGCATTCCCCGTACGTGAAGCAAGTATGGGGCCCTGAGGACACAGAGGTGAATGAATGGGGGTCTTGCCTCTAAAGGGGCTTGGAGCTCTGTAGACACCTTAATATACTAAAATCTGCTCCTAGCCCCTCTCAGAAGTTGCTGCTGTGAGCCTTTATTCTCATCCACTGCTGAATTATGCCAGTCTCAGAGTTCAATCTGTCACAGGATAGCTGCAACTTGAATTCAAGCCAAGCTGGCTTGAATTCATGTGACTATGGGAATATAAGTGATCAGATATGTCCCCCAGAGTTCTTTTTTTCCTTCAGAATTAAATGCACATTTTAATGGTGTACATAGAGACAATACTTCTACATTTGTCGTTGAACCCAAAGAAATGACCCTAGTGATGGTCATGTTAGGTCAATAAGAACAGAATAGCAAACCTGGGAAGTAAGATTGTCTTTGGTAGGTCCCACAGGACCGCAAAGCATCTTGCACACACAGAATAGACATGAAAATCTTTAATGTATGGTTGAAACTTGATGGATGTTAAGGATCTGAAAAATAAGGTTATATGGGTTTTCCCTCTCCATAGTAAACCAAGCTACCTGGCTCTGTAGCCTAGTAATACTCATACTTTGAGAGTTTTATGTTTCTCCTCTGCCTAAGAACAACAGTCTTATGTGTTGCTGCAAATTAATTCTAAATACCTGGTAACAAATGTAAGCTTGCATTGATATTGTGAAAATTTTTTGTGTTTCTTGATGGGAATAATTTTCATACCAGATATGAAAAAATTGCATCTCCTATTTGATCCCTGCATTAGTTTCAGTTGTTGATGCTATCTTGATAAGGTCTCATGGACAACAGGACCAGCTAATAAAAAAGATCTCATCACCTACATTTGATTCACTAGCTATGCTTACAAAAACATGCACAAGTGAAATGGGTCAGAAGATTTCACAGTAAATCAATCTGAAACAATTGCTCAGCCAACGGCTTCTTTTTCGAACCTTAACGAGTTAGTCATCTTATCCATACTTCACCTGCCACTTAAATGAAAGAGGATTACTGAACAGATATTACCCCTTGAGCCTGAACCCAAACAATAAAAAAAATGCAAATAACATAATCTGAAACTCAGGCAGATAAAAACTTCTGCTGAGCCTTGTGCATATATGTGACCATAGATGGAGGTGGAATTAGAAAAAGTCATCAAATGTTTAATAAGAAACATTTTCCTTTACGATATAAAATTTTTGTTAGTTCTGTACAATGCATATCCTTTTTGGTAAGTTCTCACTGCTGAGTTCTGGCAGGTTTTTTCAAGATTCAGCTTTTGAATCAGTACTAAAGTACCAAGTAATACTTGGCAGTGAAAGAATCATATGTTTAATTCTTGAGTGAGGTTCAATTCCAAGGAATCTCATCTTGATGAGCAACAAAACAAACAACATTTAGATAATCTGGACCAGTGATTTTCAGACTCTGTTCCTTTCGGGTCTCTAGGGTTCTGCAGTGGTCTCAAAGTAAGTTGAGAACTGTGCTAATTTTTATAATATTTCAGAGGAGAGGTGTCCAGCTCTTGGATCAAAGATAAATTTTAAGTGCCTGTTTTTGTTATTGTTTTATTGGACAAAATACTCTGTGAGCCGTCAACCCACCAAATACATGATGGATTGATTTCTACCCTGTTAGTATTACAGACAATTTCCAAAATGAACATTACTCAAATGGGGAAACTATTAAAAATATGGCAATTTATTTAGTCAGAAATGATTTGGTCATTTAAAGTAGGGAACATTAAAAATGAAAAGGCAGGGTAGCTAATCCATTCATTGTACAATGTGTTTATTCCTGATCAATTATCTGAACCTATGATTAATGAATATGGCAAAACTTTAACTATACTCTTACCACACATAAAATAAACTGTGGTGCAGACTAAAAATAATGGAAAAACTACTTGCAAATAATAAAGACATAGATTCTCAAGAGGCAACTCAAAAATCTGTCTTTGAAACATAACTGGGCTTGGTAACAGAAAATGAAAAATGTGCTTAGTTTATCTTTGGAAGATTCATTTGTAATAGATCCTACTTTTTGATGCTCTAGGTATAAATCATAATACCTAGGCTCAAAAATAGTTTGGGATATAAGAAAGTCAAGACACTATGCTGCAGTCAGCTTAAGGAATTTTATAGGTAACTGGCTTAGAATATACAGCAATAATAAAAGTAATAATAATAGTCAGATTTATTGAATGCCTTACATGTGCCAGGTTTGTTGAACACTTTACATATAGTGTCTCTTATTTGTATCCCACAATTCATCCCTTTAAGACAATGAATGTACAGTCCAATATTAAAATAATACTGAGCAAAGAGTAGCTTGCAGCACAGTGTGTCTCCATTTGTAGTAACGAATGCCCAGTTATGGCAATAATGTGGAAGGCACACAAGAAAAGGGGAACCCATCAGAAGAAATTGGAGGTGCCATTTCACCCTTGTAGCAGGCCCCAACACAGATTCCTCTGAAGGAGCTAAAATAAGTCATTTGGTAAACGGTTGCAAAGAACACCAAAAATATAAGTACATGACTACATGTATTGAAGCTTTGCCTAATATAGTAAAACTCTTGGGCCTTAAAAATCATATAGCAGAGAACTTAAAAAGGCCCTCTGCTACAGATGGCATATTAGATTTCTAGGGATTCCATAACAAAATGATACAGATTTAGTGGCTGAAACAACAGAAATGCATTTCCTTACCATTTAGGAGGCCACAAGTCTAAGATCGAGGTGTTGGTAGGTTTGGGCTCCTCTGAGGCTGCTCTCCTTGTCTCACAGATCACCACTTTCTCACCGTGTCCTCCTGTGGTCATCCCTACGTCTGTGTTCAAATTTCCTCTTCTTATAAAGAAACCAGTCATATTGGATTAGGACCTACCCTAATTTCATTTTAATTTAATTGCCTCTTTAAAGAACTCATCTCCAAATGTGGTTACATTTTGAAGTAGTAGGACTTAGGGCTTCAACATATGAACTTGGCAGCAGGGCGTGGGGCAAAATTCAGCTCATAACAGATAGATTTATACATGTAGTTGCATATTAAAACACTTGGGAAAAGAGTAACATTTCTGTACACAAGACATACAGCAGTTTCTCAGAGTTCCTAAACTCAAAGGAGAACTGTGTTATATGTTTATTTTGAAAACATTATTTAAATATTTTTATTACCATTTTATTTCTGGATCTGTGTTAATGATATTCATTTTTTCACCTTCTCTTTTTGTGTGACTTATGGCTAAATTAGAAATCAGCCAACTGAGTCTGACTGTGATTGTCAATATTCCACTGGGGCCCTGAAAAGGAAAAGAGAGAATGCAAGCAATTTGCCAAGAAGATAAAGTCATTTCTACATTTTTTATAAATGCCTGGTTAATGAAAGATGGAAACAATAAAACATATCAGTACATGATAGAAAAGTGAAATCATGGTAGATCAAAGGAAAAGGAAGCAGCAAACAAAACTACAGTGATCTAGCAATCAGCAAGTTGTTCTGTTACTAACTTAATTTGTCCATTTATTTAATTTGATTTGTTTAATTTACTCAGAAAGTTAATAGTTCCTTGGAATCACAGTACCTTTAATTAATTCAAGGCAGTGCTAAATATGTGAAAACAGAGGGGATATCTAATTTCATTGAAACTGGTAATGAAATCACTTTTAATATAAGTGCACTTGACCACTTAGTCTTTAAGTTATTAAGAAATCTGATTTGGAATAAGCTCAAATTTACTTTAGCTTTTTGTTGTTTTTTTCTGAAATTTATAAAATGTATTTTGGTTGTTATTGTCAAGAATGTATGTGAACATTTGTATATATCAAAGAACAATCAATATCTCCAAGAACATAACAGCTGTTTATATGTTACAGTTGAAATTGTTGGGTTAGCCTTGTCCTCCAATGCCAATCAATGTTGTATTTTTAAATTAATAATAAAATGAAACTCTCAAACCTTTGATCAATTTGCCTTTTATATATCAAAATGTATTGTATAAATATGCTCAGTATTAACAGAAGTACTGAAAGTTTAAAACCATCTTTTTGTTTTATAATATTCAATGTACCTCACCCCACCACTTAACACTGGAGGTAGCTACCACTGAGGCCAGGAATATATGGACTATAGCTATAAACTGGGGCTCTTTTTAACATGAAAAGGTAAGCTAATTTCCAGCCTTCTAAATACAACTTCCAAATTCACTAAATTACTTCGTGTTCCTCCTATATGTTAGCATAATTTTAGAAGGTAATTCATTAGAAAAGCCCCCAGCTGCAAGTTCTAACCAAAAGTTATACATGTTATAGTCCAAACTCTTCATTCTCTTTAGCCAAGTGTAGATACTGCCTAAGATGGCTGATTTTAAATTAATTTGTATGATGATATCTGTCACTCACTTGTGAAACACTTCCTGAATATAGCTGACACAATCATACCCAATTTTCTGTTTCAGGGACTATTTAATGTTAAAAATGTCTCTAAGGAAATCATTCTAAGGAATGCCTCTAAGTAAATCTTTATATGTGGGGGATGGAAAAGACAACCCATCATGGTATTATTCTCTGACAACAAAAGAATTCCTGTTAATGGTTAGTAATGGTTATTATTGTTTGTTTTAAGTAGTGATCTTATAGTGATTATTAGTCGGAAATACTGAGAGGTCCAAGTTCATGCAGCAGAGGGCAGTAATGGACACTTGTCATGGTAAGAGAGATGAGCCAGAGATTATTACAAAGTAATTTTTCTGGAGAAAAGTGTTTAATGGCCTTTCCTATACCAGTGTTATTAAATAGAGGAGAACTGATAAATAAATGCATCTATTCCTCTCATGAAAAGTTTGCAACACTCTTCAAATATTAGATTGACTGAACTAAAAAAACATTCAGAAGGTTTTCTCTTATCTAACTTCATAGAAAAGGAACGATTTTCCTATGCCAAGGCATATGCAGATGTTGCCCATGTAGCATTGTAAAAGCTCTTCCAAACTACTCAGAAACAGAGGCAGGTAGGCAACTTTGTAAATGGTCTCATGACTGTGCAGAATGCATTGGAAATTAACAGCACCTTTTTCATCTTACTTACTACCACTTTATTATCTGTCTTTCTCTCACTACCTGAAAAAAATGCAACAAAATCCAAGGACTTCCATCTTTACCTTCCTTTAGTTGCTGTACTGCCTACTACGCTAACGATGTTAGCAATGTTTTGTCTTTGTTCTTTCAAAAATTACTTCAGCAAGCTGTTTCTTTCTTCAATCACATTATCCCGAATTTACACCTTGTTCCACCGCTTGAAATAAACCATCAAATAAAGCAGACCCAAAACAATGGTAGGAGGTGAGGATGTTATTCAAAATTTTCATAGGTAAAAATTTGAAGGTAGAATCTGGGAATACATGATGGCATAGTTTTTCTAACTCATGCGGTGCTATGTAAAACCAGAAAAAGAGATGAGGATAACAATTCCCCAAAATGCACATACGAGCACACACCACACACACACACACACACACACACACACACACACACACACATCTAGAGTAAAATTAGGTGACAAGGTGAGTAAGCCTAATTCCCAATAATTACAAGGCCCACATAATATCAGTTACTATAAAAAAGGAAGTTTGGGCTGGGTGCGGTAGCTTAGGCATGTAATCCTAGCACTTTGGGAGGCCAAGGCAGGCAGATCACTTTAGGTCATGAGTTCAAAACCAGCCTGGCCAACAAGGTGAAATCCCGTCTCTACTAAAAATACAAAAAAAAAAAAAATTAGCAGAGTGTGGTGGCGGGCGCCTGTAATCCCAGCTGCTTGGGAGGCTGAGGCAGGAGAATCACTCAAACCCAGGAAGTGGAGGGTTGCAGTGAGCCAACATCATGCCACTGCACTCTCCAGCCTGGGTGACAGAGTGAGACTCCATTTAAAAAAAAAAGGAAGTTTGAGGGAAAGCAATGGAGCTCTGAGAACAAGAGAATCCTCAAATTTCCAACAGATCCTCATTGGAAAGAGCACAGCCAATCTGAAAATAGTAGACAAAATCAGAAGAAAATGGATTCTGCAGGCCCTAATTCCAGGATCAAAGCCCCTGGTGAGGAGAAATTGTTTGGAGTAGAATCCAAATTGAGCAGGCTAAGAAATTAGGGACAAAAGAAAAAATTCTAAATGAAAGTCAGGATGGAGAGGAAGCAGATCTCAAAAATGTGACACCATTTTAAGCATCACCTCATAAAAACAATAGAAGAGGGGGTGCCAAGAACAATGAAACTAGAAAAGTTATTCTGGCCCAACCATCTCTCTGATAGCAAAGGAAAACTTATTTGCCTTAAACCTGGTAACCAAACGAGACTGTGGTCCAATCATGTGTATATCTAATATGACAAAAAAGAAAACAAGGACAAAATAGCATCAATAGAAGCAAGCTATAAAGCAATGTCAGAGAATACATATAAACAGTAACTTAATATTCAAAATATGCTACAATTTTTAAGAAATATATGTAAACAATGAAAGAACATTATAAATCAGAACTAGAAAATTTCCAATCATGTTTCAAGAAAAAAGGATTTGAAGAAGTGATGTAAGAAGAAAAATCATTTCAGAATGAAGATTAAACTGGAAAGAACAAAAAAGCAACATATAATGCTTTAGGATAAATATAAGATGGGAAAGAGAAAATTAGGAGA